>NC_000020.11:60632883-61249763 GCF_000001405.40 Homo sapiens
TCCAGTGTCATTATTTCTGCTGCAATCAGATGACTCAGACTGTGTTCCAACATGAAAAACAGACCAAATCAATCACATAACTGGGTTTTGTGAGTCTCAGAGGAACTGGTTTGATGGAAGTTCAGTTCCAAGGCCACTTTCTTCTTCACGCAAGTCTAATTCCACCCTCCCTGACATCCGGTTTGAATTAGTCAACTTGGCTATTTGGCTTGATGGAATTTTTGCTTTTCAACACCACTTGGGCATTGTCAAATTACATCATAATTGCATCATCAGAGGCTAATTGTATCATAGTAATGGGAACACTTTTGAGCAATGTTCTGGGCTCCTTCATGTACTTGTTCCTTTATTCATAAGGGAATGCCCCTCACCCATGACTTTCTTCCTTCACCAGGGAAAATACTGTTGTCTCCATTTCATTGATAAGGAAGTGAGGCATAGACTGAGTGTCTTGTCCAAGGTCACCTGCATGGATGGTGCCAGAGCTGGAATTGGAGTCCATGCAGCCTGCATGATTTCACAATGGAATGTAATAAGGATTTTATTTTATATATTAGGAATCCCAGGATGAACACACACACAGGGAGGATATCTAGAGAGCTGTCAGGAACCCTGGGGAAGAAACCTGAGGGACCAAAGGGGACTTCTGCTGGAGGGAGATCTAACCTGGTAGAAGAACCAGAGGAAAGGCACTGTGTGTGCCCAGAGGCCAGCAGGGCATGGGCTGGGGAGTCAGAAGAGGAGGGGCCATGGCAGGACTGTTGAGCTTGGCCACCTCACTAAATTCTGCAGGGCTTCAGCACCCCTCTGAAGCACACAGGACGGTGCCACCCCCCTTCTAACAACTTAGACACTTGAGGACACCACTGAACCTCGAATGTCAGGGGTTTCAGTGCCGTAGTGATTGGGTGAGAACCAGTCCACACAAACATGGACGTGGGCAGCAGAGGCACATTGGGGACAACGATGGTGCAGCGGCAGTGCCTGGAGGCAGGACCTCATCCAAGAGCACACATGAACACCCACCCATCTCTGGATTTTCAGATATTCTTCAACAGGAACTTTCCAGGGAGCCAAGGGGAGTAGGCAAACCACTGAAGATTGCTTTGCGGGGGCGTCTGTCTCTCATTCTGTACTCACCAGCCAGCGAGGGCTGGGGAGTGCCTGGCCTTGCTTTACCAGCTCATTCACCATCCCCACCAAGAGCAGGAGCCATCCATGCCAGGAGTCACCCATGCCAGTATCTCCCGTAGGTTCTAACAAAACCACCGTTTCTCATGCGGGGCCTTTCCGTGCTTTGGATGGCATGAGGACCTGCACATGCAAGTCTTGAAAACTGCCAGGAGAATTGTGTGTTAGTCAGTGAAACTATTACCTGTTCATTTGATAAGAGAAAATTAAATTATTCAGTTCCCAATAACACAAGCAACATCCCAGCCATAATAGTGGAGTAATTGTTTTACAATTAAGGCATGCCCAGAATGTACATTACCAACTCATTTAATAATGTGCGCATTGAGTCTCTTATTTTTTTTCCAAAGAGGCAATTCAAATAGGTAATTTAGTGGTAGAAATAAACTATGAATTTAACTTATATGTTCATTAATTGTACAATTAAACAGAATACTAATTGACTGTAGAATTATAGCTAAATGGGACAGTGCACCCGGGTAATTAGTTCTCGTTCTGTTTTTCATTGTGAACATAATTTTTGGTGGTCTCACCCTACCCAATTAGGTTTTGTTTGGCTTTATTGGAGCATAAATCACTCTCCTAGCGCAAAGATTTAATCCTCACAGTACAGCTGGTGTGTTACGCCCCTGTCCCAAAAGGTTATCTCTTTGCTTGGAAAGAAAGGACATCTGATCATAGTCGTCAGGAATGGGAGGGTGTTGTGCCCGTCTGCGATTTTCAGTGTCTTCTCTGCAGAAGGAAGAGAGAAGGCAGACAGGGTAGGTTAGTGCCAATAGCGTCTGGACTCCCCGGAAGTTTCCGCCCAAGGGGGACCGGGATCTGGACAAGGGGTTCACCACCTCTACAGTTTTTACTCACTGAAACGATCAATTTTATAATACCCAGAACTGCCACTTTCTAACAGGTGATCTCCGCATAGGCAGCCAGCTCCGAGACTGAGGAGAACAGACGTGCAAGAAAGGTGCCCATGCAGGGAACAAGGTGCCTTCCCACGGAATCAACGTGGCTCTGCAGTTGACACACCACTCCCGTCTTTCCTGGGGGCAGCATCCTCAGGTGCTCTCTCCTTGCTCTGATTCAGTAGCCGGAGAGTCTGACGGCTCACAGTGAATTTCTGGTTCAGTGCTTAGATACAAACAGGCAGGTTTTGCTTTTCTCAGCTGCTCAGAAAGAAAACAAGGAAAATGTGAAATGGTGGTTCCCTTGTGACATATATGTTATACCAGGATAGAGTGAGCACCAGGGTCACAGGAGTGACTCGCGGCCACGCAGCAAAGCAGCTGCAGAGCAGCAATCCCTATGCCTTCAGATGTGCTGGAATCCCCCAGGGGTGTGGGCAGCAGGCTAAAATGCAGATTCCCTGGCAGAGGGGCTCCCCTGTGATGCTAAAGAAGCTGAAACTTCTGGGCTTGTCTCGGACAGAGTTCTCTGGTAGGCAGTGTGTGAAATTCCATAGCTGCCCTTTGAAAGGCCAAGCCTGGCATAAAGTCGGATGTGAAGACAGGCTCTTCCCCAGTATCCTTCTCTTAACACAGTGCTTCTGTCCAACCACATCTGTCTGAGTCAACCCACAAATATTGAGATCTGCCCCAGAAATAAAGGGCACTGCTACAGCAGACGACAAGGCAGTCTCAAATCCCAGAGTGTGGGGTGCAGGCCTTCAGCTGAGCTCAGGGACCACAGGAAATGTCGCTCAGTGCCCAGTCTGCATTTCTAAGGACGCTCCGAGTCTCCCCTGCCTGACACAGCTGAGCTCCTAGTGTTCAGAAGTCTCCTGTGGCTTCTGTAACAAATTGCCACCCTCTTGGTGGTTTAAAACAACACGAATTCAATCTCTTACCGTTCTGGGGATTAGACATCTGGAGGTTCCAGGGGAAAATCTGTTTCCTTGACTTTCCCAGCTTCCAGAGGCCACCTGCACACCTTGGCTCATGGCCCCTTCCTCCATCTTCACAGGTAGCAATTACATCACTCCCACCTCTGCTTCCATCCTCACATCTCCTACTCTGACTCCCTCTTCCCCTGATAAGGATTCCTGTGATTACATGGAGCCCACCCAGACAGCCCAGGGTACCCCAAATCCTTAACTTTCTCATATGTACAAAGGCCCTTTGGCCATGTATGGTGACATTTCAGGTTCCCAGCATTAGAATGTGGACATTCGGGTGGATGGATTATTCTGCTAATATTCCCCAGGCAGAAAAAAAATGAACAATATTGCCCAGATCGCCGACACTAGGAAAAACGAATGACCTTTCTGGAATCCTTTAGCATCCTTGGTGTTCGCTGCTTGTCAAACTCCCCAACCCACTCTCGGGACACACAACATTGAGAAAAGGGGAGCTTGGGAGCAGCCGGGATGTGCTATGGCAGACATTCTTCTTGCTGCCTGTAGAGAGGATATGGGTGGGACAGATATTTTTGCTTTGTTCTTTTGTTGCATTATTTAGATTACGCAAAGGTATATTCCCATGAAAGCTCATTGATATAGCAGTGGAAGTCGGAAGGGAAGAGCCTCAAGGTAATTGCTCAATCCAGGGATGGAGCGATTGCTCAGAATGTCATTCACTTTGCCACGAAGTTCTTGATGTGACAAGGTCTCAAACTAGAAAATTTCTGAAATGATTACTTGACATGAAAGGCAAAGTTGTACAGGCAGTGTAATCAAGCAGGCAGTTGGTCTTGGTTCCTGAGAGTCAGTAACTAAAAACTGAACCAAGAACACAAACTTACACCTCCTAAAGTCGGTTATTTGCACACACTGGCTGCTGCGCCTCTGCCTGCCCGGCCCCTTGGATCCTTTTTCTTTATTTTGTTCCTAAGTACTGAGCACATTTTAACATCCCCTATAACTTATTTATTTTGTTTATCATTTGCCTGCTCCATGAGATCAGGGATTCTGTCCTTTGTTCTCTATCCCAAGAACTAGATACTTGCCTGGTCTGTAGGTGACTGATAAATATGTATAGAACGAATGAGTGTGAAACGCCATATGATTAGTAGGCTGCATTTACTTAGCATAAGGGAAATAACCTCTCTATGATAGTGTTAAAGCTGCGTCGTTAGTGCCGTTTGGAGAGTATGATTTGTTAAAGGTGCAAGTCAAGCTGGGATTCCTTAGGGCTCTCTTGAGTCCCCAAATCAAGCCAAGCAATGGAGGTTTCAGATAAAATCTGGTCAGCATTCTGCCGTAAATCAGTATCTCCCAAGTTTCCACTAAAATATTTATAGAGGCACAGAGAAAAGTTGAAAAATTGAGAAGCCCTCACACAATACTGATGAAAAAGTTAAAGATATGCTATTATAAATGGATAATTATAGATAAGAAAACCCTTGTTAAGAACTATAGACATTTTCTAAGGAAAATATCAGAGCTACCAAAATAGAATCAATCATCAATGACATAATTATAGAAAAATTGCTGGAACTGTAACAAAGATCTGAGAACACAGGCGGCAAGCGTTCACCAAATTTCAAAGAAAACCAGTAAAAAATGGACCAGATTTCGACCAGATTTAGACACATCTTGGAAAGTATTTAAAATAATAAAATAAAGATAAATGCAAAATACTAGATCATTTTTAGGAAGAGAAAAATATGGCTACATAAAAACAAATACAAATCAGCATGGCCCCAGCTTGTTCTTTTGTCACACTCCTGCCCAAAGGAAATAGAGCAGCAATTGCAGAGGTTCTGAAGCAGAGGGAGCAATCCAAGGACCCCACTCCCACATGTGTGGGGGTGACACATGCTCATGAAATTTACCTCCCAGATATGCTTTCTTGGTGTTACAAAAATGTAGCCTTCAGCCTTAATAAGAGATACACTTAAGAATTCAAGGTATTGGCCCGGTGCAGTGGCTCACGCCTGTAATCCCAGCACACTGGGAGGCCTAGGCAGGTGGATCACCTGAGGTCAGGAGTTCAAGACCAGCCTGACCAATATGGTGAAACCCCGTCTCTACTGAAAAATGCAAAATGAGCCGGGCGTGGTGGCACATGCCTGCAATCCAAGCTACTCAGGAGGAGGCTGAGGCAGGAATCACTTGGACATCAGCGTCTTTAAAAGAACCTTATTAGATAAGCAGCCCACATCTAACTGCATTCTAACTGGATGCCCTGCACAGTTGAATCTAGAAGGATGGTTCTCAGTGCTGCATTCCTCTGGGGGGCTGACCCATGCCCAGAGATTCTGACTCTATTCCACAGTCAGGACTGAGAGCAACTCTCACAGCTAATGAATGATTATCAAAATGAAATAATTTGATCATAAATTATCCCTCATCCATACAGTGGGGAAAAGGCACAAAACATGAGGTCCACTGCATCTGCCTCACAGACACTGGGTGAGCATTCCCTTCTTTCTTCTCTTTTGCATTTTCCAGGTTTTTAAAAGAAAAAGACATTCTTTTCAGTGAAAACAATAACAGCAAAAGTTTTCTATAAAGAGCCAAGTTTTATGGGTCACAGTGACCTGCTACCAATTCATTCTAACATTCAGCTCTAATTAGAACAGAAAGCCCTGTACTTTTATCTCACTCTTACAAATCTTATCAAATGGGAATTGCGAAATGTTTTCCGAAACTTTTCTCCTAGGTCCCACTTGGTCAAAATAAGCCTTTAATAAAAAGACTGAAAATTAGTTTGTAGCCAGGAGACTCCTGGAAGTTTGGAAGTTAATCTGTAGTTGAAAAAAACAAACCAACAAACAAACAAAGACTTTCACACTTGTTTAGCTCTGGGCTTTTCTGGTTCTGCTATTTATTGACCTTGAAATTAAGGCAGGCTGTCTAGCTTCTCTTAGCTTCAGTTTCCTCATCTTTAAAATGGAAGTGATGGACTGGGACAGTGACTCACACTTATAATTCCATCACTTTAAGAAGCTGAGGCAAGTGGATTGCTTGAGCCCAGGAGTTCGAGACCACTCCTGGGCAACATAGTAAAACCTCATCTCTACAGAAAATACTAAAATTAGCCAGATGCAGTGGTGCGGGACTTTAGTCTCTGCTACTTGGGAGGCTGAGGTGGGAGAATCACCTGACACTGAGAGGCTGAGGTTGCAGTGAGCTATGATCACGCTGTCCACTCCAGCATCAGTGAAATACTTGAACAAGACCATGTCTCAAAGACAAAAAAAGGAAATAAAATGGAAGTGATGATATCTACTTCAAAACAGCAAAGACAAAAATAAACTAATTTAAGGAAAGAAGAGAGACTCTCTTTCTCACGATATAGACAGCAGAGACAGGTGGCAGTAGGAGGCTCTACTTGTATGACCTGAGTGGACCTTACCCCTTGACACCCACAGTAGAGATGATTTTGGAATGCTCTGCCACTGAGCACGCTGCTTCATGTCTGATTAACTTCACATTTCAACAACACAACAATCAAAACAACAACCTTTAGTACATGGGGTGGTCCCCAAGACCACGATCAGGATGAATAATTCACTAGACAAACTCATGGAATGTGAGCTGTCATGCTTATGGTCATGGTTTATCAGGATGAAGGGACTCGGGTTAAAATCAGTCCGGAGAAGACAAGCATAGGGCAGGGTCCAGAGGACTCCGGATGCGAGCTCCATTTGTCCCTCCCGATGGAGTCATATGGACAGTGTCTACTCCTCTGCCAAGGATGTGTGATAGCGCTTAGTCAGTGTCACCAACCAGCGAAGCTCGCCTGAGCCTTGGGGTTCAGGTACTTACCGAGGTTGGTCACTTAGCCTTTGGTTTCCAGGCTCTCTGAAGGGAGGGTGAGCTGTTACCATGTGGCTCAAGGTCCCCCAGTAAACAACAACACTCTTACCAAACATTACATGCCCAGGGCTCAGAGCTGGCTGTCAAGAAGCTGGGCAAGGGTCCGTCTTTTCTCTGGGCAAAGTTAATCCTCTAGGCTCACCTCTTATCGAAGGTTCACTATTTGAAAAAATCAAGACGTCTATCAAGGATAAAGACCCATCAGAAAAATGATAGAAGGGATTCTAGGACTCTGGGAGACAGCTGACAATGGAAACAATTGTTAACATTTCTAAGAGGAGGTTTTGGATCTTAAATTAGGAAACTGACTATGATCAAATCCCCTCACTAAATGCTGAGAGGTGACAAATTGGACTTTCCAGAACTGACAGTCTAGACAAGGGGTCAGGGAACGTTTCCTGCAAAGGGCCGGATAGTAAACGTTTTTGGCTTTTGCAGGCCACATGGTCTCTGTTGGAAGTACCCAAATCTGCTGTTGTAGAGTGGAAGCCACCACTGACAATATGTTAACAGAGGTGCCGGGTTCCAATAAAACTATTTATGGACATTGCAATGTAAACGTGATACAATTTTCACATGCCATGAAATATTAGGGGACTTTTGGTTTATTGCATAAGTGAAGCTCAGGGGACTTGGGCAGTGATGGAAGGAAGTACCTTCCTCGACACTGTAATGGTGAATACATGTCATCATACGTTTGTCAAAACCCATAGAAGGTACAGTGCCAAGAGTGAACCCTGATGTCAAGTATGGACTTTGGTTCATAATGATGTATAGTGCTGGTTTGTTAGTTTTAGAAAATGTCCAACACTAGTGTAAGATGTAATAGGAAAACATGTGTGTCAGGCCCCATGGGTAGCAGGGAAAGATATGTGGAACTCTATGTACTACCTGCCAAGTTATTCTGTAAATTAAAACTATATTAAAAATATAAAGTCTTAAAAAATGTATAAAAAGCATTCTTAGCTCACAGGTAATAAGAAATCAAGTGGTGGGTTGGGTTTGGCCTGTGTGCTTTCATTGTATATGAACCTTCAGACAAGCTGGGACAAAAGCTCACAAACGTGTGTGGCCCTCACATGGGGCAGAAACGATGTTGTGGGTCGGTCCCATGGGCAGTGGCAACAAGTGAGCAGAGTCAACATGGGCCAGAGGAGGGTTCTTGATGGGAAACTTGGATGGGAGCCTTAAGGAATGGGCAATTCCCCCTACTTCTTTATGCTGTTTGCTCAGGATCTAATTTAGAAACATGAGCAGGACCTAGAAGCAACCTGAGAACCCACAGGGCGTGCATGAATAATTTTGACTTCCTTGAGCTTGGAAAAGCCATTCTTCATACTTGCTGTTGGTCTAAATAGCTGTATTATTTGCGGCAGAAACTTTGCAAACCAGGCCTGGAGGGAGACAGGAATTTCTCCAGATATTGTGCTGCCCTTAATAAGCTGTTCACCCTCCTGGCTTCTGGAAGATGGAGTAATCAATAAGGCATCATTTTGAACAGTATAATCAGCATAATTTATTTGGCAAACACATATGAGTGCCCACTGTGTGCTCATGGCTCTCTCGGCTGTAAGAGCTTATGGCAATGATGAGGTGATGTTGGAAATTGCTGGTCGAAACCTCCAAGTAAGAGAAGAAAGAAGTGGTGTCATATTGATCTCATGGAATAGATTTTAATGCTAATAGATTTTAATGCAACCCAATATGCTCCCTGTGTGGCAGCTTAGGGCCTGGTTAACAGTCGTCTGTGACTGTTTCAGCTGAGCCTCACTGTGCATCCAATTATGAGAACACATTAATCAGTCACTTGACAAAATACGTATTTATTGCTTCTGATATTTTCATTATGTTGGCCAAGGCTCAACCTAGTTTTATAAAGAAAAGGAATGAGCCGGTTGCCCACAGGGATGTTGAGAATGGAGACCCCTCTGGTTTCCCACCTGGAGATGGTCAGCAGAAACCAAGGCATATCCTAAAATGTTGGTCTCTGCATTCTCACTATTCTCTCTCCTTGGACTTCAGAAGGAATCAAGACCTAATTACTATCTCTACTCCTGTGTTGAGTGGTTACTGTGATTACCTGGTCAATAACTCATTGTCTATAGATTTCAATACTGCTTGGGGATTTTCCATTACTCTCCATCTACAGCAGTGAGAACTGTGCTGTGTTCTACAGGACCTCTTTTCTAGGATTTGCCTTCTATCTGGAGGCTTAAAAGAAGGACTGAGCAGGCTTAGCAAATGGTTCAGGGTGTGGGAGCGTGAGTCAGACTTCAGGGATCCAGAATGCCTCTCCAGCTCTGCGATCTTGGTTATGAAGTTATCTAACTTCTTGCGCCTTCCTGCAAGTCAGCCCACCTGCAACATGGAACTAACATGCATACCTATTTGTAAAGTGCTTAGGATGATTCCTGGCTCAAAGTGTGCAACAAATGAATGACGTCAGTAAAGAGACCAGAGCAGTGAGAATTAGTCATGTCCAGAGCACTTTTGGGAAAGAGGAGAAAACGTGAGAGGCGGCCTGCTGTGGGGACCGAGTTCAGCATGGATTTCACAGCTGAAAACGCATACCTGGTTTCCAAACCACATTTTCAATGACTGCCTGCCCCAGAAATTGTGCTGCCTTCTGCTAATGATCTTCAGGTTCCCCGGCTACTTTTAATACAGACATTCACTGCTGTCTGGAATATTAAGAATATCCCGACAAAGGGGGCTGTGTCTGCATCCTTATGCTCCAAGTCCATGTGGTCATTAAGAACTGAACCAGTTGGAGCCCCTGGGCAGGTGGGAGATTATGCAATAGGGAGTGTTTCTCTGTGTGGGTCCTGGGCTCAATGCCCACAGCCCCTTGGTCAGCCTGTCGGCTCCTTCATTCTGGCCACACATCACAACAGTCCATGAATGCAGCAGTGACAGGGCTGGCGGCCTCTCTGAGTCATTGCTCTTGCTCCAGGACCCCTTGCCAGCCTCCCTCTGTGGCTGTTCTCATCCGTCATAAGAGCGATGGCTGACAGCTCCAAACTCAGCCTGTAGGACAAGGCTCACCTCCTGCCTGCTTCTTTCCCTGGCTAGTCTTCTCCTTCCACTGCAGCACTTGGCTTCCCCACCATCCTTCTATGACACTGAAGAGTTTACAGGCTGATGTCAAGGGCTCCTTATGACACTCAGTGTGGCGGGCAGGGGGGTTCTCGCTGGGCATGGGGAGTGGGAGGCCAAGGCCACTGAGCAGACTAACAAAGTGTACTGCTGGAGCCCAGCATGCTCACCTCTGAGGGTCAGTGTGAGTCCTTTCTATCTGATGATCAGAACCACCTCCACCAACATATCGTTACACAAGCACGGGTCCTAAATGAGGATTGGCTCAGAGCTACACTTCTGGGTTGCAGAGCATCTCATGTGGTCTCTGGGAAAGTAAGTATGAGAAGTTCAGGGGACCCTCTCTTCCTCTCATCTTCACTCCCACCAGTGATCACAGCTTAACCTGCCACTATGGCGGGTTAGAATAAAAAAGGATGGGGTTTGTTCCTACCTTTGAAAACATCACAGAGAGTCAAAGGGAATGTTTCCAGGCTGAACTAGACACCGCTGAGTGACACAAGCAACAGGAAAACACATCAAGACCATCAGCGGTGGCGTTTGAAAAGCAAATTTGATCCATGGTAGTGGAAAAGCCAGCAAGTCCCCATCATTGAAAGCAAGCTTGCCTTTTAACTAAAGGTCTAGCGAGGGTCAGGCATGGGGAGATCTTGGAGAAGGGACATCTTCAGGGAAAAAGTAAGGAAGAGTAATGATTTGAATTCTGCCATTAAATTCCACACAGGGAAGACTGGTTAGCAGCCAAGAGGCAGTAATGGATGTGTCCTTCCCCTCGTTGGGTACCAGGCTTCCAGGTCAGGCATCCATGTTGATCCTCAACAGGGGTTCAATAAGGCAGCTAAGACAGGGAACCAAGAAAAGAAAGTGGAGACTGATGACAACCTATGGAAGAACCCCATAGGATCCAGCCAATTCCACTTCGTCCCACCCCATGGGTAACCACCATCTGCGGGCAGGAGGCAACCGAGCCGACCAGATTCCATGCCACTCTCCAGCAATACTCAACCAATCCTTGCTATCATTTCTTGGTACCATTTGTAATTTGTGGTTTCATATTGCTAAGTCAGTCTCATGGGGAGAAGACAAAAGAAATGGGGCAAATCATCATCATAACAATAAAATGGAGAGGCAAGAAGGAGCCCACTTCAGTCCTTTCACTGCCGAGAGCTACTGTCCATGTGAAAGGATGACTTGAATATGATCACATTTTGTCAAAGCCCCAGACAATTCAGTGTGGAATACACATTCCATAGTTTACCTTTGCTGCAATGAATAACCTATCCAGGAACCACATTCTTGAGACACTGTCTATCGATCTGCCTCCTTTTACAATCAAGAATCAAATACAGGCGATGGGCATCATTTTCCTTTCAATTGTATCTTTAAAAATGGCTTTTTCAATTTTGCTGCTTTAATAATGGCCTGATTTTCACTGTAGATCTCATGAAGGGTATGGCAAGCTCACAGATAAAAACTTATGCTCTAAGAGATAACCCATCTCTCTGATGTCTTGTTTTTCTGTAGACTCAGAAATATTTCCTACCATGGAGCTTCACTGCCAAAAGGGTGGCCCCGGGGCCACCAGCATTCTTATGGCAAGGGAGCTCCTCAGGAAGACAGAATCTTGGGCTCCACCCAGACCAGCTAAAGTCACCTGCATGTTTTATTTAGATCTCCAGGTGATTTGTGTGCTCTTTAAAATTTGAGAAGCTCTGCTATAGTGCAGATTGATAGCAGCTGCACTGCACCACATGTGGCATCTGGTCCACGTGATGTCATTCCCAACGAACAACCCCTGCTGCAGCTAGACACCTGGCTGATGCCCCTTAAGCCAATGAGTCAGAAGCCCACAGAGGCCTATGGTTTATCAGAGGCAAACACAGGCAAAGCATTGCCTCCAACTGGACATTTTGGAGCTCACTTAGAATATGTTGGCTTATCTTCCACTCCAGTCACTAAAACGCCTTACAAAGAGCCCCTCTAAGGAAGTTTAATTTCAATAGGGACGATGTCAGGAAGCTTTGGGAGAACCCCGATAAGTTCAACTTTGTTCTTCTGCTTCCTCTCCACACCTCCTTCCCTTTGCCTTACAATGTGTAGTGTTTTATTTAACATTTTGTAATTGCAGAATGCATTTATGCTTTATTTATCGGATGTCTCTCTATACCTTCTGCCTGATGAAAAATGATGGAGGTGGTGCAATTGTGGGAAGCGGAGGAAATGAATTTTAGCTAATGTGTTTTTGACATCCAATACATTGTTTTATTTTAGTATCAAGACATACACCTGGTTAGTCGGCCATTTAGAATTACCAGTAATTTTGATATTTTCTATTTGACATTTCAGGGCATGGAGCAACTCTGGGAGGGAGAACATTGGTATTTTAAAATCAAGTGCGATACAGGAGTGCAGTTCAGCTATTTGCTTTGTGCTGATGTTTACGCTACCTACAGGCAAAAAAGGAGGTCTTTTTGAAAAAGAAAAGCACACTTACGTTCTTTATTGAAACATGTAATTGAGTTCTTTATATATCAGAGAAGCCTATTCATTTGTATTGAATGGTCCTTGAGATATTCTGTCTATTGAAAATTCACATAGCCTCTGTGCAAATGCAGAACGTACTCTTGCAATGCCTCCCCCGCCAAAAAGTAATCCTTTTTGGAACAACAGTTTTGATCAATTATTTTAGATGACTATTTGGACAGTTCCAGTTCAGAAAAGATGATCGACAAAAAGCCAAAAGGATTCTGGCTGCTTTGGATTGACGTGGGTATTTTAGGTTTGTGGCTGTGACGGCAGTGAAGGGAGGTTCCATCTCTGTCAATTATCTGTTGAAGATATCCACCTATGAATGCTTTGAAGTAGAAAAGTGTGTTCAGTGTAAATTAACTTTAACATTCAAAGATGATGGTTCATGATTTATTTTCAAAATAGTGGATCTGTGAAAAATTAACAGCCACAAGATTCCAATTATCTCAATGGCAGTCTAATTTATGTGGCGTGAAGTACTTTAAAAAAAATCGGGAGGTGTGTTTAGTAAGGCTAAATTGGTGTTGCCTTGCTGGGTCACAGCTTGAAGTCTATCTGAACGACGTGGATCTCATTAAACATCATCAACTTAAAATCGCTTAGGTGATAAGAAGGATGAAGATGTAGTTTGGGGCCCAATAGACATTTTTCTTTTGTTCATAAATGTATATCCTCTAGGAGCAGCTCTGACTTCCTCAAGCAGACAGCACCTTGGAAGACAAGCTGTGAAGGCAGTCAGGTGGGCACATCCCTCAGCCTGGACACCCAGGTCTCTGGCAACCTGACTGTTAAAAGGAGGTTCAGATCATCAACTCCCTCTTTCCCAGAGCCTTGAGTCCTGGCTGTGTGCAGGTATTGATTTTGGGAAGGAGCTCCGAAATTGATCAATATCTGCTGGCAGCTGAAATCTTCAGATATTTGCTAAAGAACCAGATAGTCATGTTTCTGTGGACAGAGAGGGTGGCTGGTGCTCAGGGTTCCATGATTAAATAATGCCTCATTTAGCTGTTGTTGATAAGTGATGGGTCAACGCAGGAATGGGTGTTTACTGTGATTAATCTAAACAGGAGCAACTCATAATGACCTGTTCCTTTGGCACCTGTGTAAGTGAAGAAAATTTGTCATTTGCTAGTTTAGAAGCAGTTTCTCACTTCTAATGAGCTCTGCAGACAGAGGGGACTTCAAACGGGCTTGCAACCACAACCAAAAATATCAAGCTGCTGGAGGAGGTGGAAGACCCTCAGAACACTGTGAGCTTTCCAAGTGTTCTTCCCACACTCAGAAGGATTGTAGGAAATGAAATTGTACCGTTAGCAGGCAGCCACATGCTTCAGCACTTCACAGCATCCTGGAGATACACCAAGACCATTCTCTCCCATAGACGTAATGCCTGGGGGAACATATGACTTTACAAATTCAGCTAACTAGCTCCATCACATAGTGGCACAGGGCACTCTGGATTCAGAGTGGGCACACAAATTTCTTTCACTAGTAAGAGAGAATTCCCAAACAAGCCCCCTTTTTACCATTCCACATTCTTTGGAACATATTTTGGGAAGCACTGATACGATAATCTATACTGGCCATCACCCCACTTCTAGGATTGTTGACCGATTCTGGCATGTCTTAGAGACAGAGAGTAAGCTGCTGACTACACAATCATAGCTGCAAGGGAGGCAGATTAAGATAACCAAAAGGCAGCCACGTCCAGTCAGATGATAACCATGTTAAGGTGAAAAAGTTAAGATTCCAGCAAGTCAAGATAAGATACCCGGAAATCCTTGGCTGTAACCAGAATCCTTATATTTTAGGTACAGAGTTTTATTTTTAATAGTTTTTTCTATTAAGTTAGGACTTCTGGATTCTCCAAAACACAGCCTAATGAAGTGAGGAGACACTCGTGTTTGAGTTTCTGCTGGTCTCAGGAGGTAAATACCAGTGTGCACTGAGTCTGTTTACTTACCTGAAAAAGGAAAAATGATCATCCTTAGCTTACAGGACCCTTGTGCAGAATAATGAAACACAAAATGTGGTATACAGTGAATGACTTGTCAATAAATAGTATATGAAATGGCAAATTGACCTGATGGGAATATTATATACAGATATTATATACAGACAGTGGATAAACACAAGGTCTGTATTATATACACACAGTGGATACACACAAGGGTCTGCATGAATCTTTCTCTCTCTCTCTCTGTGTGTGTGTGTGTGTGTGTGTGTGTGTGTGTGTGTGTGTGTGTGTATCTGTCTGGTAGTCTCAGAACCTTGGCACTGAATGAGGCTTCTGTCAAACCCTTGGAGAACTTATCTTTTTTTCTGATCTGAGATTGACTTCCTCAATCTGAGATCCTATGTGGTCTTCTTATAAAATTCTTGGGGCCCATTCATCTTGTGCCAGCTCTGAATAAAATATACTGAGGAAGCCCCTGAGGAGACAGAGGGATAGTTGTTATTCCTACAGTTTAGCAAATGCACCCGGCTCATCGATTTAAGCATAGCCTAACCTTTGAAGAATGTGGGTTCTCCCTAGCAGTAGCATTCTCTAGCAAGCTCAGAGTAGGCAGCAAAATTAGAGCTTGACCATTTACAAAGGACTTTCCTACGTATCATTCAGCTCAGTGGCTTTCTGCCTGGGGTTCAATGACAAAGAACTGTGTCCACTCACCGTCATGATCATTGCAAAGTCTTTTCTTTCATTTATTCCAGGGATCAAAAGTCAGACGGGTCAGATTTGAATTTCTCAGTGTCAAAGAATTAACCAATACCCTCTGGTGGAGGGCAGGTAGAAGAAGACACTGTAAGGCAAAAAGAGAAAAGCAAGATCTGAAGACATCAGTAGAAAACAGGACCATGAGAATTTGCTCCATTTCCTGTGAGTCCCTTGGTGTTTGGGGCAGTACCTTCTGACATATTAGAGGACCTGTGAAGTATTTTCTAATAGGGTAGAGAACAAGCCCCTTATTACCTGGTGTCAGGATAAATTATAGGAATATCAGGCACCTGAAAATAAAATTCCACTCACAGTGTACTATGTTTTCACCCTTAAAATTACCTTTCAAAACATGTGCATTTAGTTGGGCTAAAGAATTTCATTTTCTGCGCGAAGTTTCTCAACTTCACCACTCTTGACATTTGGTGGGGGAGGGCGAGACGGTCTCTGTTGTGAGGGCTGTCCTATTCATTGCAGGATGGTGAGCAGCACTTCTGATCACAATCCACTAGATACCGGCACTGCACCACCCCCACAGTCACAATCTAATTTCTCTCTAGACATTGCCAAATGCCCCCTGCCAAATGCCATTGCCAAATCTCTCTCCAGACATTGCCAAATGCCCCTTCTTTCTCCTCCCCTCCTCTTCCCCCCTGCAGGGTCAAACCACGCCTGTTTGAGAAATGCTGTGCTAGGGTTTAAAACTTGAGCTCAAGGATACATTCCTGGGGAAGTCTGTTGAGTGGACCCCTTCCTTCCCAGGGAGTAGGCTGCTGCAATCTGCTCCTGTGACTGTAACAAGTGACCACAGACTCAGTGGTTTAGACAGTACGATGTTATTACCTAGTAGTTTTAGAAGCCAAAGTCCAACGTGGGTCTCACTGGGCTAAAATCAAGGGGATTTCAGGGTTGGTTTCTTCAGGAGGCTCCAGGGTGGAAGCCACTTCCTGCCTTTCCCAGCTTCTGGAGGCCTCCATGCTCCTAGGCTCGTGGCCGCTTTCTTCGTTTCCAAAGTCATCTGCAGTGAAGGGCCGCATCCTTTCACGCCACATCACTTGGCCTCCCTCTCCTGCCTCCCACATCACTTGGCCTCCCTCTCCTGCCTCCCACATCACTTGGCCTCCCTCTCCTGCCTCCCACACCACTTGGCCTCCCTCTCCTGCCTCCCACACCACTTGGCCTCCCTCTCCTGCCTCCCACATCACTTGGCCTCCCTCTCCTGCCTCCCACATCACTTGGACTCCCTCTCCTGCCTCCCTCTTCCACTCTCGAGGACCTGCGATGACACGGCCCGCCTGGGAAATCCCGGCCCGCCTGGGAAATCCAGGATAATGTCCCTTTCTTAGGGCCGGCAGGCAGCAACCTAAATTCCATTTGCAACCTGCCTTCCCCTTTGCTGTGGAAAGTCACACAGCCACGGGTTCTGGGATTGGATATGGTTAGCCATGGCGGGAGGCGGAGGGAGATTATTCTGACCACCACGGATGCCAAGAAGACTCTTGGAATAAAATCCAAACCCATAACGTGGTCCATGAGCCCTGCCTGATAGAAACTGCTCACCGCAACTTCCTTTTTTACTCCCACAGCCACGCGGCCCTTCCGGTCCTCAAATACGCCCCTTTCCAAGGCCTTTGCCTTTGTGGCTTTGTTTTATTTTTGAAAACTTTAGGGAATAAAAAGGAGAGCTGGTGCTACTCTAAGAAACGCATAGCCGTTGTCAAGAATTCAGTGGTACTTTTGGTTTCTTATGTTTGATTAGGATTCCATAGTGTCCTGCCTCTTGCTGGGCCCCCGGCACAACATGTGTGGGTGTGTAAGTATGCATGTGTATGTGTTCGTGTGTGTGTATGTTCATGTGTCTGTGAGTACACGTGTGTGTTTAGGTGCGTGCGTGTATGTGTATGTGTATGTGTGTGTGTGTATGTATATGTGATGTGAGTGTATGTGTGTGCATGCGTGTATATGTGCGAGTATGTGTGCAAGTGTGTGCACGAGTGTGTACGTCTGCAAATGTGTTTGTGTTTCTACGTGTGTGTAGTGTGTATACGAGTGTCTTGTATGAGTGTGAGTGTATACGTGTGAATGTATGTGTATGTGTACTTGTGTGTGTATCTGTGTGAGTATATGTGAATGTAGGTGTGTGTGTATGTGTGCGAGTATGAGTACACGTGTGTGTGTGTGTGTGTGGGTATGTGAGTGTGTGGGGGGTGTATGTGTGTTGAGAGTGTGTGTTGTATGTGTATGTGTGCAAGTGTGTGTGCATGCGTGTGTGTGGATATGTGCATGTGAGTATGTGTGTGTGGAAGTGTGTATGTGTGTGTATGGGTTTGTGTTTCTCCTGGATCTTGCTCCCTCGGAGCTGCCTGACTGTCACCTAGCAAGTCTCAGCTTAAAGTCACCCTCTCGTGTGGTCTTTTCTGCGCAGCATCCACAGAGCAGCAGCCCTGCGCCTCCTGCTACTGAGATGGAGTGAGATTCTCAGCATCTCGTTTGCTTTCCTCAAGCACTTATCAGAATTTGTAATTTCTTTATTAGCTTATTCCCTGCCTCCACCAAAGAAGTGCATCTCATCGAAGAAGGAATCAAAGGAAGCTGGTCGACGAGCTCAGCATCGGTCCCTGGCAGTGAGCAGTGAGCCGCGTGGCACCCCTGGCAGACGTGTGTTACTGAGCAAACCAGAGACTGAGAAGCAGAGGGCGGGAAAACAGTGCCATGTATTTCTCATGAGTTCTGTGATCGCTCACAGGCTGGGCAGGAAGGGAAGTTAAAAAGGAAAAAAAAAATGAAGGGAAGATACGTGAAATTGTGTGAGCATCCAGTAGCTGCCAGGCCTCATTTAGTGACACCGTGGATTGAAGGACAGGTGTCCTTGTCTGCAATGCAGAGAGGAGAGGTTTCAAGCTCAAAGGCAGTAAGCAGTTCTAAACCGTCCAGTCAGGATGCAAACACAGCATGTTATGAGGATGGGCCTTGAGTCCGGCCAAGGAACAAGGGTTAGGCTTTCAGGCGTGGGACTCCCGCTAAGGCAACCTCCGGCTCACCTTGCTCTCATCATCTCTCTGGTGCTAAGAGTGCCACCTGAGCTTGGACACCTGGAAGCCTTGTTCCTCAAAAGCAGGAGAGAATGAGGGCTGGACCGTGCTGGAATTCCTTGACCCCTCCTCCAACCCAAGGCACAGATCATCTTGCCAGGAAGATTGAGGGGACTCCATGCTAAGAATCTGCCCTCCTGCACATGCCAACCACAAGCATGAAAGGTTATTTTTTAAGACCATTGTGAGAAAAAAAATTGCTGCCATCCTTGAAGGCAGCATTTCTGCCTGTGATTCCTTAATGACTTCAGTCTCTGCCCTTGTTCATTTATTGTTGCTATAATTATAAATGCCTCCGTGGTTTGGGGAGAGTTTTCTGGAAGCAAGGAGGCAGAAAATCTATTTTCCTGAAAGCTTTTCTTTTTAAATTAGGCTGTTGTTTCTTGTGTCCCTAATGCCAACCTAATGACATTTCCTGATGAGATGACTGTGTCTGAATTGCTGCAATTGCTTCTCTGCAGAAGGCGTTTTCTTGGGCTGTCCTGAGTGGGTAGAGCAGGGGTCCTTTGTCTTGGCTAGGGCTCTGCTGTACAGTCACCAGTGTTGACTGAGCAGGTTCTAAAAGTTTTGTCTCTGCCTCACCTCGTGAAGGTCTCACAGAAATTCCCTGTAAGATAGATACAATTGTTCTTTTAGTTATATGGTAACCAGTGCGATGTTCCAAGAGCTTTACATACACTTTACCTCTTGCAGGTCTCAGGGAAACCCTCCATGAGATAGATACTGTCATTGTCCCCGTTTTACAGATGAGGAAACTAAGGCACTGGGATATTAAATAACAAACCCACAGGCAGACAACTTGTAGGTAGCTGAAACCAGATTTGAATCAGGTATATTCTGGTAAGCCAGCTCTCTGGAACAAAAAAAAAGGTAAAGGAATGGACTTTTTAGCATTTGCCAATTTCTGTGGTGTAAATAGTCCCGCCATGGCTGACTGAAAGCTACCAATGATTTAATAGCTGACTTGCTAAATTCCTGAATATTTAACCACATGCTCTTGCCAACCAGAGGGTGTTGGCTCAGACTCTGACTGGATCTTAGACTCTTGGCTACTGGGTTTTGCACGTGCTTAAAAAGGGGCTTTAGGAGAGTAAAACAAACAAACAAACAAAAAACATGCATTTTGATATTCTCACATTCAAGGTGTGGGGATGGGGAGGCATACCTTTGGATGTTACTGGAAATACTATGCATTTGGGGAAGTCTTCTGAAACTTACGAGAGAAAGCTAATTCTAATTTTAAATTTTTAGGGAGTGAGTGGGAAGAAGTTTCTAGAATTAGCCTATCATAAGAAAGTTCTGTGACTTTGCAAAGCTAGGAGATCTCTGACTTAAATTATTTCCAGCTTAGCAGATGTTCTTCTATTTTTTCTTCTCTTTTTATCATCTTTGATTTGGACCATACCTACACTCCAGCGGTCTGTCTTCTTGGCTCCATGAGGTCAGGGGAGTGCCCATTTTGGAGGAGCTGGCTTACCAACAAGCCCCTTCTCTGAGAACTGGCCCAAGAACAGCCCTGCTGGAGGAGCAGCCACACTAACCACATCCGGCCCTGGACCAGTGGGGCACTAGACACCACTACCCACTCATCTCCAGAATTGCAACCCAAAGATGCAGAGACAGCATTACCTGGTGGTGAGCTTCGGGCTTTCATCCATGTGATTTGAGATATCATAGTCATGAGTGCCGTGTGTGAGCAGAGGAAGTCAGTAAAAAAATAAAGGAGACAGTGAATCCCAAAGATGCAGATATTCTGGCTCTTGAGACACAGAAAGGGGGTCTTTGATTCCTGGTAGAAGTTCCAGCTTCCCCCCTAACATTCACCTGTTCTCAGGGTGCCCCTTCCAAGGATCACCCATGTAAGGGCATTTGAAAGGGGCCACATAGCCTGTATGTATTTTCTAGTTAAGGAGGTAGACTCCAAAGCCATGCTATATCTTAGTCCAAAAGTCTGCCAGAAACTTAAAATAGTTCAAATTAATGTTCAGCCAAGTTCTCCAGCATAGCTTACTAGAAGTTATGCAATAAACCCAAATAATGCAGTGAAGAATGGCTTCAGATTCAAACCACATATGACCACATTCCAATGGAGGAATTTCAACCCAAAAGAGAAGTTTATTTTCCTTCTCAAATAAGGATTCCAATGTTTAATTTTTTTTTTCTTTTCTGGATTGATGCATAATAGGAATCTTCAGGCAGGACAACATAATCTTCTGAGAAGAGGGAGCTCATTGGCACAATTAGTTATAGACACAGCAGGTTGAGCCCAGGTTCAGAGTCTTTGGTGCAAGCTAAACGAGGCCTTGCAAGGAGACAGCCAGAGCTAAGAGTGTGAAAAGTGACAAGTGAGGCCAACTGTCCTCCCTGAAGCATGAGACAGTTAAATGGTGCAATACTAAAACAGTCTCAGCTAAGATAATGGTGGTCGTTGCACAACTATATGAATTTACTCAATATTACTTAATTGTCCAGTGTAAATGGGTGAATTCTATAAGACATAAATTATCTCTCAATAAATGTGTTTTGAAAAGATTCATTATTGGCCAGGTGCAGTGACTCATACCTATAATTTCAGGGCTTTGGGGGACCAAAGTAGGAGGATCACTTGAGCCGAGGATATAGCCTGGGCCACATAGTGAGACTCCATCTCTACAAAAAAAAAAAAAACACCAAAAAATAGCCAGACATAGTGGCACATGTTTGTAATCCCAGGGACTGGGGAGGCTGAGGCAGAGGGATCGAAGGATCAAGTGAGCTCAGGAGTTCAAAGCTGCAGTGAGCTATGATGGTGCCACTGTACTCCAGCCTGGGCAACACAGTGAGATCCTGTCTCTAAAAATAAACAAAAAGACACATTGCTGAGGAGGCCACTTCCTGCTCCTTCTACCATGGCTGTGTTGTTTAATTTGGATTAAATGTGTCAAAAAAAAAAAAAGAAAAGTAAAACTTTTTCCTACAAGAAGCAATTATGTTAGCTTAGAATTTGGAACATCAGGCCCAGGAACTTTTAGTCTAAGGTAGATTGAATAGCTCAATGAGGTTATGCAGTAGCTAGCTCTCTCCCCCTTGTTCACCTCACCCTGTCCTATTACAGTTGAATTATTCACCATGGCTAGGAAAATGAACCATCATGTCAAACATGTGGCTTCCAGCATGGCAGTTACCAGAGAGAGAGCCAATGTTTTCATTCACTTTCCATAGAGGATGTCGGTTTGCCTAACCTCTTCAGTGTGCCCTTCTTGAGATACTGACTCTGGCCAGGGGAAAAGAGTCCTGCAATTGCTCGTGTCTGGTCAGAAGACCCGCTTCTGTGGCCAAGCAAGAAGCAGCATCCTGGTTGACAAAGTCCACCAGGACTATGTGGAGTGGGCAGGGGTCATTTCCGCAAACACAAAACAAGGTGCAGTTACCATAAAAAACAAACAAACAAACAACAACAACAACAACAACAAAAACAGACAGCAAAGCAAACTGAATAGATAAAAAGCAGAGCTATCATGGGTTATCTAAACTAAGCCTCCTTGTCCATATTATCTGGTGGACCCCAAATCATGCATCAGATGTGCATCAGACGTAGACTGAATGCATCAGACATGGGCACATGCATCAGACGTGGACTGAACTCACAGCCTGGAGCTGAACTCAGCCTCAATCAGCTGAATTGCATTGACCTGCAGACACATGAGTGAAGAAAATCAGGGCTTCTTATAAGCCATTTATCTATGGAGTCATTTGTTACACAGCATCGGTGTGGCAATAGCTGACTGATGTACTCCCTTTTTTGCAGAGCAAGGAGTTCGTATTTTCTCCCAATCAGAAACCTCTCCACAAAAATACAAAACAAAACAAAAAAGTAACATGAAATCCTTCACACAATAAAGTAACTGACATAGCCATAAACTCTTAGCCCATTAATGAAACTATGTCTCAACTTTTAAAACCCAGCCACACAGCTACAGGGCCGATGTCTTTGTCTTTAAGATTGCCTTTTATGTCTGTACAACAGAATGCTGAGCTTACTTGGACACACTTCTGTTCTTTGCAACCAGACCAGAACTGTCAACCACAGAATGGTGAATGTCCATCCCTCACATCCCTCTTGATGAACCATAGCAGTGACCTACATGAACAGTCAATCTCCACCAGCCATTCTGACCTCCACCTTCCCTAAGGACACCATAGAGCATTTACAGTGAATGAGATGCAGACAGTTCCTTGAACCATGGGAAAAGGAAATGGTCCTCTTAGCATATATATTTGGTAATTTATTTATGACATTTCAGCTGCGCCCAGTGTCCTGTGTCCTTGGGGCACACTGATGACTTCCATGTGCATGATTAAAATGTGAATAAGGAGTCAAAGAGAAAGGTCAAGTGTCTTTGTGGATAGAAGTTATGAGACATTCTTGGATATCATACAGGGAACACCTCTGAACATGCTACTTTTTTCTAACAGTTAATTTTTTTTTGAGAGACAGAGAATTCTAAACCTACAGAAAATTTGCAAAAATAATAAAGCATTCAACTACCCTTCACCCAGCTTCCCCTTGTGTTACCATCTTAAAGAGCCATCACACATTCATCAAAACTAAGAAGTTATTCTTGCCACAATACTGTTAACTAGAATATGGAACTTAATTGAATATCCCCAGTTTTCCTGCTAATGTCCTTTTTCTATTCCAGGATCCATCCTGGGACCCCACATTGTATTTGGTCATTTGTGTCCTTTTGGTCTCTTCCAATTTTGGGCAGTCTTCCTCAGTCTTCCCTTGTCTTTCATGACCTTGACACTTTGGAAGAATATTAGTCAGTTATTTTGTAGAAAATATCAGAATGGGAGTTTGTTGTTTACTTGCGATTAGATTATTCAGGGGGATACCCCTGAAGTAATGTGCCTTCCCAGTGCACCCTAGAAGGAGCCCGTGATGTCACTATGTATTTCTGTGATGTTAACCTTGAACTAAGGCTAGTGTAGTGCATGCCAAGATTCTCCACTGTAAACTTACTACTTTTCCCTTTGTAATTATCAAATATTTGGAGGGCAATATTTAAGACTATGCAAGTATCCCATTTCTGCATAAACTCTGAATGAAGCACAATGAATGAAAATAAATTAATAGCTCATCTGTTCCAATTCATAAACTGAAGTGACTACCTTTGAAGGCAAGGAAACTGCAAATCTGTTCTAGATACTGCTCCATGCCAACCCTTTCTTTTCAATTCTTGAAAGCATTTTTAGGCACCTATATGGCGGACAGCAATGGAGCATGCTGTGGGCAGGCAGATGAGAGGGCTCCTTTAGCACAGATGCCAGGGTTCCAGTGTGTGGGAAAGAGCCACAGCAGGCAGGCAGTGATGCCCAGGCACTTCCATGAGCGTGTCTTAGCCCCGTCACGGACACACAGTCATTCTTACCAGGGGTCTCCCTGGGCCCCAGACCCTTGACCTTGCAGCTGTCCTGCCCACGGCATCCTTACCTTCCTCTTCAATTGGCCGGCCTCATCTTGTCCCTGTGGGAAGAAGCATGTATTTACAGACGGGGCCATTGGGAGGTAAAAAGAGAACAATTCTGGGTTCTTTCTAAAGAACCAGAACAGAGTTTCGGGCTCCCTCTATTTCCTTATGAATGTACAAACCCATGCATCGGTTTCCTAGGCTAATCTGCCATGACAATTCCGGTTGGTTGGTTGGATTCTCTCTTTCCTTTTTTTTTTTTTTTTTCTCCTCAACTGAACGTAAGTTAAGGTCTCCAAACAGAGAAATTGATCCAAGGTTTCATTTTCCTCCTCTGCTGTTTCGGCTTTATGAACACCCGAGTGGTTACTGCAGACACTTTTGACAGGCCCAGCAGTCTGGCAAATTAAATCTTCTAGCCCAAGCAAATCCTGATCTGGAATTTCCGCACAATCCCCCTGCCTGTTTCCTGGGTTTGTCTGTCTCTTCCTTGATAGGGTATCAGTTTACCTCCCTGTGGGTGAGGGTTAAATAATAAAAAGGTTGAAAACAAAACAAACTTATCTTACAGGCAACCCACCGCTACTATTGCTTTTTCATAACAGAAGAGAGAAATGGGACCAGGAAGAAAAAAAAAAAGAAGAAGGTATCGTGGAGGAAGTAAAAAAAACACACAAGGTGGAGAGTGAGACGGGAGTCTCTTGGTAGGTGGATAGGCAGCTCCGAGCCAATGCTGCTAGAAAAGAACCTGTGGTTAGATTCCTTTCCGTTCTACTGGGGCAGAAAAAAAATTGTAAATGTTACATTATGAATGGGAGAACTGGCCTGGAAAAAATATGAATCTCCCATGACCTGCCCCAACCTCACAGCTACCCAGGGCCGTGCACTTAGCTGAGCTGATTTCCCTCCGGTCCATCCAGCACATTTCTTTTTCATTTACATCTGCATTCCCCCTTCTCAGTAAAGCCGGGAAGCAGAAGGCAACCTGAAAACGAACTGCTGGCCCCGGCCTTCCGGTCAGAGTCAAAGTCAGAACGTCCTTTCTCACAGTGCATTTCAGCCACCTCTGGCCTGGTTAGAGCAGACCTGGGGCCTCTTGCAGGACTGATACAAGCAGGTGAGGGCAAGCATCACCGATGGGCAGCCTGGGCCAGAGAGACCCTCCATGTGCCAGCTCCGGACCTGTTTTTAACTCATCGGCAACATTTTTAAAAATAAGGTATTTCACATAAAAGTCAGTATGTCCAGGTTTTGGGGGGAATGATAAGATTCAGTATCAAGGGGCTCCTGTTCCCAGATGGAAGGAAACGGGCAGGGCCGCCCTTCACACAGCGTTGCTCCGTCCAGCCGCTCACTCCCTCAGAACTCCTCATCACGCATCCTCTCACACGGGATCCTCTGTTCCTTTCATTGGTCGCTGCCAGTCCCCGAAGGTATCTGCCTGCACAGGAGAGTGATGGGTTTGGGATGGAGGCAGAGGCAGAGATCGATGCATGGGCAGAGGAGACACTCTCTATCCCGGAACCCGGAGGCTACCCAGGCTCACCATTGTTTTGCTACAACAGTCATAATTTGATGAAGATTTACCAACAAAAGAGAAATTAGAGCAGATTCCAGGTTCCATCTGCAGAAGTATCCCTCCAGCGTGGAAGGCAGTGTGATAGGATGCTGGGAACCCAGGCTTAGGGCTGGATGGCTGCTGCTCCCTGAGAGTGGGAAAGTCGCCCTTTGGATGCCTCAGTTTCTCCATCCGGAAAACAGGGATCAGGACAGAACCTGCTCCAAAGTTCCTACAAGGAGAGGGTGAGATAAGGGCTACAGCAGAATGATACCTAACACAGAGGGTGCAGCCAGGAAGCACACTATTGTCCTTTCATGACCTGTGCTTCCGAAATGCTTTTCTGAAGAAAGGGATTAGAAGGGATTGGATGGTGGGGAGATTGTAGAACAGCTCTCCTCATCTGAGCTCAGGAGAGAGAGCAGGGCCGCCATCCTTCCTTCATGAGTATCTCAGAGGAAATGGGGCTGAAGACAGGACTGTCAGCGGAGCCCTCACGCCCCCCTCCCTCAGCAGCTGCCAGCCAGCCAGCGGTGGGGCTGTGATGGTCGGGGGAGCAGCAGGGGGAGGGGGAGTTGCTAAAGTGCAAGGCCCAGAACAGGGTCCTTTTGTCCGGGTTTGAGGGCAGTGCCTGGTCTACAAATCCTATTCCCGACAAAGATGCAGGCTAGACTTACCCTGCAGACGTGCTTAGCTGCTACTGGGCCTGCTCCTGGCCTCCGCGGCGCTTCTGAGACTGTCCACCAAGGTATGCAGCACTCGTGGCTGTAAATTCTTAAAGGGTCTGCCTTCCCTGCTGGTCCGTTAGTCTCAAGAGGCCCAGGCAGCTTCTCTCTGTCCACGCCCCTCCCCCAGAGTTGAGTCCTGTGCCCAACACACATCAGACCCCCGATGACTATCCCCTGAATGACCAAACCGGAGACCCTGCTGGACACAGGCAGGCTCCTTCTGGTGTCCACACCCCCTCAGGGTGTTTGAAGGGAAGACTTTTATAGAAGCAAAGTCTGCCCAAATAGCATTTCCGTGGGGACCAACAGTGTGCTGGCCAGTCTTTACCTCCATCAAGTCACAGCCAACATTGGGTAGTATCCTACCACGATCACAGACCCACCCCGGCCCAGCGAGGCTAACTACGTGAGCACTGGGTGAGCTGCGCCCACAGCTGCAAATCGTCATGGACATAGTGTATGCAAACTGCTTCTGTTTTCTCAAAATGCTTTTCTCTCCTACTGCAAGCAAATCAGAGCCAAGCTCACATATTAATGTTTCAGTCTCAAAAGTAAAAGATATACCCAATCCCCTTTTTTAAAAATCAAGAGTAGGTCGAATTCAAGAAGTAGACCCTGATAATGGAAAAAACTTACATAATTTTTTAAAAATCAACATATGGAGCAATTGTTAGAAAAAGGACACAGTCTACTGCATTCCACTTAAAGGAGTAAATGGGTAAACACCCTTTCTGCTTAGTTTTACTTATAATCAGGAGACAACACAACTTCAGAGTCCTTGGACTTTAGAGTGGGCTACAGACAGTTGGAAGAAAGCTAGATATTTGTTTTTGACCAAAACGGAATGAACTTACCGATAGAGAGACTGTCAGAAGTTGGATGATGCTACATCTACAGAGAAAAAACAAAATATATGAAATTCAAAGAATATAGGACGGGGAATACTTCTGACTTCCCCCAAAGGAGAAAAAGCAAGGATTTTTACCCCGATTTTAAAGTAAATCAAACCAGGGCCCAAATCCCCACTCTGACACTTCTGACCTAACCCTGTCGTCTGTACTCATAAAGAACTCCAGCTCGGGTGCAGTGGCTGACGCCTAGAATCCCAGCACTTTGGGAGGCCAAGGCGGGTGAATTGCTCGAGCTCAGGAGTTTGAGACCAGCTTGGGCAACGTGGCAAAACCCTGTCTCTACCAAAAATATGAAAGCTAGCCAGGCACGGTGGTGTG
The DNA here is from genome assembly GCF_000001405.40 of Homo sapiens. Taxonomy (NCBI): domain Eukaryota; kingdom Metazoa; phylum Chordata; class Mammalia; order Primates; family Hominidae; genus Homo; species Homo sapiens. The sequence continues at coordinate 60,660,234 of NC_000020.11, forward strand.
CACCTGTGGTCCCAGCTACTCTGAGGGTTGAGGTGGGAGGATCGCTTGAGCCCAGGAAGTTGAGGCTGCAGTGAGCCATGATCATGCTACTGTATTCCAGCCTGGGTGACACAGCAAGACCCTGTCAAAAACAAACAACAACAACAACAACAAACAAAACCGAACTCTAGGATGGCAACTTGGTCAGGCTGTAGGCCCCGGTTCTTAAACACTGAGCCAGGTGTTGCTCTGAAAGTATTTTACAGATATAATTAAATCCTTGATTTGTCCACTTTAATAAGATAGTACCCTGTACAGTGGGTGGGACTGAGTGAATCAGTTGTAAGACCTTAGAAGCCGCGCTGAGGTGCAGAGCTTGGCCTGTGCCCATGGGTTTCCACCCCACACCGTCTTCCTTTCTGGACTGCCTGCCCTATGGGTTTAGAACTTGCTTGGGAAGCCCCTACAACAGAATGAGCCCATTTCTTGTCATCAATGTCTCCAGATATATAGATAGATAGGTAAATAGATAGATAGATATAGATAGATGATAGATAGACAGAACAATAGATAGAAAGATAAATAGATAGATAGATAGATAGATAGATATCGAGATATACTCTTCTACTAGTTCTACTTCTCTTGTTGAACCCTGACTGATACCAACTCCTAAATGGTTTTATTTACAAGCCGTTGACGGTCCTTCAGATGATACTTTAACCTGTATTCATTAGATCCCAACCAAGCAATGCTTTAACATTTCAAAGCAGAAGCATCATTAAATTTGAATACCTGACCCATCCGCCGTCTCTGCCTCCTCCTTCCTTCTTGGAAACCAAACCAAGGTTATATGTACCTTTTTACATTATATATGTAAATATATATGTGCATATGTGTATATATATGTATTTTCTTTATTGTGTATTATGAAAGAAACTTTCATAAAATAAAATGTTGAGGCCAGAAAAAAAGATAGGTTGAATCTGGGATGTTGCTAGCAAAAAAAAAATCGTAGTTCTTATTTGAAGTATTCAGTGAGTATCTGTATTTGAGTGTGCAGCAACCTGACATGGGTCCACCTCTGAGGAACTCACCATTTCAGGCAGATAGCCTTATTTAGACTCCCAGTGCCATTTGTGAGATTACAGTCTAGAGACTCCTGAAAATAAAAAGCCTTTGACCTACAGTAGGTGGAGGAATGATCACACATACACACACAAAAAAAGCAGAAATGAAATGATTCAATACAGGGAATGGAGCAGTGGTTAGCATGTGTTTGCTGGCTATTCTCTTTTGACCACCAGTGGCTTGGAGGGAAGGGGGCAGACGATAGGTTTCTTGTGGGGCGAGGTCTCTGCTCAATCATTGGACAAGGGAGCAAGTCCCCGCAGCGTGGCTTGAGGGGACATTTGGCTAACACAGCCCCTGACTGGGTCTGCATTCTTACAGCTCACTGTCTGGGTGACTCAGTGCTTGCTTTTTACCCGCCATTCTCCAGCCTCCTCACATTTGAGTCTAGCGGGATCTCATATTTGAGTCCATCTTAATTCATCATTTAACATAGGTCTCTGTGCTCCGAGGTCCCCAGGGTACATCTCAGATGTGGCATCTTAGTTGTCTGGTTTGAAACGTCTAAAACGTTTTGCCGACTCGCATGAGATATTTTGTGGGAAAAGGAGTTCTGAGTGGAATACACCAGTAGGAAGCCTGGATTCCTCATTAAACCTCCCCTCTTAGAGCCTCATGGTGAGTACTGATATATTAAAGTCCTGCAGGGGGGACACTTGCTTTGCTTCGTTCAACCCGCTTTTCTTGGACGTTTTAGCCCAAGGAACCTCTTTGCAAAAGAACACTTGTAACACCCAGGGAGCTACTGTGCCAATGAATATGGTTTAAGGAAGCCTCATCTACAGAAGAGAGACACTCCATTGCGTGCAGAAACTGTAAATGAAAAAGTTAGAGCAAATGAAAACTTCACTCCATTTTAAAACAATTGAAAAGTAAGAGGGTGCATTTGAGCTGAATTTTTAAGATGAACAAAAGTCTAAGATAATGATATTGATTGATATTGGCATCTCTCCATCCTTCCTTCCCTCCTCCACTCAGGAATGCGAATATGAAATAGTCCATCAGTCGTGAAGCCCTCTCTTAACTTCAGACTCTCTCTTGCTTTGCAATGCTGACTGCTTTCTGTAATAAGTCCCTTAGTGTTAGAGGGTGCCCCTTTAACTCTGCTTCTGCCAAATTGAGAGCCAACTCTAGCACGTCTGCACATCTCAAATGCAAACTGCCACCCTGTTTATTCTGAGAAGCTGTCAGAAGGACACTGCTTCTTGACTGTTTGGCATTTTAATAGGAGGGCCTCTGCAAGCCAGTTTGCATATTGCAGGGGCTCTCTGCCCATCAGGTGCTCACACCCTTTGGTGCCAGGGAAGGAGATCTCTCCTTTCTGATTCCAATCTTTCCCCAAAGAACAATTCTTCCCCAATTTGACGTATAAAAGGCAGAACCAATTTGCATCTGCCAAAACAGCCCAGAGATGGTGTTTCCTGATCTTTCTTCCCTTCTATAGGATCTACTCTTTGTTAAGCTCTGACCCTAATGTCATTAGAAAGAAATGCTTGCCTTCTCCCCACCCCCAGAACACAGGAAACCTTGCAATGCCCCAGCATGAGTGAAGGCAAGCAGGAACATCTCCCCAGTTGTCTATGCCTCAGTGCCTGGCTCCTGACCCTCACTGACTTTCCCAAGTTTTCTTGTTGGCTGGAAAGAGTAGGTGTTCCAGAGTCTATGAGGCAGGGCTGAGCTGTTCCCAGAACACCAACATAGAATCCAGCATTTTCCCCCATTAGGCACTTAGCTCTCCAAGCAAGAGTGCTGCAATGAGAGGCTGTGGCTTTCCAGAAAGTGAATCAGGTTCTCTCAGCTCCTGGAGGAGGTTCTGATTCTGCACATGCATATAACCCATAGAAAATAATCCTCTGAGAAACTCAGCATTTTGGAATCCCCAAATACCTCTCTCTACACTGCATCATCTCTAGCATGGATTGACGTAACCAAATGATGGCTAGGAACCATCAGGGTTTCCTATCAAGCAGTGCAATAATCTACATCATTAGCAACTGTAATGTGGAAGCACATTACCCTGCAGAGGTTTCCTGAGCACCTACTACGTGTAAGAGACTGTGGTCAGTGATGTGGGGACATCAAGCACTGTTCTCATCCTCATAGACTTTGGAATATGACTGAAGAGGCAAGCCTAAAAAATACACAACAGTACAAAATTATAACAAATAGTGTCTAATTAGGGGCTTATTTGCTTGAGTGGAAGTACAGGAGCCATTTGTTGCTTTTGTGTTTTGGGGTGCTGCTTCTCCCCCATTCCATTTGATTCTCCAGGGGATCATGGATCAGATTGCCTGGCTATCCCAGGCTCCAGGGATGCAGGTGATTCAGCTCTGGTCAATTGAGTGCTCCATCCCCAGCAACAGGGGTTGGTTCAAAATGAGACCATGTGCCCAAGCAGGGCCAATCAATCACTGTTGCTGGAATTGATTTGCAACCTATGAAAACTGTGAGAGAAGGAAGCTCTTTCTGCTGGGATTGCTGAGCTGATGGTTCCTGAATTCTGTGCAGAGCTGGGCCTCGGGGAAGGGTGCTGGGGCAAGGGTCATGAAACGCAGCAGGTACTTAGTCCTGCACAGCCCTGAGAGCCAGAACCTCCTTGAATTTGGCCTGAGGTGCCTCACTCACCTCTCCCTAGTCCTGGCCCTGACCCTATGCCTCAAAGCCATATTTCCCTGCCACATGGAGGAAACCTGTTAGGAAAAGGAGAGAAGAAAGGTAACATACCAAGGGTAAACAGGGTAAAGACACAGAAAGAAACAGAGCCCCAGTGACATCTTGGGAGCTTCTAGACCCAGCCATGCCTGCAGCATGTACTTCCAGTCATGGAGCTGATATGTTGAGTTTTTGCATTGCTAAATACGTCTTGGTTACAACAGAAACTGGCACCTTAATATAAAATGGACATTTGGCTGAAGTGACGTGGCAAGGAGGGCCAGTGGGACCCATGCCCCATTCTGGGGAGGTGGCCGGCCGCGCCATGCTGTCTTAAAGCAGCACATGGACAAGGACATTGCAAACTTGGGGAGTCAGACCTTATGCCTGTCTAGATGTGAGGTCCAAGGGCTCAGAGGAAAACAGGCAGGTTGTTGGAGAGTTATTATTGACCTTGTGGAATGTTTAGTAGCATCCTAGGACAAAAGACACTTAGCCTGCCCATCTGAAATTAGAACGGGAACAGAAAAAGTCTTTATTTATTGATTATTTATCAAGAGACAAAGCTCTGGATCCAACTACACCTGAAGGGAGCTTCTGCCTTGCTTTCTAAGTCAGGAAAACCAACCATGATTGCTAAGAAATTGCCCCTTTTCTTGAGCCAGTTCAAGATGGGTAATGTCCATTGAAACTAAAGGACTTCTGGTGAAGGTAGGATTGGAACCCAGCCCCTCTCTGACCACAGTCTAAAGTATAAGCTCCTTGGGAGCAGGTGCCTGGAGCCCTCCACTGTATGCTCATTGCCAGTGCAGCCTGACACCTTGCAGGCCTGGTCCAACGTGAAAAGCGAACAAGGGAATCAGTGTGCAGTGGAGAGGCATCTGGGCTCCCTTTAGAGGAGGGAGGGGTCACTTTGCTGGGCACACCTACTAGGCATACGGCCACTGTTACCTCAGAACAGCTAGACAATGAGGCAAGGTGAGAGGTTTCTAGGAAAGACCACCTGGGGCCCTGGGCCCTGGTGCTGACAAGCCCCACCCTCAGCAGAAGGCAAACACCTCCACCTTCCTGGGCCTCCTTCAACCTTCCTGCCTTGTCCATGAAAGGATCTGAGAGTTGGGGCGAGGAGGTTGTATTAGTCTGTTCTTGCATTTGTATAAAGAAATATCTCATGTTATCTTCTAGAATTTTTATAGTCTCAGGCCTTAGATTTAAGTATTTGATCCATCTTGAGTTGATTCTTGTATAAGGTGAGAGATGAGGATCCAGTTTCATTCTCCTACATGTGACTTGCCAGTTATCCCAGGATGGCTGTAAGTATTTGGGTTTATTTCTGGATTCTCTATTCTGTTCCACTGGTCTATGTGCCTACTTTTTTTTTTTTTTTTTTTTTGATCCAGCAATCCCACTACTGGGTATCTACCCAGAGGAAAGGAAGTCATTGTACAAAAAAGATACTTGCTCATGCATGTTTATTGCAGTGCAATTCTCAATTGTAAAAATGTGGAACCAATCCAAATGCCCATCAATCAAGGAGTGGATAAAGAAATTGGTATATATACATACATACATACATACATACATATATAAAATATATAATTAGTATACATATATACCATATATACCATATATAGGTGTGTGTATATATATATACACACATACACGCACACCGTATATACCATATATTGGTGTGTGTGTGTATATATGTGTGTGTGTGTATATATATACACACACATATATCTATAATGGAATACTACTCAGCCATAAAAAGGAATGAATTAATGGCATTTGCAGCAACCTGGATGGGATTGGAGACTATTATTCTACGTGAAGTAACTCAAGAATGGAAAACCAAACATCATATGTTCTCACTCATAAGTGGGGGCTAAGCTATGAGGATGCAAAGACATAAGAATGACACAAAGGACTTTGGGGACTCAGGGGAAAGGGTGGGAAGGGGGTGACGGATAAAAGATTACAGATTGTGTTCAGTGAATACTGCTCAGGAGATGGGTGCACCAAAATCTCAGAAATCATCACTAAAGAATTTACTCAAGTAACCAAACACCACCTGTTCCCCAAAACCTATGGACATTAAAAAAAAATTTAAAAAGAAGAAACAGGACAGGCATGGTGGCTCACACTTGTAATCACAGAACTTTGGAAGGCCAAGGCAGGTGGATCACCAGAGGTCAGGAGTTTGAGACCAGCCTGGCCAACATGATGAAGCCATGCCTCTACTAAAAATACAAAAATTAGCTGGGCATGGTGGCACATGCCTGTAGTCCCAGCTATTCAGGAGGCTGAAGCATGAGAATCGCTTAAACCTGGGAGGTAGAGGTTGCAGTGATCTGAGATTGCACCACTGAAATCCAGCCTCGGTGACAGAGTGAGACTCCGTCTCAAAAAAAAAGAAAAGAAAGAAAAGAAAAGAAAGGAAAGGAAAGGAAAGGAAAGGAAAGGAAAAAAGAAAGAAGGAAAGAAAGAAAGAAAGAAGAAAAAATGGAAAGGAAGGAAGGAAGGAAGGAAGGAAGGAAGGAAGGAAGGAAGGAAAGAAAGAAAGGAAAGAAAGAAAGGAAAGAAAGAAAGAAAGAAGAAAGAAAGAAAGAAAGAAAGAAAGAAAGAAAGAAAGAAAGAAAGAAAGAAAGAAAAACCTGAGACTAGGTAGTTTATAAGGAAAGGGGTTAAATTGGCTCACAGTTCTGCAGGCTGTAGCGTAAGCATGTTGCCAGCACCTGCTTAGCTTCTGGGGAGGCCTCAGGGAGCTACAATCATGGCGGAAGGCAAGGGGGGAGCCCGTGCATCACATGGTGAGAGTAGAGGCAAGTGAGAGTGTGAGGGGGGAGGTGCCAAACCCTTTTACACAGCCAGCTGTTGTGAGAACTCACTCACTATTGCAAAGACAGCACCAAGCCAAGAGGGATCACCTCCATAAGCCAATCACCTCCACCAGGCCCCACCTCCAACACTGATTCCAATTCAACATGAGATTCAGAGGGGACAACATCCAAACCATGTCAGAGGGTATGCAGAACACACCCAAGGTGACTCTGAATGAGTCACAACCCAGAGAATTCCCTCCCCCAGCCCCTGCGACTGGCTTCTAACCAATGGTATATGAGAAGTGCAGGGATTTTTTGGACATAATTAAGGTCCTAGTTTAATTAGTTGATGATGATTATCAAAACGAGATTATCTCAGGTGGGCCTGACCCAATCCAGTCGGGGGGCGCCCTGTTAAAGAGGCCTCCATCCTTCTCTGATGTCAGAGATGTCAAGCAGAGACATATCCTCCTGTGGCCCTGAAGAGGCAAACCCCACGTGCTGTGAACTACCCGTGGAGAGGGCTGGCTTGCAGGAGCTGCAGGCTTGGAGGAGAACTCCACCCACCACCTGAGATGGCAGCCCAGGCAGCACCTTGACTGTAGCCTTGGGAGACCCTGAGTCAAGGGCACAGCAAGGCCCTGCCTGGACCCGAGAGGAGCAGCAACCCTGTGGTAATAAATGTGTGCTGTCCCGAATGGCTATGTTTATGGGAATTTGTGAGGCAACATTAGGAAACGGGTGCAGTGGAGTAGGGAGGGGAGAGGAACGGGTAGGTGAAGGAGATAATCCTCTGTGATCTAAAATGAAGAGTCTTTTGCTGTGCAATGAAAAAATGAAAAGAAGAGGCTTTGTTCTTTGCCTTTCCTTCATTTAAGTGTGGCAAATAATCTGCAAGGAGTCCCCGAACCTGTGTAGAAAATGGGGTTGGGAGCACATCAGAGAATGAGCTTACCCTGTTGTGGCCTCTCGGAGGAAAGCAGGCTGGGAAGGAGGAAGGTCTTTCATGCTGTCTATATGAGCTGATTTAATTTCTGTTCTGAATATCCATGAGCTCATTTACACATGTGCATTCAGCCACATTTCTCTGACTCGAATTTATTAAACATTTCTGTTCGTGCCCTTTGTTCCCAAGATTTCCTCTTGCCTCTGTTTTCCCACTTAGCTCTCCGGGAAACCTCAACCTCGCTATAACATAATGTCCTCAGCTATCTTAAGAACTGTGTCATTAAATAGCAGAGTGGATGAAATGTTCTAATTCCCTTACTCAATTATATTAAATTATACATTCCCACAAAAATCTCTCCCATCACTGCATTATTTAAGTAGAAAGAGCTAAATAAAGAAGACCTCTATTTTTCATTCCTAATTCTCAGATAATTATAAATATACTGACTTTTTAAAAAAATCATGGATTAACTTTCATGGAGTTGGTTGATTTCCTTTTTATGGAGACTTGATTTTGACAGAAGCCCTAAACTTGTAATAAAGATAATGCTGAAGGTACCACCCATTGTGTTCACGAGAACACCTCACCTGGGCATTTCTATAGCAACTATCATTACAGAGCAACAGGCCAAGGCAGAACGCACTGAAGAACACTTTTTCTTTGGTTTTGTTTGTTTGTTTGTTTGTTTTCTTGAACTCAGCTGTTTTTTGTGACCCAAGCAATGTTTCTGAATCCAGGCTGTGCCCTTTGTGGAAAATGTGTTCATTATTTTATGCAGGGATTTGCAAATGCTCACAAACTGAATTTTAGCAAGTTGAGCTCTGGTTTCCCCATTTACTTACATTTTATTTTCCCAAATGGGTTTTCCGTGGGTGTTGAATGAATATTTGATGGTTCCTTGCTCTACTTCCTGTCCTTCAGAGTTTTTCTAACTCATTGTAATAAACCAACAAAAAGGAGAGCTAACTATTCAAAGAAACTAATCAATCAACATTGATCTAAAACCCAGGTTCATTTAAATAATGCAAATCATCAGACCATATCATTTTTAATATTGGGAAAATGCAGTACAGCATGTAAGAGCATGGACTCCAGAGACAAATGTCCAGGGTTTGAATCCTAACATTTTCATTTACTAGCTCTGTGACCTGGGCCAAGTGACTTAACTACTCTGTGCCTCAGTTTCCTCATCTTCAAGCAGAATAATAATAGTATCCAGTGTACAGGGTTATTATGAGGGTTAAATGAGTTAATGTACTTAAAGCACTTAGAGTGGTGCTGAGCCCAGCATAAACGTTGTATGCATTTGCTGTTATTATTGTTGCCATTATGTTTATTTTTATAAGATAGATTTTGTGGAAATGGACACCGCAAGTGATTTGCTGATTTTATTTATTCACTCCCTTGCTCATTTATTCATTCACCCCACAAGCATTACTTCTATGTTCTCAGGATAGGGCCAGATGCTGTTGCGTTAAGATGTAAATTTTCTGTAGCATTTTTCTCATAAATGGAAAAGAGCTTAGGTTCCCCTGTCCAGGTTGAGCTGACTTATTCTTGCCAACACTGAGTCTTTTCCAGTGTGTTTTCTACAAGTGAATACAGACCATAATTGTTTTTCATGGGCTCTAGATGCATCTGCCGAGAAAATGTCACACAAATGAGGTCAGTGGGAAAAAATAAGCCGGATATACCGTGTAGGCGTTCCGTTGAGCATCTGACGTTTTCCTATTCACTCAACTTTCTTGTTACTTGAGAATCTTTGCAAGTCCTGGGTTTTGTGCAATAGAAATATAGGAACAACAGATTCAGGATTTTATTATTCTCTTCTGCAAGTTTATTTAAGAACATTCTGAGCATGGGTAGGTTTTCAGTGGGCAATATCTAGCTCACAGAGGGAATACCTGCATTTTCATCTCATAGATTGTGCTAAATCTATTTTAGTGGGGCAGGGATTTAGGACGCAACTGCTGTGGTCATACAGGTTACCACAAATGCATCCCTAAGAAAACATTAAAGCAAGAAAAAGATGTAACCAGCCTTCTATTCAGACAGCATCATTAATTTCTATCACACTACACTGCCTTCAGCCAAACATTCATTCTTCTTTTTACTTATTGCAGCAATTCTTCCATTTGAGAAAATAAGATTAGCTATGCTACACCCACTTGGTGAAGATAATCAAATTACATGTTTTCTTTCTTCTTCAAATTTAATCAGTGGCAACATCTGTCTCCCCAAGATGAGACAAACTAGCTCAATGCCACCCTTTAAGCCAAGGTGTCCTCTCCAGTTCGCGAAGGATCTGAGAACCCCAATTCATCACCCCATCCACCCATCCAGATAGAATGCCCATAAACATCAGCACAGTCACATTCAGTGGACACAAATGGAATGGTAAGACAGCAAAACTTTTAAAGAAATCATTTTTTTAGGCATTTGGATAACATCTTTCCATTGGGATACAAAATTTTAATTAAAAACAAAAACAAACATCTATCAAAGCACTCAGACTTTACTCATTCTAAGCTTGAGGTCATTGATCCAAGGCAGCGCTTCTCCACTGGGGGCATCGACTGGGTGGAGGGCAGATATGGTGCTAGGCCACTGAGCCCAGGACAGCCCACAACAAGGAAGTGTCTGCCCAAAATGTCACTAAGTCCCAAGGCTGAGAAATCCTATTACAACGGTTGATGTGGGGATACAGCATGGTAAGCAAGTTACTTTTTTCGTCTTGCTCTATCACCCAGGCTGAAGTGCAGTGACGTTCTGCTCACTGCAATTTCTGCCTCGTGGGTTCGAGAGATTCTCCTGCCTCAGCCTCCTGAGTAACTGGATTATAGGCAGCTGCCACCACGCTCAGCTAATTTTTATATTTTTAGTAGAGACAGGGTTCCACCATGTTGGCCAGACTGGTCTCAAACTTCTGATCTCAAGTGATCTGCCTGTCTCCACCTCCCAAAGTGCTGGGATTACAGGCATGAGCCATCTCGCCTGGGCTAACAGGTTACTTTTCTAGGACATTTAAAACAATAACTTGCTAAGCTAAGTCATAATGTAGATATACCTTAAAGAGGAATATTTTAATGCAGTGTCAAGCTGTAAGTTCTTGAGTTACCACCCATCTGACTAAAATTATTAAGGTTTTTTTAAGCCACAAAGCTACCCTAAAATGTCACTTTTTTGTGTCATACTTGTAATTACCATTGTTGTAAATATAAAACAATGTTTATTGAGCAGATATTACCTTCTATCCAATGAGGACACCAGCTTCATCGTAGTTCTGGTAGCAAAAGAGCGAATGCATAGGTGCTTGGTTCAGTAAATGTCCAGGCTACGCACCGTGCAGGCAGATGGTGCCTGGCCAGTAAGGGGCAGTTGATATCAGGCACTGCTGCTCCAAAGTTGCTCACTTCTCAGCTTAGAAATGTGCATATAAGAAAGTTCAGGGACTCACTGAGGTCATCCAGCTAGTTAGCTCAAAAACTGAATCTAGACGGCAGTTCTTACCTTCTTATCTCCATTCCACAGAGAAAATTCTCCCTCAAATTAGCAGAATTAGCATGATCCCGTCTTCACAGAGGCAGAGGCAGAGTCCATTTTGCCCCACCTAAGGGTTCTCACTCACCCGGCTGTGAGTTTGTGACTCAAGCTTTCCTGAGCCTGTGGACCTTGTTCCTTTTAAATAATTGAAATCTCATAGCAAGAGATGCATATTTCTTCCTCATCTCTTCAGGGGCCACAAAGTTAAATCCCAAGAGAGCAGGAAGGTGGGGAGGCAGAGAATGTAAAGGAACGCTTAGAGTTAGCAGTCTTCACAGCACAACCCCATCACACCACGGGGTCGGGGCTGGTATCTCCCTTACAAAAAAGAAAGCTCGGGCACAGAGACATTAAGTGACTGACCCAGGTCTTCTAACCCTTTAGTGGAGAAACTGGGGTTTGTCCCAGACTGAGAGCATAGCCCAAAGCCTCAGCTGCGGGTCAGTGCTGCTTAGGAGCCAGGGCACTGGATTGAAAGTTCAACACCTCAACGCTCACTAGGCTGTGTGATGTTGGAAGGGCAGTTTATGTCTCTGAGCCTGAGTTTTCTCATCTGTAATTTGACGATAGCAATAAGGTGAGGATTAAATCTGGCATTTGGAATATGGTGCTAAGGCCAGTGCCAAGCACATAGTAAGTACATTGGGAAGGTGAAAAGGTGGGCCCCTGTCACCATGCCTACTGGCCCAGGTGCTTAATGAAGTTTGCCATATGGAGGCTCCATGTGCAGAAGATGAAAAACCAGCCCAGTATGCAATCCAACTGTTCATTGAAATGAGTAGAGCTTAACACAATTGAGCCATGCGGTCTGTTTCACCTTGAACTCCGGGTTAGCTAGAGCAATCTAGGATACCTGTTCTGTCTCACTTCTCTGTAAATGTTACCCCACTTCCATGAGATTGTACAAACAGGCCCTAAATTGCCTGCTCTAATACATTTATGTAGTTTTCCCATGGATGGTGTTAAACAACGCAGCCTCTATTTCACACTTGAAGTACAATTCTTCAGCCTTTTAGCTCCACCACAGTTGTGAAAATTGGGGCATGTTATCTGGCTACCCATAGAAAGAGCCAGAACATCTCTTCTCCACGCGTGGTGAATTTCTGTCTAATGTAAAAGCAGGGTGACCCGCAGTAGCCTAATTTCTTTAATCATTCTAATTAACAAGTGTATAGGGTTTTATCTAAATACACCAGAAAAAAAAATGCAGTAATGACAGATACAGTAGGCAATTAACAATACGAGGTCTAGAAAGCTGATGGAAAAGCTTTGAGCTCCTTTGTTATTTCTCCTTTCTTAAAATAGACCCTGGCCATATTACAATACCCAAAAAAGAGAAGAAAATATCTAAGCAAAGGCCAAACTGAGTTGCCATGTGCATCCCATTCTCTTTGAGGATTCTTGTCAATTTTCCACTCTGGAATTTATGGCACTTCATTCCCACAAATTAGACGACAACTGTTAGACTCAGTATCAAGGTTTTGCTGATGATTTTACCCCGCTCCTCCAAAATAGGAGTTCACCAAGAAAACACATAGAATTAAGGCCAAACATGCATTCCACATCTTCATGGCTGATGAAGGTGTGAACCCCGAAAATCTGAGACAGGTCTCAGTTTATTTAGAAAGTTTAGTTTGCCAAGCTTAAAGATGCGCGCCTGTGGCAGAGCCTCGGAAGCTCCTGATGACATGTGCCCAAGGTGGTCGGAGCACATTTTGGTTTGGTCTGGATCTGGAAAGGGGAGACAACTCGAAGAGGGACAGGGCTTCCAGAGCATAGGTAGATAAGGGACAAATGGCTGCATTCTTTTAAGTTTCTGACGAGCCTCTCCAAAGGAGGCAGTCAGATATGCATTTATCTCAGTGAGCAGAGGGGTGACTTTGAATAGAATGGGAGGCAGGTTTGCCCTAAGCATTTCCCAGTTTGATTTTTCCCTTTAGCTTAGTGATTTGGGGGCCTAAGATATTTTCCATTCACAAAGGAAGCACCAAATCTCCGTTGACTCTGCCAGTGAGTGACAGCCTCAGCACCACTGTCTACAGCCACCAGGCGTGGCCTCAGCATGGGGACTCATTAATTCTAGCTTTGCTCACCAAAAAGAAAGGATGTGCTATTGTGGTTTCAGGAGCACTGCAGTCACATCTGCATCAAAAGACCCTGGAAGATAGCACCCACCTTCCAATCCCAAGTCTCTGGAATTCGACTTTTCTCATCTAATTTTTAAAAAGCATATAGTGATTTTTTTAAACTAGCAGAAGAAAATAAAGGAAACTGAGTAGGGATTTACAATACATTACTTGTCAGGATTGAGAGACGAATGACCAGAGAGGTTGCTGTGCCAGGAACACTTTCAGGCTGTGGGTCTCAGGAGGGTCCTTGGCTTCTAGGAACCTGTAATTTGACTGAGGCAGGACATTGAATTAAAAACACCATGAGATGAGGCAGAAGCTCCTTTTTAGCCTGGCACTGTGCAGCTCCCCTTCCAACCTCCCACAGCTTGATGGCTCTCTGACATCCCGTAGGAATATCTCTCTAGAAGCCAGAGGACATATAGGAGAATTGATGAGTGTGTAGATGAGGAGTCAGGCCACCTGTTTTTGACTCCTGACTTAAAGCCATTGACTTCACCAGTCTCTACCTGAACTCTTGCATGGATGAAAGGAAGAGAAGAAGAACATCTCTGTGAGTTTAATCTGAACAAGAGATGAGATGGTGTTTGTTGGGTATTTGGCACATGGTGAGCAAATGTCCATTTCAGTTTGTGTTATTATAAGCAAAACAACCTTGAACTCTTCCTTTGTAAAAGCTATCTTTAAGAAAATAGTCAAATACTAAAACTATTGATAAAAATGAGGCAAAAGTGAAGTCGTCCAAAAATGAGATGTTTTTGGAAAATTTCAGACTTTACAAATTCACAGTATAATAAAGCCAAGGTCTGTTGTATTATCATTCCTGATAATTTAGTGGAATAACATGGCAATAAGTAAAAAGGCATTTAGAGCTCAAAAGCAATGCAGCACTTTATTTCTGTAATGATAAGTGTTATTTGTATAAATTCTTTGTTTCCCAGGGAAAAGCCACCATAGAAATTGAAGTGTCATGTGTCATAGAGTCAGACAGGCGTCATGACAGCCATTCACAATCGTGGAACCTTGAGCCGGGCGGTTAACCTGTGTAAGCCTTGGTTTCTTCATCTGTAAAATGAGGGTAATGCTATCCACTCTTCAGAGCCATTGCCAGAAATATATGAATGAATGACTCCAAAATGTCTCCCATATTTGCCTCTTCAACCGACGTTTAATTCCCTCTTTGCTAACAGGGAAAATGTCCCTTTACTGCTTAAGGGAGAGAGAATAAAGGCGGAAGCACCAGGTTAAGAAATTCTGATGTTTTCACGCATTAGCTGGTGCTCCTAGCTTTCTGATTTCCATTTTCTAGATAAGGCTTTAAGGATAAATTTTTCCTTAAAATAATAAACATTCATTCTCATCATATTTGGTTCTTTTTTGTCAGTTTTTGTTTACTATTTAAAATATTAATTCTAGCTTTGCTCACCAAAAGGAAAAGATGTGCTATTGTGGTTTCAGTAATAAAATAATAACTACCTTCTCTCACTTTGAATTCTTGCACTGTACGCTTTCCTTATTTTTACATGAATGATGGAACCATTCACAGAGTTTGATTACAACAGTGGGCAGGTTAGTGAGCAATTCTTCTTTTCTCTGATTTCAATTGCTTTGAAGTAGCAATAGGTGAATTGAGGAGAAAGAATAAGAAAAAACAAATATGGGTAAATAAAGGTAGAATATAAGTGTTCAAGAGAGAATACAGGTTATTTATATTGTGCCCTTTTATCTGAATACACTACAAGAAAAAAAAAGTTCTGCACTTAAAAAAATGGATTTGAAGGCTCAATACCTGTGGCTAAATAGAAAGTATATGAAATATTATAAACTAAAAATAATGTCTTCAATGTGTATGCCATTTCCAGTGTGTACAATGCTTTTATACGTGCCAGCCTATTTTTCTTCTAAATGGTTCTGTCTGCTCAGTGTCATTCACTCCCTCATTGATGAAAATTCTGACACTTGCAGGTAAAATAGCTTTCTCCATAGCCAGGTAGCAGTGCTGGCAAGAACCTAGATGTTTTCACCCCAACCCTATGTCTTCTCCAAGAACCACAGCTGCTTTCCAAACACCAGGATGGTCATTCTCACTCTCCAGGGTTTTAAGATGTGCCTGATGTCTGGTGCCCTGTCTTGGAGGAACATGTAAAAGGGAGAAGGCATGTCCCTGTGATCTGCTATTTCTTATTCCAGAGTTCCACAACCTTGACACTACTGATACCTGGCAGATAGTGGGCTGAATAATTCTTTGTTGTGAGGAGCTGGTCTCTGCACTGTGGGATTTTTAGCAACAATCCTGGTCTCCACCCAATAGATGCCATTAACACCTTCACCCAGTTGTGACAACCAAAAGTGTCTCTAGACATCACCACATGTCCCATATGTTACAGAACTGTCCTAGCTGACAACCATTGCCTTATCCTGCTCAGAATATTACTTATAATTACACGTTATCACTTTTTACTGTTTAATTACTTGTTTTATGTTTTGATGAAAAATTAAGAACTTTCTTGCAATTTAAGTCATCTCTCCAAGTTTTGAGAGAAAAGAAAATACAAAACTTTTGCAAACCTGGCATACCAAGAGTAAATAACAATTATGCCATATGGGTTTATGTCTGGGTACAGAATTTTTACAAATATATTTCAGATTCAAATTGTTCAAAAATATCTGTCTAATGATATGTAGTTTCAGAGTAAACACTTCATTTTTCTTCTAAATGAGCATTCAGTTTGTAGAAATGGAGAACTAATGTATTTTCTGCTGCCAAAAACAATCTCCATGGTATTCAGAGACCCTTGTTGATTACTTTTTAGCTACATAATGTTTACATTATTCAAACCAAAAATACCAAAATGATGGGTGTATGGATCATCTTGGATTTGCTTTCTTATCTGGCTTTCAAATCCAGTTTCCTGTGTAATCACAACATAAAAGGAGAGATAACTTGATAAAATGGAGAATTGATTGTAGGTAGCTTGCCTCAGTAACCCAATTCCTACTGAAAGGAGCAAAGAAATGAAAAACTGGGGGAAATGACAGTAGCATTAAAAAGGAAAGTATCTCTTCATGGCACAAAATAGAGGACTTTCTGCTGGATGACGTGCATGTGAGACCGCCTTCGAGGAAGACAGGGAGGGGCCAGACTGCAGCCAAGGAACTAGAGAAGGCCGGATAGGCCAAGGGGAATGGAACGAAGAGACCCCATGTGTGACAGCAGCAATCTGGGAGGGAGTTTCTGCAGGAGCCGCGGATAGTCCACCTGGGCCGTCTGGGTGGTCAGCCCCCAAATGCAAAGGAAGGAAGAGCAGGGCTGTCACTTGACTCTTGGTGGCAGCTCCAAAAAGGCAATGGTGCCTGCTCACCAACCAGGAATGAAGACCTTCCAATCAAAAAACAAGACAAGAAAAGCTGCCCCTGATGAATCATTTTCAGGAAACACAGAGAAGTCATTACACACCCAGAAGATTTTCCCACTGGGGCCCCTCTCAGCCTCGTGAATCGCTCTGGCATGTGATCAAGAGAAAGAATTCCAACAAAATCCAGGATGACACTAAAACAATGTGAAGAAATTCAGGTATCAACACTGTTTGGGGGAAAATATCCTAGATTGAAAGAGACCACCTCTTACTTAATGATGTCTAAATTTAAACAGTGACCCACGCCGGAGTTCTTGACATGGCTCTCAACACCGTTATGGAAATTGCAGTTCATGCAACGACTGATTGATTGGTTGATTGATTTGCCTATCTGGAAAGCCAAGAAAGTCAGCTGAAAACAGAAGAGAAGCAAGAAAGATCTCTAAGATGGGGATATTTACAAATAACATTTAAAACACAATAGCCATTTAATATCAACTGCATGCCAGGCACCGTGCTAAATATGTTTTTTAATCTCTTTTAATTAAATTCTACTTCTTGCTAGCTGTGTAAACTTACACAATTTATTTAACCTCTCTGGGTCAGTACATCATCGATTCTTTTGTATTTGTTGACACTCGCTGTGCAGCTTAGAATACACTGAGTGTATTTTCAAGCCATCCGTCTTGAAAAGTGTGTATATGCTCCACCTGTTACTGTCAGCAACCCACGACCTCCACCAAATTGTGATGGGCACATTGCCATAAATTGTATTGTTATCCATACTCATGTGTTGTAATCACATTAACTGATCATTTTTTGCATTGTGTGTTACTTTCGTTAGTACTGCAGATTTGTCATTTTGTTTCTGTCAATATTTGGTTTACTTATTATGAAGCGATGTTATTTGGTGAATACAAATTCAGGATTTTTTATATTCATGGTGAATTTTCTCCTTTCCCATGATGTAACAAAACTCTTCATCCTAACAATCCCTTTACCCTAAAGCCCTCTGTGTGTTGTTCACATGGCTACCTCAGTTTTCTTTTGCTTTGTATGGTATTATACATCTTTTTAAATCCTTTAACTTTCAGTCTTTTTTTTTACCTTATATGTTAAATTTCTTTCTTGTAAATAGCATATTGTTGGATGTCTCAAAATGCAAACTGAAAATTCCTCACTTTTAACCGAACAATAAAATTTATTTTTGCTGATTATGATTTTTAAAATATTTGAATTTGTTTGCACAATGTTAATGTCTTAATGATTCTTCTTCTTCCTATGTCATAGTAAATTGAGGAGTCTTCATTTCTTTTATCTTTTTCTGTTTTTTCTTTTTTTTACCCTTACATCAGATTTGGATGTTTTGCCTTCTATTTCTATCCCTTTATTGGGAACTCTTAAAAATTTAATGCTAGGTATTTAACTTTCAAAGTCTAAAATTAATAAATATTTATATTCTTTTTTCAAAGAACATGTAGACTTTAGAACTCTTTAACTCTGATCATTCACTCTTAAATCTCCCTTGTTCTTGCTATGTGGTATTTAGTTTCCACCTTCTTTGTAAGCCACCCACATTAGGCAGTTTCTCAGGATGCACCTCAGGAGATGAAAAATAAGAAGTAGAAATTATGAGACCAGGAAGGTAAAATGAGAAGGTTCAAAAATACATAATAAGACTTTAGGCATGACAAAAAAGAGAATGAAGAAAAAGCAGCCATCAGAAAGATAATCTTCAAAAATTTCCAGAACTGAAAAACAAGAGTCTATACATTTTTGAAGCACAATAAGCCTCGTACAACGTAAATAATATCAGTCCCAATTAATCTGATTGTAAAGAAACAGTGGGATCCCAAAGATAACAAGGAAATCTCAAAAGCAGTCATAAGAAAAATAGGTTACTTAAAAAAATAACAATTAATTGCCAGAGGTTGTTTTTAATCAAGCACAAGAGAAGCTAGAAGAGAATAAAAACTTCAGATTGCTAAACAATAAACATTTATCAATCTATACCCAGATAAACTATTAATCAAGATAAGGGTAAATAAAGAAACTTTCAGATATAAAGAAATTAAGAGTTTTACATTTACAGATTATCATCAAAAGAATGACCAAAAGATTAGATTTTTCAGCATAATCTGTGTATTACTATGATTACAAATTAAATCTGAGGTCTCGATGGATTAAATAAAAACCCACAAAGGTTTCTTTTCTTGCCCTGATTGCACTGGCCAGGACAGAACCAACACGCTTTATTTTTCTGCTCACATAAAGTCTACTGTAGGTTGAGCAACTCTCTCAGTTCACAGAAAAGGAACTCAAATACATTAATACTCAAATGAGTAATTTCTGAATATAGACCCTGAAGAGCATCATACACATGCACAAGAAGATGGTGTACATATATTTATTGTTGCATTTCTAAATAATACGAACACATTGAAAGCAATTTTTAAAAAGCCTATAAATTAAGAAATGGATACAAATTGGGGCATACCATGAAATACCACAGAGCAGGAGTTGACATACTCCATATGGCTTATAAGATCTGAAATATTTACTGTCCAGTTCTTCTAGAGAAAGTTTGCCAACCCCTGGGATAAAGCACTTAAAGTGTATCAGTGTAGATATATCTAAAAACATATAAAATTATCATTTAGCCTAGAAGAAAATGTGAAATTCAAAAGGATATGTACAACTCGAGACACTGTGTTTTATTTAAATATGAAGCACACAAAACAGTGACATGCATACATGTACCTGTATATTAAAAAAAGACAGAATCCTAAAGAGGAAAGCTCTGTATAAACGTCAGAGCCCTGGCTACCTCCACAGAGGGCAGGGAAAGGAATGAGTAGGGGAGAGGTGGGAATGGCAGCAATATATTCATCAACACTGGTTGCTCTTCAAAGTCTAAGTGTTAACATTTGTTAAAATTCTGTGTTTTGGCCAGGCGTGGTGACTCACACCTGTAATCCTAGCACTTTGGGAGGCTGAGACAGGTGGATCACCTGAAGTCGGGAGTTCGAGACCAGCCTGACCAACATGGAGAAACCCCGTTTCTCCTTTAAGTTCTGGGATACATGTGCAGAATGTGTAGGTTTGTTACATAGGTATACATGTGCCATGGTGGTTTGCTGTACTTATCAACCTGTCATCTAGGTTTTAAGCCCCGCATGCATTAGGTATTTGTCCTAATGCTCTCCCTCCCCTTACCCCTCAGCCGCCAACAGGCCCCGGTGTGTGATGTTCCCCTCCCTGTGTCCATGTGTTCTCATTGTTCAACTCCCACTTACGAGTGAGAACGTGCGGCGTTTGGTTTCCTGTTCCTGTGTTAGTTTGCTGAGGATGATGGCTTCCAGCTTCATTCACACATTGATTTTTAAAGGAGCAAACTTTTCACACATGAATGATGTCTTAAGACGGCACCTCTTCACGTCAAGGATGTGGGACTATGACCCCTTCAGTGTCCCATGCATTCCATTGTGGACTGTATTATCTGTCTCCTTGTGTTCTCATTCCCCAACCACTGCTGCCGCCACTCATAAGCCAGATGATAAGCCCTCTGCAGGCAGGATCCATGTCTTTCTCCACCTTTGAATCCTTGGTGCCTGTCACTGTACCCAGGACTACCTGGCTATTTATCACATCATTGCTGCAATAAATGCCTGACTCTATGTTCTCCGTGTTAGGCTTAAAATATTGATTTTTAAAATGTCAGTTGTACAGAAAAAAAAAAGTACTCCAACAATCTGGTGCTTTCCATCCCCAAAGTTTAGAACTCTGGTGAACTCTCAAAGGAGACAGACTTGAGTAGAAGAATAGAAATAAGATCTTCATTTCCCAATACGGGAGCACATGTTGGAGACATTTTAACGTCAAACAGGTCAATCAGGATATAATTGCCTCTGAGAGACACTCAAGAAATCAGAGACATTCTTTACCTGGAGCTGAGTGCCACTTGAAAAGATGACAGCCTTTCACGCGTTTGAAAACATCAAAGACTATCAAAGCACCAGCTCCAAACCTGATCCTCACAATCCAACACCAGCCTACGAGTCAGGAATGAAGGCAGCAGCAACAGGAGAAAAACCACATTGCATACGTAAATCTAAGTCACAGGAAACACAAATCCCAGAGACAACCTCAGTTATGTGGCCCTCTAGTTGGACTCAGAATGGTTCTGACCAACACTGGGTTCAGTGTGGCCGAATTTACATGGAGGGTGGGTTTGCAGCAGAGGATGCCATCTCTGTGGGCTTTCAGAGGCATTGAAGAAGGAGATCCTTTTCCCTCCCTGGGGTTCCAAGAAAACACTCTCTTGGGTTGACTTTACATTTTACAAGTAAATGCAAATAATACCTGGAAGAGATAACACTCTTTTTTCAGATCAAACATTAACACTTAATTTGAATTAACTTTAGCAGTTGAGGAGCATTGAGACCATTATGAAATAATGCTATTTCTCTGGTTAAAGCTGGTTCTTACTTCCAATGACATGTTTTGGAACACGCTCGTCGATGGACAAACACATGTGTCCTTCCTTCGAGATTAAACAGTTTGAGTTAGTCTTAAGTTTGTCTTCTCCATTGTTGTTTGGCAAGAAAACTTGCTACCTCCTTTCAGAAAACAATGTGTCAATGCATTTTTAATTAAAGTCTTATTTTGAGATAATTATAGATTCACGTATTTATAAGAAATAATGCAAAAAGATCCTACATACTCTACCCAGTTTCCCCCAATTATAATATCTTACAAAACTATGGTACAAACTCACAATGAGGATATTGGCATTAGTACAGTCAAGACACAGAACATTTTCATCAATACAAGAATCCTTTATTCTGTCCTCTTATAGCCACACCCACGTCCTCCCACAAGCCTCATCCGTGTGACCACAATTCTGTTCTCCATCTCCAAATGTTATCACTTTAAGAATGTTATGTAAATGGAAATACAGTATGCCATCTTTTGAGACTGGCTTTTTTCACACAACAGAATTCCCTTTAGATTCCCCTCTCAATTCTTGTTCCTATCAATTGCTTGTTCCTTTTGATTGCTGAGTAATATTCCACAAGATGGATTACACTGCAGTTTGTTTAAACTTTCATCTCCTGAAGGAGATCTAGGTTGTTTACACTTTTTGGCTATTACAAATGAAGCTGTTATGAACATTCATGTACAGGATTTTATGTAAACCTGGGATAAATGTCCAAGAGTACAATTGCTGTGTTGTATGGTAGCTGCATGTTCACTTTTATAAGAAATTGCTGAACTATTTTTCAAAGTGGCTGTACCATTTTACATCTCCACATGCAGTATATGAGTGTGTCAATGTATTTTATGAAATATGTAAACCCTTATGCCCCTTAACTAATAATTACCCTTTAGGGAATCTATCCTCTAAGGATAGCTCAACATATAGAAACATATATGTGTGTGTGTCTGTGTGTGCTTTATATAGCCTATTTTTTGACTTTAAGGAAAGCTAAAGGGTAAGCTAGATGGGATTTTATATTTAAGCCTAGAAGAAAAACATGTTAAAATTGTATTTATGGAAAAATATAATCAAGTGGAAAAACACATTGCCCTATGTTTCTCAGGCAACAGTGCTTCTAATATGCCTATTTGTTTTGAACATATGGTTATATCCTTCACACCACTGTACACACTTGCTCTCCAGGGAGAAAAATAGGTCTAGAGCATTGGCTTAACCAACAGAAGGTTAACCAGCAGAACCTTAACCAACAGAAGGTTAACCAACAGAACCTTAACCAACAGAAGGTTAATTAGCTGGTGAGGAGTAGGAAACCATTAGGGCCTGCACAATTCCTTAGACTGGTAGATGGTGGTTGAGGGTCACCGAGAGGCTCTTGCATGTGTTG
Source organism: Homo sapiens (assembly GCF_000001405.40). Lineage (NCBI taxonomy): Eukaryota > Metazoa > Chordata > Mammalia > Primates > Hominidae > Homo > Homo sapiens. Next base: position 60,682,677 of record NC_000020.11, read on the forward strand.
TCAGGAGAATGTCAGAGGTCAGCACGAGGCATAGGAGGTGACCACAGTGAGAGAAAAGGGGGCTTGGAGGAGCCTCCAGTCCACTTCACAGTTGATGGGCACCCTAGCCATGGTTGAGAATTAGCAGCTCCCTGTTCCTCAAGGCAAAACCCAAACCAAAACAAAACCTTTCCCAGAAATTACATTTTTCAAAGACTATTTGAAATAATACCACATAGACAGATAGATTTTTTTTAAGAGAAAACAGTAACCTATCTAGCTAGCATCAAGGGGAAAAGATCTTAATAACGTTGCCTGTATCTTCAGAGTCTTTGGAGTTTGCTGCTGTTATGTTTTCAAGAAACCCAATATACAAAGAGATCAGAGCAAGTGAACACTTGGGTCTTGCATGATGTGTCTGGAGAACTGGCCTGCAGAAGTGTCAATCAAATCTTAACACAGAATTTAGTTCATTTCTAAAAGATTACAAATATGAATTGACTTCTCAATTAAATCTGTTAACCATAGAAAATAATAATAAAAAAAACACAGCACTTCAGTTTAATTTAATTTTGACTGCCTTTTCAAATGCCAGCCATGCTGGTGGCGGGAGAGACAGAGGCGCCTCCAGAGACCATTGGGTGTGAGTCCTCAGAATCTGTGGATATCTGGAACCTTGTGGTCTTGTCACAGAGAGGGAAGGAGACATGAAAGCAACTTAAACCCTTGGGAACCATTCCTGAATTTATGAAACCCTCTTAAACTTAGTTAACATCTCCTCTCCAGGTGGAGAAGGAAAAGCTTCGGGGTCATATTTTGAAATTCACTGGACCTGGATTCAAATTCTGTTTCTGTTACAGACCGTGTGGCCTTGGGAACTCATGAACAATTCTTTTTTTTTTTTTTTTTTTTTTTTAGAGATGGAGTTTTACTCTTGTCACCCAAGCTGGAGTGCAATGGCACAATATCATCTCACTGCAACTTCCGCCTCCCAGATTCAAGCAATTCTCCTGCCTCAGCCTCCCAAGTAGCTGGGATTACAGGCATGCACCACCACGCCTGGTTAATTTTGTATTTTTAGTAGAGGCAGGGTTTCACCATATTGGTCAGGCTGGTCTCAAACTCCTGACTTCAGGTGATCCACCCACCTCGGAATGTCAAAGTGCTGGGATTACAGGTGTGAGCCACCGAGCCCAGCCTCCACGAGCAATTCTTGAGCAAGTCACTCAATCCTGTTGAGCCTTAAACACTCCCCTGGGAATGAGGACTCTCATCCCCGCTTGCAAGGCCGTGTAGGCATGACGTAAACTTCTGAATGTGGATCATTAGCTGCAGGTCCACATAGATGACATACTGGCTGCTGCCGGGTGGCTGGTGAGATATGAGGGACTATTTCCCTGTCACGGCTGAGATTCGCCCATTGTCGGTGAGTTCATGAGGATGCCGTTTTCTTTGATGCGTTCACTGATTCTGCAAGTATTTGTTGACACAGGCACAGTTCTAGGCGCTGTGGAGAGAGCAGGGAGTGAAAGGGCACCTGGCTGGTGAGGAGGGCACCCTCTGTTACAGGGAGAGATGGTAAACAATTCCTTATGCCCAGTAGGTGGGATGGACACTGGGGAGAAAGCTAGAGGGTTGTTCAGGGATAGAGAGCAAACCTGAGGGTGGAGAAGGAGGCCCTGTTAATAGTTTGTCAGGATAGGCCTCTGTGATAAGGAGATATTTAAGCACAGCCCTGAAAATGCACGGTGACGAGGGGACACGGGAGACTATTATGGGATTGGCCAAACACACTTTTAAAAATATTTTCTGGCATCAGCTTCTGCTTGTTTCTGCTAATGAACTGGGATCCAGAAGCCGGATCTGCTCTGCCTCGGGAGTGCTCTGTGGCTTTCCTGTTTGCTGCTGGGAGGCCTCAGCTGCCACAGCAGTGTGCTCGGATCCTGCAGCCCTTGGGTTTGCTGTTGGGAGGCCTCAGCCGCCACAGCAGTGCACTTGGATCCTGCCTGCAGCCCTCGAGGGACTTCCTCCTGGGGGCTGCCCTCCACTCCCCATCCATCTTCACTCCCTCCGGCTCCCGGACCTCTCTGTACCTGATCTCTTGTGCTTGTCTACCTGCCCATCTCCTCCAACTTGGGTCTAGACCTCCAGGGTGGGAACGTGACCTTACCCATCTTTGTTTCCTCTGGTATCTGGCTTGGTGTTTATTTCACAGTAGATCCTTCCTCAGCACAAGTTAGGTGAGTTGCTGAGGGAAAAAGAAAAGAAAAAACTAAGTAGGTTTGCCATTAAAGCAGCAAAAACAACAACAATTTATACTGACTAGCCCTTCTGCAATAACAGAGGTTTTTTCCTATTTAGACAAGACAGAAACCCACCCTAATTAGTTCGAGAAAATGGGGGGAAAGGTGGCCTATAGAAAGTGAGAATCAGGCCCATAGGGTGCTGCCACTGGAAAGTCAGGGATTTCTACTTGTCCCCCTCCCTGCTGGTCCCAGGTCCCGCCTCCTAGTCATCATTTCCTTCCCCTATAATTCCCAGCGTGTGGGTACCATTGGCTGGTCCGGGCAGTGCCTCGAGTCCTGATGAAGTTTTGTGACCACCTGGCTTCTTCAGGTCTCCTTGATCTCACGTTTCCAACGTTCCATCCCGGAGACAGATCTCAATGGGCTCAGGCTGGTCTGGGGTCTGCCTCTGTGCCCAGTAGCTACAGACCCTGGAGGGGACATGTTCTGTGCACAGATCTTCCTCACAAGCTCCCTGTGATGATTTCTCTGCCTGCTCATTAGTAAGCTCCGCAGTGCCTCCTGCAGAGCTGTGCCCACAGTGCCACTGAGGGTCTAAAGTCAAGTTGGGGCTCAATAACTACTTGGAAAATATTGACTGAACGCTGAAGGTGAGAGCAGGGCAATGGTTAGAACGCCTTCCACACCCATGAAAAATGTACAATAAATGTGAAATATTTAAAATAAATAAATGTGTTTCTGTTTCCTTATCAGGGCCTGGTTTTGCACTTAGCTGCCTCCATCCATGGTTCTTCTTTCCCTGCCGTACTTTCATGAGGTGATTAACCCCAATCAGGTATCCCCGCTTTTGAATCACAGGACTAAAAAATAATTATTTTGCTGAACATTCTAAGTGAAGAACAGTGTTTGTGATTTCCATACCCTGAGATGGACACATTGCTGTGTGTGTCCATTTTCTGAGCCTACTTTTCTTCTCTAGACAATGGAGATGGTAATAATAATAACAGTAGAAGTAGTAGTAGTCCTCTTGGTATACTCCATATCGTTGTTGTGAGAATTAAAGAAAATAATGTGAGCAAAGTGACCAGTGACTAGCATGGTACAAAAAGAAAAAAAAATCAGCCCTAAATGGATGTTCGCTACATCTTTTGCAAATACCACCCCCGCCCCTGCTGTACTGTCATCATTGTCAGGAGCATCACCAGGGGACCAGCCCCTGCATCACCCTCTCACCCCCCACCCTCTCACCAGGTGTCTCCTAAAGGCAGCTGCAGAAAAATCGCTTGTTGTTTTCTAATGTGGACAAAAAGATTCTACAAGCTCTGTTTCTATTATTTGAGGGTAAATGTGAGAAAACGACAAGCAAAAAAAAAAAAATCACTTGGAAAAAAGTTTGATTTATGTCTGCAATCATACACAGTCAACTTTTAAACTATATTCATTAGCTTGTGGAATCTCTTGTATTCCTCGGCACGTAAGACACAGTTCAGAACCCTGCAAAGACTTCAGCTCACCTTGGAGATGAAATGTGAAGCATGATCAAGATGAAAGACAGTTTGCAAGAAGCATGGACACAGAAATTGTTTGCAATTTAGCCATTCTTCATTTTGTGTGATTGGAAGTGCTAGCCCACTTACAAATGACAATAGAATAAAGAGTTTTAAACAAGCATTTTCTAGAATGTTGATTTCCTGGAGGAGGAAAAAAAATTGTTGTATCCTGCCAAAAGATTGCAGCACCTATAAAATGGTAAGGTCATTTTTCTGCTGAAATGTCACAGTGAGATTTTTTAAATAGATTCCTGGTGCAGTTTTAATAATGTCGAGGTTAAAGATAAGGGGAAAAAAGTATTTAACAATGAGAGTGAAGCAAAAATATTGCCGTTTAAAGTGGATTTTAGGCGTAGCCTTTTACGATGTCAGGGCAAAATATAACCTTGTATACTGCTAATAGTTTTCTAATTGTTTTATTCATAATTAATAACAATCAGCTCAACCACACTGGGCTGATGAACCTGCTTTGACCCTCATGCTAAATATCATAAAAGCAATCCCCGGGGAGGTCTGGAGGAGGGAAAAGGAACAGGGAATGCATGAAGCCCTGTGAGTTTCTCAAAATAAAAATCGAAGAGTTGGCCGGGTGCGGTGGCTCATGCCTGTAATCCCAGCACTTTGGGAGGTTGAGGCGGGTGGATCACCGGAGGTCAGGAGTTCAAGACCAGCCTGGCCAACATGGTGCAACCCCCATCTCTACTAAAAATTAAAAAATCAGCCAGGCGTGGTGGCAGGCACCTGTAGTCCCAGCTACTCGGGAGGCTGAGGCAGAAGAATCGCTTGAAACTGGGAGGCAGAGGTCGCAGTGAGCCAAGATCGGGCCATTGCACTCTAGAAATAAAAAAAAAAAATCGCAGTCTGTTCTGCAGTGGACCTTGTGGAGAGTGTCCATCTAGCTCTCTTCTCTTGAGCTGAACCCCATGACTCAAAGCTGCTGGTGGCCAAGGTTGTGTCACGTGACACGACTGCATCCATTGTTGGAGATCAGTGTCGGAAATGTGGACCAAGCTGGGTCAGGTCCTTTGTCCCTAGAATTTGTGCTGAGGAAAGGAACCTGGGAGATGGGGGTTGAGGGTATTTTTGGCAGCATGTCCACTTGCTCCTCAGTGGGAGACTTTTGTTCTATGTTCATCTCGGTAAGTCTCTAGTAAATTGCCTGTTTTAACTTAATTGAATGTATTAATGAAGATGGTTTTTCATAACAATCACTAGAGAGATTATTTCTCCTACTTAGGTTGTAAGGAAGGAGGGAGCCAGGGCGAGTTGGGGAACTCTGCACTCTCTGTAAATCTCTTCTTCTCTCTTTTACATTACACAAGAGTTTATGTGGATGAGAATAGAGAAGTTCAGCAGCCATTTATCCAGCCTGGGAGGCTGGAGAAAAGTTTCTTCTTTGCCTGCATCTTCTCTCTTCCTGCCTTTCCTAGAAGTACCCAGACATTTTCACCCTTGGCCAGTTCTGAATCCACAAGCTACCTCTAGCTACAAGGAAAACTGGGAAGACATTCTTTTTTCCTTAGTGAGAGGAATAGGAGGACAGGGAGCTGGTATGACTGTGGGATCAGCGGCCTATAGGGTCTGCCCCGCTGGCCTGTGTGGCTTTCAGTTGATGACCCAAGGGTCCAACTATGACAATTATGGTCAAGAGACTAGGACCCTCCAGATTCTAAGTTCACATTCTCACATCTACCCTACTGAAGCCTACAAGAAGGAGGAAGGTGTGATTCAGCCTCAAATCCGCCTTCTCTGAGACGACGCATGGGCAGCTTTAAGTGCTGTCTAAGATGCCACATGACTACACGTGTCCACCAAATACACCAGTTCTTTGCTATCTTTGCTTCAGTATTTTTTTTCCTATTTGGAGATGTCCTTCCATACTCCCTGTCTTTCTCTCCCCCTCTCCCTCCCTCTTTCTCTCGCCAGAGGGCAGGCTGTCATGATGGGGAGTACCATGTCCATGCTTGGTTTTTGAATATATTCTTTTACATGTAAGTGTTCATAGCAATATACAGCATATTTCATATCATTCTCAAAGATTACATGAATGATATCATATTGCTCACATGATCCAGGAACTTTCTCTTTTTTCCACATGGCATTAACCTCTGAGATCCATCCATGTTGGTATGTGTAGCTTCAGCTTATCTCTCTTAGCCACTGTGTTCTCTTCTACCCCGTGGCTCAATCTTTATTGAGCAATATTGCCCAGGCGGGTCTCAAACTCCTCATAATTACAAGCCATTGTAATTATTTATAATTACATCCTATGACTATAAGCCAATTAAGAAAGTGATCAAAGGAAAATTAAAACCTTTCTATGAAAAATTAAATCTCGTTGAAATCTCAGCTGTAGTAGCTAAGTATGCCAGCATGTACTTTGGTGAGATAAGGATGCCAGTCTTGTATCTTCCTACTCATGGACTATTAGACTGTTTCCACTTTATGGTCATTGCAAACAATGCAGGAAGGGACTTTTGTCTTTTTAGGTTTAGAAGCAAGCACTGTCATCTAACTATTTGTCTAGGAGTTGAATTTATGGAACAAAAGGTATCCATGTACCAGCATCTTTTACCAGATTTTGCCAAATTGTTCTCTACTTCCAATTGCAGTCCTGCCAGCCTATAGATGTTCCATTTTCCACATCTTCAGCCATTCTTCCCATAAAACACAAATGTTTTTGCTATTCTAATGGATAATGAGAAAGGGTCTATCTTTGTGATTTTGATTTGCGCTTTCTTAATTACTGGCAAGTTTGAGCATCTTGTTCTGTTGAATGCTCACCTGGGCTCCTGTTCTCTGAATTGTCCATCCACAGCTCTTGTTTAGAGCAGAACCTTGCTCTATAAGTGCTCCATACTCATCCTTCATCAGTTATGTGTGTCGTCCATGTGTGGTCTCAGTTTCTAGCTGTCTTTGGCTTTAAGGTATCTCGTATTTTACAGTTGTTTTAAATTTAAATGTGGTACATCTATCAGTTGTTTCCATTGTGGTTTGTACCTTTGAGTCTATTTCAAGACATTTTTCTCTATTCAGAATCATAAAATAGTCTTTTATAATCTATTCTAAGAGTTTTATTGTTTCACCTTTTTGCATTGAAGTCTGTAGTCAACTTTGGATTTACTTTTGCATATGAAGAAAAGCATATGGGGCATATAATTTACTTCTACGTGTGAAAGAAAAGTATCTGATGATGCATATTTCAAATAGGCAGGCAGGTATAGTAACAACATTGGCAGAATGTCCTATCACTTCTCAGCTTTTGTACAGGGCACTTCGGTGGCCCGTGTGTGGGGTCTTTCTGGGCTCCCCATTTTTTTTTGCAGGAACCTGTTTTTTAAATCCCTGATTTAATTCCCATGGGTTTTTATTTTCAATATAGTGAATAATAAGCAGGGCATTTTGCTTTGATGTTGCTTGTAAATCATTTTATCATGTTAATAAAGTTCCTTTTATTCCGATTTTGCTAGAAGGGTTTTAAAATGATTATATTTATTTGGATGTTTAATTTAGTAACATAATTTTGTGTATGTTGACATGACTATTCTTTAAGTTACTAGTGTGTTGAATTACATTAATAGATTTCTTAATATCAAAATAAGAAATAAGTGAACAATGCCTGTCTTATGATTTAATTGTTTGTGTGTGTGTGCGCACATGTGTGGGAACATTCAGCTTGCTGATATTTAATTTAGGTTTCTGGATCTATGTTCAAAAGTGAGAGAATGTATCTCTGGTCAATGCTATGAATAATTCCATCCTTTTACTTTCAATTCTTTTTCTTTCTTTCTTTTTTTTTTTTTTCCAGAAAGAGGAAGTCTCACTCTGTTGCCCAAGCTAGTCTCAAACTCCTGGCCTCAAGAGATCCTCCCTCTGCTGCCAAATTCTTTTGTGATATGAAGTTGATTTTTCTGGAGTAGGGAGGTTATCTAATCTGGGAATATTTGTGTTTTAAAAACAGTTATGGGACCAGGAGCGGTGGTTCACACCTGTAATCCCAGCACTTTAGGAGGCTGAGGTGGGCAGATCACTTGAGCTCAGGAGTTTGAGACCAGCCTGGCCAACATGGTGAAACCCTGTTTCTAGTAAAAAATAAAAAAAATTAGCTGGGTGTGGTGGCCAGCATCTGTAATCCCAGTTATTCGGGAGGCTGAAGCAGGAGAATCACTTGAATCCAGGAGGCGGAGGTTGCAGTGGGCCAAGATCACGCCATTGCACTCCAGCCTGGGTGACAAGAGCCAAACTCTGTCTCAAAATAAATAAATAAATAAATAAATAAATAAATAAATAAACAAACAAACAAATAAAAACAGTTATGGTATTTAAGTAACAATGCAGTGATCCTTTCCTGGGACTGACTTCGACCCTCTTAGTTTTGTTGCTGGTTTGACTCATCAGGAGCAACTAGCACTGTTTCTTGCTGAGCTGAGATGAACCATTCAGGGTGGTGCCCACTGCACCCCCAATGGACAGGCTTCACCAGTAAGCAGAAGCAAGTCTGCACCCCGTGCCAGTTCTGCTAAGAATGTTCTTATATATTTTGGCAAATGTTCAGCAAACACTAGAACTAACAAGCAGCTTAAAGTGAGACAGCTGTCCTTCTTGAAGCTCAAGATTAAACGTACACAGTCCAAGTCAAGCAGACAGTAAATATATTTCAGAATCAGAGCTTCAGGAAGGAAGGATTTTCAAATACTGTACAATGGAAAAAAAGAAATCACTGATGAAACCTATTAAAATATCCTTAGAAAACACAGGTAAAATGTAGTCAAAAGATCCAAAAGAAAAGATGGTCTCAGCAACTCTTGTCTCAACATTGGATAGCCTTGCAGAGATGATAAAACTTCTTAGTGATGCCTTAGCCTTGATCATATGGCAAAGGGAAGCTTATCATGGCAATATTTTGCAAATAATGCCTTAACTCTATTTAAAGTACAATTCTAGGATATACACAAGAGACACAATAATGTTAGTTATGCAGGAAGAAGCTCAGAGTCAGAATAATTTGCATAAAAGGTATGGCTCTAAAATACTAATTCTGATGCGTCTAATATAAATTAAAAAATGGTTCCAAGGATAATCCAAAAGTGATTTGGAATCATTGGAGAACATTCCAACATTACTAATTTATACGTGCATTTTGGCAGCATCTTTAAAAAGAAAAACTTATTCCATTTATTTATAAGTACATCCTATGACTACAAGCCAATTGAGAAAGTGATCAAAGGAGAATTATAACATTTCTAGGAAAAATTAAATCTCATTGAAATGTTAGATGTAGTCCCTAACTATTCCAGCCTGTACTTTGGTGTAATAAGGACACCGATCTTGTCTTGGGCCCTGTAGTTGGTTGAATATGTCCACCTTATAACCCTTGGAATCTGTGAATTACGCCTTATTTGGAAAAGGGGTCCTTGAGGATATAATTAAGATAAGAGTCGTGAAATGAGATCCCACTGGGTTATCTGAGTGGACATTTTCACTCGTGTCCGTGTAAAGAGACCACCAAACAGGCTTTGTGTGAGCAACAAGGCTGTTTCTTTCATCTGGGTGCAGGCGGGCTGAGTCCAAAAAGAGAGTCAGCGAAGGGAGATAGGGGTAGGGCTGTTTTATAGGATTTGGGTAGGTAAAGGAAAATTACAGTGAAAGGGGGTTGTTCTCTGGCAGGCAGGGGCAGGAGACACAAGGTGCTCAGTGGGGGAGCTTTTTAGCCAGAATGAGTGAGGAGAAGGAATTTCACAAGGTAATGTCATCAGTTAAGGCAGGAACAGGCCATTTTCACTTCTTTTGTGATTCTTCAGTTACTTCAGGCCATCTGGATGTATACACGCAGGTCACAGGGGATATGATGGCTTAGCTTGGGCTCAGAGGCCTGACAGACACTAAATCCAAGGACAAATGTGCTGACAGATGTCAACCTGAAATAGTCAAAAGGGTCAGAATCTAATTTAAAGTGAGTTTACTCCAGCATAAATTGGTGTGAGGCTGCCACCCCACCACCCCGAGAAACACCAGCTCCAAAGGAATGGAGTCAGCCTGCCCAAGTAGGGAAGTGAAGGTTTCACTTACAGCAGCAGAGAGGGAGGAGTTTTTTTAGCAGGATGAAAACTCATTCATACAAGGTTGGTGCATAGTTACAGCAATTTGGTTGGTTATAGGCAGTGTTTCTTTTGGGAAAGGGTGCATTTAACATTTCTTACAGAGGGTGTGATAGTCATGGGTTTTCTGTCATCTGGTCTAAGCAAAGCAGGACAGCAAGGGGAAGTTAATCGATAAAAGTGTCATTAATTTGAAAGGCAGGAGGTTTCTGTCCTTGACGTCATTTAATTCTTTCTAGGCATTGTACAGAACAAGAAAAATAAGAAAGCCAGTTAATCTATAATCGGAGAACAGAAGTTGTGTCCATATGTGACTGAGCTCACGATCACATCTCTGTCAAGGCTTAAAGTGTTTCTGGGGGTTCCAGCAGCTTTTGAATTGTATTTGTTTTCACATAAAAGACAAAAAAGGGGAAGATGCAGACTTATAGAGGAAGGAGAGAGAAGAGATTGGAGTGATGCAGCAAAGAAAAAAAAAATGCAAAAAATGTCTGGAGCCACCAGAAGCTGAGAACGGCAGGGAAGCATTCTCCCCTAGAGCCTTCAGGGAAGGACAGCCCTGTTGAGACCTTGATTTGGAACTTCTGCCCTCCAGAGAAGACATTCCTGTTCTTTGAAGGCACCGACTTTGTGGTGATTTGTTATGGCAGCCCCTGGAAGTGAACACAGTTCCCATCTTGAACCACATCACTACCCGTGGGTGATGCCAAGCCAAGAAAAATGGCCATGACTTTGTCGATAGATCGTAATCAAAACCCAAACAAAACAACTGCAGCCCGAAATGCTGGGATGACTTCAACAAGGAGACTTATTAAGGGTATATAGAATGACAAGCCAAAGCACAGGACAGGCAAACGTGACAACCTGTGGAGAGTGACCCTGAAGCAAAGGCAATGAAAACTTCTGAAAGGGGCTGTCACAGAGGCGTGGTGACACTGCAGGACCTTAACATGAGCGTTGATCGCTTCCAGAACTGGGACCACCTGCAGGGCTCCGACCCCACAGGAACGCCCTGCTGAGTCGCGTGGCTCCACTTTAGGGTGGATGCAGGGAAGTCTGGCAGAACAGCCTCCAGGATGGAAAAATGACGCAAATCCTGCTCGAAGAAGATGGGAGCAGAACAGAACTTCCTGCAGAGACCCAGGAGCTACAGGAGGTGTTAATCTCACCTGGGAGCTGCCAGAGGGAGGTTCTGAAACCAGTGAAATAATGGAGTTTCAGGTCGACGTCAGCCAGACCTAACCAAATGCTGGGACATCCTGGGGCAGGAGGCCTCTTCCCATTGTTGGCGGTTGAAAAGGGAAGAGAAAACAATTTTCAGGGAGGCTCAGGGAGTAAACCAGAATCTGAATACATTTTAGTAAGGAGGGAGAAAAATGGTAAATTTCCATAATAAAGAAGAGGGAATGTGGAGGAGGAGGTGAGGGGGAAGTGGCCCATTAGTTTCAAACTGCTGTGGGTCTCTTGAGGGCAGAAGTTCCATTTCATCACTTTTATTCTCAAGAAACCCCTTGGAACACTGACTTAATATTTGTTAGCTGAATTTTTTTCTGTAGCTTAATGTTAGTTTTCCATACATGGTTATCTTTTAAGGATAGCAGTAAGAAACTGACATTGTTTTGCCCCAGGGACTAGGAATGTCCCAGGTACTGGACCCATGGCTTCAGTTGGGAAATCTGTGTAATTGACATGATTTAGGGAAGGATTTCTTTTTTTTATTGTTTAAACAAGTATTTCCCTTATAACATTATCGATTCACTCATCAACAAGTATTTAATAAATGTTCACTGTGCTAGACAATAGGATGGCGAACACAGACCTCCACCCACTCTGTGCCAGGCAGCACCCAAGCACCCTCTAGCCACCAACTCACTACCTACTCTTGGCAACCCTGTGAAGTAGGTTCTTATTTCCATTTTGCATGTGAGACCACTGAAACAATGAATAATGTAATTAGAAATAATTTGCATTTATTTGCAATGACAAAATAATTTGAAATGGAATGAAATAAGAAAAACTGAAATAATTTGCTCCAATTATGTGGATTATGTGGTGGTTGTGGGGAGGGTGGGAACGAACCCAGGAATTCTGGCTCCAGCCAAATCCTGGGCTCCTCAACAGACTCTGAACTTCTAGATGTACAATGACTGATGACAGGCAGAAGGATACCAGCCCATCCTCACGTCACAGGCAGAGTGGTGGGATAGAGTCTTTAATCAAATACTTAATCAAATTATGAATCAAATAATGTTAAGTAAATATACAATTACAGTTGCAATTAGCCGTATAGATTCATCACCAAGGGGTTTGCTGTAGCAAAGGTCTGAAAAGCTTTCCCCTGGAAAGGCATACTTAAGCTGATACCTAAATGATGTCATGAATTTGGTTAAGAAGGTGGGGGGGATGCTTTAGGCCAAAGTGAGTCACAGGCACAGATATGACTTTATGTCTTGTACAAGGTCCAGGTATTTCCCAGCACCAGATGCATCTACCTTGTAGATCAGTGGTCTTAAAATGTGGCACATAGCTCAGGAGCAGCAGCAGCAGCCCCTGGAAACTTATTGGAAATGCAAATTCTTGGGCTCCACCCCATCACTACTGAGTGGGAAATTGTGGAGGGTGGGCCTAGTGCTGTTTTAAGAAGCCCTCCAGTTGATCCTGAGCTCACTCAAGTTTGGGATCAGCTGCTATGGAAGATACAGTGGGCACATGCCCAGGCCCCTTCCCCAGCAGATGTGCCCATTCCCCGTGGCTGAATATTGGCCCCTGACAGCTCACAGCCACCGACTACCCACTCAGGAAGGCTGAGTCAGCACTGCTGAGTCAGCCTCACAGGAGCCTTTTGCTCCCGGATGCTGAGCTGCCTGTAGCCTCCACTCTCCCACCAGACCCTGATGACACATGACTCACATCATGCTTGCTCCCTGCCTCAAAGTAAGAATTGTGTTGAAGTTGTGTAACCACCCCAAGGATTCTTCCTGCTCACTGCACAGGCAAAACTGATTCATTGAGACCATGGCATTGCAAGAAAGAGTGTAGCCAATTCGAGGCTGGCCACATTATGTGGGAGACGAAGTTATCACTCAAAATCAATCTCCCCCAAAATTCAGAGGCTAGGGTTTCTCAAGGACAGCTTGGTGGGCAGGGGGACTAGGAAATGGGTGCTGCTGATTGATTGGGGATGCAATCAATGGGATGTGGAAATCGGTCCTCCTGCTCTGAGTCCACTTTTGGGTGAGGCCACAGGACTGTTTTGAGTCACAGCTCTGGGTGAGGCCAGCTGGTTGTCAGGAATACAAAAGCCATAAAAGACATCTCAAAAGGCCAATCTTAGGTTCTAAAATAGTGACACTAACTATAGGAATAATTGGGGGAGGTGCAAATCTTATGACCTCTGAAAAACTGGCTGGCAACTGTTTCACTGTGCCTACATCTTAGCAGAATTCGGTCCCCTCTTATCCTTCCAAACTGGTGGCCTTCCATGAGGTTTATAAAGGTGGTTTCGTTTTAGGGAAAGGCTATTATCATTTAAACTATAAACTAAATTTTTCCCAAAGTAAGTTTGGCCCAAGCCCAGGAATGACCAAGGGCAGTTTGGAGTTAAAGGCAAGATGAGGGTTGATTAGATCAGATCTCTTTCACTGTCATAATTTTCGCACTGTTATAATTTTTGCAAAAGCAGTTTCAGTTGTGCCCCAGAGCTGCCAGTGAGCCATATTCTAGTTTAGAACGTTTCCTGTCTCCTTGCCCTCTCTGGCCTCCTTCTGTCTTCTCCCAGAGACAATTTCCCAATAAACCTCTTGAACAAGAATCCCCATCTCAGGTTCTGTTTCTGGGAAACCTTACCTGATGCAGGCACTGTCATTCTGGAGGCCAGCAGATAGAGCTTGAAGCAAAACTGAGACAGAGACAACAGAAGCATCAGTGTGGAGCAGGGGACACTCTTCCCTGGCCCTCCTGCCTTTTCTTTATCCCAATCATGTGCCTTCAGACTCATCCCTCTCAACAGAAAAATTTGCCTGTGTCAGTGAAAAGAGTCAAACTCTGTAAAATATTTGAAGAGATTTCTTCTGAGCCAAATATGAGTGACCCAGGCCTGTGACACAGTCCTCAGGAGATCATGAGAACATGTGCCCAAGGTGGTCAGGGTGCAGCTTGGTTTTATACATTTTAGGGAGACATAAGACTTCAATCGAATACATTTAAGAAATACATTGGTTTGGTCCAGAAAGGTGGGACAACTTGAAGGAGGGGGTGGCTTCCAGCCTATAGGTAGATTTTAAAATTTTCTGGTTGACAATTAGTTGAATTTTTCCAGTGACCTGGGATCAATAGAAAAGAATATCCGGGTTGTGATAAGAGATTGTGGAGACCAAAGTTTTATCAATGCAGATAAGGCCTCCAGGCAGCAGGCTTCATAGAGAATAGGTTATAAATGTTTCTTATCTGACTTAAAGTCTGTGTTGATGTATCATGAGGCATGTCCCACCCCCACTTCCCATCAAGGCCTGAGCCAGTCTTTCAGGTTAAACTTCAAAAGAGTCCTGGCTAAGGAAGAAGTCCATTCAAATGGTTGGGGCCTTAGAATTTTATTTTTGGTTTACACCTGCTTGCTTACTAAAAACAAAGAGGTTATTGGTTGTGACATCCTTCTATCTGCTTCTACTTTACAATAGACCATCCTTGGACTTCCACTTAGCTCCAAGCAAATATTCTCAGTTCTCAGCTTTTTTCCTCTGCCATGCTTCTGTTGGGCGGCTCCCTCCATCACCAGCAGGATGTGCAGTGGTCAGTGCATAGGCTTCTGGCTTCCTTTAAGACAATCACCCTCTGTGCGCAGCCTGGTTGCAGTTGATGTTCTGCCTGATGATTCCCAGGGCTCAGATGAGGCCAAACAGATGCTTCTTCCAGGACATGGACTTTTGGGTCAAGGGGTGCAGGACTAAGAACAAACACCATGGCTGATTCATCCCAACAGCTCCACTCTGATGAGACTCTCCAGTGCCTCCTGACACTCAAGGTCTGGCTGCTGCTCTGCCTCCTGTGCTTTCAGACACAGGTTTGGTATTATTATTACTATTTTGCCTTTCCTCTCATTTCTTCCATAAGTTCTCCTTTGCTCAAGTAAATTTTCTAAAAGATACACCACCTTTATGAGAACAATTCGTACCAGAAATATCAGCATCTTAACAAAATTAAGATTTATCCTTTACTCCTGCAAAATCCGTTTTGGATCCAACAAGCCTCTTCCATTTTGTAGCTTAGCCATGAGAGACAAGTGGCCAATGAGATCACTACTTTAGGACAAGAAAAAAAGGAGGAAGAGGTGGCGCTTCTGGTCTTAACTGTTGCGGTGACTCCCCACCTCCAGCCAGGAGACGATTGCCTCACTGGTTCCACGCTCAAGTGCAAGGCAGAGAAAAGTTGAGAGAACACCATCTCTTTTGCTCCTTTTAATCCCAACACCATTCTCCCCACTTACCCTTCTTTACCACTGACTCTCTGATCACTCCTGGTTATTCCTTGGCACTTGGTTTTGCTTCTGGTAGGTGCCACTTGAAACCATTTTTTTTTTTTTTTGAGATGGAGTCTCACTCTGTTTCCCAGGCTGGAGTGCAGTTCCGTGATCTCGGCTCACTGCCACCTCTGTCTCCCAGGTTCAAGCGATTCTCCTGCCTCAGTCTCCTGAGTAGCTGGGACTACAGACATGTACCACCATGCCCAGCTAATTTTTGTATTTTTAGTAGAGACAGAGTTTCACCATGTTAGCCAGGCTGGTCTCGAACTCCCAACCTCAGGTGATCTGCCCACCTCAGCCTCCCAAAGTGTTGGGATTGCAGGCGTGAGCCCCTGCGCCCAACCTGAAACCATTCTCTTGACATCATTGAGAACCTCCCTGATCCCTGTTCCCTCACTAAGGGTCTTCCCTCAGTTTCTTATCTGCCTGCACTTCCCTACAGTATTTGATGTTTCCCCATCCCTTCCTCTGAAGAGTTCTCTATTCCCTTTAAATGTATAATAGTGCCCTAGTCTGACCTGGTAGTCACCTTTTCTTATCTCCATATCCTATTTTACTTCTGATTCCTAACCTCTGAGTATACTTCTTCAAATTTACAAACTAAGCTCTCTTCTTTCTCGTTATAGTTTTAGAAGCTCCATCTAGTTTCATAACTTAAGTTATTGCCTTTCTGAGAGTAATTCCTAAATGGTAATACTTAATCCTGATACTGACTCAGAACTTCCGGCAGAAATGCAAGTCCATCTGGTTTTTGAACAGATCCACCTCCAGATGTTCATACCCAAGATAATGATGCAGTCTTTAATCTTGTCTTCCTATCTAGTAGTGGATCCACTAAGCTAGGTCCCTTTGGCCTTGGGTGCCGCTGATGGCCACTTCTCCCCTAGGCTGCCCTGAATCTCATGCCTATGCTTGTCCCTGAGCAACCTCTTTCCATTTCCAGAAGACTGCACTGTTTAGGTTTTAGTGAATTTTGGCTGGATTTTAAATAAATTCTCCTGCCTGGTATTTCCTTCAGGATTTTTCATTTCCCCGCTGTTCCCTGTGGTGCTAGATTAATCTGCTTAAACTGCTATCAAAGAAAAACTGCATGAGGTGGGATAAACAGGCAAGGAAGACTTTATTCAAGACTGGGGCAATAGGGGAGAGAGATTGAACTCAACTCCACTGAAACAAATGGCAGGATAGAGTTTAAGTGCTGGGGTGAGCCAGTGGAGAGGGATGGGAAGATGTCAGGAGTGAGGTCGGCCAATGCAATTAAGCCATCTGGATTTTCTGATTGGTGCTTATAAAACTAGGCTCTCACTCTCCCACAGAGATGATTACATTTCAAAGGAATCGCTTCTAGCTCCTTGAGAAAAATATTCCTGAGTGTAAAACTGGCAAGAATCTAGGAGAAGATTTGTATCTCACATGGGCAGAGAAATGATTTGCAATTTCAAGTCTTTCTAAAGTTAATGCTGTAAGCAAAGGAAGGTCAGAAAGAAGTCTGTCTGGAGTCCAGTGAAGATGAGGGTTATGTTAGGCCCACATGGTCACCGCACGGCTGACCTGGCCACTGGACTGCTGGAGTCCATGCAAAGGCCCCTCTGCCATCCAGTGATCCTGCAGATTCCCTGCAAGGGACACGAGGCTCCAGGACCTTGGCTCCATCCTTAGCACCCATTCATGGCCTCATCGTTTCCATTCCTGATCACACCCCAGAGGGCCTGTCCTAAATATTTCTGTGCCCATGTCTCCTTCATTCCCTGTCATTCCCTTTCTCCATCACCAAATGTTGAATTTTCAAACAACCTTCAAGGCCCAAATCAAATGAACTTTCCATAAAATTTCCCTAAATGCCACCCTTGGGCCTACACCATGAAGCATTAGTTTTCCATTCTCGTTGTCTTCATGGCAAGACTAAATGAATGAATGAGTGAAGAACAAAGGAAGGCGTGAAATACATGATATGGAGAAGTCTTCCTCTCTGTGTTTCAGCTTCAAAGTTAGATCTAAGTTGTCAATACCAGTTTTAGAATATGGAATTTACACATACTTTAAAATATCAAAAATGTGCCAGTTCAGGTAACGTCCTTCTGAAGCAAAATGTATTGTCATCTAGCTCTTACTTCAAAATGCTCAAGAACAATATCCATGTGGCTACTATTTCAGAGTCTCTAGTAGCAAGTGTGTAAAGTACTATCTCTTGCTGAGTTTGGGCAATTGCTTTTGCATATGAGAGGACTAGTCATTAACCAGCAGAATTTTCTGTGATACCTACATTTCCCCCTACAGTTAATTCTCCCTTAATTCAGAATATCCTGAATTTTATAGCTCAGGAATTTGTGCAAGTGGAATTTCTTTCACGAATAACATTACCTTATAGACAACAGCACATGTACAGCCACTTTTTCCAATATTCACGTAAATTTTTATGGACAACAATAAATCAAGGCTGAGGGAAATACAAATTTCGAATAGAAAAGTGTAACACCTATATTCTTGACAGGAAAACATTGTAAGTGCATTTAGATTTTGCATCTATATTAGCAGAGAAGTTCGTGCCTGCTAGCCCTGGCTTAATGGTGATGATGGTATTTGTTCCTTTTCCTACCCTCTTCTATTCTAAGGTGAAGATGATTAATAGGTTGCCAAATGAATCGTACAATAAGCTTTCCTGATCAGAGTATTCCTTGAGCTAACCATGTAACAGCTCACTGCTGCACAACTGAGGATATTGATGAATAGTTTTATGATTCATCTGGGCAGATCCATGAAGCCAATTACTTCATAAGGTGGCATTTCATCACAGTTGCCTTCGATCCTCTGTGGCTGGCTCATTGATTAGAGCTTGCCAAGGAAAGCAAGTGTAACAGTCTGGGATCCAAAATTGCTGACAGTCATTCCTGGACTTTGGCGTGGGTGTTCTGACAATGTGCTTATAATTTCTCTAGGCTGGCTTAATTACTCTACCCTTATATAAGGTTTAGTAACTTGACATAAAGTGGAAGAAAATCCACAGTAACATTAGACAGAATCTGCAAATCTTAGATTCTGATAGGACTCATCTGGAACTGCCTTCCCATCCACCCTCCCTTTTTATTGAAGAATTTGATCATTGAATCTGGACACGCATCTATGCATCATTTGCTCAATTTGGAGGAGTCAGTTAAATTAAAAATTCAAGCTGAAAAAATGTGCATTAGTAGGTAGTTTTGATTTTTCTGGCTTAAATACAATAGAATTATATCTGGGTACAATTGCATTGATGCACTATGCTGCTAACAAGAGGAACAATTTGCAACTAGCAAATGGTATGTGGATCCATGTACATGCATAACTGGAAAATTAGGTGCACATAAAATATTTTTTCAAATGATGTATTTTTACACAGTTTGCTCTCCTTTAACCTCATGCTGATGCATAATTAATACAGAGATGTATTCACTTAACTACTGACTTCTAGAGACTGCCCGAAGGCATCTATTCCATCTCAGAGACCCAATGCAGTGTGACATCCAATGACATTTTTGCCATTGGAATGCAGAGTAGTTAATGATGAGAAAGAAGCTTCTTGTCTAGGAAAAAAGTAGGAAGCAGGCAGTAGTTTCCTGTAGTGAGGGACATGGGACTTCCTTGGGATCGTTTCCATTTAGTGGGATGGCACAAGAGAACTCTGGAGCTGGGAATCAGAGCTGGTATGCCTTTTAAAAAATAAATGTTTCACTATATTTTAAGAGTTTTAAAATTATAAAAATAAATGTGAAGATATGTTATAGTTTGAATATATGTCCCCACCAAATCTCATGTTGAATTTTAATCCCCAGTTTTGGAGGTGGGGATCCAATCACCTGGTGGGAGGTGAGTGGATCCTGGGGGCAGGCTTCTCATGAAGGTTTATCTCCATCCTCTTGTTGCTGCTCTTGCAATAGTCAGTCCTCGGGAGATCTGGTTGTTTGAAAATGTGTGGCAATTCCTCACTACTCTTTTGCTCCTGCTCTGGCCATGTGATGTGCCTGCTTCTGCTTTACCTTCTGCCATGAGTAAAAGCTCCCTGAGGCCTCCCCAGAAACTGAGATATGGACACCATGCTTGTACAGCCTGCAGAACCGTGAGCCAACTAAATCTCTTTTTTTAATAAATTGTCCAGCCTCAGGAATTTCCTTATAGCAATGCAAGAACAGCCTAATGCAAGATGGAACAGAGTTCCCATATGTTCTGCACCCCGGCCCTTGTTATTTAAACTGCTTTATTGAGATATAATTCACATACCATAAAATTCACCTATATAGACCATACAGTTAAATGGATTTTGGTGTATTTGGAGTTGAGCAACTATCATCACAACTAGAGCACTTTCATTACCCTAAGAAGAAACTCAGTACCCAACATCAGTCACTCCTCTTGCTTCCAAACCCCTCAGCCCTAGTCAGCCTCTGATCAACACAGGCCTATCACTATAGATTTGCCTATTCTGGACACTTCGTATAAATGGAACAATATATGATGTGGTCCTTCATGACTGGCTGCTTTCTTTTGATGTAATGTTTTCAAGGTTCAGCCATGTGGTAGCCAGTATCAGAACTTCATTCCTTTGTGTTGCCAAATTATAGGTTATACTATGAAGATGCCACATTTTATTTAACTGTTTAATAGTTGATGGACATGGTATTGTTTCTATTTTTTGGCTACTATGGATATTACTGTCATGAACATTTGGGTGCAAGTTTTTGTGTGGCCACGTATTTTTATTTCTCTTGGTTAAATACCTAGGAGTGGAACTGCCAGGTCATATGGTAACTGCATGTTGACTCTTTTGAGGAGCTTCCAGACTGTTTTTCAAAGTGATGGCACAATTTTCCTTTCCCCTCAATAATGTATGAGGGTTGCAATGTCGCTACATATTACCAACATTTGTCATTGTCTTTCTTTCTTTTCTTTCTCTCTCTCTCTTTCTTTTCCTTCTTTCTTTCTTTCTTTCTTTCTTTCTTTCTTTCTTTCTTTCTTTTCTTTCCTTCTTTCTTTCTTTCTTTCTTTCTTTTTTTTTGGGATGGAGTCTCGCTCTGTCACCCAGGCTGGAGTGCAGTGGCATGATCTCGGCTCGCTGCAATCTCCACCTCCCAGGTTCAAGCGATTGAACTCACTGCCTCAGCCTCCCAAGTAGCTGGGACCACAGCCGCATGCCACCACACCCAGCTAATTTTTTGTATTTTTAGTAGAGACGGGGTTTCACCATGTTAGCCAGGATGGTCTCAATCTCCTGACCTCATGATCCACCCTCCTTGGCCTCCCAAAGTGCTGGGATTACAGGTGTGAGCCACCACACCTGGCCATCTGTCTTTTTCATGATAGACATCACAGGAGTGTAAAGTGACATTTACCTATATTGGCTTTGTATTTCCCTGATGGCTAATGATTTTGAACACCGTTTAATGTGTTTATTGGCCATTTTTAAATCTTTTTTAAAGAAAGTCTATTCATATAATTTGCTCATTTTAGAATGAGACATTTTCTTTAAGGGTTCTTTTCTTATCAAACGAATGATTTGTATATGATGCTGCTATGTAAATTGTTTTCTTAAATTTCCTTCCACCCTGTGGCTTTTGTCTTTATTTTCTTGGTGCTGCCCTTTGAAGCATAAAAACGTTAATTTTCATAAAGTCAAATTGATCCTTTGTGCTTCCAGTATCTCATTTAAGGGAACTTTGACTAATTCAAGGTCATGATGATAGACGTCTGTGCTTCCTTCTAAAAGTTTTATAGTTTTACTTCCTACACTTAGGTGTTTAATCCATTGTGAGTTAATTTTTGTTCATGGTAGAAGGGAGGGTTCTAATTTATTTCTTTTATAGCTGGATATCTAGTTGTCCCAGCATCATTTGTTCAAAAGACCTATTTATGTTTAACTGAGCTGTCTCGACACCCTTGTCAAAAAACGATGGACTATAAATATATGCGTTTCTTTCCATGCTCTCAGTTTTATCCCACTGGTCTATACGTCTGTCCTATTAACAATATCACACTGTCTTAACCTTGGATCTGTAGATTTGGATAGTATTGTCATTTAAAAAACACTAGGTCTTTTGATTTATGAACATAGGGTATTTTAAAATTTATTTAGGTTTTTTGAAATTTATTCAACAGTGTTTTGCTGTTTTTCAGAGTACAGCTGCCCCTCCGTACCCATGGGGGATTGGTTCCAGGACCCATATGCAAACCAAAACCCATATGCAAATGGATAATCAAGTCCCTGAGGTAAAATGCTTAAGTAACTTTGCATATAACCCCATGAACATCCTCTTGAATATTTTAAATCATCTCTAGATTACTGGTAATACCTAATACAATGTAAATGCTATGTAAATAGTTATACTGCATTGTTTAGGGAATAATGACAAGAAAAAAATGTTGCATGGGTTCAGTACAGATGCACCCATCCTTTAAAAAAATATTCTGCGTCTGCAGTTGGTTAAACCCACAGATGCAAAACCCACAAATGCAAAGGGACAACTGTGTAAGTTTTGCACTCGTTTTGTTAAATTTATTCCTAAGTATCTCTTTATTTTTGCTACTATTGTAAATTGTTTTCTTAAATTTTATGTTTGTACTGTCCATTGGTAATGCACAGAAATACAATTAAATTTTGTATGTTTATCTTGTACCCTGGAACATGCTGAACCTGATTATTAGTTTTATAAGTGTTTTAGTGGATTAATTACAATTTTCTGTTTGAGAGATCATATAATCTTCAAACAGAGATAGTTTTACTTCTTCCTTTCCATTCTGGATTTTTTAAATTTCATATCTTATCCTATCTACACCTCCACTACAACTCCAATTGAATAAAAATGGCAAGAATGGGAATCTATGCTTGATTCTTGATCTTAGGGAAATTTTCCACCTTTTAAATTAAGTTTGAAGTTAACTATGGGATTTTTCATAGGTGCCTTTTTTCTTGGTGAGGAAGTCCCCTTTTATTTCTAGTTTGCTGAATGTTTTATCATGAAGGGACATTGTGTTTGTCAAATTCCCTCTTTGTGTAAATTGGGATAATAATGAAGTTTTTCACCTCCTTGATTCTATTGATATGGTGTAATTTTTTTTTTTTTGACTGGGTCTCACTCTGTCATCCAGGCTGGAGTGCGGTGGCACAGTCTTAGCTCATTGCAACCTCTGCTTCTCCAGCTCAAGCGATCCTCCCACCTCAGCCTCCCAAATAGCTGCGACTCCTATATTACATTATTTATTTTATTGTTCTAATTTTGACCATTTGGAGCTTTTTCTGCTGGCTCATGTGTTCCTTTGACATGCCACATCATTGTGTGAGCGTGTGTATCTGTGTTTGGTTAGCACTATATCACTTATTGATACTAAATTGATGATCTAGGATAATCACATCTTTTCTAACTTAATTCTATAATCAGTCATTTCTCCAAGAAGCCCTACTTCCTTTCATTGGAGAATAGTGTTAGAAATCAAAATATTATCACTTAATATTCTTGTTATTAATGAGGTATCATTACTTCTAGGAAATCTCAGGTAACTGAGCAAGGAAACGTGTAAATACCAACCCATGTCTACACACCTATCTATAAATATTTCTAGATCAATCTCTCCCTCTCTCTCAAGCTAAACTTAAGTTCATACAGAAGTCTCTTATCCACTACCACATGGATTATTCTAGTCTTCTCTCATTGTTTATCTATAAAGTCCCACACTAACAGTGAGTAACCTGGCTTCAACCATCCACCATCCGTTTACTCAATTATTTATCTCTATTTACATATATAGCAGTATAGAATTGCTAAAACATACTCCCATGGGAAACAACATTATCAACTAGACCATGGTGCTTATGTGCAGATTTTTTTTTTAGTTTTGCATAGTCCACTCATTTCCAAAGCTACACAGGTCAGCAACATTTTCCCCACTTCCGCCAGTGGCATTATGTCATTTATCAGCAACATAGTCAGATGTTTCGTCACATTCCATGTTCCATCTCAGAATTCCCCAGCTACCTAAATGCTTTTTATTTATATTTGCATATATTAAGGTTCACTTTGTGCTGTAATGTTCTTTAGGTGTTAAGAAATAAATAATATCATATACACACTATTAGAGTGCAACAGAGGATAGTTTCACCATCTTAAAGAGAAATTCCTGTATTTCACATACTCAACATTCTCCTCCTCGCATAAATGTCTCCAAATCTGTTCTTTTTTTTAAATGTTGTGTGGACTAGTCTATGTTTCTTGACTTTCCATATAAATGTTAGAGTCAGGTTATTCATAGTTACAAAGTGGCTCACTGAGACTTTTATTAGTATTGCATTGAATTTATAGGTCAATTTGGAAAAAAACAGACACTTTAACAATATTAAATCCTCCAATTCATGAACATGGACTATATCTCTATTTACTTAGATGTTATTTTATTTTCTCTATTTTTTTACTTTCAACTTCATTGATTTCTGCTCTCATTTTATTCATTACATTTTTTCCTCATGCTATAGGGTTAAATTGTACACCTTTTTCTGGATTCCTAAGGTGAAATATTATATTGATTTACATTTTTCATCTTTCTAATACATTCATTTCATGCTATACATTTTCTTTTAAAGAATGCTTTCACTTTCTTCCACTTTTTAAAGTAATTTTTATCTTTATTTAGTTCAAATTACTTTTTACATTTCTCTTGAGACTTTTACTTTGATCTATATGTTATTTAGAAATGTGCTATTTAATCTCCAAATAGTTGGAAATTTTCTAGTTATTTTTGCTATTATTTGGTTTCTGGTTTAGTTCCATTGGGATCTGAAATATATTTTTATGATTATTAAAAATTTATTAAGTGTAATAATTTATGACACAGAACGTGATTTATTTTGGTGCATGTTCCATGTGAACTTCAGAGAGAAGCATATCCTTCTGTTGTTGGATAGAGTGTTTTATAAATGTCAATTAAATCAAGTTGATTGATAGCACTGTTCACATCAACTACGGATTTTCTGCTTGCTAAATCTATCAATTACTGACAAGAAGTCTGTTGAAATCTCCATTTATTATAGTGGATTTGCCTATTTCTCCTTGCAGTTCTATCAGTCTTTGCCTCAGGTATTTGGATGCTCTCTTGTTAAGAATATGCAGGTATACCCATCTGATTGTACTTTGTTTCACTGCACTTTGCAGATACTGCAGGGTTTTTTTTGTTTTTATTTATTTATTTATTTATTTTGAGATGGAGACTCGTTCTGTCACCCAGGCTGGAGTGCAGTGGTGTGATCTTGGCTCACTGCAACCTCCGCCTCCCGGGTTCAAACAATTCTCTGCCTCAGCCTCCCAAGTAGCTGGGATTACAGGCACCCACCACCACACCTGGCTAATTTTTGTAGTTTTAGTAGAGACGGGGTTTCACCATCTTGGCCAGGCTGGTCTTGAACTCCTGACCTCGTGATCCACCCTCCTCAGCCTCCCAAAGTGCTGGGATTACAGGCGTGAGCCACCATGTCCAGCTGATACTGTGTTTTTGACACAAATTATAGTGTTGTGGCAACCCTGCATTGAGCGAGTCTATCAACACCAATTTTTTTCCAATAATTTGTGCTCACTTTTTGTCTCTGTGTCACATTTTGGTAATTCTCTCAATACTTTAAACTTCTAATCGTTATTATATCTGTTATGGTCATCTGTGATCGGTGATCTTTGATGTTACTATTGTAATTATTTGAGGAACCAGAAACTGCACCCATATAGGACTGCAAACAATCAATAAACGTGTGTGTTCTGACAGATCTCCTGACCGGCCATCCATCTCTCTCCCTCTCCTCAAGCCCCCCTATTCTCTCATCCACAACATTATTGAAATTAGGGCAATTAATAAACCTACAGTGACTTCCAGGTGTTCAAGTGAAAAGAAAAGTCACACATCTTTCACTTGAAATTAAAAGCCTGACGTGAGAAATGGGAGAAAATTTTCGCAACCTACTCATCTGACAAAGGGCTAATATCCAGAATCTACAATGAACTCAAATTTACAAGAAAAAAACAAACAACCCCATCAAAAAGTGGGCGAAGGACATGAACAGACACTTCTCAAAAGAAGACATTTATGCAGCCAAAAAACACATGAAGAAATGCTCACCATCACTGGCCATCAGAGAAATGCAAATCAAAACCACAATGAGATATCATCTTACACCAGTTAGAATGGCAATCATTAAAAAGTCAGGAAACAACAGGTGCTGGAGAGGATGTGGAGAAATAGGAACACTTTTACACTGTTGGTGGGACTCTAAACCAGTTCAACCATTGTGGAAATCAGTGTGGCGATTCCTCAGGGATCTAGAACTAGAAATACCATTTGACCCAGCCATCCCATTACTGGGTATATACCCAAAGGATTATAAATCATGCTGCTATAAAGACACATGCAGATGTATGTTTATTGAGGCATTATTCACAATAGCAAAGACTTGGAACCAACCCAAATGTCCAACAATGATAGACTGGATTAAGAAAGTGTGGCACATATACACCATGGAATACTATGCAGCCATAAAAAATGATGAGTTCATGTCCTTTGTAGGGACATGGATGAAATTGGAAATCATCCTTCTCAGTAAACTATCGCAAGAACAAAAAAGCAAACACCGCATATTCTCACTCATAGGTGGGAATTGAACAATGAGAACACATGGACACAGGAAGGGGAACATCACACTCTGGGGACTGTTGTGGGGTGGGGGGAGGGGAGAGGGATAGCATTGGGAGACATACCTAATGCTAGATGACGAGTTAGTGGGTGCAGCACACCAGCATGGCACATGTATACATATGTAACTAACCTGCACATTGTGCACATGTACCCTACACTTAAAGTATAAAAAAAAAAAAAAAAAAAGCCTGACGTGACAAAGCTTAGTGAGGAAGGCATGTGGAAAGCCAAGACAGGCCTCTTTTGCTAAACAATTAACCAAGTTGTGAATGCCAAGAAAAGTTCCTGAAGGAATTTCAAAGTGCAACTCCAGTAAACACACAAATGATAACAAAGCAAAACAACCTCATTGCTGATGTGGGGAAAGCTTTAGTGGTCTGGATAGAAGATCAAACCTGCCACAACATTCCCCTAAGCCAAAGCCTAATCCAGAGCAAGACCCTAACCATCTCCAATTCTGTAAACGCTAAGAGAGGCGAGGAAGCTGCAGAAAAAAAAAAAACAAAAAACTTTAAAGCTTGCAGAGGTTGGTTCATGAGGTTTCAGAAAAGAAGTAATCTCCATTGCATGAAAGTGCAAGGTGGAGCAGCAAGTGTTGATGGAGAAGCTGCAGCAAGTTATCCAGATCTAGCTAAAATAGTTCATGAAGGTGGCTACACTAAACAACAGAATTTTAATGTAGATGAAACAGCCTTCAATTGAAAGAAGATGCTATTTAGGACAGGCTGACTCTTGTTAGGGGCTAATGCAGCTGATGACTTTAAGTTGAAACCAAGGCTGATGTACCCTTCTGAAAATCCTAGGGCTCTTAAGACCTATGCTAGATCTACTCTGCCTGTGCTCTAGAAATGAAACAATAAAGCCTGAATGACAACACATCTATTTACAGCATGGTTTACTGACTGTTGTAAGCCCACTGTTGAGATCTACTGCTCAGAAAAAAGATTCCCTTTAAAATATTGCTTCTTGGCTGGGTGCAGTGGCTCACACCTGTAATCGCAGCACTTTGGGAGGCCGAGGTGGGTGGATCACGAGGTCAGGAGTTCAAGACCAGCCTGGCCAAGATGGTGAAACCCCATCTCTACTAAAAATACAAAAAAATTAGCCGGGCGTGGTGGGACGCACCTGTAATCCCAGCTACTCCAGAGGCTGAGGCAGAGAATTGCTTAAACCTGGAGGGGCGGAGGTTGCAGTGAGCTGAGATCGCGCCACCGCACTCCAGCCTGGGAGACAGAGCGAGACTCTGTCTCAAAAAAAAAAAAAAAAAAAAAATGCTTCTCATTGACAATACACCTGGTCACCAAAGAGCTCTGATGTAGATGTACAAGGAGATTAACACTGTTCTCATGCCTGCCAACGCAACATCCATTCTGCAGCCCAAATATCAAGGAGTAATTTCAACTTTCAAATCCTATTGTTTAAGAATTATATTTTGTCAGGCTATAGCTTCCACAGACAGTGATTCCTCTGATGGATCTGGTCAAATTGAAACTTTCTGAAAAGGACTCATTATTCTAGATGCCATTAACAACACTCATTATTCATGGGAAGAGGTCAGAATATCAACACTAGAGGAAGTTGGAAGAAGTTGATTCCAGTCTTCCTGGATGACTTTGAGGGGTTCAAGATTTCAGTGGAGAAAGTAACCTCAGATGTGGTAAAAGCAGCAAGAGAACTAGAATTAGAAGTGGAGCCTGTAGCTGTCATTGAATTGCTGCAATCTCATGATAAAACTTGAATGCGTATAAGGAGTTGCTTCTTATGGATTAGCAAATAAAGTGGTTCGTTGAGATGGAACCTACTCCTGGTGAAGATACTGTGAACACTGTTAAAACGACAACAAAGGATTTAGAATATTACGTAAACTTAGTTGATAAAGCAGCAGCAGGGTTTGAAAGGATTGACCTCAGTTTTGAAAGAAGTTCTACTGTGGGTAAAATGATATAAAACAGCATTGCATGCTACAGGGAAATCTTTCATGAAAGGAGGAGTCAATTGATGCAGCAAACTTCAGTGTTGCTTTATTTTAAGAAATTGCCAAAGCCACCCCAACCTTCAGCAACTACCACCTTGATCAGTCAGCAGCCTTCAACATTGAGGCCAAGACCTTCCCCCAGCAAACAGATTATGGCTTGCTATAGGTTCAGATGGTTATTAGCACTTTTTAGCAATAAAGTATTTTTAATGAAGGTATGTACATTATCTTTTTAGACATAATGCTGTTGCACACTTAATAGCATTATATACACTGAGAAACCAAAAAATTTGTATGGCTCACTTTATTGCAATGTTCATTTTATTGTGGCAGTCTGGAACCAAACCTCCAATATCTCCAAGATATGCATGTACATACTTATGGTTGCTAATTTTTTTCTTAGAAAATTGACCCTTTATTATTATGTGAAGCTTCTTTTCATCCTCAATAGTTTTCCTTTCTTTGAACTCTGCTGGGCTTGAAATCACTATAGCCACCCCAGATAATTTTCACTGGTGTTAGTGTGAGGTATCTTTTTTTTCCCCATCCCTTTGCATTGAATTTATCTAAGTGTTTATATTTAAAGTGGATTTCTTGTGGACAACATGTAGTCAGGTCTTGTTTATTTATCTTTTCTACTCTAGTGGTCTTATTTTTTAATCCACTCAACAATCTTTTCCTTTTAACTAGTGTATTCAGACCATTCATATTTACAGTGGTTATTGATATGGTTGGACTAATGTCTACCATGTTTGTATGTGTTTTCTTTCTGTTGCAGTTGTTGTTTGTTTCTTTATAATCCCTCTACTTTTCTTTCTCAATTGAGAATTTCATACGATTATATTGTATCACCTGTCTTAGAATGTTGGCGATACTTCTTTTTGATATGCTTAGTGTTTACTCTAGTTTTCTATGTACATTTTTAACTAATATAAGTCCACTTCCAAATAACACTATAGCATTTCACATGTCCTATAGGTAACTTACAGCGTTTCCCACTTTCTCCCTTGCATCCCGTAAGATGCTACTGTTATTTATCTTCCCCACGTGCTATATTCATTACCTGTCTGATCCACCGAGAATGAGAACCATACAATACTCTATTGTATTTTCATTAACTTTTTCTCTGAAGCTCTTCCTTTTTGTATGTGGATATGAATTTTGGTTCTATAGCATTTACATTTTTCTGAAGAACTTATTTTACAATTTCAGGTAGGGAAAACCTGCAGCCAATGAACTCCCTCAGATTCTGTTTGTTAGAGCAAGTCTTTATTTCTACTTCACTTGTGAATAACAATTTGGTGGCTATAGAATGCTAGGTGAATAGGGGTTTTTTTCTGTCAACACTTTAAACACTTATCTCTGCTCTTTATTTTGTTTATTTTTTTGTATGATTTCTGATGATAAACCCACTGTAAATTATGTCCTTATTCTTCTAGGTTTGCTCCTCAGTGAGTAAAACAATTTTTTTGTCTCTAGCTTCTTTTGATTTTCTTTTCATTTTTTTGTTTTCTGCAGCCTAAATATGTTATGCATAAGTGTATATTTATTGATAATTAACATTCTTGCTATTGGGTGAGCTTTCTGGATCCATATTTGGTGTCTACCATTAACTTTGGAAATTCCTTGGCAATTATTACTTCACAATTTCTTCTGATCTGTCTCTCTTTAATCTCCTTTTGGTAATCCAAATATTCATGTTTTTCACCTTTTCACATTGTCCTAGAGATCTTTGATGTCCCATTCGTGCTGTCGTCATTGGTGCTGTTCTCAATTTTTTTTCTTTCCATCTCATTTTGGCAAGTTTCTCTTGCCATATTTTCAGGCTCATCAACTCTTTCTTCCCTTCTCTCCCATCCATGATAAGCTCATCAAAGGACATGTTTTATTTGTGTTATAGTAGGTTTTTTCTGAGTTCTACTATTTCTGTTTTGTTATTTCCCAGAGTTTCCATCTCTCTTCTTACCTTACCCATCTGTTCTTGCATATTATGTACTTTTTTTTTAAATTAAATCCTTTAACATGTCAATCATCGTTTTATAATTCCAGTATCTGAATCAGGTTACCTGACTAAAGTTTTATCAATGGTTTTGGGCACTGTGGCTTAGCTTGGTCAACATTTCCTAAAGTGAGGCAAGTGAAACATTAGCCCTATAGAATTATTTTCCTAGAAAAAAAATTGTGCATATCCATTTATTAGATATATACTTATTAACAATCTACACTAGATATTAGTATTTTAAGGATTTATTGAATGTACAATTAATTTTAGAGGGCTACAGTAGAGAAACTAATTTGCCTAACAAAGAGATTTCTCAACTTATTTGAGTTTAGAGATGTTTGTGGATACCTGTATTTCCTAGGTCTTGTATTCCCTGGAATATGCTTTGGTAAACAATACTGTAATTGAAATATATTTCTCAACCACTCCTTTATTCTTTTCTAGATTTTGTTAAGACCATGCATTTTTTTGCATATAATAGGTTCAAAAACATTTGATTTGATATTTATTATGGTATTCACTATGAAACTGTCCCAGAAGTCTTAGGTGTTCATTAAGTCTTTTATTTGTATATTTTTAGTTATGTGTTTTTTAAACTTAGAAGGCAAAGCAAATGTATAGAATATCTTTACCTAGTCAGCATCTATGAAAGCTCCAGTTCCGAAAGAAAGCAAAAGTTTATTTTTTTTTTCATATACCAAATGCTATTAAGTGCCAAGGTATGCCAAGTATAGTTCTGAATGTTCTGTCTCAGCTGAGGAAAGAGAAAAGGTCCTGCATGACAGAGTGTATAGTCTAAGTTATAACTCTGTGTTCTTGAAACAGCCCTTCCCTAAGAGACACACAGATCACGGCTTGTACTGTTTCTTATTTGTTAAGGCCTATGAATCATAATGAAGATGTGTCATGAGAAAGCCTGACAATTCTAATATTTCCTTAGGACAACCTGCATTTAAATCAGGGATTTCCAAAGTGTATGCCATGAAGCACTATGGAGTGTCATTATGTGCAATGAAAAATATGTTCCAAGATGAAATAATCTGCAGTACTTTGTGTTTAAGAAAATTAACCCTATTTACTTAGCGAAGGCATTCTTAGCACCTTTAACATACGTTCAATACTGTTATGCCAGGTTAATCTATCTGTGTATGAGGGGGTATCTACAACATTTCCCAAACTAGCTTTCCAGGGAATATCTCATAAATGTGATGTTCCATAAGTTATGTTTGGGGAAATACATTTCTATTCCCTGTGTACATAAGAAATGCCAATGTACTCAGATAAGAAATTTGTAAATGTGCCAATTTTATAAGCCCCCTTACTAAGGAAGGAAAAAAGTCTCAGGGGGAAACATACCAAAGTTATAATTCTGAATGATTTGGACTTTAAAGATGCTTTACATATTCAAAAAAAGTCAAAAAAGGAGAAAAAAATCACATTGCAAACTGAAAACAAGCTGAAACAAATCGGCCTATTTTTATATCAAAGTGGTAACATAATAACATGGAGAAAAATTATTTCAAGTAATCTTTGAAAACAGCAACCTGACTTTAAATCCTTGGTGGTTATATTGAAAGGATGAAGAGAATTATAGAGAAATCTTGCAATTCACTCAGTGGTTTTATTGTTAGTAGTAATTTGGGTATCATAATTTTGACATCATTTAATGTATCTTTTAGAATAAATAACTGTTAATGTTATTAGTGCAAACATATACATACCTATACACACATAAAATCAAAAAGGATAAGAAACCATGTCTTCGTGAATTTTCCAGGAAATAGTAATAAAACAGGGATTTAAAGCACACACACACATGCACACACACACGCACACACACACAGACACACACACATCCTAGCTTTACCTACTCAGAGGGTTTTAAAAGCAGGGATGCCTCGGAGCTGGTAGCATACGAGCTTAGTTCTTGGCTTCTAAGCAGCATTTCCCATTAAAAGAAAGGAGAGCTCAAAGACATACAATGATGTATCAAAGGTGAATCCATTGGATAAATGTGGGATAATTTAAGCATCAAAAAACAAAACAAAACACACAATGTGGGTTTCTTTTTTTTTTTTTTTTTTTTTTTTTTTTTTTGAGACAGGATCTGGCTCTGTGGTCCAGGTTGGAGTGCAGTGCTGCAATCACGGCTTACTGCAGCCTCGCCCTCCCAGGCTCAAGCAGTCCTCCTGCCTTGGCCTCCTGAGTATCTGGGACCACAGGTTGTGTGTGTGTGCATGTGTGTGTGTGCATGCGCGTGTGTGTGTGTGAGCGTGCAAGCGCGAGCATGTGTGTGTGTTTTAAAACATTTTTAAAGTTTTCTTTTGTAGAAATGTGATCTCACTGTGTTGCCCAGGCTGGTCTCAAACTGTCAAACTCCTGGCCTCAAGTGATCCTTCCACCTCTGCTTTCCAAAGTGCTGGGATTACAGGTGCGAGCCACTGTGCCCGACCACCAATGGTTTTAACTGTAAATACATGAGCCAATAAAAATATTGAACTACAAAAAAACCCAGAGCAGACGCAAAGTGGGAAACCCAAAACAGAGAGTGTGGGAGAGGAGGGGATGCGCCTCCCAGGTTCCTCTTCAGAAAATCCTCGGCAGAGCAGCAGCAGGGGGCGCAGGCAGCACCTGAGCTTCAGCTCCTCCCACCAGGCTCTGCCTGGGATCCAGGGAGCACCTCCCTCAGGCTAGTGCTCTTTGGGGTGTCAGGAGCCCTGAGTGAGGCAGGATGGAAAGTCCTGGCCACTTCAGTCCCACACAGGGCCACTGGGCAGCTGACCCGTTCTGGAGGCGATGCCGGCCCCAGAGTTTTCCTCCAGGTTGGCCAGGGCTTGCTCTGCCTGCACTACAGTTCAGCTTCTCCCTCTGCCCAGTTCTCCCCTTCCTTCATAGGTGAGCATCTCTAATACACATCCTGCAGCCCAAACTCCATCTTCGCATTAGATGGGGAGGGGGAATCCAAACTGTAACAAGAGAACAGAAAAAGAAAACTCATTTGTCACTATTAAAACTGACAATCAGGACCACATTTTACCCTGAAAGTTAGGAAAGAATTAAGCATTTACCCAGAACCAGTTTATCCTCAGTGTGAGAAAACAATTTAAATGGTCCATTTTCAGGGCATGATGAATCTGAGCACTGGCAGCCAGCCTGGAAATGTAACAAACTGCATGGCTCATGCACCTGGAAGGTCACAATAAGTGAGCAGAATGGAGAGGAGGGGTCGGCCCA
The DNA here is from genome assembly GCF_000001405.40 of Homo sapiens. Taxonomy (NCBI): domain Eukaryota; kingdom Metazoa; phylum Chordata; class Mammalia; order Primates; family Hominidae; genus Homo; species Homo sapiens. The sequence goes on from NC_000020.11 coordinate 60,715,974, forward strand.
TAAAAGGGAAGAAAGTTTCATGATTGGGAAATCGAAACTTAAGCGGGGAAGGAGACGGGGTATAACCTTATAAGGGGGATGAAATTTAGGCGACGTCCAGGAAGATCGTAACCCCGGAGAACTCAACCAATGAAGAAGTGGGGGAGGGACTTGCGTGCTAGGAGATAAATCACCTGTTGTGACTGCCCTGGGTGTGCCTGCCTACAAGACAGCCCATCTTGCAAGACTGTTATTAAAAGTCTCAGTTTCGCTGATCTTCGTGCCTGTAAGTCCATCCTTTGGGTTTGGGCAGATGAGTGTGTTTCTCACATCAGTTAATAAGAAAAGCTGTTCTTTATAGGAATATAGCAAGTAATAAGTGAGGAAGGAGGGATACAGTTAGAAAACCACCCTTCCCCAAGCTCTAAAGAAATCATTGATCCTGACAGACAGATTATCGGTGATGGCTAAAATCATTTGGGAGAAGATTCTTGGGAAAGGGACATAGTCTCTGCAAAATTATTATTTTAGAAAAACAAAACAACATGGCAGTAAGGGAGGTGGGGTAAGAACTGTAGAAAAGAGGGGACAGATTGAAGGCCATCCCCACCAAAGCCATGTGTAAATGTGTAAATGTTGACTGGTTGCTGGAAAGTGGAAAATCAGCTTGAAACACTAACTCCCCCTTAAACTGTGGGAATAACATGCCGGAGTTCAACATGGGGATGCAGATTGACGGGTATCTCTTACATCCTTACATCCTTACATCCTATGACTGAGGGGTGAGCGGGGAGTAGAGATTTGTGAATGGGTATTTGCTGTTGTGGCTTGCCCCCTGCATTCATTTTCTTCTTAGGATAAGGGGATCTCAGATCTCATTTGCTGAATCATTTACATCCCACTCAACGATCCCTGGGTTTGGGTGGGAGTAGCCACAGGACCAACCCCAAGAATTGTGTCACTGGCACCTGGCCATTCAGGCACAGTGACTGGACAGGGGTAACCACACGACACAGGGAGCCCTAGTGCTTTTTCTGAAACCACTGGGAAAGAGTTATAGACTTCATTAAAAGGTTAGTAAATGAGTAGGTGGTCAGCCTGGAGCTACATGCTGATCCATACAACAGCAATGGTGGCCCTGCCTGAGAATAGAGCAAATGCAAATGCAACCAAAGGCAGAGAAGGAGAACGACAGCATCATCTGGTTCCCCAGATCCAGCCATAACTGAAAGCAACCCCCAGACCTTTCCAGAAATAGAAGGCAGTAAGTTTCCTATTTGTCTAAAGCCAGTCTGATTTGTATTTCTTTCCTTTGCAACTAATAAAGTGCTGAATAAAATATATGTAATAGTCAAAAATGTGGGCAAATTTAGGTGTATATATGTGGGAATCTTTTAAAAATTTTCATAGAAAAAAGCATGCAAATTTTTATTTTTAAATTTTAATTATGAAACATTTCACATAAGCATAAAAGTGCAGAAAAGAACAAATTATCCATGGGCCCACCTCTGAACAGATATTAACATTTTGTCATATTTGCTTCTGAGTTCTTTACTGAAGCATCTGCGTGGTTTGAAATGCAAGGTAGGAAGAGTATAAAGTGTTCTATCTGCTCTTTCTGTCTCCTGAGATCTTTTCCCTTAACGACTTTCAGGATTCGTGGATTTCAGTGTATCTTTTCATAACTATTCAAGTACATCCATTGGCTATACATTTTACCACAAATTACAACATTTATGTAATTAGACTTATCCTTTGCATTTTCCAAATAATATATATTGGAGATTGTTTCCTTATAGGACATATAGAGCTGATGCATTTCTTTAGCAGCTGTGAAGCATCCCTAAATCTAAGTCAAACATTTTGTATAATTGTAATTTTGATAGATTTTACAAAAGGTCCAATGTAGAGGTCATATCAATTTATACTCCCACTGATTATGTATGAAAATCTATGCCACAAAGGCTGGTCAGGTTTGAATGATCAAATCTTTGCCAAGGTGATCAGTGAAAAAACGGTATTCCGATGTTGTTTAAAGTTGCATTTTATGTTGAGCATCACTGCATCTATTTAAGGGCCACTTGTATTTCATTTGTATTTTGCACCTATTTTTTATTGGTTGTTTTAAAATTGGACACACACACACACACACACACCCACACACCCACACTGGCCATTTGTGACATAAATAGCCAATGAATTTTCCAGTTTCTTATTGGCCTTTTTACTTTTCATTATGGTGATTTTTCTCATATAGAATTTGTAAAATTTTATTTCTATGTCACCAAGACTAATCTATTTTAGGGTTTTGTGTCATTTTTAGCAAAGTGTTATGGGTTGACCTGTGTCCTCCCCAGTTTAATCTGTTGAAGCCCTAACCCCCAATACTTCAGTATGTGACTGTTTGCAGAGACAGGACTTTTAACAAGGTAATTAAGTTAAAATGAGGTCGTATCTGTGAACTTTGATCCAATATGACCGGTGTTCTTATAAGAAAAAGCTACAGACAGACACACATGAAGGGAAGACCATGTGAGGACCCAGGGAGAAGATGGCCCTCTGCAAGCTGTGGAGCGAGGCCTAAAACAGATCCTGCCCTCAAGGTCTCCCAAGAAACAAACCCTGCTGACATCTTGATCTTGGACTTCCAGCCTCCAAAACTGTGAAAACTAAATTGCTGTTGGTTAAGCTCTCTTGTCTGCAGTACTTTGTTACTACAGCCCAAGTCAATTGAGACAGAAGAATTTCTTACATTAAGATTTTTAACACGCAAAGAGTTCCATTATCCTCCAGCAGATAGATTACTTTATTGTCAACATTTTTATGCATTTCTTATTTTTTGTGTCTTCTTCAGTGGGTAAACTCCACTTCAGAGAGATGCTACCACTTCTAAAAGAAGGGCGAGGAGAGGAGATCCCAGCACTGGGTGATGACTGGGCCTCCCCCGTGCATCCTCTCTTACCCGTCTCTGCCACTGCTCCCATAGGGGGCGCTGAGCCCTGATAACAGGTATGGTAGCAACTACGATGAGACTTAGCTCTCCCCAAAGAAAACAGAATGGGCTGGAAGTGTGTTCACTCCATTCAATCATCACGCAACATATCCAGTAACGATCTCTCAGACATAGCAAGAGAACATTTCCTCTATGTAGCAGCCTGTCTGCCCTGCCCAGGAAGCACACTCAGCAGCAGCCCCAGGCCACGGGCACTCCAGCAGGTCTTCCTCAAGCACTGGTGAGCAGCAGAGAATTCTTACAGGCTAATACCCTATCCAACAAGCTGTGCTTGTGTCCCCAGGGAGAGATCAAGTTAGAAAAACTCATCTTGAACAGAATTGTATTCACAGCTCTGGCTTGTGCAGAGCTGGTTTTGTTTTCTAATCAAGCATCTGGGCTGAATATTTATTCACTTTCGCCTGCTCGTAAACTCATTGTATGGCTTTTAAGTGGGGGAAAAATGTCCCGTTTCATTGTTAGTTGATACTGAAAGTGTTTGATAAAAGAGCCAATTTGTCCTTTTCCCCATTGGATTTAGATTCGAGTTAACAAAAAGTCACGACTGAAGTGGTTGGTCATACATCAAAGAGTTTAGATCTAATGGGCTTTTGAAGAGACAGTGTAAACATGTGGGAATAGTGTTCTAAGGCAGTAATGTTTCTTTAGAACACCATGAGGCTTTTATGACTATGAACAGTGTTTAAATTTTAAATGGCTTTTAAATAAGTTCTTTCAACCTCTCTTTCTTTCCTCTTGCCACAATTGGACTCTAAGTACATCTTGTCAGTATTGTACCAATCATAGGTATTGTGGTTAGCATGCAACATTGCTGCAGGGGAGGCAAGAAGACACATTTGACTTTCCATGCTATACATTTGTCATCATATGAACAGGGCTTTTCTGCATGTATTATTGGTCACAAGATCACTTAACACTCTTCCAGGACTCTTCTCACAGCCTCAGATTGGTCAGTTCTGTGGACCGTGCTGGTATTTTCTGGATTCATCTTCAACGTGCCCTGCTAAGGTGCCATAGAACCAAAGGTCAGATAATGGAACGCTAGACTATTAACACTATAATAGACTGGCTCACCGTTGGATGTCCAGCATGTAACATAGTGCCTCGTACCTAGGAAGCCTCAATGAGTGGGTAATCTTTTTTAAAAATTGTGAACTGAGTAAATAGACCAACCTTCAAAATAAGGACAACTAGAAAAATCATACAACATATTAAAAATGTTGCAAGAATGCGATAGAATGCAAACATGAAAGTGATGGATTACTGGGATATGAGTCCATAAAGATGCTCTAACATTAAACATGATAGTGATGGATTACTGGGAGAAGAGGCTGGGAAGATGCCCTAACATTAAGGGGTGCTACTCCTCTGTGGTCATTGACGTGAGCCAGAAGTAGCCAGGCCATTACAGACTCTGCAGCTCAGCTTCTAATGATCTCAGTCACTAAAAAGGGATAAAGTTGAACCCAGATTACTATAGGAAAGTTAAATGGCATCAGCTGGGACCCAAGTCATTTCTGCAAGCAACTGTAAAAACACAACGTCCAGGACATTATATAAAATAGCCAGGCTCATGAGATGGAAAGATAACATATTTAAAAACCAATAGAAAATACAGATAACAGGGACAAATTCAAAGGGAATCCAAAAAAACTGAGCTGTGGACCTAATAAAATCCCAACAACTGTTATTATCATTCACGTGCAAGGAAGTAAAAGCCATTGAGAATTTTTAGAAAGAACCCAGAAACTGTTAAAAAAGATAATCAATTGAAAATAATGAAACAGAAAAAAAAATAAACAAACATGTAGAACTTGGTAGATTTAACATAAATTGGATGCAGAATCAATTAGTGAGATGGAAGACAGGTTAGATGTCAACGTCAAGAGTAAATCACAGACTGACAAATTGTGGAAAGTACAGAAAGGGGCACAAGAGACATTGCAGATACCAAGAGAAGGATGGGCGCATGTGTAATGGGAATTCCAAAAGAGAGGAGAGAGAAAATTGAACAGAAACAATATTATATTGGCAGATAACTTTTCAAAGCTAAAAAAAGACAAAAATTACAAATCTAAGGAGCTTTATAAATCCAAGCATAGTAAAATTTTTAAAAAGCATATGCACTAAGGTATATTACAGTAAAACATTTGGAAACAAAAGGTAAAGGGAATTTTAAACATTCTCAAAAACAGCCAGATGAAAGGGGCCGGGTTCCTCCAAAAGAACAATGAGAACTGAAATCCACAACTCTCTTCTCAACAGAAGAAACGCAAGCCCAACGCAATAAGACTATGAAAAGGTGGTAAAGGGCTAAAAGAAAGCAACTACCAAGCTGGAATTCTGCCCAGCACAATAATAACTTTTAGTGATGGAGAAGAAATAAATACATTTTCAGACAAATATATGAGCAATTTTAGCATCTCCAAGCCAGCACTAAAGGAAATACTGAAGTTGTTCATCAAGCAGAAGGAACCTGGCTCAGACAGAGCAGAGAAAGTAACAAAGAACAAAAAAAAATGGCAAAGGTGAAGGCAAACATAAATAATACGGGCTGTATAAATTACCGTAATAAAATCCTTTAAAATAATACAGCTTAGGCCAGGCGCAGTGGCTCATGCCTGTAATCCCAGCACTTTGGGAGGCTGAGGTGGGTGGATCACCTGAGGTCAGGAGTTCGAGGCCAGCCTGGCCAATGTGGTGAAACCCTGTCTCTACTACAAATACAAACAATTAGCCGGGTGTGGTGGCGGACACCTATAATCCCAGCTACTCAGGAGGCTGAGGCAGGAGAATTGCTTGAATCCGGGAGGCAGTGACTACAGTGAGCTCAGATCACGCCATTGCATACCAGCCTGGGCAACAAGAGCAAAACTCCATCTCAATAAATAAATAAATAATATAATATAATATAGGTTACTCAAGGAGTTGTTCCTAGTTCAGTTTTGTGGCCTTTCATCCTACATATACATATTTTGTTTGCAGCCAATTCTCAAGGGAACCCCTCTGCAGATTTCTGGACCTCTTCTGTGTGCAGCTCCCTTCTTTCAAGTCCTCTGTCCCTCAATTTCAAGCCAATTACATCCCCACCAACTCTGTCTCCTCAACTTAGCAAAATCATCAGGCTAGGTGTGAGCCACTACTCCCTGTTTTGTAGTCTGAAATTTGCTTTTAGCAGAGAGCTTGGGCAATCTTAGGGCTCAACTTGCTAATTCCTCTTCTCGTGCGGCCCATTTTCCTACCCTATTGTACAATATCCAGTTTTCTATCTGTTAGTTCAGAAATTATATTCACTTTCCTTCATTCACTGAAAATCTTCTAAGGATAATTAATAAATGCCTTTCCTATAATTCATATATAGTTCATCAATATTTTAAACTTTAATCTAGAATGATGAACACTAATAAAACTTATTAGATATCTAAAGGAGCAGACAAGGTGGCCTGTAACCAGGAGAAAAGTCACTCAACAGAAACAGACCCCAAAATGACAATGATGATAAGATTTGCATACGGGGAGGTTAATACAACTATTACAAACATGCTTCAGTTGCTCGAGGATGTAAGAAAAATATAATGAGAAGAGAAGTGGTCAGTATAAAAAAAAAAAAGAAAGGAAACTTCTGTAAAGATAGACAAGCAGGCCACTGGATACAATCTAGAGTCTGGAGCATGCCCCACCTATGTGGACAGTGGACTTAAAATAAAGGTGGCATTACAGAGCTGAGTCTAGTCAAATACACAGTGGTGGATAAAGTGTATGTCCACGTAAGGCACAAAGGAAGCATGATTTCTATATTATGCCACACTAAAAACCAGCCGAAGTGGATCACAGACCTAAATGTCAAAGGTAGAACCATGGAGACCCTCAAACAGGAGAATATTTTCATTACCTCAGAAGTTAGGACATTGTTTTTCAAATCCCAGAGTAGTAAAACAAAAAAAAAAAACACCAGTCATAAAGGAAAAGATTTCTAAATTTGATTATATTAAAATTAAGAATTTCATTCCTTCAAGAGACACACTGAAATAAGTGAAGCCCCTAGGTTGAAAAATATATTTACATCTCACCTATGAAGAGGTACTATTCTAGAAGAGTAGGAGATACATAAAGACCTCTTTCAAATCAATACTGAAATGGACAACCTAGCAGAAAAGCAGGCAGAAGACTTGAATCGGCTCCTCCAAAAGAGGATAGTCAAATGGCTAATACATGTATGAAAATGTCTCAACCTTATTAGCAGTCAAAAAATGCAAAATGAGAGCAACATGAGGTACCTCTTACACTCACCAGAAGGGCTAAAATTAAAAAGACTAAAATACAAAGATACAGGTCAGGATATGGAGGAAGAGGAACTCACATACTACTGGTAGGGATATAAACTGAAACAACCACTTTGTAATAGTGTTCTGTATTTGAAGCTACACCAATATTATGACTACTATTTTACTATTCCTCAAGTAGGTATTTTTTATACATTAAAGAAAAAGGGATGAACTGTAGCCATGTGCAACAGCATGGATGGATGAATCTCAAAAATGAACACTGAGCCGGCCGGGCGCAGTGGCTCATGTCTGTAATCCCAGCACTTCGGGAGGCTGAGGTGGGCAGATCACGAGGCCAGGAGATCGAGACCATCCTGGCTAACACGGTGAAACCCCATCTCTACTAAAAATACAAACACAAAATTAGCCAGGCGTGGTGGTGGGTGCCTGTAGTCCCAGCTACTTGGGAGGCTGAGGCGGGAGAATGGCATGAACCCAGGAGGCAGAGTCTGCAGTGAGCTGAGATCATGCCACTGCACTCCAGCCTGGGTGACAGAGCGAGACTGCATCTCAAAACAAAAAACAAAAAACAAAAAACAAAAAACGAAACAAAACAAAAAAAAACACTGAGCCAATGAAGCCAGACTTCAAAAGAATATGAACTATGCTATTCTTTTCATCTCGTATGTTTAAAACTAAACTGTAATATTACAGTAGTGTGCTTGTATGATAAAACTTTAAAGAAAAGGAAAGAAGGGATTATCATTAAAGATGGGATAGCAAAATCACTCCTGAGAGTGGGGAGAAAGTGATTTGGTGGGGCGAGAGGGGACTTCGGGGTGTAGAAATAATCTATGTCTTTATCTGGGTGGTGATGTACTGGGGGCTCATTTTGTGACCAAGCACTGAGATGTACATTTAACATTTTTACTCTTTTCTGTATGTGCCATATTCATAATAGCACAAATGTTACACAAAGAAAAAGCAATTCAGGGTTTGAGTTAGATGTCCTTTCAGGCAAATAGCTCCCACAAGAAAAAGTCTTAGACAAGAAGATCAAGGAAAATGTGAAGTATGTATCACAAGATTCCAGAGCAGAGCATAAATATAACAGGACAGTTCCCATTATGTTCCCAGGGCAAATTCAGGAAGTAGAGTATACTAAAATATGCTGATACAGAATCTGATGTGAGCCCATTGTAGTGTGGGAGAAGGGAGGAGAGGAGAGGAGAGGAGAGGAGAGGAGAGGAGAGGAGAGGAGAGGAGAGGAAAGGAGGGAAGGAAGGAAGGAAATGGAGGGAAGGAAGGGGGAAGGAAGCAAGGAAGGAAGGACGAAGAGGGAAGGAGAAGGAAGGAAGGAATTAAGTGTATTTTAATAAAAGTGCATGTTCATTAGAAACTTTTTTGAAAGAAAATATTGTTTATCAAGTGAAAGAGATAACCAGTTGCAAATGCCACCGTTTAGAAATAATCACCTGACACTGTGGTATAGGTTTTGTATCTCTGCATCTATATATGGATATTTCTCTATCTATATCAACACAATGCAAGGCATATAGGAACTATTCAATAAATGCTATTTTCCTTCTTACCTACATCATAGGAAATTGCTTTTATTATTCTGTTTGAAACCTGTGATTTTGATCCAATGTTATAATATAAAGGAAGAACAAGTTTCTTTTTTTATTCTAAAACTTTGACATTATGGAATTCAATAGCTGGTGGTTTTCCACGCAGTGCTGTTTTTGTGATGCATATAATTATTATCATCTAACATTTACGGAGCACCCTCTGAGGAAAAGACATTGTACTAGATACAGTATGAACAATATTTCAAAGAAATCAGCAACTATAGCAACTTGCAGAAAAAAAAATTGATTTTTAAAAAGTAATTTGACTTTCTTGGGGAAATATTTAATTACATGTGGACATATTTGCATATTTTCTTTGTGACATGCTTATTTCAAAAGTAAGAGAAGATCTATTAAATTGTTACAGACTAGAGGGAAAGTAAGAAATCCAGTTATTTATAGTTTTGGGGAAAATGCAAAAGTGCAAATGCCATTCTCTACTCTTTTTCTATCTATCTCTCCCTGCTTTATCGTTTCTAATCTTATAACAATGACAGAAGCCTCCATGTTGCTGATTCTCACTTTAGATCTTAAGTAATAGCTGCCTCTTTAACCTCAAACAGTTATTTCTAACTACCCACGAGCCACTTCTACCTGATCCTCCCACAGGAAGCTCAAAAGCATCTATGGAAACCTAAACTCATCATCCTCCCCTCCTCCTCCAAAAAGATTCCCTACTAATTTACTAACTGATACTGCAACATCATCAGTCTCTCCAGCTTAAGTCTTCAGATAAATCTTTGACATTTCACTCTTCCTCACCCACATTGAATGAGTCAACAATCCTTGATTACGCCTCCTTAATCTTTCAATTCCATTTTCCTCCACCATCTCTTTACTCACTGAGTCAGCATCTTTCACCTTTACTCTTGTAGGAGCCTCTAAAAGGTCTTATGCTCATCACCTGTTAGTCTTTTCTATGCAATAGTCATAACATTCTTTTTAACACTGATCTTATCATGTTATATCGAAGATGAAACACATTTATGATTCCCCAGTGCCTGCAGGACAATGTCAAAATCCCTAAACAAGACAGCCAAGCCCTCTCATTAATGCCCCAATTCAAGATGACAGCATCTCCTCTTATGTTTGATGCAAATTTCAGTAACCAGGGCTTCTTATAATCCTTTTACACACTATTGGATTTCATGTCTCCATGTCTTTGCCTGAAATAGACTTTTTTTTGTATCAGTTATAGCAAACTTCTGTTTATCTTCTAAGGTCAAACACAAAATTCACCCTCAGTTTTTTTTTTCTTACCTACAAAATTAAACATACAGTTTTTCTGTTAGGGTCCTGAGCAGGACCTACTCTATCCAGTCACCTTCATGCATCACTCACCGACACAGTGCTCATTCATTCTTTCAAAAAGTTGGTGAGTACTTAATAATTGTGTTTGAGATGCCAGTCACAATTCAGGCACTGGGGATACCAGGTAAATAAGGCAGGCTTCTGTCTGACCTCTTTGCATCTTCCCTTCTCATGGTGGGAAGCAGCAGAACAGAAGTAAATAAATAAAGTTATGAAGAAAATAAAACAGGGTCATGGGATAGAATATGACTAGGTGGGATCTACTTAGTGTAGCCTGGAAAGTCACTTCTAATGAGATGAAATGATAACACATCTGAATTATGACAAGGAACTAGGCATGTGAAGAGGCAATAAAGCTTGTTTCAGAAAAAGAGAACAGTAGTTGCGATGACCTGAGCTTGGAACATACTGGTAGCGTGCACAGTAGACGAGTGCGCCCGGATCATGGCCAGCAAGAAGTCAGTGGCATGAGGCCAGTCCAAGGCTGGATCACAGAGTTCTTCTTTTGTAACTCTTTTTAAAAAGTTTTAATGATTGCCCTAAGGGTTACAATACACACCTTTAATTAATTACAGTCTACCTTCTAATAATGTTACAGTGTTTCACATGCTGTATAAGAAATCTTACAGCTGTATAATTCCGATGTCTCCTCTCCATCTTTTGTGATAATATAAAATGTATTGTCACACAGTTTACTTTTACATAGTTATAAATCCATAATGCACTGCTACTGTTTTTGTTTTTGACAATTACCTTTCAGAGTGATTAAAACTAAGAAAACTATATTTTGTATTTATATTCATTTTAACCATTTCTGGAGGTTTTCATTTCTTTCTGTAGATCCAAGTTTGTAAGTCATATTCCCTTTGTCAGAAGAATTTCCTGGCACACTAATCTTACTGCAAGATAGCTGATAATAAGGTCTCTAAGTTTTTTATTTGTTCAAAAAATATTTATCCCTCATTATTGAAAGCCATCTATACTAGGTATAGAATTCTGGGTTGACAATTTTCTTTCCAGCTTTTTAAGAATTTTACTCTATTGTCTTCTGACTTGCATAGTTTCTGATGATAAGTCTTATGTATTTTCTCTTTCTTCCCCCTCTATATAATGTGTCAATTTTTCTTTGGATTCCTTTAAGGTTTGCTATTTATCTTTGGTTTTCAGCAGTTTGAGTATGTGTATTTCTTTTAAAATAATTTTAAATAAGTGTCCTCTCTGTGTGTCATAACATTTTTTTTTACACTTGAATGCTGTTTACCTGTAAATGGCATGTGTAGAACAATGGAGATTGATGTAAATAATATTTATGCCTGATGTGGGCATGCAACTTTTGATAGACTGTTGGGGCTAGAGTTGAGCCTCTCTAGCCAGGAGTTGAGCTAAGTGTGGGTTTTGTTGCTACTATGGTTACTGGCTTTACATAACTCTGGCATTACCTCATGCTTCCAGTGGGGGCTGGTTTACTGGAGGGCTTTTCTTAACGATACTACTCACCCTCACTTTGGGACTTCCCTGGATGCCTGCACATCACAAAGAGTCTCCTCCATGCCCTTACCCTTCTCTGATGGTAGACTTCTATTTCTTATTTCTCTGTGCTTGTTAGCCAGGGGTGGGGAGCAGTTATGCTGTCCTGATCAACCCTTAGTCTCAGAAAATCTTGATATCCCTGGGTTTTGAGGGTGGGGCTGTCTCAGAGATCCTGCCCCTCTCTTACCACCAGAACGCCTGTTATGGTCCATGCCTAGGATGGATGCCTGCCACTTCCCAAAGGGTAAAATGTTTCTTATTTTCTCTTCCTCTCAGTCATAATGAGTTTCCACCTGTACTCAGGGGTCAACAAGGTTTGCTGCCCCTCCTGAAGCATCTTAAGACATTTGTAGAGGAGGAGGATTCAGGCAGGACATTGTGTCACTCCATGGTAGCCATTTCACTTCTATGAGCCTGCACCCCTAAGGGAGGCTTTCTCTAGCCTCTCTTTCCCAGTCTTTCTCCTGAGCTCCTGGTGGAGGTCAACGGAAAGGAATCTGCAAGTAAGTGCATGCCCATTGTGTCCCTCAGGATATTCTACACTTCGTTTTTAGCAATTTACACTCAATTCTGCTCACCTGTTTGCATGGCAGCCCCATCTTACTTGTGTGCTCTGCCACAGGTGAGCCAGTAATCATGTCTCATCTCCCTTGGATTTGACTTTTTGTCCCTTGTATTTCAGGCTACTTGATTGCCCTGCAATCTCAGTTCTCTGATGGGTTTAAGTAACATTCTGACTTTGTAGATTGTTGAGCTTTTACTTCTTGCGAGATGTGTGTGAGCAACCTTCTTTTCAGCCTTCTGCTGGAAGAGTTATATAGTCTATGAAGTCATGGCAAGAATTGTGACTGGCATGCAGTCAATGCTCAGGAAAAACGTATGAATTAAACTCACAATTCAGAAGTCGTCTGTTATTCCACAGGTGGGTTATATTGACTCATGTAGTTTATTCTCCAAACTGAGCCGGAGGCATCCTTTTGGAGCACAAATACTTCAGAGGCTTCCAGTGCCCTTAAAATAAAACATAAACCTCATTGCTTACTTACTTGGCCAGCGTAAGTCTGAACCTCATTACTCTTTCCTTTGTGCAGTGAGTGGTAATGAGCCTGATCTTCTTCCTTAAATAAAACACGTTTCCTATTTCATGCCCTTAAGTGTGCTGCTCCTTCTGTCCTGAAGAATGCCAGTATCCCGCATTTCCAAGGCTAGTTTCCTCTCTTCTCTCCTCAATGGCATTTCTGTGGTGAGGCCTTCCTTGAATAGAACCTCTACGATCTAATACAGTACCTGGGATTTATATTCTTCTTCTTCACACTGATACATGCTTTTTTGTGTCTCCAGCACTTCACATGCATGCTTGTGACTTTCCCATGGTGAAATATGAGTTCCATGGAAGCATGAATTCAGTTTATTTCCCTGCTGTGTCCCTGGGACATAGCACTTCTCAGGTGCTCAACATATCAAAAAACAACTGAATCAATGGAAATCTGCATTAACTATTGTTAAACAAATCCCCTCTGCTGCTCATCCTGAAACACCCTACATGGAGTTGCCCAATTGAGAAGCAGCTCAACTGCAAGGCACGGCCTGCAATAAGGAACGTCTGGGGCTCCCACTTTAATAAACCAACCCTTACATATCTGTCCACAGTGGTTAAGCCTGCAGGGCTCATTTCCCCAGTTAGCAGTGACCCAGCCTTTAAGTCGGCTTCAGTCTCTGCTGTGCCATAGGAGAGGCCAGCAAACTGTAAATGGCCAGAGAGTAAATATCTTTGGCTTTGAATGCCATATGGCTACAATGTCGTAACTACTCATCTGTGCAATGTAGCACAAAAGGAACCATAGACCATATGCAAATGAATGAACACAGCTGTGTTCCAGTGAAACTTTATTTACAAAAACAGACATTAATCCTATTTGGCCCACAAGCTGTAGTATGCAGATCCCTGGGCTGCTGACCAGTACCGGTCTGAGGCCTGTTAGGAATTGGGCCACACAGCAGGAGGTGAGTGGCAGGCAAGTGAGGATTACTTCCTGAGCTCCGTCTCTTATCAGATCAGCAGCAGCATTAGGTTCTCATAGGGGCATGAACCCTATTGTGAACTGCATATGCAAGGGATCTAGGTTGTGCGCTGCTTATGAGAATCTGATGCCTGGTGATCTGAGGTGAAACAGTTTCATCCTGAAACCATCCTCCCCAACCCCGTCCATGGAAAAATTGTCTCCATGAAACTGGTCCCTGTTGCCAAAAAGCTTGGGGACCACCGCTCTATAAGATCACCACCTCCCTCCTTAGGTGCTATCTCCAAAGGCCTGCATTTTTTAAAATCCATCACATGGCTTCTATTTTAACTCAGACTATTCCAAATATATTTGAAGCTTTCTGAAAATGGGTTCAGCCATGTTTGCGTGACAGGTTATCAGATGGAAAACACACTTAATTTCATTATTTAAATATAGTTTATTGAGTTATTCCTACATGCCAGGCATGGTGTGGAGCAGTTTCCATTCATCCTGTCACTCGATCTCCCAACAGCATGATGTGTGCATCACTATTTCCATCTGGCAGTGAAAAAAAAAAAAGTCTCAGTGTGTTCTTTTTTTGCTGTGTGTTTTTTTTTTATTTTTATTTTTTGATGGAGTTTCACTCTTGTTGCCCAGCTTGGAGTGTAATGGCATGATGCAACCTCCACCTCCCAGGTTCAAGCAATTCTCCTGCCTCAGCCTCTGGAGTAGCTGGGATTACAGGCATGCACCACCACGCCCAGCTAATTTTGTATTTTTAGCAGAGACGGGGTTTCTCCATGTTGGTCAGGCTGGTCTTGAACTCCCGACCTCTGGTGATCCACCCGCCTCGGCCTCCCAAAGTGCTGGGATTAGAGGCGTGAGCCACCACGCCCAACATCAGTGTGTTCTTGTGGTTAGTTATGGTGTTCAGAGAGAGTGGATCATGTGAGATCACAGTTGGTTCTTTACATTTACAAATACTGGCTGGCACTGAGCTGGTTCCTCAACACGTGCTAAATGAGTTTCTACTGAGTCTAACTGAAGCGGACGTTTACACTTTGACATCAACGTTGCAGTTCTCTATCATTCAGAACAGATGCATCTCTGCAGCTGCCAACTCTGGAGCCTGTGCTTATCCAATCTTCCTGCTCCATGAGACCCCAGAGTGAGTCTACTCATAGGATGAAAAAGCACTCTGTAAGGACCCTGGCCTGAGGAATGTCTATCCAAGGAGAGGCTCTTATTTTCATTCAAAAGATAATTGCGTGGAGACATTGACTTAACCAACACTGGGGTTGAGCCAAACAGTTATTGAATCATCTGTTGATCCAGTTACAATGGTAAATACGATCAGCCTGTGTAGACAAGAGATTAGAAAGATAGCTTTTTCTTTTCCCTCTAAAAGGAGTTGCACAGGTTACTGTGAGAACTGTCTAATTTCTGAATGATGTCATGGGGAAGAGTATGCATTTCTTCCAAGCAAATGCCAGGTTAAAGAGTGGTCAATGGGTAGAAGCCACCATAGGCACCATCATCATTCACCATCACTCATTTCAGGTTTATTGTAGAGCTATTTGAGCATTGGTTGGGTGCATGATGAAGTTATGGTTGCCAATATTCAAGGACATTCAAGGTGAGCACCCACTGAGGATATTCTAGAGAGCACTCTAATGATGCATGCAGAGTGTATCTAAACTCCTTTGTGTTCTTTTCCTTATGCAAGGCCATAATATTCTATTAGGACCATTACTTCAATTGCAGAGAAATATTTCTCATTAAAAAATGCCTGTTGAATGAGGACAGCTGGCAGGAAGAGCCACCTGTCCAATTAGCAGCAGCCCAGCCGTGCCTCTCCCAGATCCTTTGGCTCCCTGTAACCATCTTGGGAGCTTTCATTTATGTCTATAACGGTGTTCCTCATTGTTTTCTACAAAGCAAAAAATGTCTGGAGAGACAGCTGGTTCAAGACATCTTACCTGTATAAACAATATCTTTGCTTTCCAGTCTGCGGTGGCATTGTTCTGTCCCTGGTTGAATACGTTATGTTTGAAGACATTCAAGTTGTAAACACAGAGCCATCCATCCTTCAGCTAGGCAGGGGTTTGGGTAATTAACAACAATCAAAGTTGCTGTATTCAGAGGTTGGAAGAAGATCTGGAGGAAAGATTCTCACTCTTGGTTTAATTTGCTGATGAAAATGTTGGATGGGGAAGAAAGCTTAGTCTGGTCCTCTCATCTTGCAGGTTGAGAAATGGGGGCTGGATCAATGTAGGTGGCAAGACAAGAACTTATGATTCACTTTCCTTCTCTGAGACCAGCATTACTGCATTTATGCAACACAGGAGAAGACTGAAAGTTTGAGGGGAGAGAATGGCTTTCCTTCATTTGGAGTTCTTGAGAAATCAGTTTCTGAGTATGGGCCTACTGGGATTTTATTCCATTCTTCCAACCTCGCCAGTCTTCACAAACGTTTGTCCCACTACTGCAGGAGTGGCAAAACCTTAACCTGCTTTTGGGCTTTACTTGGACAGTTTGTCAAAGAGCTGTACTGAATACAAAAGTGCTCAAAAAAACAACAGTGTGTACCTGGGAACCCTAGAAGCCATTCTTCCCTCTTCTAAATTAGATCCACTGGATTATGAACTTTTGGCTGGGTTGGAATTGCTCCCTATACAGCTCTGAAGACATGCCTCTTTATCTTCCTGTCCTAAATTAGAAGCAGGATTTGAGAAGGCGTCTTAACTAAGAGAATAAAAACATTCTCAAACAGATTCGATTGGAGGGAGGAGCTCATACTACTTTTAAGGCCACTGAAGAAATATTCATTGCATATGGAACTGTGTTGCTCTTGGTATTTCCTGAAACAGTTCTCATTTCAAACATTCTGCCTTATTACCCAAGTAAGTAAACTCATACACACAAAAACGTCTTTCCTCATGTTGATTTCTGGAATATGATCCCTGTTACTTTATGGAGTATGAAGATAGTAAATCCAAGTCCTCCTCCTCAAGAAGCTTTCTGTCTGGTTGAAGAGCTCTACATGCATGAAAAATGAGCCAAACAATTCGAGAGATATTTGTCTGCAGGGAAGGATTAAGGGCCAAGTGAGTGGAACAGGAGAGGACTGGTGGGTAGAGTCCTCAGGTGCTTGTCCCTGTTGCAGGTTTTGCATTTGGAGAAAGACTGTGTGCCTTGTCTCATGAGACAAGATAACGTCTGGCTCAGCTTGGTGACAGTGCATTGAAGGTCCATGTGGCTTTGTCTGCCTATACAACAGTAGCAGTGCAGATGAGCTTAGATTCCTTTTGTTTTACTGGTATCATATTGACATTTTATATTCTTATTTTGTACTCAGCGACTGAGCAAGGCAGAGTTCATTCCAAACACTGCAGCTGAAAGACTAACTTGCTTCCTAGAGGACAATAGTTAAATACATTCTCAACTTCCGAGTCCTCCCAATTGAAGTTTTGGTGCCTACAGTGGTGCCCACACTTGTGGCTGATGCATACGTGAATCCCTTTATCTGTTTTCATGGACAGCTGCGTTCGTGCTCACATGGCGTGGTCGGAGCTCTTCCATCATAAGGATGTTGGGCAAAACCTTCTTTGTGCACCTGTACCCACCTATTTAATTTGCTCCAGTTAAAAGAGAAACAGTTTGAGTGAAAGGGCTAGTATCATTTATTTTAGTGATAAATATTTTAATTTGTTCTAAGACTTCCAAAAATCACACTCATTTTTCACGTACATTTTTAAAAGTATGTAAAAGAAACATAAACTTATGAAAAAAATGTTAAAGAGCATATATCTTGTTAAAACAGCGGTTATTTATTAAAGGTAATTGTAGCTATTTAGTTTGGTGGAAATAAAACTTTATACACCCCAAAAATATGTGGGGGAAAATTATTGAATGCCTTATCTAGCTATGAATTCCTTTGAACTATTGACTATTGAAGTCCTCTGACTATGGACTATTGAAATACCTATTGATGTCTTGCCAGGAAGCCACTGTCTCACAGCCATAGGAGCAAGGAAAATTTGCCTGATCCTGCTGTGGTCTCCTCTTGCCTTCTCTCATTTCCTCCCTCACGACTCACAGCAAGTAGAGGTGCACACACTACTTGTTTTCCAGGAAAGGCTGAGGAATGTTTAGGGAGCAAATGAGTGAGAGAAAGGTGACTTCATCTCCTGAGAAAGCAAGGCAGAAGGAAGGAAGTGACGCTGGAAACATCTCTGAATATGCGTTCTCCTGGAACCTGAGTCCTGTTCCCTAGGACTGACTCTTGCACAGGAGGGGGCAGAGATTAATTGTGCTGGAGTGCTGTAGATTTTTGGCTAGAGAGCTTCCTAAACACAAGACTCTTTAACACAAACTGAGGAGGAAATGCTCTGCGGCCCTGGCTACTCAAAGTGTGGTCCATGGACCAAGAGCATCAGCATCACTTGCTGGATTGGGAGAATGCAAGGTCCCAGGCTCCACCCAGGCCGGTTGGGCCAGAGCGCAGATTTTACCAAGGTCCCAGTGGGATTTCATATGCGCAGTAAGGATTAGGAAGCACACTGCTGTGGGTGACATGAGAACACGCTTTGTCTCCTGGGTGAACAGTGCAGTGCGGACTGGAGGTCAGGGTTTGGCTTCTCCCACATCAATGCAAAAAGTCATTTATTGTTAGCAAAAACTAGCAAGCTTTTCTAAGGTGGTATTACAAAAATGTATGAATGAAGCTGTTCTTTTATCAAGAGACGTGCACACATATAGGCCCACAGCATCCAGTCTCCTTCCTCCTGGGTCTCCACTGCCAGCAGCAGAGGCCTGTGCATGCGAGCTCATCTCAATCCAGACTGCTCAGTGGGAGCTTTGAAAATGCACCTGTCCAGGCCCTGCCCAAGAAGAATGAAGTCAGAAGATCTGGGAATAAGTTTCAGGCACTGGTACATTAAAAAAATGTTCCCTAGTCATTCTAAGAGTAGAGAATTGATGGGCAAAGTTAGGTTTCAGGAGAAAGTTAACTCAGGGGTATTTGAAAAGATGAGGCCGACTTTTCTACAACCTTCAAATAAACCAAAGTCACTTGTAATAGTGTGGCTTTCATCAGAGTCCTGAGTAGGAACCGCAATTAATAGGCACACACATACATACATATGGGTGTGTGTATGTCTATGTGCACGTGTGTGTGTGTGTGTGCGCGCCTGTGTGTGTAAAACCTCCATCTCCATCCCAGGCCTTAACCACCCCCCCCTCTTTTTTTTTGCTTCACTGTAAGGACACAGTGCAATTATGTAAGTTACCTGAGCTGGGCCACCTAAAAATTCAAATATTCATGAAAGATTGACTGACTGACTCCATTCAAGCATTTTGTAGGACTCTATTGTGCATACTTGGTTTTAAAACACATACATATTTAATTTTCTCTTCACGAGAATGTATTTATAAAAATAATAATAAGCAGCATCCTCAGAGGACAGAGGAAATAAGACAGATGGGAAGAGAAGCATCAGAACTGTCAATTGGAGGAAGGAATACCCTAACGTGTCTTTAGAACTGCTGATTATGTGTTCTTTGCTGGAATATGGTTAAGACCTTCTCCATGGAATTTATAAACACCCCAGACCCTGAGGTCTCATTTCCATGATTAGGCCTTTGTCTAGAACACCACCAACAGCAAAATCCTAGGAAATACTGCTCATGTCCAGGGTGTGGAGTAAAAATACTGGGTCCACTGCCATGTAGACGGTGTGGTTCCTACTCACCAGACTATACTGTGGAAGACAAATTACTTTGCTTTATTTTCTCTTAATCCTATTGACTCTCACATCAAGCCACCGACACATCGAGTGGGTAGGAAAATCAGTCTGCACTATCAGCAGCCTACATTTACCCGGAACTGGGACCCAGTTCTGCAGACATTGGAGACGTCACTGCCATTTTGGTCTACCCAGTTTTGGTTATCACCGAGCCATCTGTTCCCCTGGCTGTGTGAGTGTGTGATATCTGAAGGGTTATTGGCTTTTCTAATCTACTGGAAGTGTAGCATAATAAATCTCTGCAGAGCTGGGAGGGCCTAGCCTGGGCCCCTGTGGCTTTATCCCGCCTCTGTGGTAGGACCTAGGTCCCTCCCATGAGCCACCTCCCTCCTGCCATCTCCCAGATCTCGGTAAGCCCTCTACCTCTCTCCTTCACTCTATCCATCTCTACCCTCTCTCCACTTTCCTAGAAGTCACTCTCTAGGATTAAGCTTTCCATCTCCTAGAGGACACCTGGAAAACTCAGGCTTTCAGAAAAAGAAGATGAGGGCTACCCTCAAACAGCTTCTGCACGTAGCCCTTCAAAAACCCTCAGGCCACCTGAAAGGGTGGGGGATATTGGGAGGGAAAAGTGGAGGAACAATAGAGTGCCTGGGGCGTAAATTAAAATCTCAGTGAGTGAATCAGCTACAGATTTGGAAAATATTAATATCCCCTAAGGCAGGCATTTGTCTCAGGGTTAGCTGCAACCAGGCACTCATGTAAGTCAGTTAGAGGACTCAGAAACGAGATGCCTTCAGCCCTCCTGCCTCCTGTTCCTCCATTGCTCCTGCACAACCCTGGGTGATGTGGCTTCCTTGGCCACTGTGGTATTTTCACCATGTTAACTGGCTCCCCAGTGGGTAAAAATGGACAGAAAATGAGCCAGTGAAGGACAAAAACCAGTGTGTCTTGAATAACTATCCTTGCTATTCATGGTAGACAGGAGAATCCAAATAGAAGCAAAATTCCTGGGAGAAGCTAATGCAACAACTTCATCAAAGGATTCATCACTACATTCTAGCCACAGGTGTGATGGGCCATCTGGACGATGGCTGGGCACTGTGCTGGGATAGACTCTGGCTTATTCATGTTGTGCATGAATGTCACATGAATGTTACATTCAGTACAGTTGTAAAATCCCAAAGGGAATTCTGAAACAAACTTTTTACAAAGTATAATGTGCACAAAGCATAGTGCACAGAGGCAGAGAACAGTTTCCAAGTGAACTCACCTATTTATCTGGCAATTTTGCCAATAAACAGAATATCACCAGCATGCTAGATTTCCACAGTTGCTCATCTGGTCCCCTGAAGGAAACCATTATCCAGCTCTCTAGTATTACATATTCAATACTAAGTTCAATACTGCTTCTGAACTTAGTGTAAATGCATTCAGACAGTATTTACTTTCTCTGACTGGCTTCTCTCATTCACTGCTTATAAGATTCACCCATGTTGTTGTGTTAGCCGTAGTTTGCTCTTTCTCATTAATATATAATGCTCCCTTGTGTGAATATTATATTATTTGTTTATTCATCCTGTGTTGATGGGTTATCTTTGGTTTAGCACCATTCCAAGTGAAGTCGATATAAATATATATGCATTTTTTTAAATAGATGCATTTCTATTGAGTGTGTAACTAGTAGTAGAGTGTTGTGTTTGGGTCAATTTTGGTAGTGATACTGTTTGAATTTGTGTCCCCTCCCAAATCTCATGTCAAATTGTAATCCCAAGTGTTGGAGGGGAGGCCTGGTGGGAGGTGACTGGATCATGACGGCGGACTCCCCCCTTGCTGTTCTCATGATAGTGAGTGAGTTCTCAGGAGATATGGTTGTTTAAAAGTGTGCAGCCCCTCCCCCTTCGCTCTCTTCCTCCTGCTCCAGTCATGTAAAATGTGCCTGCTTCCCCTTTGCCTTTCACCACGATTTTAAGTTTCCTGAGGCCTCCTCAGCCATGCTTCCTGTACAGTCTGCAGAACCATGAGCCAATCAAGCCTCTTCTCTTTATAAATTACCAAGTCTCAGGTAGTTCTTTATAGCAATGCGAGAATGGATTAATACAGACACATACAACCAGTTTTCCAAAGCAGCTATGATCATGTCTACTCCCACCCCAGCGTGTGAGAGTTTCAGATATTCCACATCTTAGCCCACACCAGGCAGCCATAGTCTTTTTTACCTTTGGCCATTATGGTGGCGTAAATAGTACATTGTTGTTGTTTGAATATATATTTTCCTGTTGATTAATGTTGCTGAACACCTTTTCATATATGCATTGTAAAAGTGAAAATATTCATTAGTTAAGTACCTTTCCTGGTATTTTTCTCATCTAAATTTACTTTTTCTACATTTTTTATTGAATTGTAGTTCTTTATATGCTCATACATGTTATCAGCTTTCTGCATTTCAGATGTCTCCTTCCACTCTGTAGCTTATCACTCTCTTAATGGTATTTTTTGATAAGCAGTTCTTAATCTTAATGAAGTCAAGTTTATCTTTTTTTTTTAAAGCTGGGGTGTGCGTATGTGTGTGTGTCCTATTTAAAATCCTTTGGCTCCCCTAAGGCTGTGAAATACTCTGTTATCTTCTAGAGGCTTGTGTTTATTTTCATATTCATATCTCTAACCCAGGTGGATTTGATTTTTGCATATGTGAGATGGATAGTCAAGACTCAATTTGTTAAAGTTGAATTCACTGAGGTATGATACATATACACGAAGTAAAATTCACCTCTTTTACAAGTTCAGTTTGATGGATTTTGGCAAATACATGCAGTCATATAATTATAACCTAACAGATATTTAGAACAGTTCCACCACCTCAAAAGCTTCTCTGTGCTCCCCTTGGTAATTGATTCCCTCCCTCCACACCCTAGCCCCCAAGTAAGCACTCACTTGATTTCTCCCCAGACATAATATAAATGGAATCATACAGTATGTAGCATTTTGAGTCTAGACATTTGAACTTAGCAGAGTACTTCTGAGATTCATTTCTTTGGAAGGCTGAGGCAGATGGATCACTTGAGGCCAGGACTTTGAGACCAGCCTGGCCAACATGGTGAAACCCCGTTTCTACTAAAAATACAAAAATTAGTCGGGCATGGTGGCCTGCACCTGTAATCCCAGCTACTGGGGAGGCTGAGGCAGGGGTATCCCTTGAACCCAGGAGGCAGAGGTTGCAGTGAGCAGAGATGGCGCCACTGCACTTCAGCCTGGGCGACAGAGTGAGACTCTGTCTCAAATAAATAAATAAATAAATAAATAAATAAATAAATAAATAAACAAAAATTTAAAATGAGATTTATTTCTTTGGATTGATGAGTGGTGTTCCATTGTTTGGATATATGACAGTTAGTTTATCCCTTTATCGGTAATGGGAATGTGGGTTGTTTCCAGTTTGGGGAGATTATAAATAATGCTACTATAAAATGATCATAAACCAATCTTTGTGTGGACATAAGTTTTGATTTCTTTTTTCTTTTTTTTTTTTTTGATAAATCCAGATTGCTGGATTTTGTAGTAGGCTTATGTTTAACTTAAAAAAAAAAATACTGCTGAAATGTTTTCCAAAATGTGTCTACCATTTTATTTCCCACCAGCAGTACTCCTGGAAGTCTCTCACCACTGTCATTTTTTTTTTTTTTTTTTTTTTTTTTTTTGCCACTGCAGTTGGTGTACAGTGGTATCTCACTGTGGTGTTAATTTATATTTCTCTAATGACTGATGATGTCAAGCATCCATATCTTTTATTTGGTACAGCATCTGTTCAAATATTTTGTACATTTTTTCATTTGCTTTATTTTTAAAGCTGAGGCAGTTATTTATATATTCTGGATACATATCTTTCATCAGATATGTGTTGCAAATATTTTCAACCCTTCAGTGGTAGAAAATTTTCAGTTTTCACTTTTTTAACAGGGTTTTGAGAAGAGCAGAAGTTTTTAATTTTGGCGAAGTTCAATCTATTAATGTTTTTGTTTATGGTTCGGGCTGATTCCTAAGAAATCTGCCAAATTTCAAAAATAGTTTCCCTTGTATTTTACTTGGGAATTTTTATGCTTTTAGGTTTTACACTTAGGCCTATGTTCCATTTCAAGGTAATTTTTATATAAGCTGAATTTTGATGTCCAATTGTTCAAGCATCATTTGTTGAAATCCTTCACTATCCTTTCTCCATTGAATTACTGGTACTTTTGTTGAAAGTCAGTTGACCATATGATTCTATTCAAGAACTCTATTTCTGCCCTGTTGATATATATGTCTAACCTTATGTCAATACCACAATAACTTTAAAAAAATCTTATTAAGATATGTTTTACATGCCATAAAATCCACCTATCTAAAGTTTAGTGGCTTTTTAGCATATTCATATTCACACAATCTAATGTTGGAATATTTTTATCACCCCGAAAAGAAACCCCATAATGAATAATCACTCCCCATTCCACCCTCCCAGTCTCTGTCAACCTACTACTAACCTACTACTAAACTCCCACTAATCTGTCTCTGTGCATCTGCCTATTCTGGACATTTCACATACACGAAAGTGCATAAAACATGATCTTCTGCATCTGGCTTATTGTACTCAGTGTATTGGTCTCAACAGTCATCTATTTTGTCACACATGTTAGTACATCATTCCCCTTTGTGACTGAATAATATTATCCATTTCACAGTTGTTAGGCATTGGAGTTGTGTCCCTCTTTGGGCTATTATGAATAATGCTGCCATGAACATTCATGTAAAAATTTTGGTGTGAATATATGTTTTTATATCTCCTGGGTATGTATATAGGACTGGAATTGCTGGGTCATATGATAGCTATATAGTTAGCATCTTGGAAAACTTCCAAACTGTTTTCCAAAGTGGTTCCAGTATTTTACATTGCCACCAGCAATATATAAAAATTTGGACTTTTTCACATTCCTGTCTACACTTGTTATTATCTGTTTTTTTTTTTAAATTATAGCCTTCTCGGTGGGTGTGAAATAGGTCGTATTATGGTTCTGATCTGCATTTCCCTAATGACTAATGATGGTAGCATCTTTTCAGGTGTTGGCTATTTGTATGTCTTCTTTAGAAAAATCAGTATTCAAACCCCTTGCCCCTTTTTAAGATGCATTTTTGCTTTTTATTCTTGAGGTTTAAGAGTTCTTTGTATATTCTAGATACAAGTTCATTATTAAATATATAAAATGCAAATATTTTCTCCCATTCTGTGGACTGCCTTTTCACTTCTTTGATGGTGTCCTTGAGGCAAACTTCCATTTTGATCAAGTCCACTTCATCCAGCTTTTGTTTTTTGTCACTAGTGCTTTGATGCCAAAGAAACCATTGCCTAACCCAGTATCATGAAGATAAACTCCTACATTTTCTTCTAGGAGATCTATAATTTTAGCTCTTACATTTAGTTGTATGAGTCATTTCAAGATAATTTTTTGCATAATGTGAGGCAGGGAACAACTGCTTTCTTTTGCATATGTATATCTACTTTTCTCAGCAACACTGGTTGAAAAGACCATTTTCCTTCATTGGTTTTATTTTCTGGCACCCTCATCAAAAATCAGTTGAAGATTTATTTTTGGACTCTCCATTCTTTTCCACTAATCTGTATGTCTATCACAACATCACTGCCATCATATCTTAATTACTGTAGTTTTGTAGTAAGCTTTTAAATTGGGAAATGTGAGTACCCCAAATTTGCTCTTTTTTTTCAAGTTTGCTTTGACTATTCTAGGTCGGTTCCTTGTATTTCCTAAATACTTATAGTCATTGCTGTTGGGTAGAGTGCTATAGATGTCCATTAGCTATAGTTGGTGTAAGTGTGCTAAAGTCTTCTATTTCTTTGTCGACCTTTAACTTTGCTGGACTACCCACTGAAAGCGGGATATTAAGGTCTCCAAATATTATTGTTGAATTGTCTATTTTTTCTTTCAATTATGTCAGCTTTTGCTTTGCTTATTTTGAGGCTGTGTTGCTAGGTACATATCTGTTTATAATTGTTATAACTTCTTCATGAATGGCACTTTTATCATTTAAGATCTTTTTTGTCCTCAGTATTTGTTTTTTCTTAAATTCTTTTCCATCTGATATTAATATAGCTACCCCAGCTTTTTTTGATTACTGTTTGAAACCAAGCAGTATGTTCTTTTCACTCTTTTGTATTCAAGCTGTTTATTTCTTTGAACCTACAGCGTGTGTCTTTTAGGCAGCACATAGCTGGATCAAGTAATTGTATCCGTTCTCTTAATCTCTGCCTTTTGACTGTTGTGCCTAATTGACTTTTATATAAAGTAATTACTGATAAGGGAGGATTTATGTTTTCCATTTTGCTATTTGGAAATTCCAAAACAGAGGAACAAAAGACACACAGATTGTAGGAAACAAGTATCTGTGTCTCTGCATATCTGTGTCTCTTTTGTTTCTCTGTTTTGAGATTCCTGCATTTTGTGTACAGATACCTTCTAGTCTACCTTTTAATCCTTTTGCTGTTGTTGTTGTTTACTATTTTTTGTGATATCTTCTTAGTGGTTGACCCAGTGATTGCAATTAACATATTAACATATAACAATCTGGTTCACATTAGTATGAGTTCAATTTCAATAATGTACAAATCTTTGCTCCAAGTTGCTCTGTTCTCTCCTCTTTTTTGTACTATTATTGTCATATAAATTAAACCTTAATACCTTATAAAGCCATAAGTACAGTTTTATAATAAGTGCTTCATGCAGTTGCCTTTTAAAACAGTTGGGAAAGATTAGAAGCAAATGTGTATTTACCCTGACTTTCATAACATCTATGTAACTGCATTTAGCAATCCTTTTTATTTCTTTTATAGTTTTGAGTTACTATCTAGTGACCTTTCATTTCAGCTAAAGAGCTCTGCTTAGACTATCTTGCGTGAAGTGTCTACTAGTCATACATCTCTTCAGTTTACTTTATCTGGGAGTATCTTACTACTTTTTTTGGCAGGGGGAGCGATGTTAAGCTGCATATACCTTTTTGGTTGAGTTTTTTGCTTTCAACACCTTGAAGATATCATCCCATGCCTTTGGCTTTCATGTTTTCTGACTTTCACCATCACTTAGCAGAAATGAGTGAAAAGGTTCTCTCCTTTTTCATGGTCTCTGGGGCAGCCTTTTGGGCAACAGTAATGAGACACTTCTACAACCTACACTAGCAAAGTGCCAGA
This sequence comes from Homo sapiens, assembly GCF_000001405.40. Taxonomy (NCBI): domain Eukaryota; kingdom Metazoa; phylum Chordata; class Mammalia; order Primates; family Hominidae; genus Homo; species Homo sapiens. The sequence continues at coordinate 60,742,684 of NC_000020.11, forward strand.
GGAGAATAAATAGGGAGCCAGAACTTTCACACTGCATAGCAGGAACTAGACTCCCACCTTCCCGCTGTCAACAAAGGCCTAGTAGAGAACATGGTCTTCTACCATCTCTTGGTGGTGACAAGAAAATACTGTCTCTCTCTACCCTAAAAGATCTGTGCCGGAGAAAGACAGATAAAACAAGAAGTTTAAATAAGATCCAACGTGTCATAACATAATACCTGTAATGCCCAGATTTCAACAGAAAATCATTAATTACAGCAAGAACAAGAAGATTTACAGTTAAATGAAAAAAGACAATGAATCAATGTCAACATCAAGATACAAGAGAAGTTAGAATTATCTGACAAAATATTAAATCACTCATGGTAAAAGTGCTTCAATGAGCAATTACAAATAAATTTAAAACAAGTGGAAAAAATAGAGTATCAGCAAAAAGGAAAATGGAAGATTTAAAGGAGAACCAAATGGGAATTTTAGAACTGAAAAGTGCAGTCAACAAAATTAAAAATTCAATGGCTGAACTCAACAGAAGAATTGAGAGGAAAGGAAATACAGTCATGCAGTGCATACCATTTCAATTAACGACAGACCGTATATAAGACGTGGTCCTATATGATTATAATGGAGCTGAAAGATTCCTATTGCCTAGTGACATTGTAGCCAGTATACTATCATAGCATAACACATCATTCATGTGTTTGTTGTGATGCCAGTGTAAACAAGTCTGCTGTGCTGCCATTTATATAAAAGTCTAACACATATAATTATGTACAGTACATCATACTTGATAATGATAATTAACAACTATGTTACTGGCTTATGTATTTACTATACTCTGCTTTTATCATAATTTGAGAGTATACTCTTTGTACTTACCAAAAAAAAAGTTAGCTATAAAACAGCCTAAGGCAGGTCCTTCAGCAGGTATCCAGAAGACCCAGCCATCCCTTTACTGGGTATATACCAAAGGATTATAAATCATGCTGCTATAAAGACACATGCACACATATGTTTACTGCGGCACTATTCACAATAGCAAAGACTTGGAACCAACCCAAATGTCCAACAACGATAGACTAGATTAAGAAAATGTGGCACATATACGCCATGGAATACTATGCAGCCATAAAAAATGATGAGTTCATGTCCTTTGTAGGGACAGGGATGAAACTGGAAACCGTAATTCTCAGCAAACTATCGCAAGGACAAAAAACCAAACACCGCATGTTCTCACTCATAGGTGGGAATTGAACAATAAGAACACATGGACACAGGAAGGGGAACATCACACTCTGGGGACTGTTGTGGGGTGGGGGGAGGGGGGAGGGATAGTATTAGGAGATATACCTAATGTTAATTGACGAGTTAATGGGTGCAGCACACCAACATTGGCACATGTATACGTATGTAACAAACCTGCACATTGTGCACATGTATCCTAGAACTTAAAGTATAATAATAATAAAATTTTAAAAAAAAGAAGGCATTGTTATCCCAGGAGATGACAGCTCCATGGGTGTTACTGCCCCTGAAAACCTTCCAATGGGACAAGATGTGAAGGCAGAAGACAGTGATATTGGTGATCTTGACCTTGTGGAGACCTAGGCTAATATGTGTGCTTATGTCTTAGTTTTTAACAAAGTTTAAAAAGTAAAAATTAAAATAAAATAAAATAAAAACAAATAGAATAAAAGCTTATAGAGTAAGGATATTTTTATACAGCTGTACAATGTGTTTGTGTTATTATAAAAGAGTCAAAAAGTTTTAAAAAAATTAAAAGTTTATAAGGCTAAAAAGTTACAATAAGCTGTTTATTATTGAGAACATAAAAATAATTAAAAATAAATAGAGTGTAGCCTAAGTGTATAGTGTTATTATAAAGTCTATAGTAGTGTACAGTAATGTCTGATGGCTTCACATTATCTCACCACTCATTCACTGGCTCACTCAGAGAAACTTCCAGTCCTGCAAGCTCCATTCATGGTAAATGCCCTATACAGGTGTCTCATTTTTACAATCTTTTATATTTACTGTACCCTTTCTATGTTCAGATATGTTTAGAGACACAAATAATCACCGTTGTGTTACAATTGCCTACAGTATTCAATACAGTCACATGCTGTACAGCCTCTTGCTCCTTGTAGTCTAGAAGCAAGAGGCTCTACCATGTGGCCAGGTGTGTAGTAGGCTGCGCCATCTTGGTTTGTCTAAGTGCATTCTATGATATTCACATAATGACACAATTGCCTAAGGATGCATTTCTGAGAATGAATCCCCATCGTTAAGCAACACATGACTGTAATAAGTAAACTGGAAGATAGAAATTATCCAAAATGAACAACAGAAATAAAACAGACTAAAATAGAACAACAACAATGAAACAGGAAAAAAATGAACAGGGCCTCCCGAACCTGTAGGACTATAACAACAACAATAAATCTAATATCACATTATCAAAGTCCCAGAAGGGGAGAAGAAAAAGGGTAGGGCTGAAAAACCCTTCACAACTCATTTTTTTATTGCTTCATATCATCAAAGTTTGCTTATATTTGCACCTACATTTGAGAGCTTCTGTTTGTTATTTTTTCTTCCATTTCAAGTCATCCACCTGGGATCACTTTACTTTACTTCGGTCTGAATTATAATCTCTCTTAGTTTGCATATGTGAAAATATATTTACTTTTCCTTCCTTCTGAAAACATACTTTGCCCTCCTCCATCTGCTTAGGATTGATTTTATTTGTTCTGGAGAATTTTGATCATACCTTTCAAAATATTGCCTCTTACCTTGTCTCTTTCCTCCCCATCTTTAGTATAGTTGGAATTCTCAGTCCTTCCTTTTCTCCTTCCCCTCTTTCATATTTGCCATCCCTTAGTATTTTTGTGTTGTATTCTGTTTAACATACTCAGAATTATCTTCCACTTCAATAATTTTCCCTTCACCTTTATTTACTCTATTTCATCCAATTAGTTATTTTAAAAATATGCACTGTGTGCGTGCATGTGTGTGTGTATGTGTTTCTAGAAGTTCTATTTATTTCTTTTTTATGTGACCCTTTTTAAACGTTCACTTGCTTTACACCGTACCCATATTTTCAAACTTGCATTTCTTTAAACATATTAAACAGGTTTATTTTGTATTCTGAATCTGATAATTCTGATATCAGAATTCCCGTGGGCATGTTTATTAGTCAATTCTCACATTGCTATAAAGAACTACCAGAGACTGGGCAGTTTATAAAGAAATGAGCTTTAATTGACTCACAGTTCTGCAGCCTGTACAGGAAGCATGGTTAGGGAGGCCTCAGGAAACTTATAGTCACAGAGGGTGGGTGAAGGGGAAGCAAGAACCTTCCTCACATGGTGACAGGAGAGAGAAAGAGTGAAGGGTGAAGTGCCACACACTTTTAAAGCACCGGATCTCGTGAGAACTCACTATCACAAGAACAGCAAGGAGAAAATGTGGCCCCATGATCCAATCACCTCCCACCAGGTCCCTCTCCCAACAACAGGAATTACAATTCAACAAGAGATTTAGGTGGGGACACAGAGCCAAACCATATCAGCATGAATCTGCTATTATTTCTTCCATCTTCCATTCATGGTTCATTTTCTCAATTGCCACTTGTGATGTTTGATTGCAAGTTTTAATATTTTTGGAACTGCATCTTTTCATTATTATCTGAGCTTTAAATTAACGATGATTCCTTTAAAAAGGACCTGGGCATGCTCCTGTGGCAACACAGGGAGCACCACCCTGCACTACTTGACATTAAATTATCAGCTTGAGGTTACTTTGGGTGATCAAAAGTGTGAAATTGGGCTACAAATCTGCTTGAAGTCTGGCTTGTAATAATGTGTTATCAGGAGAGATATGTTTCCTGCACTCTGCCCTAAGTAAATTATCCTCCCCCAGGGGAGAGTAGCAATAGTGGGAAGAAGTCAGCTGGAGGAGGGTGGGGACAGGCTTACTCTTAGTGAAAGTATATCCTGATGTTGAGCATGCAGCCCGTTAGCTGCAGCCATATGTAGGAGTCTTTCATTGGCTTTCTTTGCAGGGGAGAATCCTGCTCCTTGATTCCTACCCCCTTAACCATTTGCCCTATGAAGCCACAGAAACTGAACTCCTAGCCACCGTCACCAGATTTGCCAATGCCCTCGAGAGAAATGGCTTTAGTGATGCTCTGTTCCACTCCCTTGATTTCCACTTCCACTGAAGTTTGTACTTATCAGTTGTTTTTCTGTTGCTTTTTATTGTTTTTTCTTTATTTACAGACCAAAGAATATATAATTTAAAGATTTAAAAAGTATGTAATTCTGCACCGTTCAAAAAGATGTTCATTCACTGTATCTATTCACCTTGCAGTTGCAAATGTGAGCTCTGGCCTTTCTCTGTCCCTCACATACACCAAGCTCATCCCCCATCCCCCATTCAGGCTCATGGGACACTCCTTGTCCAATTCCTGTATGCCTGATGATACCTGGTCTTACATGTCTCAGCTCACATCCTCCTTTCTCAGAGCAGTCTTTCTGACCTATTAAAAACTAACCATGACATCGGAAAGCCTATTTTCCTGTTTTTTTTCCCCTTATCCATAGCATTTCTCGTTGTCCGAAATTAACTTGTGGAGATATGTTACAGCCTCTTTTTGTGTGTCTTCAGCCACTAGAATCAAAACTCTACAAGAGCAGGGAACTTGTGCCTTTTATTGACTGCTTTTGTGGTGCCAAAGCATATGCCAGCTGTCAATATGTGTTTGCTGAATGAATGAATGAAAGGATGAATAACTGAGACTCTGGGAGGACTTAAGAACTCTTGATGGAAGGAAGCCATACTCTCTCCTATGTCTCATTCCATGTTTGCTTTCATCTGGGGAAATTTAAATGTTCAGCTGGTGAAATATAAGAATCGGTCTCTGTGCATTCTCACAGGCATGCTTGTTCATTTTCTTCTCTACTTCCACTGTGCACATTTCACATTGGTGGAACATTATGAATAACCCACGCTGACAGTTGATGACTTCAGCTCACCTTCTATTGCCCTGCTTCTGGCCCTAATAGCTACACATATAGAACCTTAGGGCCAGAAAGTGCCTTTGGGTCTTCTAGGTTGCAAATTCTTTTGAACACCTATTGATGAGCTGCACCATTTCTCCAGAAAAGAAAATGTGGGTGTGGCATGCGCTGTAATAATAAAATACCTTTCTGGTGAAATTGACCCGATCCAAACTGGCTTCAATACAAAGCAATTGTTGGGGTCAATATCTGAAATGTCTGTGGAAGAGCTGGCTTCAGGGGCAACTTTAACTTCATGGGGTTACAATCCCACTTTACCCCCAGCCACAGCAGTTCTTTTCACAGTGTGGCCCTTGGCCGTATCAGGGCCTTCCCATATAATTCTAGGAGGTAGCTCCAGTCTCCTTCCACTGACACTCAGTTTTAGCCCAGCAGGCAAGAGCAAGTCTCTTCTAGTAATGCTCCTAAATTCCTGTCATTCACTGGGATTGGACTGGCTGAGGCCTGCGTCACTGCGGAACCAACCATTATAACGTGGGATTCTGCCTGGCTCACATCCAGCCATCCCTGCAGTGCGGGGGTGCCCAGAACTCAGGAGAAAGCCACACCCACAACTCACACACATGGTGGGGGAGTAAAAGTTAGGTTGAAGATTTTTCATGTAAATACAATTCAGAGACAAAGATATTCAAAAGCATTTGATACAAGCAAGGGAGCCTGGTGACTAGAAGAAACTGGAGAAACAGAACTGAACTCGTCCCCACGGTCAGAGATTAAAACCTGGCTGGGGGATGGTGGTTATCTCAGGATATAAAACTTAAGGGGGTTGGGAGTTGTTTATTCAACAAAGATGTGTTGAGCAGGTCGCCCATGCCAGTCACAGTGTCAGGATGCTGGGGTGAGTTCTGGACCATCCATTTCAGTGAGGAACAGAGACAATGTGAATCCATATCTAAATGAGATCATTTCAGGCCAATTAAGTGTATTAAAGGCATTAAGAGAGGGTGTTACAGAGAATGGCAGAGGTGATGGGGAGCTTCTTTAACTGGAGTAGTCAAGGAGGGTTTCTTAGAGGAGGTGGCATTTGAGCAGTGCCTGAGTGAGCAGGACGAACCCAGGTAAAGTGTAGAGGGCAGAGAGTTCCAACTAACGGCAGCAGATGAGTCCAGAAGCCTGATCCAGGATACGTTTAGTGTGTCTGAGAACTGAAGGAATACCTGTACTGGCTAGAGTGCAGCAGGCGGGACAGAGGGGGCATGGCCCAATCTTGCATATGGATGGATTACACTGAGGAGTCTGGGTTTTGCTCCCAATGCTACATGGAGCCATTGTAGTATTTTAATTAAGCAGGGGGTTTATGTTTTCAAATGATCTATCGAGAAACAATGTATAGCTTGAACTGGAGAGAAACAAATTGGAATCTGGGCCACAGGTGAGGAGATGGGCAGAGGTGGACACTTGTTTGAAAAAGCTGAAGATGGAGCTGCCAGGACGTGCCATTGGGTGGGATATGAGCAGTGGCGGAGAGAGAGGCTTTTGGCTTAAGCAACTGGTGGATGGTGTGTTTTTACTGAGATGGAGGACTTGTGGGGCGAATCTGGAAGCATGCTAGTCTAGGAGGGAGGAGTCAGTAGAATCCATTACCTTCCAAGAAATTGCCAGGACAGGAGATGACCCACAAGCCAAGCCAGCAGAGACAGCACTGAGACGGGTGGAGTGAGTCTTGTCGGTTAATGCAGCGTCAACATTCCGTATTCGGCTTCAACTTCGCAATACATTCGTTCATTTTAAAGGGACATTTTAACCCTGAGTTACCACTTGATCAGGTTTGGATCTCTCTAGAGAAAAGCTGGGCATCTTTTCTGGACACTTCTCAGCTCTCTCTTGTTGTAAGAACTAAGTAGCCAAACTCTCCCTGACTGGGACTGCAAAGATGTAAATGCCGCAGCCGTGAGACTCACCTCCATCAGGCCGAAGCTTTGGGAGCCTGGAGGCTGGAGCAAGGCCATGCAAGGCGTCCTCTGAACCTGTGATTCTAACATGCTCTGGGAACAGATTCAAGGGACATGTCCAGGCCTCTCTGCAAGGGAATGGCAGGGTGAGCTAATTCAGAGGCACCTCTGCCACCCCCATGGATGGCTCTATTGACAGAGCCAAAGATTTTTTGGACAAAAGTGAAAGAAACTCACTCAAAGTAGTTGAAGAAATAAAAGGGTGTATTTATTGAAAAGATGAAGGAGAATCTTACCAAAGCCAAGGACAGGGTGTGCCCTGGACAAGGGCAGGGTGGGAGCAAGCGAGATGTTCTGCTGACAAGAAGGTCCCACGGTTTCTGGTCAATTTTGCTGGAAGTCCTGCTCCATGTCTCTGTCCCTGTCTCTTCATCTCTCCATCCCTTGCTGTGAGTCTGAGTGCTTATCTCTGTCCTTTTGTGGTTTGAGTGTGTCAGGGGGTGCACACCTACCACCATTTCTCTGGATGCCTCCATAGGTGTTTCTGTTCCTCTGCTTCAGTGTTCATCTCCTGTCTCCTTCTCCTCCTTTCTCTATGCTCTCTTTCCACGTAACTGGTGACGGCTGAGCCAACATGGCAGCCTCTGGCCTAAGAAGTAAAATTATTTCCAGGTTAAGCCCCTTGCAGAGGCTAACTCCAACCTGATTGGACGAGTGAGAGTCAGTCATCCACAGTGGTCCAATCAGCAATTGCTAATGGGAGGGCCGATGCCATCCTCCCATGATTGCAAGGGGCAGGCCTGTGTTTGGAACGGGAAGGAATTCCTCGTAGACGGGATGGTTGTGAGCGGGACAGAAACTCCACCACAAGGGTTCTGGGGGTACTACAGGGACTAAAGGAAGCAGTGTGATCAGTGTGAAAGCAGCAAGGCCATGATTTATTTCTTGGGCGTGTAGTTTTCTCCCGAGGCCTCTGCTTGGTTATTTTACCCAGCATCGGTGCCAAAGGAGATTTCCCCAAAGGGAAAAGTACTGCAGTGCTCGACGCATTACAGTCCTTTCCCGTTTGCAAGCTCTCCCACACATTCCTTCTTCTGTTCCCAAATCACAGGAGACGACGAGAAAGAGAACAGACCACCTGTCCAGATAATTTGCCTTTGGAGTCTGCAGGGCTGGTGAAGGCATCCTGAGATGGGGGAGGCCCCTGGGGACCTCCACAGTCAGGGCTCCCACCTCCTCTCCCACACCGCTCTGCCTCATGCCCTGGGTTGCCTGTCTGACTGTCTCAAGACTGGGGGTTCTCCGGTGAGCAGATGGCTGCTTAGCGTAAGTAGAACAACATATTTTTAAAATAATATTTAACAGAAGGGAAGAAGGAGGCCTTACCGCAGTCAAACCACCCTTCCTAGCTTGAATCCAATGCATCCTCCCATAGTGTAAAGGCCGCCCCCACACTCTCTCGTGACAACCGTGGGGTGTGAGGTGCGGGGTATGTTGCTTAATTCAAAGACAGGAAAGCAGCTTGGGTGCATCTTTAGAAGCGTGAGCACCCCCAGTATCCACTCTCGGTATTTCTCCAGATCCTCCTTCGTCAGGCACCTTTCCCTGCCTGTCCATTTACTTTTATTATTAAATTTTCCATCATTCTACTCTTTGGACCCTTTCCTTTATATGGTCTTTTATTCTCTCTAAGTTTGAGGCTTATTCTTCAGCTACTAAGTTCCTTACACATGATATTATTTATTTCTCACTCTGCGTGTCAGCCCCTCCTCTCCCGCATTCAGAATCTTTCCCCGTTGACTTCTTTGTCACTCCAGGCTCTAGGTAGAGGAAGTGGCTGAATTTCCAAATGAATTGTTTCCATGATAAAAAGGGAGGACCTCTCCACACATTTTGCATTTCTGTTCACATTTTTTTAAAACAAAGAAGAAAGAAAATAAAGACAACTCACCAAATTTCAGCCACTTACTTAATTTGTGTTTTCTTTAAGCAAATCACATTCATATTCTAAAATAAGTGATGTCAAAAAGAGATTATATACCATTACCTTAAGTGGCAAAGCAGTTAGTATCCCTTTGCCATGAGGAGAAAGTAAATGTAAAACTAAATACAGTGGACAAGAGCTATTGATACGATGAAATCCCAGCTCCATGAGGTGACTTGAAGAAGCCTCTGAGCCTGAAGCCCCTAGGCTCCTGGTTAAAAGGAAGAATTATCCAGTGCTAAAAAGTAATGGAAGCCTCACAGACACCAGGCTGGAACTTTCTTCTTGTAATCGCAGTCCTTTCTCTGTGTGATTGATTTGATATTTCACACCTCGTCTGTGTACAGGGAAGGCCTTCTCTGGCTTGTCTTCTCCCTCTGAGACCAGCTGGGAACCGACCCTGAATCATGGATGTTTGTTGCTGGAAAGGTCTTCAGCTGCCCCCTAATCCCTTCATTTCACACTCGGAGTAACTAGGGCTCAGAGAGGTTAAGTGTCTTTTTGGCGGTCTCACAGCTTGTTAGTGTTGGAGGCCGCTTGCAGGTGAGGAGCGGGTTTCTCAACCCTGACTTCCCCATGTGCAAATGACAATGGCTTAGGCTTCAGGAGTGTAGGGACTCTTTGGGGCACCATGTTAGCGTCTCATTTTTCAAAAGGCTAGACTTTCAGTGCTGTCTGTCATTTTCAGCAAAGGTGAGAGCTGCATTTGCATAAAACCAGGTCTCCGATTCTGCATTTTGACCCACAGGGGCAAGACTGAGCCTCCATCTGGAGGTGCAGCTACCACTAGGCTCCAGTTTCAAGGTTTTCTGAGATTTCCTGAGCGCTTCCAACCAGTTTATCATCTCATTTAATGAGGAAGAAGGAACAATTCAAAACTATCACATCCCCATTATTCAAAGTCTCTCTAGCCTGGACTGGTGCAGCTCAGGACCCTAGTAACCTGATGATATTGGATATGAAAACCCCAGCAATTTGTAAACTGTCAAGCTTAATAAAAGGTCTTTGTGCTAATGGGATTGTATTGACTCGAGCATTATCAGAAGAAGAGGTTGATGGAATGCTAGGACGAAACGAAGACATGACACACATTTTGGGTGCATCTCCCAGGCCCTGTAAATTTGGGTATTGAATTGGAAGCGTAGCAGTTCATTGGCCATGACCACAGCTCACCGTGGCCACGCCCAGCTCTGCTCACTGTGCACAGCAAGGAGAAATTTGAGATTTGTTGTCCCGATACAGGCAGGAAGCATGAGCGTGTACGGTGTGTGTTCTTCCCACACCCGTGTCCCTGGACCCTTGCCAGGTCCCCTTTCTCTCCTATTCCCTCCCACGTGAAGCACCAGTGGCCAGCTCTATTTTGCGCCAGATGCAGACCCAATGCTATGAGGACACTCTGCTCAGCGAAAGGTCGCTCAGGGCTCAGGAGGCCACGTGTAGGAGCCAGTAAAAAGGGCGAATGTGCATTTGCCTTCCTCCTTCTCCTTTTCAAACAGCTCCCTAACCACCCAGCAGGCCTGGCTCTGCTTTCACACAGGAAAAGTCCATTCTGGCTTTCCAAGGCCCTCAGGCAGCCACAGCCCTACGTGGCCTCATTCCAGCAGGAAGTGTCAAAGGAATTCTGCCCTGGGACATCTCACTTCTTTCCTGATAATGGGCCAGCACTGTCCTTCCTCCCCTTTGCAGGTCTGAGGGGCAGACACCATGCCGTGGTGACAGCGTGATCCCTTGATGGAAAGGCCACCAGAACCACTGGTAGTGCAGCTGGACACTGCGGAGCCCTGGGACCACACCCGCTGCCTCCCTCCAGACTCCTTAGGTGAATAAATGAAGCTCACTTGGGTGAAGACTTTTGATTAACGAAGCAAGATTCTTGTTGCTCATAGTCCCAAGCATAGCAAGCTGAGATGCTGTGCAGACCTCAGACCAGCGCAACCATCCACGTGGCATGTGCTGTCTTCATGGCTCACATCTCAGCTGTGGCTCACATCTTCATGGCTCACATCTCGTGGCCCCACAACTTGTGCCGTCGTGTTGCACATGAGTGCTGAGTTGAGCAAATAGCATCTTCTGCCTCAGTGGTCCCTGTCCCCCAGTGAGACATGGCTGTGCTTTGTTTCCCACTCACCATTGGTTTTGGACCTAGAAATCAGTTTCTGAAATGCCACATCCTGGTGCAGATGGGTAAAAACATGCACAGGAAAATCAAGCTACTGAAGGTCTGAGTACACCTGGCAACGTGCACAGATTTCGCTGTCCCTCTGGGCCCATCTCCTCCAATAGGACAAGGAGAGCCTCCCACACCTGATGCTGGGGCGTGGCCTTTGGACAGCACCTTCCTGGTCTCTAGGATTGAGAGTCCATGTATCAGTCAGGCAGGAAGATGGGGTCAGAAGGCTGTGGCAACTTGAGAGAGATCTGCCAGGTTTCTGTGAAGATGGCTCTGCTGGCTCCACATTTAGGAAGGACAGGATGGGAAGGGCCTCTGTGAAAAACAGAACTGGACAGACTCACGGTTTCCTAGTGGAGTTTGCAGTGTTGATGAGAACTAAGAACCGGCTCAACAGTTCCCTCTCTTAAAAACTTTCTTTTCTTACTAATATTTCAGAAATGTTGGTACCAAAAAGCCTATAATTTCATCAGAAAATATTAAGAAATGTTAACAACATGTAAGTCAGGAGAGAGAGCTATCTTTCCATATGAAAGCTCTCCGTGAGGGACAGTAAGAACACTGATCTCTTCCAGTTTCTTCTTGTATATGTCACACATTAAGCCTCATGGGGCCCCAGGTGGCAGCAAGACTCCTGACAACAGGGTAAAGATCCTCACCTCTTGTTGGTTGGCCCAGAGTCTTAACAATGTTGGTTAAAAAATGTAGGGTTAGGCCGGGTGCAGTGGCTCATGCCTATAATCCCAGCACTTTGGGAGGCCAAGGCAGGCAGATTACAAGGTCAGGAGATCAAGACCACCCTGTTCAACATGGTGAAACCCCCGTCTCTAATAAAATAAAAAAATTAGCTGGGAGTGGTGGCGCGTGCCTGTAATCCCAGCTACTCGGGAGGCTGAAGCAGGGGAATCACTTGAACCCAGGAGGTGGAGGTTGCAGTGAGCTGGGATTGTGCCACTGCACTCCAGCCTGGCAACAGAGCAAGATTCTGTCTCAAAAAAAAAAAAAATGTAGAGTTTAGAAATTAATTTGTATTATAGAAAGAGTTTTCATTGTGTGTGGATTTGACCAAGGATTAAATTCTGTACCCCTTTTCATATCACAGGTCTATGCCGTGTGCCTGGCTTTTTCCAACCACTCCGAATTGATCATTTCCTAATGACCACATGGCTCAGAAACTCACAGCACATCCTTCTAGGGGCCTCTTTCTCCCAAGTCCTCCCAGGGACTTGGCAGCTTCATCTCTAAGGCCTGCAGAGGCTGTGGCTATGGCTGTCCATTGTTCTCGCTCCTTGGCTTCAGTTCAGAGCCATCAAATCCCTGCAGCTCGCACACTGGAACATTCATATTTTGGATAAGGTAAGTTGAAAAATAATTTACTAAAAGTCAGTGCATCATCTTTGTAACATTTTTCAGCATCTTGACAAAAGTGAGAAGTCATTCTCAATGATAAAGATAGTTTTGCCAGTTAATTTTTCCCCAAGATTCTAAAAATATTATTTATTATTTAGGAAACTGGTTAATAAACACTAATTCTGGTGAAAGAAAATGCATGCTGCTACATAATTCATTAAATCCCAGTGGCTCTCTGCACACCCCGCCATTCAGAAATGTTTACATGCTGAGCAAACGATTTTCAGTGTATAGAAATGAATTGTGGCTGGAGATTGCAGGACTCTGATCACCAAACTTTCCAGCCACCTTTTTTTTTTTTTTTTTTGAGACGGAGTCTTGCTCTGTCGCCCAGGCTGGAGTGCAGCGGCACAATCTCGGCTCATTGCAAGCTCCACCTCCGTGGTTCACACCATTCTCCTGCCTCAGACTCCTGAGTAGCTGGGACTATAGGCGCCCGCCACCACGCCCAGCTAATTTTTTTGTATTTTTAGTAGAGACGGGGTTTCACTGTGTTCGCCAGGATGGTCTCAATTTCCTGACCTCGTGATCCGCCCGCCTCGGCCTCCCAAAGTGCTGGGATTACAGGCGTGAGCTACCGCGCCCGGCCCTTTCCAGCCCCCTCTTACCTTATCATTGGTTTTATATTCAAATGTCACCCTGGGAGTGGCACAGGGAGGGAGGGAGCCCACAGCATGGGAAGCTTCAAGAGATCCTGGCATTTGGAGAAGGTGGGTGAGCCTGGAGTTCACCTGGAGAGATTTTTACTTTCTTCCACTTCTAGAAACACTGCCCATTTTTTTTTTTGGTGGGTTTTGTTGTGTTTTGGTATTTTTTTAAGCAGTCAACAAAACAGCTTCTAGAAAATGGAAAACCCAGAGTGTGATCTACCAGGAGCTCCTGGTTTCAACCAGTTCCTTGCTGTACCTGCTGGGCCTGTGATACGAAGAAACATCATGGCTTCAATGGCAGCCTTGGAAATGAACTTCATTGAAAGGGAATTTACACTGAGGTTTATGATTGCTGCTATGAAAAGAGTGCACATCCTTTCCTTCGAAACACAAGTAAGTAAGAGCCACATGTTACTGTGACAGGGCAGTATTTTAGGGATAAAGAAAAATTAGAACTATTTTAGTCTTCACTAGCATATACACACAAACACACACATATAGTTTCACCATTGATGGAATAATATGCAGCAGATAAAATGAATAAATTAGAGCTAAATACGTCTAAATTCATAAATCTCAAAAACATAACGGTATAGTGGTGAGTGAAAGTAACATGTTTTGGAAGGGTATATGAAACATGATCAAATTACAATTTTTTAAAAACACAGGATAATACTATGTATCATTACTGGTCACATGCATGTGTAGTAGAAATATGAAAACATGAATCAAAGGATATCACCAAATTTGAGAGGTGGAAAGTAGAATGGGCACAGATCTGAGACGTTTTCCATAAAGAATTATTTTCTCTCTGTACCATTCTATTTCTTTAAAAATATCTGAAGGGAAATGAAAAAAAATTAGTATTTGCTAAGTTGTGGTTTCAGGTCCATGGGTCTTTTTGACATTCTCCATACTTTTCTTTATATTAATCTTTCATATAATCAATGGGGCAAATTTTTGTCTAAGAAAAAAGGGATCCAATTGACTTTTATTTAACTCTTTGGAATAAAAATACGAAGCCAGGTCAACCTGTAAGAATGTGAATCAATTCCCATCTCAGATTCCTCATCACAAAGGCCTAAAGATCATGGGAGTGGGGAAAAGGTTGCACAAAAGGACACGATTTGTTCACTTCATACAAGTGTCCTTTGAAAATAGAAGCACAAGTAAAATCTTTTTTAAAAGAATTTTTTTGTTTTAATTTCAACTACTTTTTCAGTGCTGTGAATGTTCCATATGAAATGCTTTTCATGGTAGAAATTTCTTTTTTTATTGTATATATTTATGGTAAACATGACGTTTTGAGATATACATATATGTAAATATATGTGTATATATATCTCACTAGATATATGTTACTATACATTTAATGAAATTATTATCATGGTGAAGCAAATTAACAAAGCCATCATCTCTTATAGTTACTTGTGTGTGTAAGAGACAGGTAAGAGCATCTAAAATCTATTCTCTTACCAAATTTCCAGTAAAACACGATATTATTAACTGCAGTCATCATGCTGGATATTAGAGATCTAGACTTATTCATCATATATGACTGCAACTTTGTACCCATGACCTACATCTTCCCATTTTCCCCCCATCCTAACTCTGGTAACCATCATTTTACTTTCTGTTTCTATGTATTTGACTTTTTTTAGACTCCACTTATAACTGAGTTTCCTGCAATATTTTTTCTTTTTGTGCCTGGCTTATTTCAGTTGGCATAATGTCCTACAGTTTCACCTATGTTGTCGCAAATGGCAGGATCTTCTTTTCTAAGGCTGAATAGTATTCCATTACACACACACACGCACACACACACAGCAATTTATCCATTTACTTAGGTTGTTTTCATATCTTGGCTATTGTCCATGATGCTGCTGTGAGCATGGGAGCACAGATACCTTCATATGGTGCTGATTTCATTGCCTCTGGATGCATATCTCGAGGAGGGATTGCTGGACCGTAAGGTATTTAGCTCTAGTTTTAATTTTTTGAGGAAACTCCATACTGTTTTCCATGATGTCTGCATCAATTTACATTCCCACCAACAGTGGATGGTGGCTCCTTTTCTCCAGACCATCACCAACACTCATCATTTCTTGTCTTTTTGATAATAGGCATTCGAACAGTTGTGAGGTGATATCTTATTGTAGTTTTGATTTGCATGTCTCTGATGTTTTCTGATGTTTCTCTGATGTTGAGCACCTTTTTGTAAGCCTGTAGGCCGCTCGTATGTATTCTTTGGAGAAATGTCTATATAGGTCTGTTGCTCACTTTTAAGGAGGTTTTGGGGTTTTTTGGTATTAAGTTGTAGCAGTTCCTTATACAATTTGGATAGCAACTCCTCATCAGATAGATGGCTCACAAATATTTTCTCACAATCTGTAACCTGCCTTTAATTTTGTTGATTGTTTCCTTTGTTGTGAAGAAGCTTTTAAGTTTGATATAGTCCCATCTGTTTATTTTTGTTTTTTGTTAGTACTGTAAGTGCTAGCAAGGACAGACAAGAAAAAGAAATATAAGGAAACTAAATTGGAAAGGAAGAAGTAAAATTATCTCTATTTGCAGATGACTTCATTCTATATGTAGAAAACCCTAAAGACCACCCACACCCACACACAAGTGTGTATGCACGTGCATATGCATGTGCATGCACACACACACAGATACACACCCACACACCGCTGTTAGAAATAAGAAGTGAATTCAGTAATATTGCAGGATACAAAATCAACATACAAAAATCAATTGCATTTTTTTACATTAATAATGACCTATCTGAAAAGAAAATCGAGAAAGTAATCCCATTTATGATAACATCAGAAAGCATAAAATACTTAGAAATAAATTTAACCAAGGAAGTGAAATATTTGTACACTGAGAACTATAAAACATCGATGAAATAAATTGAAGAAGACACGAATAAATAAACAGATGTCCAGTGTTAATGGACTGGAAGAATTCATATAGTTAAAATGTCCATACTACCCAAAGCAATCTACAGATTTAATGCAATCCTTATCAAAATTTTCTTTACAGGACTAGAAAAAAAAAACTCTAAAATTCATACGGAACCACAGAAGACCCTGAATAGCCAAAGCAAGCTTGAGAAAAAAGATTTAAAAGAAAAGCTGGAGACATCACAGCTCTTAGGTCAAATTATACTACAAAACTATGGTAATCAAAACACTAAGGTACTGGCATAAAAACAAATACGTAGACAAATGGAACAAAACAGATAGCCCAGAAATAAGCCCAACCATACATGGTCAACTAGTTTTCCACAAAGGCACCAAAGAATCATAATGAGGAAAGGATGGCCTCTCCAATAAATGACCTTGAGAAAACTGTATATCCACATGCTAAAAAAAGAAAAAAAAAAAAAAAAAGGAAATTGGACCCTTCTCTTCCAACATGCACAAAAATCAACTCAAGATGGACTAAAGACCTAAATGTAACACCTGAAACCATAAAAGTCCTAAAGGAAAACACACAAGAAAAACTCTATGACATTGGCCTTGGCAGTGATGTTTTGGATATTTCAAGTTAACTCGTCATTCACTGACTCCACATAAAATCCATCCCTCAAATATTCTCAGAACCTATCACCAAGACTGTGATCACTTCTTTGGGATGCTTTAAAGTTAATTAGGAAAAATAAAACTGGGTTTTACCTTTGAAAAACTTTCTAACTGTACTGATGTGCTCAAATAGATGGACACATGAATGAAAAATCCAGAATTTATTCTTTCCATGTGGTCTAGGTCCCTCCATATGTTTCTCTGGATTTTGCCATTCACTGAATGCACACGAACACTGAATTTACTCTCTATTGCTGTGTAACAAGTTATTGTAAAATGTATTGGCTTAAAACAACAAATACCATTTTTGCAGCTTCTGTGGATCAGGAATCATGAAGCAGCTTAGTCGGGTATTTCAGGCTCAGGGCCTCTCATGAGGTTGCACTGTAGATGTGAGCCAAGGCTGCCGTCATCTGAAGACTGGACTAGGGATGGAAGCTCTGCATTTGGGATCATACTCATGGCTGTGGCCCGGAGGCCTCATTTTTTCACCCTTGGGCCTCTCCGTGGGGCTGCTGCCAACAGGGCCTCCCTAGAAGGAATGACCCAAGAAGAAGAAAGAAAGACCAAGCTAGAAACCACCGTGTCTTTCATAACCCAATATCAGGAATGAAGAAGCACCTCTTCTGTGTTCTTTTGGTCTCGCAGACCAACCCTGGTACCATGTGGAAGGAAATTACACAAGAGTGTGACTATCAGGAATTGAGGATCACTGGGGCACCTGGAGGCTGGAGTCTACAGGTACTTTATGGCGAGTCATGGCGATGGTGAGGAAGCAGCTACTTTCATCACAGGTAAAAACTGATACACAAAACACACAAACAGAGAGGAGCCCTATATTTCTGCTTCTCCTTCAGGGTGAATAGCAGCCACCATTCACCCTACCAGAGAGATGTTCTTTATTTTTTTATTGCTGGCTGGATCTTAGGCAAAATAAGCCTCTCCTGTTTCCCCAGTTGAGGACAATTGAGAAAGGCTTATGTTTGCCAAAGAATATCTCATGCTAGCAACAAAACTTTTAAGGAAATAATTACAGAAAGCACACAACACCCTACAGTGAGCAGAACGCAGCTCCTTCCCTCCACCCACCTCCCCACTACAGAGAATGATCCAGCCCAATGCCAAAAGCACTGAAGCCGGGAACCCTGACTGAGATCTCAGCTTCAATGCTCCTTCCTCAGAGACCTTTCTGTCCCTGACCTTTCTGAGGAGTATACCCTCTTTTTATGGGCCCTCAAAACCCCCTCCCTGTGGCATTTGTTTTAGTTAACAATTCTACACTTATGCATGTGAATTTGTGATTAGCATCCATCTCCCCCATCACAGTTATGAGGGCGAGAGCTAGTTTCCTCCCTGTTGTGCAGGGCACATAGCACAACGCCTGGCCCCGTAGTCAGGCTCACTAAATATTTGCTGAAAGTAGAAATGAATAAACAGGACTGTAGCTTCTAGGGGCTTCTGTGGGAGCCAGTATCGCCATTCATACCTGGGGATTATGGGATATTTTCAACAAAAACATGCACTTTGCACAAAGTGAAAGTCAGAGCCTGGAGCCTGTGCAAACGGTGCCTTGAGCAGCTCTACGGCGAGTGTGAGGATGCAGTCAGGGGTCCTTCAGCAGGAGCCGGGGCATCCTGCAGAACACAGGGCCGGGATCTTCAGATGTGCAGCAGGGAGGGGGCTTGGCACAGCCCCATGAGTTTGAGAAGCTTGAGGCATTAAGGTGAGTTTCTTGTGGTGCAGCGCGCCAGCAGTGAAGGGAAGTGGTTCTCTCTCCCCTCATGCACAGACACGCACAATGTCCAGGATCCAGGCAGAGAAGCTTCATCAAAGTTGTCTGTGTTTTGCCGCAGCCGAATAAAAGCTGTAGGCTTTTCTAAGAAGGGTTATAAAAGGGAGCAGCCGTGAAGCCCGTGGACAAGTCATCAATTACAGCAATTACAGTAGCACCATAACCTTCCCAGGCTTGCTGGAGGGAGGTTGCTGTGGCCACAGGAGGTGCACCGCGGATTACAGGACTAAAGGCCTTCTCTGCTTCTTCACAGTGATCCATCTCTGCCCAGCACCCAAGTACTGAGTTAACCTACAACGTGGTTCAGAATTAAAACATAAAATGCCAGGGCCCTCCCCCAGTTAGCAGTATTGGTTGGAAACATGTTTAGCAGTGAGTAACAGAAGTCCCAAGAAATAATGGCTAAAACAAACAAGAGTATGTGTCTTCACATAGTAAGGTATCAAGAGGTGGCTGTCACTTTAAGTTCACTTTCTCATGGATGCCATCAAACACCAGGTTTATTCAACCTTCATGCACTGCCATCACCTTCCCATCCACGGACTCTTCCGACATCTGCTGAACGTCATCACAAGGGGGCTGCCATAGCTCCACCCGTTGTATCAGCATTCAGGGAAGGAGGACAGTGCCAACAATATGTCTGCTCATTTTTTTAAGAGAGGAAAAGACTCTCCTGGAAGTCCACGGCAGCATTATGCTTACTTCTTACTTGCCAGAACTTTGTCATATGGTCAGACTTTAAAGCAGAGAGGTAAGAAAATAAATAATCCATCTTCAAGTCTCTATAGTGGATGGCATCAGAAAAGGGGGCAGGGATGCCTGTTTTATAAGTCATCTCACGTTTTCTGCTGCGTCAGCCAACTTAATAATTAATCTACATTGCCCCCCATTTACATTTTTTGCAAAGCAAAAATGGCAGACTTACACCAGAACCCTAAGGGTACCATGACACCATGCAGGCTTTCATTCATTCCTTCATGCTTCCATTCCCTTATTCATTCATTCATATCACAAATATGTGTTGGTGGCCTCCTGTATTTCAGGCCTTTGCTGTCAGTGGAATACAGCAACACACAAGACAGACACAGTTGCCTTCCCGCTGAGGCTGGACGTCTACAAAGAAACTCTGGACAGCTATTTGCCAAGGCGATGGGCACTACAGATGAGACGCACAAATGATATGACTCATGGGTGACGCTGGGCAAACCTCGGTGGTTGAGTCCTGTTGGGTTTTCTCATAGGAGGTGAGTTGGAAGCGGAGACCTACAAGTAGGTCAGATAGGATGGTGTGAAAAGAGCCCCACCCAGCCTACAGGGACCACATGTAGGGATAAAGAAAGGAGCAGGATAATTTCCAAGGACTAGAATCCCAGCTTGGTTGGAGTTCAGAGCCTGAGAGCAGAATTTTCTCCAGGACAAGGCAGAAGGAACTTGCGGGAAGCTTCCCCTATCACCCCTGCTCCCCACACCTGTAGAGATTAAATGAAGATATCTGTTTCTTAAGCACCTGTACCCCCACCACAGCCTCTGGAATGTGATAGGCATGTATTTGATGAATGAATGAATGAATGAATGAATTTCACTCAGCTGACTCTCTCTAAATTCCAGCTTCCAGTCTGCCTCTTCTGTTGCACAGAAAGCTTTGAGAACCCAGGCTAGGTTTACCAGTTGTTTCTTCTGAGTCTAACACAAAAGACATGCTTATTAATAGCTGTGGAATTGATTTGAATTACATGCAAACTCCCTCAGAAAAAGACCCATGTCTAACTGATCTTTGTACCCTTCATCCTTGTACTTCAAAGACTTGCACATATGCGTCTTCCATGCACATTGGGTTGGGGAGGTGGTGAAAAAGAATGAAGGAAGCCACACTCAACCCGGTTTCCACACTCTCTCCTTCGCTCCTTAGCAGCCACTGGGTGCATAGGAAAGGGCGGTCTTGTTCTCCCCTAAAGCCCCTGAAGCCCATGTTTATTTATAGCCAGATTTCTGACACAGACAGACCCCTCTGAAGAACCATTAAAATGAGTTCTAAGTAATGAACATCATACCATGTAGCAGAGACATCCCCCACTACTTCAAATTTCCTGCCAAAACATGCCAATACACTGGAAGCCAATTTATTCTAAATTACCAAACTATGCACTTGCAGTTAATGAAAAGGCTATTTCTGAAGATGTGTGCGTGCACACTGATATATTCAGAAGCAAATGACACCCGTGCTGGTGGATACACGTTGGTATTTCACACAACCTCATTTAAAACCTGCAAGGGACTCAGCCTAGATTAACTGCAGACTTCGGCAGTCATGAGGGATATGACTAAAAGCCCTTTGAGAGAGGAAATCCTCTTAATAATATTGCTCTGCCCTGCTGGGAAGAGACAGGGTGAGCCGGCACCTGCCCATCTCTCTTGTCTTGCCCTCTCCTCTGCCTCACTCTGACAGTGGAGGGGCTGCAGGTTGTGTCAGGTGGTGGGCTCTGTAAGGTCGACAAGCAACCTGGAAATTTAGGTGGCTGTCTTAGACCTATTTCTCTCTATCTAGGTGGGCCAGACTCAGCCTCTGTTCTTCCTGAGCCTGGGTTTCTCTTCTGAAAGCCCACAGCTAGGTCAGCAGGGCCAGCCTGGGCATCAAGTGGAGACCACAGAAGGAGCCAAGCACACACAGGCCACAGCCAAGCTCAGCCTAGCCCTGGGGCTGGAACCCTGAGTCCTGTTCCGTGGACAGCATCTTCCCAGCCCCCTCCTTCCCCAGACCCAGTTGGCATCGTTGGCATCCAAACTCCACTTCCTGATCCCAGGCCCTCAGTGCCTTCCTCACACACACACACAGACACATACACATACACCCTCTCTCACACACACACCCTCATTCAAACATGCATACACACACACCTATACACACATTCACACACACACACCTGTATGCACGCACATATACACACATTCACACACACAGGTATGCACATACACACACGTACACACATTCACACACACCTATATATACATTCACACTTACATGCACACTCACACCTATATACATCCACACACATCCCTATACATATATTCACACACACTTATACACACATTCACACACTCATGCACACTCACACCTATACACATCCACACACACCCCTATACATACATTCACACACACCTATACACACATTCCCACGCTCACACACTCCTATGCACACATTCACACACTTACACAAACACACCTATACACTCATTTGCACTTACTGTCACACACACCTATACACACATTCACACACGCTTGCACACTATCTCACACACCTATACACACATTCACACACTGTCACACACACACTCACATACACTCCCCTTAACGTAGGCAACACTGTCCACTACCTCCGCTCTTCAGCAGAGGCAAATCCAGGTTTTGTGGGACCTAAAACTCATAATACAACTTTTGGAGCCTTCTTTAAAAAGAAAAACAGGCTTAAAAATAAATGCTAATTTAAAATTGGAAAATAAGTCACAATAAATTATGGTAGCCCTTGGAGTTCAGGTTCTTTCTTCTAAGATTCGTTGGGCCTTGCTATCATGAATATGAGTCCCGATTGCATTCTGGCTTTCCCTCCCCAGCCAGGACGTTCTATGGCTCCCAGCAGCTCCAGCCCTCAGAAGTCACCGGCCCTGAGGCTTCAGCTTTGTTAGCCTCCAGGTAAATCCCACTCTGTGATTCCTTCCCTGAAAGTGGACCTTGGTGGAGCTGAACCTCCCCAGATGACATTGGGCCACGCACTGCAAGGAGAACACCATTCTCTGGAGGACGTATTCCTCACACACGCACACACACACATGCATCAGAGTGCGGTCGGGCCTCCAGATCTGGTTTCCTGCTAACCAGTTTGCAGGAAATACAGGGGATACAGAAACCATGTCACATGACACCATGGGGTTTTACTCTGCAAAATCCAGAATGCAGGAAACTACCGGACAAATGGCCCAGATTCCTCAATAAATAAACATCAGGAGCTGAAGTGGGGAGAAGGGAGGATGCAACAGATGAAAAGAGATGGGAGAAAGAGCAGCCAAATGCACTATGGACGTTTTAGGATCCCAGTGCAAACCAATTAAATATAAATACATAGACATTGACCAGTAGGACGTTTTAGCATTTAATGAATATTTGATTTTGGAACTTATTAACAGTGTTAGGTATGAAATTGTTGTTAGATTGTGTTAAGAAAAAGAGGCTTAATTTTTCAGAGGTGTGGACTGAAAAATTTGGGGTGAAATATAATGATATGAGGGACTTGTTTTTAAATAACCCAGTGGAGGAGGTGGCAGGAGAAAGGGAAGGGAAAGAGGAGCTAAAGATGATTCCAGATCGGCCACATGTTAGTGTTGACACGGGGTGATGGACACAGGAGGCTTTATTGTGTTATTGTGTCTGTTTGAAAACTTCCATAGTAAAAATAAATAACCCCAAAGTGAGTGCTATAGCCTCAGTTTCCCCAAAAGCAGGGGTGGAGACGAAGGCATGCAGAGAGCAGTACTGAGTGATAAGGGATGGAACCAGGGACGTGGGCACAAGGCCACTGCCGTGACCACAGCTCCCTCCTAGGTCCCAGTGAACCTTGTTTGGGACCTAACTAAATGCATTTCACAACATTTTGCTGAGGAGTCTAAGGGGAGAAACACTGATTGTTCAGCTGCCTACCTGCTCAAGGGCGGCTCCCTGAGTGTTGTCTCCCAGCACTTCTAGCTCACACCTGGTGAACACCCAGGTCTGTGCAGGCATGGCACACGGCCATGAAACAAGAGGCACACTAGTGACGAAGGTTCAGAAGCTGCTCCAAACCTGAGAGCAGCTGGTCACTGCAGCAGGGTTGGAATAAGACACACTGCAGAGGAGGTATGCAGATGTGCACAGTAGTGGTGCCAGAGAGAGGCTGGAGACGAGGGCTCCAAACACAGAGTGATGCAGGGAAGTGGAACGGGAATCCGGTTCTGCTACACAGACATGGGTGCGGGGAAGTGGATCGGGATTAGAGCTCTTTGGTTACAAGTAACACAATCAGACTGTGGCTAAACTACATGAAAAAGAAAATTAAAACCGAGAGAATCAGAGGAACAGTGAAAACTCAGGAGTGGTCAGGGACCAGAGCTGTTCTGGTCGTCTAGTGGTGGAAACCTCTGGCCAGACTCCTCAGAGTATCTTCACAGGATAGGCCTGCACTAATCATTCTCCATCCTGGGCCATTCTGTGCTAGACTCACCACTCTAGGGCCCAAAGTATGGGTTGTGGGATGCAGAAATTGGCTGGGAAAGGCAGGCCAAGGGCTCATTTGTCAGAAGAAAAACTGGGTGCTGTAAATAGAGGAAAGGTAGTGGTTTTGTCGGGCAGTGTGCAGCATAAGCCCGGTGCGTTCTAACAGCATTGTTAGCACAGATGAACCCCCACTTGATACAGTTAGAGGAAGGGATACTTTTCAATAATGGACCTTCAGGCTCCCCTGTTTTATTTTTTATTTTTTGAATTTATAAGCTATTAGAGGAAAGTTTAAAAAGCAATATAATAGAAACCCATATCACCAAGATTAAAGGAGAAAATGCCATCATTTTACCATTCTAATGAAACAGGATAGAAAGCTAAACCCCGATTTCTGGTTTCTCTCCCCTAACACTCTCTCTAAAAATAATCACTTCTGAAATCCTTGTTCATCCTTCCTTGGATTATTAGACTAACAACATATGTATGCATCCATTAACAATATCCACATTTCTTGTGTGTTTTTAATATTACTTGCGTACAACAATATTCTTTCTTTTGCAAGATACTTTTTGCATTTAGAATGCATTTGATACATATTATTGATACATGTTGATATTATTTTCACTGCTGCACAGTGTCTTGCTGTAAATAAACCCACTATTTATTTTTCCGTGACATTTCTGAAAGTCAACTTTCTTCTTCCTTTTTTTTTTTTACTTTGCTACTTCAAAAGGTGCTTCCAGGAACATTCTTGTGCAAGACCGTGTGAGAGTATCTCCAAGATAGACAAGTGGAAGTGAAATTCTGGGCCATAGTGGATGAACACTTGCCAAGAGGTGTTGACAAATTAGTCTTAAATGAACCTGTACTGCATTTTAAGGCCTGGGAGCTCTTAGTGGCCCCATCCTTTCCAAAGCTTGTGTGGTTGGCCGAGTAATGTCTTCCAAGATGTCCAATTCCCAATCCCTGGAACTTCTGAATGCTAGCCTGTATGACAAAAGAGACTCTGAAGCTGGGATTAAGTTAAGAATCTTGAGTGGGGAGATTATCCTGGATAATCCAAATGGGTCCTTATAAGAAAGAGGCATGAGATCAGAGAACCAGAAGGTGATGTGAGGATGGAATCTAAGAGAGAGTTGAGGATGCTGTGGCTGCTGGCTTTGAAGGTGCAGGAAGGGCCATGAGCCAAGGAATGTGAGAAATGGAGCTGGAGTTGCCAGAAAAGGCAAGAACAGGGAATCTTCCTGAGAGGCTGCAGAAGGAGCCAGCTGTGCAACACCTTGACTTTAGCCCAGCGAGACTGTTTTCCAACTTCTGAGCTCCAAAACTGTAAGAGAACAAATTCGGTTTGTTTTAAGCTACTAAATTTACAGCAATTTGTTACTGCAACAATAGGAATCTAATACAGCTTGGTATTGTCCTTATTATTTTTCTGCCAGCCTGGTAGAAAATGATATGCTAATGTTTTGGTTTGCATTTTCATCCTTACCAGACCAAGCATTTTTGTATCATATGTTCATTGCATATTTAGGTTTTCTACTCTAGAGAGTTCTTGTTAAAATAGTTTTGCCAGATTTTTCTCCCCTTATTATTTCAAAAATTATTATTTTTTTCTGAATATTCTGGATATCAAACTTTATCCCTGATACATATTCCAGATACTCTCTCCCAATTTGTGAAACTGAGTTTAATCATTCAAATATTTTAAATTTTGTTGTATTCAAATTTATCACTTTTTTCTTGAGAAATTCTTTACTATCCCAATAAGTTAAAGATATTATTCTATATTTTCTTTTTAAACATTTGCCTTCCACTGTAGGACTTTAATCCATCTGGAATATATTTTTGTATATGGTGTTATGTAGGGATCTAAATATATCTTTTTCCATATGTCTAGCCAATTGTCTCTGCACCGGTTATTACAGTCCATCCTTTCCCATTGACTTGAGATACTGCTTCTCTCATGCACAAATCCTCTACAGCTGTTGGGATTTCTACTGAGGTTAATCCTGCTTCTTTCTCACAGTTGTCTTACCCATCTTTGGTCCTTTACTCTGTTATATGACTTTTAGAATCAGCTGTCAAGCTCTGTTAACTTCTGAGATTTTGTTTAGGATTGCATTAAATCTGTGCTTTATCTGGGGAGATTTCCCACCTTCCTGGTATTACTTTGCTTGCTCTTCTTTTCAGTCTCTTTGGCTGGTTTCCTTCTTATCTCCATGTCTTGCCCTCAGTGCCTGAGCAGGTCCCAGGGCTCCTTAGTTGGAACAACAATCTTCTCTCTCTATGCATAATCACCAGAGCAAGGTTCACAGATTCCAGCATGTTTCACATCACATAGATGGCTTGTTAAACACGGATTGTAGGACCCCATCCCTGAAGCTTCTAATTCAGTAGGTTGGAGGTTAGGCCCAAGAATTTGTCTAACAAATCAATGCTGCTATTCCTGGGACCACCCTTTGAGAAGAGCTGTTCACGGAGCCTTTTTTAAAAATACCATCTATATACTGATAAAGTTTTATGCTCAGCCTAAACTTCATCCACCTTCCTCTGAACTCCAAAATTCCATGTACAACTAACAATGTAGTAACTTTAATAATCACCTGAGACTTTATAGATTCCAGACCTAACTCCTCATTCCCTTCCTCCTACACCACACTCCATATACAGTTGATCAGCAAATCCTACTGGCTGTACTTTCAAATGTATCCAGAATTTGTTCTCAGTTCTCACCACCTCCACCATGACTGCCACTTGGATTATAGCAATAACCTCAAACTTGTATTATGGTTTCCACCATGGTGCTCTTTCAATTTATTGACACACAGAAGCTGTGTGAGCCATTTAAAGCCTAAGTTAGATAATCTCACTCCCTTGCTTAAGAATTATCCAAAGATTCCCATCCTACTAGTGATAAAAGTCAAACTTCTTACAGTATCCAGCAGAGCGCTGCC
Organism: Homo sapiens; assembly: GCF_000001405.40. NCBI lineage: Eukaryota > Metazoa > Chordata > Mammalia > Primates > Hominidae > Homo > Homo sapiens. Next base: position 60,769,443 of record NC_000020.11, read on the forward strand.
TGACTGCACCTGCCTAATTCTCTTGCCTCAAATTCCACCATTCCCACCACACACACCCACACTCCCCACTCCACCCATACTGAGATACCAGTTTGTCATCTCTCAGCACACCAAGCATGCACCTTCTCTGGGCATTGGTGTCATTTTTTCCCCTGGCTGAAATAACTTACTCCAATATCCTCCTGGCTCATGCCCTCACTTCCTGCTCAAATATCACATTATCAGGATTCATTATCCCTAAATTTTGTATAAAAAACAGAAATCCCCTCCACTCTCTCATTTCTCATCTCCCTCACTTTGCTTTATTTTTTCTCCATATGATTTATTAACATCAGGTATACTATGCATAATGTTATACGCTCCATTAAGTATGAAATTCATTCACAGAATACCACCTGACCTGTGAAAATTGCTGAATTTTATTTGTCAAATTAATTAAAAGATTAAGTCTTTTGTTCATGAACATGGTACACCTCATCATCTAGTTGAAACTTATTTTATGTCCTTACTAACCTTTTATTATTTTCTCTCTAAAGGACTTCTTTGTCTTTCATTAGTTTTATTTTTAGCTACTTCTACAGTTTTTAATGTTGTGAATATCTTTTTAAAATATGCCATGGTCTAATTGTATTCTTTATTGTTAGGAATACAACTAATTTTTCATCATTGTTCTTGTACCTGTCTGCCTTGTTTAACTTTTTTATTAGTTCCCATAGATTTTCTGTCAATTTTTAAAGTTTTCTGTAGACAATCACACCATCTACAATTAATGGTATTCCAGTCCTTTAGTTTTTATTCCTTTTCCTTGTTTTTCTGCATTACTAGGGCATCCAGAGTCATGATGAATAATGTGATAATCAGCCTCCTTCGATTTCAATATGGAAATTAACCCCAAGATCCCAAATCAACCTGACTGCATATTAGAATCATGTTGGGGAACTTAAAATAATGCTGATGGCTGAGCCCCATCCACACAGATACTTAATGAGACGGGGCATTAATGTGGTTTAATATTTCCCTAGGCAATTCTTATTCATAGCTAGAATTAAGAATCTCTTCCCTAGATTATAGAGATTGTACCCCTCCTCCCTTTCTTACACCTAGATGTCACATAGCATAGGTATGCAAACTGCCTTTTCGTTCTCTCTGTTTCTTATTGCACTTGGGGAATTTGTTTCCTTTCTTGCATAATCAATTGTACATTTAAAAGCACATTTGTCATATTTAATATACCATTTCTTGATTTTGTAGGTAACGGGATGTAAAGGTATCTATGCCATCAGATGTTCCAAATCAAAAATCTCTTCACAGACTTCGTTGCATACTGTGTCTCATGACAGGCAAAACTCTGGGCTGCTGTCTTCTTAAGCAATTATCAAAACCAGTTGAGACACTTGCTACTCTCACAGCAGTGTCTCTCAAACTCCCCTGCACACTACAGTAACCCAGAGAAGTTTTAAAAATCCCTATGCCAAGGCATTATGGCCCATACCATTTTAATTAGAATCCCTAATTGTGGGGACTAAGTATAATCATTTTTCAAGCTTTCTAGGTGGTACCAGTGAGTGGACAAGTTTGAGAACCAGAGGTATACAGCATTCTGGCAGCCTCACTCAAACAGAATCTCCAGGGGTGGCACGGGGCATCATCATGTTTTACAAGCATGTCAGGTGAACATCATACATGCAAAGAGTGAGGTGGTCTCTGAGCTTCTCTGGACCACCATCTCCTTGCCAAATTATGAGAACAAGAATCAGCATTGCAGAGATAATGCCCTCTCATTACAGCTTAACCAGGCTAGGTCGTTTCTTGGTCGTTTGATTGAACAACTGGAAAATCATTCTTTTTTTGTGCATTGGTTCATTCATTCGTTCTTTTATTCATCAAACTTTTATTGAGCTCCTACTATGTCATAACCTGCTCCCTTATTTTTTTTCAGAGAATTTTCCTCACCTAAGAATGGTTGAGTTATTAATTTGTTGGCTTCTTTTAATCTGAAGCCTCCATATTCATAGCAGAATATAAAACTGGTTCAATTTCAAGCCAAATTGGGTTTTCAAATAAAGAGAGTAAAAATGTGTCAGGAACCCATTCCCCTGTTTTGTGTGGTGATGCCTTCTGAGTTTTAATCCAACAGATGATGTTTTCTGTGGATCTTGCTACCTGTACATGGAGGCAAGATAAAAGATAAATGGTCCTCATACATAGAGAAACAGCCCTCAGGCAACAGAGAAAAGGGCACTTTGATATGCACCACTTCCTCTTGTACACAACTACTCCAAGCATCTATTTTCACTGACTACTTTCCTGGAGTCTGGCATTTCCAAAGGGGAACACAAGCATTCACTTTGTCCTCGCATATTCGACAAGATGTCTAGAAATTCACGCCTACTGCCCCTTACTGGAGCACCATAGAACTATGGCATTCCACAGCTGGCAGGTGATCATCTCATGCACACTCTCCCACTGTGAAGGGAGAAGGAGCTGAATCTCAGAGAGGAAAGCAGATGTGCCATTTTCACATAATCATCAGTGGCAGAGCTGAGATGTAGCCAGGATGGCCCACTCATCCCTTCCACCCCACTGTCAGTCAAATATTGAGGACAGCGTCAGTGCTACCAGCCAGGCAATTCATGCAATTCCTACCCACTCCTTCCAGTTCAGATAAATGTGGTGAAAAGGCAAATAAAACCTGGCTAAGCCCATCCAAAAAGGACTTAATATGTGAGCTGTAAAGCTGTAAATTGTGTACAAAAAGACTCACTTACTATCATTCATAGTTTTTCAGACATGGTCCAGGGCAGCTTAATTTACAGAGTGCTTAAAGGCCAAAAGTTTTGTTTTAAGATGGGGAACTCATCACACATGTTTACCTTCCTTCATTTCCCAATTTTTAAAGAAAATATATGTTGTTTTCTAAATAGGAAAATATCTACATCAGAGAAGGGTGCAACCCACTTATCTGAAATGTCAAGAAATTTACGAAGGATATAGGGCAAGAAAGAGAGGATGCCCTGGATGAGTCACCAAAAGAGATTGAAACACCTAATGGAGAAATAAGGGATGGGACCACATGCAGCAGCTAGGAGCAGCAGGGGTTCAGAAAGGGCAGGCAGCCCTGAGGCCAGACACCGAGTGTGGGGAAGCACACCCAAAAAGAGGATTTCATAGCTGGCTGGGACCCTGGGAGCACCTTCTCTCCACTCTCCAGCCTATAGACACAGAAGCCACCTTCGAGGATCCAGGGAGCATCCCACCTGCAGGATGCATTTTTCCCCAAGCTCATCACATCCTCCACAGTAGCAATCCTAAGGCGGACCCATAACAAGGGTTTCTGACAATAGAAATATGGTTCCTCAACGTGACTGGCACCCAATGAGGTCCCACCTTGTACCCAGCTCTATCTGGGCATGAGGGAGCAGAGAACCAAAAACCACAGGCTCCACCTGAAGGTGCTCATGGCCCAGCTAAAGAGATGGAGCAGGGCAAGGAATTGCAGTGCAGGAATTGGTATGGGGGACACCTTAGGAAGCTGCCGAGGGGACACCCAGCTGCATGTGAAGGCGTCCGGGAAGCTTTTCACTGGAGGCGTCTTGAAGAAAGATGTGAGGGGTAATTTAGGTGTTAACCAGAGTTAGGGGCAGCTGTCAGAGGAAGCGGAGCCGTAGGCCGAGTGACTTTCCAGGTAGGGCAGTCAATTTTGACATTCCCAGTGCACTCTGAGCACGGGGAAAGGCAAAAGAGCAATCACATAACCCGGGAGAAAACACCCTGAGAAATTGCCCCATAAATTCAGGGATCTACATGTGGCATCGTCCTCATTTTATTCTTTACTTGGCTCACTTTATCACTAGAAAATCCAATGAGGACTTTTATGAAGACACACACATAATTAATGGGGATAACTCATTAATTTACAAGCCAGCTAATCGATAAGCAGGTTAATCTACTTAGGCATCTGAAGAATTACCGTGTAGCTCTCTATTTACACTGCTATTTAGTCTCGTTCCACTTCATCAGCTTTTTGGTGGCTATTAAACTGACAGTGCTGGTCACCACATAGAAAAGCTGATGGATTAATTTCTGCTAACATGATATTCTTCTGGTATATGAATAGCATATTAATGGCCCACAACCAGATGATGGCATTTCCCATCAGGAGAAAAATATATTTCGTGCATTTCAAAATTTCAAATCAATCTTTCTTTTACTCTACCCATCTATTTAATTTTCCGGCTTGATTTTTTTTTTTAATGTTTCAAACAAAAAGTGAAAGCGAAAACTTTGGTTTTGTTAAAAATAGTTATATACTTCAGAGAGTATTTAGGCTTTTGGGTTCAAAAAGAAAAAAAAATAAAGCAACAAAATGGGATTTGGTGTCTAGAGCTCCCTGTATGTTGGAGTGATTTTAGGTCAGACCTAAACTCAAGTGCCAGTGGAAATCAGACCAACAGTGAAATGAATGCACTGGGCCTATTGGTGGCTAACCGGCCGGCACTTAGCTTCTCTCAGGAAGGCCACCTTTACATGGCTTGTAGCTGTTGCTTTGTGAAAATCCGTTGCAGCTTGTAAAGATTTTCAGTTTTTCAAGAGAAGCCAAACATCGGGTTTTGGCAACTCTATCAGACAGTTCTTAGTTGCAGGTAACAGAATCCAGTGGAGCTGATTTAAGCAGAAATGAATTGATTATTGGACCTTGGGTAGCATATAGCATTTCCAGGAAGACCAGGGAATCAAGCCTGGATACCATGCAGCCAAGGCAATGCCATCACAGGAACCCCTCAGCCATACTATGGAGTGTGCCAACACCTGCTGCCCTAGCAAGTCACAGCCCTCAGGACACTAGGGACCACAACCACTGCTGAGCATCCCAGGGCCTTTCCGCTCTTGCTGGCCTCCCCATGCCAGCTCTCTCCTCACTCTCTCCCGCCCTCCAGGACGTGGAGATTGTCTGCTTGCTGGCATCAAGGTCAACTTCAGCTAGCACCGAGGTCACCTGCAGCACCAGCTACAAAAGAGTCTGGCAAATGTAGATTTTACCTTCCAGGCTCTGTCTTGCTGAAGAGCTGGTTTGAAAGAGGTTAAAGTTGACTTGAGTAAGCCAACATCCAGCATTTGTCTCAACAACTGACAAGCAAAATTAAGGCTGTGCAATTGAAACAATATTGCTCTTTGGGCTACAATGACTCAATGGGTCAGCAGTGTCCTGCCTGTTCAGTAATAATTTGCAAGCAGAGATCTTATTTCCCGTATTCCCTTGTGGCACAGCACCTCCCACGCCAAAGCAAACCAAAGCAAAGGAGCCCTTGATGAGGAGGGGCCTTCCCCCAACCTGGTCTCCCACAGGTCCTACATACGTACCCACCCCAGACACACAGAGCTGCTTCCTGCTCTCACACCAGACTGAGCTGTGCCCAGACATTTCCCCTAGCACTAACCAACTCTTTCAAAAATACATTTTTCTCTAAAAAGAACAAGTTTAAACAAAGTTGACTCATTTTAAGAACTGTTTAGAAGATAACCTTGTGTTTATTAATTATGTATTTGCAGAAATTGGAGGCAGAAGGTTACCAACATTGCCTGGTGTCCAGCCAGGAGGTAGAGCGTGGTGGCATCCAGAACCTTCCTCCAACTCCTGCCTGGCGTGGTTTTTATTCATCTTTGTATTCCCAAGAAACTTCTCAGTGTCTCAGGAGTGTTAGGCACTCAGTACGTGTTTGGTAGTTACATGAATGAATGCATAATGACTAAGTGAGTTAATGGATGAAGCTAATTGTCTCTCCCTTTTGCTTTTCCAGAGCTTTCCAAGGTGAAAGTGTTGGACACTCTTTCTTCATCTCAGATTTAATCAACTAAGAATGCTGCAAATTGAACACCAGTCCACAAAACTCAGGAATACATGAAAAGCATTGTGCCTTATTTTTAACTAACTCAAATTCTATGTCAGTCTCCCTTTTATGCTGGATGTTGGCGCTAAATCTCAGTGGGTTCCTCATTCTGCCAGACCTGTGTCCAGTTTGGGGGCTTCACATAGAGCCACCCCATCACAGGAGAGGGAAGGGTCTTGCTCTTGGTTGCCATCACTCCACCCTCTTGTCTTCCGAGCTTTGATGTTCACTTTCCTTTTCACCACTCGGAAGCTTCCTGCCATGATACATTGAGACCTCAATGTTAATGCCAATTGGGGTTTGGGGTTCTCATAAACTCAGAAGTCCAGGAAAATCGCCTGCTGCCTCCCACAACACTCTGAGGGCATTCTGGAATCCTACCACTTACCTGGAGCCTGCTGGCCTCAACTGTTTTGAAGTCTGTGTCTGGGCCATGCAGGTAAATGGGAGGATGTTCTGTGGCCATAAAAATACCCGAAGTCCCACCTAAAGTTGATGCAGGGTCTTCTGCATTTCATTGCAAAATTGTTCTATCATTTCTATAGTTTTCAGCCTACAGTCAGGGGCCAGGACTTTGCACCCTTGGTAAACCTCAATCTCTTCTCCTTCCTGGCTTCTACTCCTTTCTCCCTCAATCCCAAATCAAGGCCCTTGATTGTCTGGAGGTAGGAAAGCCTGGTTCTGGCTCATGATATAGTCTACATCATAGCCTTTGTCATCTCATGGATTCACTCAACAACCGTGTGTGGATGGGGCCACCCAATATGTGCCAGGAGTTGAGGACACGCAGGGTTATGATGATGAAATAGATAAGGGGCCCACACTCACGGACCCTGCAGGACAGTGGAGCTGTGGACCCAGCATGCGAGTAAAGACCCAGTGAGCTCACCAGACAGATCATTTAAATCAGGTGATAGGACAGTGAAGGGCGGGGGCTGCATTAGTTTTGGTGGCAAGAGAAGGATTATCTTCTGAGAGGATCCACAAAGTAAAGAGGGCCGGTATGACTGGGTAGAGTGAGGACCGTGGTTGAGGCAGAAGATGGAGCTCTTTATTGAGCTCTAGGGAGCCCGTCGGATGGGACCTACGGGGCTTGAGGGAGCCCATCGGATGGGACCTACGGGGCTTGAGGGAGCCCATCGGATGGGACCTACGGGGCTTGAGGGAGCCCATCGGATGGGACCTACGGGGCTTGAGGGAGCCCATAGGATGGGACCTACGGGGCTTGGCGGACTTAATTTTAAATGTGGAAGAAGCCATTGCAGAGCCTGAACCTGAGGTGTGGCATGGTTCGAGTTACTTCAAACCAAATTTATTGAAATCTCTTTGCATAAAATGCAATGCGTAGATCTTAAGAGTATAGTTCAATGAGATTTGATAAATGTATGCACCAGTGTAACAACTCCTCCAGTCAAGATAAAGAAACGTCCCTCACTATTTCCTCATGCCCCTTCATAGTCAATATCTGATCCACTCAGCCTAGGCAACCATTGATCTGCTTTTATCACCATAGATATTTGGGTATGAGTCTTTGTATGATCAGCTATTTTTATGTTGCTTGGGTAAATATTTAGGAATAGAACTGCTGAGGCCAAGGATAGAATATTTAACTTGATTGCCGACTGTTTTTCCCAAGTGGTTGTACCACGTTCTGCCTCCACCAGCATGTGTGAGTTTCCAGGGCTTCTTGTCCTTGCCAGATACCAGGTGGTTGCATGCCGTGTCCCAGTGGCTGTTGGGAATCACAGTAGCTGGGCCCAAGATGACTCTGGAGGACTTTACATTTGCGCCCATCTGTGGGTCCTCCTATGCCAGTGTTTCCCAAAGCATGGGCCATGCGCATTATTCTTTCCAAAATGATGTCATATGGTGCATAGGAATGTCATGGAATACAATGGAATCACTCTGGAAGGAACTTTTCCCTTCTCAGGTGTTGTTTGAATATTCCTGATGTGATCGAGGAGATTAACTGCTACTTAACATCTCTGCACCGCTTGCTAAACTCCTTGTTAAAATTATGCTTTTTATTTTGAAGGAGTTCTAGATTCACATGCGTTGTAAGAAATAACAGAGAGATTGCATGTACTCTTCACCCAGTTTCTCCCAATGGTAACATCTTGCGAAACTATGGTGCAAAATCAAAACCAAATCTCTTTTTATAACAAAGAGAGGGTTCCCACCTCAAGCTCAGATCCTTCCCTGTGTAGCTAGAACTTAGTAACAGTGTTTTATTTTATTATATTCAGTTTCAAGGGTTACATTCTATTTATAACAAATGATACTGGTTTTCCCTTTACAATAATGATAAAATTTTATTACTGAGTAAATTGATTTATGTTTAAAAATTGAGTTATTTTAAAGAATATATTATATAAATGATTGTGCTAGCTGTATGAAAATGAAAGTGAATGATACATAATTGAATTTCAGGAAACACTGAAAACACTGAAGCTACACTATCAAATGGAATGCTTTCCAGACCCTACTTTTTCTACATTGAACAACTACTATGAATCTGATACATCATGAATAAACCCATCAATTCACTGCATTTATGCACGCAATCGATATTTATTGAGGGCCTTATGAATGTAACGATTTTTCTGGGCCTTGAGGATGACACAAAGATGAAACAAATCAGACAGATATCCTAAATTCAAATAATGCATAGCCTTGCAGGGAGACATTCATTCACTCCATGAATATTTATGAGCACCTGGCAGGTGGCAGGTGTATTCTAAAAATGAGGAGGAAGCAGCAGAGGCCAGTGGAGTGCAGCTGTTTGGGGGTTCACATGTCACTGGTAAGACAGACAAAGAGCAGGATTCATGGCATTTTCTATGAAGATGACAAAACTTCATGGAAAAGTAAATGCTTGGGGAGGAGACATGGGGAGGCCTTGTTGTACAGGCAGGTCAGGGATGGTCTAGCTGAGGAGGAGGCACCAGAGCTGAGGCTGACATAAGAGAAGGAGCCAAACATGCAAAGAAGCAGTGGGAAAGTGCTCCAGGCACAGCAACAGCAAATGCCAAGGCTGTGAGCTGGGCATGAAACGGGTATAATTATTACACAGTAGCTCTAATTCAGGAAGGAGGAAGGGCCAAGTGTCTGGAAGATGCAGAGTTTGGAATATGGAAGGGAACAGGCAAAGCTGGAAACAGTCTGAGCCCATAAAGGCTGCACATCAGCTCTGTAGCCATCGGTGGAGCTGAAAGAGACAGGACAAAGGCTCATAGGAAAGGCAGGACCTGTCCTGAGCTTGAACAACAGAGACGACCTTGAGAAACCTATTTGCAAAATGCTTCAAGCATAAATGCCATTTCCTACTATAACTTTCCATAGTAGCAGGTTGAATTGAATCCCCCAAAATATTACATTCAAATCCTAACCCCCAGTATCTATGAATGTGCCTTTATTTGGAAACAATCTCTTTGTAGATGTCATCAAGTTAAGATAACATCATACAGGATTAGGGTGGGCCCTAAATCCAATGATGTCCTTTTAAAAAGCTGGACACAGAAACACAGAGAGGAGAATGCCAGTCTAAAGTGGAGGCAGAGCTTGGAGGGATATGCCTACAATAAAACAAGAAACACCAAGGATTTCTGGAGCCAAGAAAGAGGAATGGAACAGATTCTCCCTCAAAGCCCTCGGAAGGAACCAACCCTGCCAACTCTTGACTTCCAACTTCTGGCCTCAAGAACTGAAATAACACATTTCTGTGGTTTTAGTCCCCCAAGCTGTGGCAACTATCTTCAGCAGCCCCAGGACGCTAACATAGCTCTGCTTCCCTTTGCAGAGCTGGGCAGGGATTCTGCCACCTGAGGGTTTGGCATCCAATTCTTCTGTGAGATATTTACTCTTAGTGCCTTAGGCGCCAATTATTGTCTTTGATTAATTTCAGGGCCTCAAATTGTGAACCCCTCAGTTTTTCTAACAATGCCCCTCCTAACCCCAGTCAAGGCCAGCAGTGTTGAAGGGTTCATTGGGAGGGGACCTGCACTGGCTGTTTGGACTATCAGCTCCACCAGTGCCTACTGTGGCCTGTGCTTTCTTAGCACATTTTTAAAGAAATAAGCTATTGAACTTGTTGAAATAATAAAACAACCCAGGAATCACCTGATCCAAATAAACAAACACCAATTAACTGCCACTGTGGTGGGCAGATTCTAGGATGGTCCAAATGCTACAGCCTTCTGAAATTCACATCCTGGAGTGATCTCTTCACAAGTGTGGGATGGACCTAGTGACTGGCTCCTAATGAGCAGAATATGGTAGAAGGGATAAGACGCTGCTTCTGAGATTGGGTCATAAAAAGGCTGTGGCTTTTGCCTTGGGCACTCTCTCCTGGCCACATCCTAAGGCAGTCTCACAGACAGGCTCACTTGGTCAGGAATGGTGGCCTCCCTACAGACACATGAATGAGCTTGCAAACAGACCCCAGTCAGCCTTGAGGTAACTGCAGGCCCAGTAACACCTGGGTGCAGCCTGGTGAGAGACCCCAAGCTGGAACCACCTAGCTCAGCCATACCCAGATTCCCAGCCCATAGAAACTACAAGATAATAAATGTTTGTTGTTTTCAGCCACTAGGTTGTTGGAATAATCAGCTATTCAGCAATAGATACCCAGCGTCCTCACTGTGGGGCTGCAGAGTGCTTTGAATACCAAAATGTTTATTAAAGAGGAAAATTATCTTGGATGAGCATAGATCAGATAAGGTCAGATTAGGGTGCTGTACTTCATTCATTCATTCAGTTAGGTACACTTCATTCATTCATTCAGTTAGCCAGTCAGCCACACTCATTCCTTTATTCATGCTGCTATGTGCCAAGTATTGTCCTGGGCACTGGAGATAATGAAAATAAAAACAGCCCCTGTCCATAATGACATCATAGTCTAATGAAGATGACAGGGCATATTTAAATAATTGCTTTTGTGAGATAAATGCTAACATATGTTCAGTCACTTTTTCAACCAACAGACATTTTCTGAGTGCTTGCCATTGTGCCAACCTTGTGCTAAATGCTGGGCTTCATACCATGGGCAAGACTGGCCTGGGTCCTTTTCTCGTGGAGGCCATGGTCTGCGTAGGAGGCACTTCACCCTCCAAGTACACACAGGGAAAGAATAACTGCTCTGTCTGGTCTTAAGGGAGGGCTTCCAAAACGAAGTTCTTGAAGGAAGCCTTGAAAAAAGAGTAGGAAGTACTCTTGTTCCAGTAGTTCTGGCAGAAGAATGGGAAGGAAATTCCAAGGAACAGAATGTGTGTTACTTGGAAGCATGTGACAATGTGGTGTGTCTGTGTCTGCAGTCCAGCAAGGAGTTCGACCTCGCTGAATACTTTGCCTCTGATACCACAAAGAAGGGTGCTTCTGGATGTTTACTGCAGCAAGACTTGCAACCCTGGACACTAAGCTACCACCTGAATGTTCGTGGGTGCCTGTTGTCTACTCAGGATCCACACCATGGGCACCACTGTCCCCAAGGAGGGAAGGTAGAGCCCTCCCAGGGTTCTCAGCCTCAGTATTACTGACTCACTCTGTTGATAGCCTGTCCTGTGCAGTGTAGGATGTTTAGCAACATCCCTGGCCTCTGCCCACTAGATGCCAGTAGCTCCCCCTCCCACATTGTGACAACCAACATTTTCCCTGGGTATCACCAAATGTCCCCTGGGTGGGGGCAAAATTGCTCCCAGGTGATAATCACTGCTCTTTAGAACCAACATATTATTAAAAGACCAGAGAAAGACATGATCTTAATTCCTAATTCTATGTAAAAAAAAAAGAAAAGTGAATGTATGTGCATGCCCATAGCTATAGGAATTGATGGCTAAGGTCTATGGAGCACACTCTTATGCTCCCCAAGGTTAAAGAATTTCCATGAGGAGACAGTGGTGTGACAGAGACACTCAAAGGAGGGTTTAGCCTCTTTCACTCAGTGTACTCTGCAATGATTAAATTGATTATAATAAGAATGTTTCCATGTTATCAGTTGTTTAAAGAAGTTCAAATATGCCCTACTCTTATGGCCAAAGGTATTTGTAAACATGTCAAAAATGGCTATGGAAGGTCTTGGCAGCAAAGACAGGAAAAGTTAGAAAGTATATGTGAGTTCCCTGAGACGGAAGGGAGAAAAACAACGCCAAACTGAAGATAAGTGTATCAGTTATTGCCTACATGCCAGGAATACCATATGAGAGTTTAAGAAGTTAAAATAGGCCGGGCGTGGTGGCTCACACCTGTAATCCCAGCACTTTGGGAGGCCAAGGCGGGCGGATCACGAGGTCAGGAGATTGAGACCATCCTGGCTAACATGGTGAAACCCCGTCTCTACTAAAAATACAAAAAATTAGCCAGGCATGGTAGGAGGCACCTGTAGTCCCAGCTACTCGGGAGGCTGAGGTCGGAGAATGGCATGCACCTGGGAGGCGGAGCTTGCAGTGAGCCGAGATCATGCCACTGCACTCCAGCCTGGGCAACAGAGCAAGACTCCATCCCAAAAAAAAAAAAAAAAAAAAAAAAAAAAAAAAAAAAGAAGATGTTAAAATAGTAGTAAATGCATAAATCAGAAAAGCAGGATAAGAAATTACCTTGGGAAAGATATGTTGTTATTTTCCAAATGTGTTTAAGAGATTGTTCACTGCAAAGCAGAAATGCAGTGAAAAAAAAGAGAAATAAGCTAATTTTAAGTCATCCACGATAAATTACAAAGGGAAAGATCAAGGTTCAGACCTAGGACAGGTTTCAAGGCCAGCATCTGTCTCTAACTCACTTGCCTCTGGTGCGGCCATCCTGTCTGTCTGGACTTTCTCTCTAAATGAAGAGCTTGTCACTCTGTCTCTAAGGAACCTTCCTAGAGCCCTGATATTGAATGAGTCTGAGTCCATGGCAACCAATCCTCCATCTAAACCTGGAGTCTCAGTGCAATTTAGAAAAGGCCTGTTCCTGTCCTTGGAGGAGTTTGTCCAAACCAAGATTAGACAATTGGAGTTAGAGCAAAGGGCTCAAAGTACAAACAGGAACAACAGGACATTTACATGCAGTCCCAGAAAAGCTAAGAATCAAAGTTGCCCAGGAGGCCAAAGCCTTTCCTACCCACCTTGCTCTTCTCTCCCATGGACAGCACCTTTACGAGCTGTGACCCAGAGTTTGCAGCTGAAACCAATTTTGAAACCCCAAACTAAGCCTCGTCTTCTTGCTCTTGTATTCATGCTTTCTTCTTCTTGGAACTTACTTCCCTTGTTGAACTTCTAGAGAAGTGATGGTATGGCAGCTTGAGTTTGGTGTCAGAGCGTGCACACGTGTGTGGCGGAAGTGTGCAGGTGCCTGTGAGCAATTAGCTTCAGTTCCACAGTTGGGAACGCCAGTGGGTGGCACAGGTGTGGAGCTGCTTTCCATTCCTGCCTGGCCATCCTGGGTGTGCCTGGACTGTGCAAGCTCTGATGACCTGACTCTTACCCTGGAGTAAGACAGGTCTGCTCCTAGCTGGACCCATGGGAGGGGCCCAACAGCCACCTTGTGAGACAGCTACAGCTCTGGACACAGGCTCAGTCCCAGCAGCTGCTCTTTACCCACACACAGACACACAAACACACAGAACACACACACGGAAACAACATACAAACATGTAGAATACACATAGGCATAGCATACAAACATACATATACACAGACACAACATACAAACCTACAGAGCATGCTCAGAAACAAGACACAGAGACCCAAATACAAACACAGACACGCAAACACACAGAACACACACACAACATACAAACAAGTAGAACACATAGGCACAGCATACAAACATACAGATACACAGACACAACATAGAAACACACAGAGCATGCACAGAAACAACACACAGAGACCCAAATACAAACACAGACACACAAACACACAGAACACACACACAAACAGCATACAAACATGTAGAAGGTGCAAAGACACAATATACACACAGAACATGCACAGAAACAACACACAGAGATACAAATACAAACACAGACACACAAACACACAGAACACACAGAAACAACATGCAAACACGTAGAATACACATAGGCACAGCATACAAACATACAGATACACACACAACATACAAACACACAGAGCATGCACAGAAACAATACACAGAAACACAACACACAATACACATAGCGTGCACAGATGATGCAACACACACACACACGGATACAACATAGAAACACACCTGTGCCCTGTGCTTGCTGCCTCACTGCCTGGAACGCGCTTCCCCGGGTCTTTGGATGCTGGTCTCCTCTTATCAGTTAGATTTCAGCTTCAATGCTTCCCCTCAAAACCCAATGTTTCCCTAACTGCAGGCCCCCTAACACCCCCACCATACTCCAGCGCAGTCTCTGTTCCAGTCTCTTACCCACTGCACCCCTCTCGGACACAACAGTAGCCGTCACAGCTGCTCCTTCCTTCACAGCTGTTTCCTGGCAGCCCAGGACACAGGCCCTTCCCATCAGACTTGAGGTTCTTGTTCACACCCATATATGTAGTAGGTGGTCCATAAGTATTTGTTGAATGGATGAATAAATAAAATGGGAAAAATTTTTAGTGTATCAATTCTGCTCAGTATTGTACTGGAAAATACCTACCGAACAATTTGGAGGATTCTTTAGAAGATGTTAGAAAACCATTCCGCTATAAAAGCAAAAGGCCAACTGCACTGAAGTCCGAATCTTAACTTTAAACCTGTCATTCTTGCTGGTGCCTCTTTCTTCAACCAGAACACTCTACTTGACACTCATCTACTTAATTGAAAAGCATTCAGGCCCCTGCGTTATTAGCATTTGTTGCTAGTATAATCTCCTTCTACACCAACACGAAATTTGTATCAAATCCTGACAGCAGGTGAGGTGAGAAAAGTTTCTTATTGAACGGCTTGACCACAAGCCTGTAGAGAATTGTAGAATCTTGAAAGCAATAAATCAAAACAGCAATCAGGTTCTGCACACTCTAACGACAGCAGTAACAACAATGATAAAACAGCCCGGTGTACTGAGTACTCACTGTGGACAGGCACGGTGCAAAGCCATTTGTGTTATGAATTCACTTAATCTCGTTCCTAAGTCCATGAATAACTGCACTCCACAGATGAGGAAGTCCAAGCGCTGAACTTTTAAGCGATGTCCCGGATGCCGCAGTCAGGAAGACGTACACCTGACATCCAACCCAGCAGCCCAGCCCCAGAGCCTCTCCAGATGTCATGCCGTGAAATGCTTCAGTGACTTCTGGACTGGTACAAAGGAAGGTACACTGAATATTCGGAGAGAGCAATCGTTGCATAAAAAGCTGGGCAGCTATTTTTATTGCCAAAACACCTGGATGAAAAGGGGAAAAAAGAGACATGGGGACTGCCATCTGGACACACTACTGATGTTTATCATGACCTCCATATTCTGTGCAGATGTGTCTGGCTAATGGATGTCGTGGAGACACAGCTCTCAAAAAGAAAGACAGGGGAGCCTCTACCTCCTCATCTGGATCCACAAAACAGCCCCAGTGTGATGAGTGCACCAATGCTGGCCACCCTATGAGCACTGTCAGGAGCAGCTGTGGGGCTACCCTGAGATGTCACTTACAACATTTAAGGTGGCTCTTAGCTTTCTAAGTTGAAAATGAATTAAACTTTCTCAGTTTTCTAGACATTTTATTACAAGAAGAGTTTTGGAAAAATCATGTGTGGGGGTTGAAATTTGGTTTGAAAGAAATTAAAAGTGTATGTATAGGAGTTTAACGAGAAATCAATTATTCTAACCAAGAAACTTTGAGTCCTGACATGTCTCAGCATCGCCAATTGTTATGTGATATTTTTACAGACATGGAATCTAAAGGCTGGAAGGAGTTTGAACATCAAGCTATTCATCTACAAAGATCAAACTGATTTCTTCTGACTTTTCACTAAGGTGTCGCTGAAATAAGATTTATCAGGCTATCAGTTTTGTTATTTCTGAAAGGCATTGCAAAACATCCTTCGAGGATCTGAATTAATTTTGCAATAATGAGATCATATCAGACTATATATCTGATATTTTAGATAACACTGGCCAGTGCTTTTGGTTATGTTGTCATTTTTGGCTAGATAGTAACATGTATTAGCAAGGCCAAAATGTGAATACATTTCACAAAAACACACATTCTTAGCCCTGCTCCTCTAACTTGGAATAATTTTCATCTCAGTGAGATATTGGCTAGGACTTTGATTCCAAAACAAGTAAAATTGAAGCCTATTTCTCTTTTCCCCTCTGTTCTTTATTTTTTTTCTTTGCTGGAAAATCTGTTTACATCTTTTTTTTCTTTTTTGAAACACTTTTCCCAAGAGATCTCAATTACTACTAAGAAATTTTAACTCAGTTTCAGAGCTGAAGAAACTGTCAACACAAAAAAAGATTTTAATGATCACCTGGTTGCATTTAACATTCACAAAAAAAAAGTCCCTTGTTTGGGAAACTCACAATAATTGAAAATATACAGTTTTTAAATTATGCATGTGCTTCTGACACTGGTGCTGTAAGGATAAAAAGCATCCACTGAAGCACATTTTTTTACTACACCGAACTGGAAACATCGTAATTCTAGGCAATCACAGAACAGTTGTGTAGTTCACACGCAGAAGCAGCTGTGCTCATGCTCAGCCCTTGGAGCTGTTCCCCCACCACGGGGAGGAGCTCAGGAACATTGAGTGCGACCTCAAGATGAAGGACGGGACTTTGGCTGCATTCTGTGGAGAGCCACGCTGGGGGAGGTCACATCCTCCTCCTTATCCACCAAACATCCTTCCAGCAAGACCAGGAAAAGTCAGGAGACCACTCAAAAAAGGATGAAAAACCATCTCAAACAATGTCAGCAAGACAGGACCACTGTGAAATTTTCAAAAACGACTTGTGATCCCAACTCCTGGCTGAAACCCCCGCCCTGGTCACGGCTCTGCGCTCATCCTCCATGAGTCTGTGGCTGTCATCTATAAAGTGGGCACAGCAGTCAATTCGCCGGCCTGTAATGATGCCTGAGGTTAGGTACACTGAGATATTTGTAAAGCATCCCCAAATAGTCATATTCAAGTTATTATAACTATTAATAATAATAAATAATTGTTATTGCTTTTATTCACATTCATTGACGTTTCCCGTGCCAGGCATTGTGCTAAGCATTTTATCTGGAATCTCTCATTCATTCCCCTGGGGCCCTAAGAGGCCTCTGATTTCAGTCCTACAGACTTAAAAACGGGGAGTTAAGGGCAGCTGGGTGGGCAGGGATGATCTGCCAGCTCACCTTCCCAACCAGCTGCTGGGTGCTGTGAGCAGGCAACCTTCAGTCATCACCCTCTTCC
Source organism: Homo sapiens (assembly GCF_000001405.40). Taxonomy (NCBI): domain Eukaryota; kingdom Metazoa; phylum Chordata; class Mammalia; order Primates; family Hominidae; genus Homo; species Homo sapiens. The sequence continues at coordinate 60,786,686 of NC_000020.11, forward strand.
AGGGCTGCCTCACAAGCAGAGAGCTTCCTCACTCACACACCTTCTGGGGCAGCCCAACTAAAGAGGAATGGATGCAGAGGCATAAAGGCATTGCCTTCTCAGCCCCATGCCCTGTAATAGGCTGCTTCAGCTCCAGAGCTCCCGTGCGGTCAGCTGGGACTGCTGGTCAGGCCACCGCAGTATGATGACGAAGACCCTCCTCAACCTCCTCCTCCTCTTCCCTCTTCCACCTCCTCCTCCTCCCTCCTCCTTCCTCCTCCCCTTCTTCTTTTCTCCCTTCCTCATTCCCCCTCCTTTTCTCCCTTCCTCCTCTCCCTTCCTCCTCCCCTTCCTTTCCCCCTCCTCCTCCTCCTTTCTCCCCTTCCTACTCCTTTCTTCTTTCCTTCCACCACCCTCTTCCCTCCTCCTCTACCCCTTCCTCTTCCCCCTCCTCCTCTTCATCCCCCTCTCCCTCCTCCTCTGTCCTCTTCTCCCCCACCTCCCTCTTCTTACCTCCACCCCCTCTTTAGGTATAGATCCCAAGGGATCTATATATATTATATATATATGTTATATATATTTTGATATTATGTCATTATTACAAAATTAATTCAGATCCTTGGAGGATGTTTTGAAATGCCTTCCAGAAATAACAAAACTGACAGACTGATAAATCTTATTTCAGTGGCAGGCACCTTAGTGAAAAGTCAGAAGAAATCAGTTGGATCTTTGTGGTTGAATAGTTCAACCCTAATAGTCATCCTGCTCCATGCCAAACCCCTCTCTGTATCCTCTCCTCCGGAATGCAGCTGGTCACAGTGTTTAGGAAACTTGACAAAGCTCACAGAGCGAGTGAGTGATGGCCCCGAGATCCACACCCACATCTCCCTGACCTTCATATTTTTTCTTCCTCCCTTCTCCGCCTTTCCCTCCCTAAAACTTTTGGAAAAATCATAGCTCATCTTCACATCTGTCATACTTGTGACAACTGTTCAGGCTTTCTCCAAGTCTAAAATTATAGAATTCTTTGAAAGAAAGTATTCACGCAATCAAACTTCACCAAATTAGGAGACCGTCAGTGTTAATTAGCAAAAATTCCAGATTATAAAATGCCTCTAGATGTATGTTCTTTTTTTTTTTTTTTTTGAGCAAATATGTCAAGCTTGTATAGCAACTAAAGGAAAGAACTAAAAATAGAAGTCTTTTTTGTTCTGCAATCTGATGACCACAGTAACCTTAAAAACAATTTGTTCTTCTACAGAACTCAACATATATTTTCTACAGTCACCCCTTATTCACAATTCATCTGCTGAACAATCTTTAACAAGGAAAAAGGAACCTCCCTCCTGACCCACGTCTGAATGTTCACAAATTATCATGTTGCCAGAATCAGAATTAAGTGATTCTCCTTCATTTGCCATTTTTCCCTTATTTTCAGGTTCTTCTTTCCTCCACATTAAAAAAAACCCACTTTTTGTGATATGTCGATATGTCTACCCATCACCTCGTCTTTTCAAAGCCCTGGAGATCCCCAGTCACTCTGGGAAAAGAAGAAGCCCCTTATTAATCTGAGCTATTTTAGTGACAACAAGCCTGAATGTTTTAAGATAGACACCATCAGATCCAACATAATGCTGTCAGTTTTTCACGTTCAAACACTTCATCTTCAGAATATCATCTGCATGCCTTAGGGAAAAGCCCATATACTCCTGGAGGTATAAACCCTACCCTCTGGGAGGTGCTTTACCCAGGAAGAAGCCTGAATTCTCCAGTCAGCTTTCTGACCTCCTCAGCCTTCTCTCACAGCACAGCCTTGCACACAGTTCCAGCTTCGGCCACGCTCTGCTAATTGATCTCTTTTCTGTATTTGTTTTTTGATGAGATGAGTAGAAATGGCAATTCACTGTAACAGTAGTAAGTTTTTTAAATCAATAAGGAATCCCGCTGTGTGCTAATTTGGAATAAATAACAAAGCAAATGGGACATGATCTCGGCTCCCAGAGAACCTGCAGTGAGGCAGAGGAAAACGGACCAAGGCCTGCCCTTGCTGGGACTTGTCTGAGCATCTTCTGAGTGTCTCAGCAGTAGCATTCACTGGTTCTGTGCAGTGGGTGCCCTTTGATGCCCACTGTATGGGGTAAGGAGTGAATTACACCTGCATTGCAAATGACTCCAATACAAAACCCATAGTAGATAACTCTGTGAATTATTAGTGAGTGAACAAATGAGGGAATGAATACGGGAAACAGTTTTTCACAATGGCAAGAGCATAAGTTTGAAATGGACCAGCCCACACCTGACTAGGTTGCTGTGAACTTGAGCGGCATGATTCATTCTGAGCCTCAGTTTCCCTTCATTCATGCAGCAGGAACTTTGTCCCTCAGAGTTGTTATAGGAAACCTATATGATGATGTACAAATGTTTATTGAGTGCTGGCTGTGATCCAGGGTCTGAAGTAGGAACTGGGAGCACAGAAGTCCCTGTCTTCATAGGGTTTAATTTTCCCATTCAGTGGAACAAAGCAGATAATAAATGAGCCAAGTTCAGTGGGACATAGTAGATGCTCAAGAAATGAGCCACATTGGAGGCCAACTCAGGAGTTATGGTGGAAAGCTTTTTGTGACTTAGGGCATGAAGTTCAAGTTCAAATTGAACTTCAAAACTGGGCAGCATGAATATCAGTGGCAAGAGCTTGCTGGGTGGAAGGAGCATGGTGAAAGGCAGAAGGTAGCTGGAACATTTAGGGTGCTGTCCAGATGTAAGGGGTGATGGAAAATAAAGTCAGGGAGTTGTCACTGGTCAGCTGTGGAGGCCTGATCCCCTGGGGCGTAATTTCATCCACTACTGGAGGCACTGAGGAGCCTAAAGGGGTTCACCGAGTAGGGACATTACAGAAGCCACTTTAAGGAGATGACGCAAGAACCCGCCCTCAGCCTGGCTTGAAGGTAGGGCAGACTGCAGACCACATTCTACATAAGAACGCCTTTGAATTAGATCTCTTTGTGTTGCAAGTGACGGAAAACACAGCTTACCCCGGCTTATGGAAAGACATCAAGTATTGGCTGATGCTATCGACAGCATCCAGGTGTTCCAACGATGCCAGTCGGAATCCATCTTTCCTCATCTTTCAGCCTCGTTTCCCTCAGCATGACTTCACTTTCAGATATCGTCACAGGACAGATGGCAGCAGCTCCACGATGTCATCCCCAGAGCTCAGCAAGCCCCAGGAGAGAGTGGCTTAAACCATGGCTCCAACTGGAACCTCCAGTGAGGCCCGTGTGGCCCAACTCAGCTAAGCCCATGGCCAAGAGGACACCGTGGTCCAGTGGGTAAGAGCTTGAGTCAGGCATCCTCCTTCTGAGCTGGGTGTGGAGGAAACTTCATCTGCTTCATAGACTGAGAATATGGAATGGTGCAACAGAGTACAGAAGGGGCATTACTACAGCAGGAAAGGGCATTACTGGTGTGTCCGGAGTTTATTCCATCTGGTGGGTTCGTGGTCTCACTGACTTCAAGAATGGAGCCGCAGACCTTCGCAGTGACTTACAGCTCTTAAAGACAGGATGGACCCAGAGAGTGAGCGATAGCAAGGTTTATTGTGAAGAGCGACAGAACAAAGCTTCCACAGCGTGGAAGGGGACGGACTGGGTGGCTGCTGCTGGCTGGGGTGGCCAGCTTTTATTCCTTTATTTGTCCCCTCCCATGTCCTGTTTCTGTCCTATCAGAATGCCCTTTTCTCAATCCTCCCCATGATTGGTTAGTTTTAGAATCCTGCTGATCGGTCCATTTTACCGAGCACTGATTTGTCCATTTTACAAACCTCTTGCTAGCTACAGAGCACTGATTGGTGCGTTTTTACAAAGTGCTGATTGGTGCATTTTAAAATCTCCTTGTAAGACAGAAAAGTTCTCCAAGTCCCCACTCAACCCAGGAAGTCCAGCTGGCTTCACCTCTCACTGGGAGTCTGGAAACAGTGCTGTTAGGATGTTACTCACTGAGAGTACAGAAGGGGCATTACTGAAGTAGGAAAGGGCATTACTGGGAGTCTGGAAACAGTACTGCTGGTGTTACTCACAGAGTACAGAAGGGGCATTACTGAAGCAGGAAAGGGTGTCACTGGGAGTCTAAAAACAGTGCTGTTAGGATGTTACTGAGAGTATAGAAGGGGTGTTACTGAAGCAGGAAAGGGTGTTATTGGGAGTCTGGAAACAGTGGTGTTAGGATGTTACTCACTGAGAGTACAGAATGGGGCATTACTGAAGCAGGAAACGGCGTTACTGGGAGTCTGGAAACAGTGCTGTTAGGATGTTACTCACTGAGAGTGTGTAAGGTGTTATTGAGAGCATGAAATCATGAAATGGTGACTGCAGAAGGGGTTTCACTGCAAGTCTAGAGACGGCATTCCTGAGAGTATGTAAAGGTGCTTCTGAGAGTAAAGAAGGGGTGTTGCTGAAGGTCTGAAAGTGTTACTGAGAGTACAGGAGGGACATTGTTGAAAGCATGGAGGGTGCTACTGAGCATACCCCTTCTGCAGTCGCCTTTCCATGATTTCATACTCTCAATAATACCTTACTCACTCTCAGTGAGTGACATCCTAGCACCACTGTTTCCAGACTCCCAGTAAAGCCCTTTCCTGCTGCAGCAATGCCCCCTCTGTACTCTCAGAGAGTAACATCCTAGCAGCACTGTTTCTAGACTCCCAGTAATGCCCTTTCCTGCTTCAGTAGCGCCCCTTCTGTACTCTCTGTTGCACCATTCCGTATTCTCAGTCTGTGGATCAGATGAAGTTTCCTCCACACCCAGCTCAGAAGGTGGACACCTGACTCAGTCCCTGCAGATACTAAATGTATGTTTTTGGGGAAAGTGACAGTAGTACTTAATTCTATCAGACAGATCCTCCTTCCATACATTCTCCCATTGATGATCTTCCCAACAGCCTACCGCCATCTGCATTTTAGAGGAAACTGACCTGTCCGACATCATGTCTCCTTTAGCAGGTGGAGCTGGGACTCAAACCTAGGTCTTTGCAGTGCAGGCCACACCCTTTCCCTGCCTCTAGGGGATAACAAATACAAGAAATTCTCCCCATGAAAGAACAAATTCATCCATTCCTGCATCTCCTCTATAACATATATGGAATAAGTGGATATATTAGCCTCCTATTGGCACTATAACAAACCACAAACTTAGTGGCTTCCAGCAACATGCATTTATTGTCTTACAGTTCTGGAGGTCAAAAGTTCAAGATGGGTCTCATTGAGCTCAAAATCAAGGTGTCATCAGGGTTGCATGTCTTCTGGAGGCTCCAGGGAAGAACTCTCCTTTTCTTTCCTTTTTCCGTTCCTTTCCTTCCTTCCCTTTCCTTTTTCTTTTCCTTTATTCCTTTCCCTTTTCCTTTTCTTCATTCTCCTCTCCCCTCCTCCTCCCCTCCCCTTCCTTCTCCTCTCCTCCCCTCCTGCCCTCCCCTTCCTTCTCATCTCCTCTCCTCCCCTCTCCTCTCCTCTCCTCTCCTCTCCTCTCCTCTCCTCTCCTCTCCTTTTCTATCCCCTTTTCCCAGATTCTGAAGGCTGCCTGCATTTGTCAGCCTGTGGCTCCTTCCATCTCAAAGCCAGGGATGGCCGGGGAAGCTTTGCCCACACTGCGTCACTCTGACACGACCCTCCTGCCTCCCTCTGTTAAGGATCCTTATGATTGCATCATGTTGCCTCCACCTGGACAGTCTAGGAGACTCCCCATCTTCAGATCCTTACCTTACTCACATCTACAAAGTCCCTTTTGCCGTGCAAGGAGAAATATTCAGAGGTTTTGAGAATAGAACATCTTTAGGGGACGGTTTTTCTGCCTGCCACAGAGGGCAACTGGTCTACTGTGCACGTCAGGGAAATGAGCCTCCCCTTACTGTGTTAGAGTAAAACTCAGTCCCATCCCGGTTTGGAATTCTCATGTGGACAATGATGAGGATGCATCAGAAAAAGCCCGTGTTGGGAAGGAACCCACACCTTCCCTGCCACTGCTCAACAAATGTCAAGGATTACGGATTGAATCACGCTCATGGGCTCATGTCCAGCAACACGCAACCTCCCCTGTGTGATGCCACTGTTGTACTGTGGCCAGGCCCTCACTCTTTGGCCAGAGCAGGTGGGAAGCCAGCCTGCATGAGGGACCCAGCTTCCTCCAGCCTTCAGCATCTGATGCAACTTGAGCACATTGTAGGTCCCTCCTGACTCCTTGGAACTCCATTTCTTTATCAGTCCCGATGATAAAGAGCATTGCTAAAGGGTAAGAACATTCTGGTTTAATTTTTCATGAGGGCAAACATAAAAAATTCAAGCTAATACAACCCAAAGTGAGCATTCAGGGCACCAACAAACCCTGACACCTGCCTCTCAAACAAACTCCACTGCTTCCTGAGTCCACCCCAAAATTGCTTCAGCCCTAATTGGAGCCAAGACTGCGCTGGGCAGCCAACCCAGGGCCGCCGGGGGCAAGGCATGCACATCCCCCGCACAGGGGCTCACGGGTCCAGGCGTTTGTTTATCAGAAGGTCACTCCTAATGTTTTTAATTTTAATTTTTTATGTTTTTCTTCATTAAAAATTTAAAAACTTTGTATTAGGGGTTGCATTAAAGAAATTCAGAAGAGTAAGGAACAGCCCCATCCTGCCTGGAGAGCTCAGCGCTGTCTGTGGCGTTTGTCTCTGGCTGAGGGTCTGGCTGGCTGGGGAGGTACAGTTCTATTTCACCCTGCTCAATGCTGCCACGATGCTGGGTCAGCCCCTGCTATGGACAGGGAAGGGTGGGCTGCTCTGTGTGTTTCCTTCATCACCCATCTTGCAGAATGAATTTTTTCTGATATTTCTTCTCAGAGAGCCCCTGTCCTTCTCTGCTGCCACAAGACCTAAGAGGCTGGGGCCAGCACAATCACACTCTGTAGACCAAAGGCTCACAGGACCCTCAGCTGGGAGGCAAGGGGCTTGTGTCAGTCTCAAGGCCAGTCAAGATGTTGGTTCTACATGAACAGGCTAAACTGATGACAAACCAGTAGGATTTGGGAAGGACGGTCTTTGAGATGCATTCATGGAGAAAAGGGCACAGCATACTAGTGTCTCAAAATCAGAACTCCCTGGGAAGGCAACCTAAGGCAGGCCTTAGAACAGCGGGGTCGGGCCACATCCGGCGACAGCCCCACAACAACATTCGCACTGCTTATCCTTCGGCGAAGGGATCTGTAGACTTTTGTCAGTGCATTCTCTCATTCATTGAGCAAATAGCCACAGACCATTGCTTCAGGTCATGCCCTGTGCTTGGCTTTCGGGGCACAATAATAAGGTCACAGCCCCATTCCATCAAGACTCCCAGCCCCTCACATGGATGATTCAGAACACGATGGACAGAAGGGTTTCCATGATGCAGCAGCGTCTCACTCAGGGGAGAGGTGGCTTCCCAGGGGAGATGATGTGGAGGCAGAAACCTGAGGATGGATGCAGGACAAACAGTGGACAGAAGACTGCTCCAGGCAGAGGAACAAACCTTTCAAAGGCCTAAAAAGGAGAGTCACCATGGGTTGTTCTGGGAACTGTGTGTGTTTAGGAGATGGGAAGAGGCCAGAGAAGTTCCTGGAAATCGGGGCCAGAGCCAGGTGACTGTGGCTGTGTAGACTCCTTAAAGAATCTGGCATGCTAAGAGGAAGGGGGACCCTCTAGAAGTTATTTCTTCCACATGTAATAGAAATACATCCATTTCAATTGTGACTTCACTACATTCTGACAAATATATACACCTGTGCAACCACCACAATTAAAACATAGAGTTTGCACTGCCCCCCAAATCTCCTTGGTGCCCATTTCATCCGACCCACCCCTTCCCCAGTTCCAGCAACCACATACCTGCTTCTGTCTCCATGGAACAGAGGTGTCACTTCTAGAATTTCAAAGGAATGGAACGCAGTGTGCACTCTTTTGTGACAGGCTGCTCCCTTTGATATTGTAATTCAGATTCAATCATGTCATTGTGTGCATGCATTTTTTTCATTGCCGAGCAGTATTCCATGGTGTGGATGTGCCACAGCTATTTAACCATTCATCCGTTTGTAGACATATGGGTTATTTCTATTTTGAGGCCTACAATGAATAAGGCTGGTAGAATATTTGCGTGCGAGTCTTTGCATGAACATATGTCTTTTATTTCTGTAGGCTATGAGTGGAATGGCTAAGTCATATGGTAGATGTATGTTTAACTTTGTAAGAAACTAACACACTGCCCAGAGGCATTTAAGCAGAGGCATGAAATGATATTTCAGAAGGTTTCTGGCTGCAGTGTGAAGACAGAATTGGTAAGGAGGGAATATGGAATTGAATGCTGCAGTCAGTTAGGAGATTATAGCTTGCCCTCAAGAAAAAAATGACATGGATCTGACAAAGGGAAGGACAATGAGGTGTAGAAGTAGGTCAGTGGGGAGTAAGAGGAGCTAGGGTTGGCAGGATCGGGTGGCCGGGTGGAGGTGGGTGGGGGGATGGGGCAAAGATGCTTCAGACAGTGATGATCTTGGAGGGGGTTGGGTCATCCACCAGTTTAGAGAAAGCAGGAGTGTGTTTAGGAAGGTGAAGAGTTTGGCTTTGGACACAGTGAGTGAAATAGGCAAAATAAATCCAAAGTAGCTGGGCGTCCTTACAGGAAGCTTCCAGGGGAGCTCCGGAGGGATATGTTTCTAAGGTATCAACATTTATTAATCGTTGAAGCTACTGAGGAAATGCACGCCCAGTTTATCCTTTGTAGAATATCTGCTCGAGAGCTCCAGGAGAGACAAGAATGAGATTTGGCAAATTTGCCATGAATTTGATTCTCTAGGGACATGAAAGGAACATGATTAGAATTTGAGAATGACCCTCAGAAATAAGTTAATTGGTGTACAATTATCAATTAGAAGAGAGAGGCTACTTGCATACGTTGATGTGTGATGGAATTAAACACCATACTAACCCAAATGTTACTCCAACTGCCCTCATTGCCACCTCCTGACAGTGGCGAGGGGTGGCAACAATGAACAGCTGGCTATGAAGAGAAATGTGCCCTGCAACCCATAAATGTAAAACACACAAGGGTTTTCTTCATTCTGCATGGTCAGTTTCTTAGTAACAACAGTTTGCTTTTTGTGTGGTGTTGTAGCTAAGCTCAGAGAATGACCTTCTCATTCTGTGTTACTTACCCAAGTTCCTGAGGGAGGGAATATTTGCAGGAGTGTTGGGAGGGAATATTTGCAGGAGTGTTGAAAATTATCCCCCACTAAACAATAGGATCTCACAGCTCACTCAAGCCCTGGAGCACATTGAGTGCCCTGGATGGGAATAATCCTCTGTTCAGAGAAAGAGGTGGGCATGATTTATTTATTCCAAGACGTGAGAAAGCATATGGCTGAGACGAAAGAGAGGCAAGACCCATACACACTTCAAAGAGGGAAACTTCCCGGGCCAAGGATAGAAAACAGTGAGACAACAACAACAAAAACCATATGTGTGTCCACAGAGAGGGCTCAGCTAGGGGGCTGGAAAATTGCACAGCGACAGAAAGCATAAAAAAGTGAGTTAGAGCTGCATGCACTAAAATATCACTTGTTAACACATTAGAAAATATTTTAGATATAAGAAAAGGGTATGAAGAATAACATGGTGAATACCCATGAACCACACCCAGCACACAAATTAAACTTTGTACAATGCATTTGAAGAGATTCTCTGTTGATGTATTTGTAATAGTGTTAAGGAGAAGCTAAGCGGGTACTGAGTAGATGTTAAATTTAGAATTCACCCTCAGCTCCCCTTGCTTCCCCTGGGTTTTTCTTGATGGTGATGATCTCAAGGACCTTGCCTACTCCCTCTCCTCCTCAGGGGCAAGCAACCTAGGCATTCACACAGGGCCCAAGCTCAGAAGGGCCCACACTTGGTTTAATGCTTTACTGTCAACACCTTGAAACTGCTAACAACTTTTAGGCAACGGATCTCACATTTCATTTTGCATAAATTATGAAGCTAGGCCCCTCCAGGTGTCTATCTAAGTGTCTTTCTCCAGCACAGCACAGTTGTTCCTAGGAGATTCCAAGGCTGTTGCCTATACTGGATTGAGCTGTGCCCCAAAGTTCATATGTTCGGGCTCTAACCTGCAAAACCTCACACTGTGACCTATTTAGAAATAGGCTCATGGCAGACGGAATTAATAAAGATGAGTTTGTATAGAGTGAAATGGGTCCCTAATTCAGTATGACTGGTGTCCTTAGAAAATGGGAAATTTGGACACTGGTACATACATAGAGAGAATACCCACTGAAGGTGAAGACAGAGATCAGGGTAGCATTTCTACAAGTGAAGGAAGGCCAAGGTTTGCCAGCAAACTGCAAGATGCTAGGATAGGAGCCTGGAATCACAGACCCACCCCTAGCAGCTTCAGAGGGAGCGCGATCCCGTTGACACCTTCATCTCAGATTTCTGGCCTCCAGAACTATGAGACGATCCTTTTCTGCTGTTTAAGCCCTGCCAGTTAGTGGTATTTTGCTGCAGCAGTCCCAGGAAACTCATAACCTGCATTTCGTTCCTGACCAATCCCAGCTCTTCCTCTCAAGCTCTCAGGGCTCTGTTTGCCACCAGAGGTGATAGCTGAGGAAGTCGGGGACAGTGGTGAAGTCCTGAGACCTATCAAGCCATCTTAGAGTTTTGTTGGGTTTACAGCACCATGCCCGTGAGACAGTGGGTGTCCCTCCCATGCACATAAGACCATGGGCCTTTGAAAGAACGACTTACCATGCAGGACATTGCTGTGAATTCAGACCTGGACCTGTCTCAACCCCTGAGTCTTGCCTGTCTGTGACCTTCTGTCAGATTTAGCCCTTTTCCATAACTCTCCCTTCACCACTGCCCAGGCTTTCAGCTCCTGCTCTGCCCTGCTGACTCGGCTTCTGTTCCCAGCTCACTGCATGGATTTTTGCATTCTGCTTTCAGGTTTCCTGTCCAAATTGACCCTTAGCCACTCCTGTTTCTGGCTGATTTGCTCATCTCCTCTCTGGTAGCTTCCAGGGAACTTGTCCACTGCAGGATCTGAGATAACACCGGCTGTCGGGTGTTCCAGGTCATCGGGTGCTAAGGTTGCACAGTGTGTTCACTGGGACCTCTGGGGACAGTTTCTCACTGTGACTGTCTTCCTCAAACAGTGGCTCCAGTGGCAAGAATTTCAGACACAGTGTTAGCGAGCAGAGAGAGCATCACAGCAAGGTTGTCTCTGGCAACTTTGCACCTATGTGGGCCTGTGCACCGAGTGTGGCCTGGATCAGAGCAAGATGGGTGTTTACCAAGGACAACTCGAGGGGGAATCATAACTATAGCCAACAAGGGGGCAGAAATGCAGTGGGACCAGGAACCAGAAAAGGAAGTGGAACAGACCAGCCTGGAATCAGATAGGAAGAGAGAAACTGGGTCAGTCCCTGAGAAGGTTCCAGAAGCTGGATTTTACAAGGTGACAGCTCCAGGATGTGGAAATCAAGGGATTTCCCATAGGATCGCTACCACACAGGCCAAAGAGGAGGCGTTTGAGGGCCAGGCGGACCGTGGGGTGCTTTCCTCCCACTTCGATCACTGTGCACAGCCAGACTTCCAACTGCTATCAGAGCAGGGACACTCAAACTGTTCCTTTTGGTGTTGGGGTTTCTTCCCTTCTTGTAGAAAGCTCTCCTAATCAAGAGCACTACTGGCCTGACACTGGCTTCCACCAAATTCATTTTGATGTCAGTCATAAAAGTTAGGTGGGAGGGCAGACCTCCAGGGGCACTTGGAGAGATACAGGAAAACCCCATTGCCTACTCGTAATAAAATATTATGGTTTGAATCATTTGGAGGCTTCTGGAATCATAATTTTAGATTATGTTTCCTTCTTTTTTTTTTTTTTTTTTTTTTTTTTTTTTTTTGAGACGGAGTCTCGCTCTGTCGCCCAGGCTGGAGTGCAGTGGCGGGATCTCGGCTTACTGCAAGCTCCGCCTCCCGGGTTCACGCCATTCTCCTGCCTCAGCCTCCCAAGTAGCTGGGACTACAGGCGCCCGCCACTACGCCCGGCTAATTTTTTGTATTTTTAGTAGAGACGGGGTTTCACCGTTTTAGCCAGGATGGTCTCGATCTCCTGACCTCGTGATCCGCCCGCCTTGGCCTTCCAAAGTGCTGGGATTACAGGCGTGAGCCACCGCGCCCGGCCTTTCCTTCTACTTATTGCAATTAAGCCTAGGATTAAATTGAAAACCTAGTCATCTTAAAGAAATATTCAAAGTTAATGCGGCTATGTATTCATTATCTTAATTCCTATCTATTCTCTCCACTGATACCAGCTTTGACATTAGGTAACCCCTATCTGAGGAAGAGACATGCCTCTGTGGCCCCTCAATCCCTTTAATGTATATTCCTAACAGTTCTGGATGACAGGAGAACTCTGAGGACCAAATGCTAAGCCAAAGGCATAGTTACTTGTAATCAAAGTGAATGTAACCAGGTACCACAACAAATATACCAAAGGAGCTCATTTCAAGATATATTTGTTTACCCATCCATTAGAATGACTGAAATAAATGAAAAACAAACTATCAATTGTTGGTGAAGATGTGGAGCAACAAGAACTCTCATTTGCTGCTGATGGGGATGCAAAATGGTACAGCCACATTGAAAGACTTGTCGACAATTTCTTACAAAGCTAAATGTAGTCTTATGAGGTCCAGCAATCATGCTCTTAGGTATTTATGTAGCTGATTTGAAACTCATGTCCACATAAAAATCTGTGGGTAAATGCCTCTAGCAACTTTCTTCATATCACCATCTGGTAGCAACCAGAATGTCCATCTGTAGGTGATTGAAAAACAAACTGTGGTGCGTTCATTAAGTAGAATACTACTGTTTAATAAAGAATGATATAGCCAGCCACACAAAGACATGGATGAACCTTGAATGCATTTTGCTAAGTGCAAAAAGCAAGTGTCAAAGGCTGCATACTATATGCTTCCAATTATATGACATTCTGGAAAAGGCAAAACTACAAAGATGATAAACAGATCTGTGGTTGCCAGGGTTTGAGAGGAGGTGGGTTAAATAGGTGAACCTGGGAAATTTTTTTTCTTTCTTTTTTTTTTTTTTTTTTGTTGTTGTTGCAGGCTGGAGTGCAGTGGCATGATCTCAGCTCACTGCAACCTCCGCCTCCTTGGTTCAAGTGATTCTTGTGCCTCAGCCTCCTGAGTAGCTGAGACTACAGGTGCCCACCACCACACCCGGCTAATTTTTGTATTTTTAGTAGAGATGGGGTTTCACCATGTTGGTCAGGATGGTCTCAATCTCCTGACCTCATGATCTGCCTGCCTCAGCTTCCCAAAGTGCTAGGACTACTGGTGTGAGCCACCACACCCAGACAAACCTAGGAAATTATTCATAGCAGTTAATCTAGTCTGAATGATAGTATAATGGCACTATGCATTTGTCAAAACCCACATTACCATAAGGTTCACTGTAGTACACCTTAATGTAAACAAATTTTAAAAAATAATTTAGGAGGTTGGAGGGAGTAAGGATAGAAGACTGAATGTGACATAAGAATATAACTGCATTGCAGATGTATGACACAACCTCACTGAAGGTGCTGGGGGAAAAGGTGCCAACTAAATAACTCTGAAATTGAGTATCATGTGCAGACTGCAGGCAAAGGGAACTGCACATAGCACTGTACTCTAGTTGTTAACATTCTTTCTCTCAGGGTTGTGGGTTAACAGTTCTGACACTCCTCTATGTGCATACTGGAGTTGAATAAGTAAATGGATAGTGGATGGTAGGAGCCAGATTTCTCACTGCTGGAGTGAAAATTTACAGAAAAGCAAGGGGAGGACGCTGGAATAATCCATGTGGTAATGAATTAGAGTTGCAGACATGAGTATGAATTCATGTTCGGATAATGTAAAGGAAGATGATTATATATAAAAATATTTCTATATATGTATATACAAGATTAACATAAACACATATATTTCCTAACACTGTCAGGTGAGAGGGCCTGGAAGCAGTAACATCTTAGCAGTGATGAGCACATCTAGGCTCTTGATTTCTAATCCAAAAAAGGAATAAATACATAAATAGAGGAGAATACACAAATCGCCTGTGCGGTGATTTGACAGCCGTCATTTCTGGGTATCTAAGAACACTCATTGAAGAACTCAGAGAAACTCTGCTTCGAGGTATGTTTTCGGCATAGAATGCTTTTCTTAGGCCGCATGGACTGCTAGCGCTGCATCCAGTGGAAATTTCTTCAAAACTTCCATTTTCACTGTGTTGGAGCAATGATGAAACAGATGAAACCAGGGTCCTGACAGTCCACAGCTTCTTGCTAAGGGTTTCCAAGTTCTGTCCCTAGTTGTCATCTTCATAATTTTACCTCAAGCTTTCTAGGTTTTATTTCTAAGTTGTTTATGCCTTAAGGATCCTCTTCAAATATTAGAATTTCTGACTGAAATTTTCCAGGACACACAGTCTATCTTTTGTGTACCTCCTCTCTATTTCATTCTAGCACTACTGCCCTTAAGCCCTCCTGAATTCCCATAAAAAATGTGTCTTGTATCTAATATCGTGCAGACAGTCTGCTATGTCAGAGACACAATGTCAACCGGAAGTGTGCTGCCCTCAAGGATCTCATGATCTGCTTGGGAAAATACACTAGACACACAATTAATCAGCATGTAATAAGATAGGCAAAACCAATAAGTATTTTGCAAAGTGCCACAGGAACATGGAAAATGGAAAGAGGAGCCTTGAGGAGTGAATATTTGTTGACTTTGTGCTGGCCTCTGACAGCTGCCTTGGGGAAATGTCTTCTGCCAGCTTCATGGGATTCATCTGAGGCTCTACACTTCCTCCCACTGGGATCATCGCACACTCCACCCCAGCAGATCTGAGCATCCTCATCCCTTGGGCACTGTAACTGGTTCAGGGATAGAGACGTGATAAATGGGTCCATCAGAGCCTGTTGGGGGATTCATATGGTTATCATGAAGGAAAACCATCTCTCTGCTTCCAGGACCATCAGTGCTAAGCAACATGGAAGCCTGGAGCAGCAGGGCCCATCTTTGCTTCCATTTGCAGACAATCTACCAGAGAATCAAACCAACAGAAAAGGCAGCAGGAATGAGGAGAGGGACAGACCAATGCCTGGAACAGTGTTTGAGCTCCTGGATTCAGCCATGCCTGGAGGGAGCCCTACTTCTTAGCCTCCCATTTACATGAGTCAATAAATGACCTTCTTTGCTTAAGCAACTCCAACTAAGCCAAAGCCTGGGCCAGTCCCTCCCATGTGTGTAATGGAATTCCGGCTGGCTGTTGCTCTCCCAGCCCATCTTATTCCATGAAGCTGCTCAATAATTGTAGAATTAATTAACCTAAAGAAACACTCGGATTATTTTTACTAAAAAAATCAGAAAACTTTTAAGGCTACTGAATGACCTATGACATTCTTAGCCTGATAAGCCTCCTAGGATCTAAGCAAACCTACTCCTTTTGTATATTGTATGATTCCACAGAAGAGGAAATACTCCTAATTTTCCCAATCATGCTGCATTCTTTCTTACCCAGGAGCCGCTGCTCTTTCTGTCACTGCATTCAAATCCACCCTTCCATCTGTTCCTGCATCCCCTGCACCAGCCTTACGTCCCAGGTGCAAGAGCCCTCTTCATTCTGGAAGCTTCGTTCACATTTCTTACAGCACAGTCCTACCACCCCTTGCACGGTGTTTGTTTAGACAGATGTTCTCTTCTTCTTCACTGGAGTGTGATCTTCCTGAGAACAGGGTTTCAGTGCAATCCTGAGTCACCTTTGTATGCCTGAAAAAATCTGGAATACTTCCTTGTGTACCATAGTACTTCCATAAAAGACTGACAGATGGAGGAGTGAACAAATGAACAAAAGAGGGATTATTTTGGGTGCACATCAATGATACTAATTGTCTGGATAAGGGGGAGAACGGGAAACGGCCCCTGTTTCCTCTCCTTTTGTGGCCATCACAAACCAGAATAACTATCAAGAGCGTGAAGACATTCTTCACTTCTGGTTTTTTTTGAACAGTTGTTAAAACTTCAGTGGCCATTTCCAGCCCAGGCTGCCAGGGGAAAAGGCAACATAATCTTTTCTGCGTAGTAGAAGACACAGTTGGCTGACCCTGTAGTTTACACTAAGCCCAAATGCTTATGTGATCTTGGCAATTATTTTCTGTTTGGGATCTCACATTGCTTAGTGATATTGGAGCTTGATGTGGGTAGGGATGCATGGTTGGGTGACTTTGAGTCTAGTATAAGACCTAGTTCTTTGTCATGAAAGTTTCCATGAGGTTCCATGTAATATTTTTAAAATCTGCCATTAGCGCTTGCTGTCTTATTCTTATGTTTGTTGTTGTTTTACTGCCAGGCCTTCGGCCAACCACAGCATGCCTCAGTTTTCTCCTATATATAAAATGGGCATGGTGATAGTGACCGCCACATCGGGTTGCTTGAAGATTAAATGAGTTAATACATATAAAGATTTAGAACAGAGGTTAACACCTAGTAAGTGCACACCAACCACTTACTAATTTTCAAATCATTATCATTAACGTGGGCATGATGGTGGAGGACCCAGATCCTGGAGGACCCAGATCCTACAGCTGTTTGTGGAATAAGAGTATGCTTGCTGGAAAAAGGCATGGGGTATCTGTTGTTGGGGAGGGCTGAGGCAGTGGTGAAGGAGGCAGCCCTGAGGTTTGGAAGGCAGATGGACACAGGGCTCCCACTTCATATGTGTGCCAGTTTGGAGCAAGGTCAGCTTTCTGGCATCCCAGCATCTTGGCACCCTACACCCTGGATCAAGACCAGGCAAAGCTGGGGCAGGACAGGCGACAGGGTGAAAGGGCCATGGGGGAGCCTCACAGCTTCCAAACCTTCCTTCCAAACCCCTCTTCGCTCATGAAGGGCTGACGTCACTTCCACTCGTCCTGACCCCTGCCTTGGGGAGCAGTAGCCAGTGAGCCTCCTGTGCTTTGGGAGTCCCCAAGCCCAATTCTAAGCTGTGTGTTTTGGCTATCACTGGCTCCAACCCTAAACAGAGAAGCCGCTTTAAGAGGCACAGCAGTGAGGGCTCTTGGAGAACAGAACCAGTTGGAGGCAGCTGAAAGGGGGAATTTTTATGAGGACATAGTGAGAATCATGAAAGCCAGCTGCCTGGAGATAGCAGAAGCAGGCCTCTGGGCAGCACACGAGCCAGCACCAGGAGGCCCTTCTCATCCCTGCTCCTCTCCACACAGTAGCTTCTTCCTTCCCGTGGATGTGAGTTCCTGATAGAATGTGTTTATTTATTGATTCATTCCATTAACTTTTATTTTAGGTTCAGGGGTACATGTACAGGTTTGTTATATAGGTAAATTGCATGTCACGGAGGTTTAGTGTACAGATTATTTTGTCACCCAAGTAACAAGCATAGTACCCAGTAGGTAGGTTTTGATCCTCACCCTCCTCCCAAACTCCATTCTCCAGTAGGCCCCGGTGCCTGTGGTTCCCCTCTTTGCATCCATATGCACTTGAGGTTTAGCTCCCACTTCCAAGTGAGAACATATGGTATCTGGTTTTCTGTTCCTGCACTGGTTTGCTTAGGATAAGGGCCTGCAGCCCCATCCATGCTGCTACAAAGGGCTTGCATTTAGTTCTTTCCAGGTTCAAAAGGCAGCTCATTGCCTCCTGCTCTGCATAACAAATACCCAAAGGAGGAGAATGCCATTCACCCAGTTGACTTTAGGTGTCTTCACTGATCCGATCCCTTCTGGCCTCTGAGGGTTTATCCTTGTGGGTCAGGAAGGAAGAGGGGCCATTTAAAAAAAAATGGTTCCCAAAAATGTTGATTTCCCATCAACCAAGGGCACAGGAGGAAACCAGGATTTCCTATAGGACCTTTAAGGTCTCCTTGTCCTTAAGCTTCTTCTGTGTTTCCAGTCAACACGGCTAGGACTTCACTTCTCAGCAGGATCCTGGATTCCCCAGGCAATGACAAATTCACCCGTATCCAGAGCCAGGTCAAACTGCTGAAGACAAACCATTCCCAGGAAAAGGCACACATTCCTGGCCAATTTATATGACACCTGGAGGAGAAACAGCCGTGGAGAAGGTAAAACTCCAGGCTGCACCTCTTCTTTCTGCTGTGGTTGATTGGAAAGGACAGCACTGTCTGATGGGATTTACTGTTTTGTCTCTTCGGACCTGAAAGTTTGTTTTGTACTTGCAAATCTGGACCCACTGTCACCTTGTAACACCCTCCCCCTGAAACCTTGAATGACAAGAAGATTAATGAAAACTGGCACCTGCTCACTCCCTTTTTGCACTGTCACCCACCCTGAGGGAGACGCAGATCTGATGATTTCGAAAAGGTTCTTGGGGATTTGGCCACAGTCTCCTTTCAGATTCGGCAGTCCTGGAGTGTGAGAGCTGTCAGAGTCGAGCCTGGAGTTTTAGAATTACTTAGCTCTAAGGGGCCGAAGCCTACAAACTGGTACGGTGCTTCTCCAACATTAGGAAATATGGTGTCCTTTTTTTTTGTGGGTGGGAGGAGGGGTATTAAAGAGGCAGTGATTTAAATAATTGAAATTTGGAGCTCAGTGTGACTCTGAGATGAGACGTCATTTACTTTAAAAAATCAGAAGTGTGTCTGTTCTCCCTGCAGAGAGCTGCCTGGATTCCTTTCCTGAACCGCCTGCTTGGCCACACCTCCTGACATCCTGTGCTGAGCTGAGTGAAAACTCCACGCTGGGAGAAAAAATGCATGAGGAAAGAGGTTGGTCTAAGGACGGGTTTCTACTTGTTTTGTAGTTTTCTGGGGGTAAAACAAATTACATTGCCACAGAAACTTCATTTTCTATATATTTTTCAAGAAGTTTTTCAGCAGATTTAGAAACTGTACAAAGATAAGAGCAGACACAGTAGCACAATTTAAACAGAGTTCAATAGAATCTGATTTATACTCATGATCCCAGAGACCAGAGCATGTATTAATAAACCATCTCTGGGGGAAACCCATGTTAACATTCCAAAACTTATCCCAGGTTGAATCTTCTGCTATATATCGTCGGACATTAAAATTCCCTGAAGAACTTCAGACTGCAATTTTGCTTTGCAGAAAGTCGGATAATATCACGTCCTCTGGCTCATTTCTCAGCGAGTAAAGATGCAGACACCAGGAGACGTCTCTGGGCTAAAAAACAGTGAGGCATTCTGCTGGTATCCATGTCGGTGCTGGCTCCAGACATGGCAGGGTTTATCTTGCCTCTGGTGGCCTATGTCTGCAACCAGGATGGTCACCTGTTAAAATGCATGCAGTGTGCTCGGGTACGTCACTTCCAACAGCCTTCTTTCGTGAACGGCTATGATGCACAGGTAATTGGCAATATGTAAGTGCTCAACACTGTCATTCTCAGGTAATGCATCTATTTTTTTAATAGCTCACTAAGACATGACATAAAGAACAATGTTCAGTTCCCACAAGCATGCAATTGGTCCCAACATGTGCATGAATGGGTGCATTGCCACATGATATGATGGAATTTTTTAATCTTGCTTGCTGTGCTTAAAGGAGCTGAGAAATGCTTCACAGCAAAGGCAAGAATGTGTTTGAAGAGGAGGAAGCATGCTTTATTTCCTGTCTAAAAAGTTCCTTCTCCATCTACTTCATCAAAGAGATGATTATTTTAATCCAGCTGATCAACAGCACAGGAAGAAACTGCCCCTGCTTCTTCACAGAGCATAAGTGTCACTTTGAGGAGGTCACTAGACCTTTGTAGGCCTCAGGCTTGACACTGGCCATGTGGAGATCGTAATCATCGAAGAACGTCAAGGAGGAAGGCTGTCCAGAGCTAGTCCTGACATTCCTTAAAGGTCATCTTCCCAGCCCCGCCTCGCCTCAGAATGAGCGTGATCTCAAAATAAAAGGCACTCATTTAATTTGAATACATTTTTATCAAGACAGTCTTATAATATTGTTCAAAACATTTCACATTGTGTTCTTTTAAATTAACTTTTTGTTTTAGGTTAATTTTAGGTTTATAGAATTATTATAAAGATAATACAAACAATTCCCATAAACCACACACCCTCTTATCTCTATCCACATCTTACATTAGTATGGCATGTTAGTCAATAAACCTACCAGTAAACTAAAGTTGATGAATTATTATTAATTCATGTATAGACTGTATTCAAATTTCCTTCATGTTTCCCTAATGTTTACTTTCTGTTCCAGGATCCCACCCAGGATTCCACGCTACATTTGGTTGTGTCTGCAGCTCCTCCAGGCAGCGAAAGTTTCTCGTACTCTCCTTGTTTTTGATGACCTTGACAGTTTTGAGATGTATTGGCCAGATATTTGATGGAGTGCCCCTCAAGGGGGATTTGTCTTATGTTTTTGTCATGGTTGGGCTAAGGTTGTCAGTTCTGGGGAGGAAGAGGACAGAGCGGAAGTGCCATTCTTGTCACCTTCCGTCCAGGGTATGTGGTACCAGTGTGACTTAAGCTGCTGACGTTGACCTTGGTCACCAGGCTCAAGGTGGTGTCAGGGCTCTCCCCTGCACTTTCGCGTTCTCTCCATTTCCACACTGCACTCTGTGTCCATGCTTCGAGGTGGGAGTTAGCGCCACCTCCCAGAGAGTCGGCTATCTAACAAAATTATCCAGAATTCTTCTGCAAAGGAGATTTGTGTCTTCTCCCCCATTTATTTGTGTATCCAACATTTATTTATATCACTAATGGACTACAGATATTTATTTTATATTTTGGGTTGTAATCCAATACCACTTTATTTATTTTGTTGTTCCAATTATTTCAGCTTCAGCTGTTGGGGCATCTTCAGTGGCTCCTGTGTCTTTTTGCCATAACGCCGTCATTGAAACTGGAGGTTTTGTTGTTGTTTTGGAACATTCTTACTTCCAAGACCTACAGGATGCTCCAGGCTCATCTTGTCCATTTCTTGCCCCAGTCCCAGAATCAGCCATTTTTCTAAGAACCCCAGGAGGAGAGTAGTAGAAATATTTGGAGAATATTAGAATTCCAGTTGTGCTTTATTTCTGGAGAAAACTTCCAGCCTCTGGACCACATAGTATTTTGGTTGATTCTCACTAAAAGTTTAGGTGGTAGGCATTCTCATTAACCCCAGGTTACAGATGAAATGTGTAGAAGGGTCTGGTTAGGATGTGGTGGAGGCAGAAATGAGACCCAGATGGATACAGCTCCTCACTGCCCCCTGACGATTCCAGTGTCCTCTCTGTTGCATTCCCCTTCGTTCCTTCTGGTGCAGCGGCTGCGGAAGCAGACATAGCATGGTACTAGAAAGGATGGGAGAACAACTGCAGTGCTGGTGTGGCCGTGGGTGCTGAGCTCCCTGGGGTTGCAGATTGTGATACAGGTCGGTGACCGTTCCCTGGCCCTGGTTGACCAGGTTACTGTGACCTTAACATCCTCTGACACATCTTCTAACCTTTCACGTCAGATGTGCTCTTGGAGGACAGGCCGCCACCCTAAGAGCTTTCACCATCACAGACTGCCCGCCTGTCTGCCCATCGCCCTGCAGGCCTGGCCAGCTGCTGGCACAATGGCTGCCGCGGAAGCCCTCACTTGGATCTGAACGTTTCTCCCCCATGTTCAGTTAAATTAACTCAACTAGTAACAAGGGGTTGGCACTTTGTATTCCAGGGAGGGTGGATTAGAGTCATTTCCATTAGCCCTAATTGAGGCCCTAAAGGGAAATTTAATTTATACCCCAAAACACTGCTACATTCTGAAGTCAGCGGCGTGATTTGAGAGAAACGTGAGATGTGGCGGTTTAAAAATAGGTCCATTTTTCCTGAGGGAAGAAGCTGGTTTTAGCCTTTCAATTTGAAAATATTCTAACACCATTGTATGGGGGAAATTGTTTCAACTTAAAAAAATACTAGTTCCAAAAGAACCCCTGAAGCCCCAGCATTTATACTTAGGCTCCAATTTGCCTAGGCCCTTCACTTGGATCCGAGGCACTGTGTCCACCATCTGGGCAGAGCCCTTTGCCTGGGTGTCCAGGCACAGCCCCTTGTCTGGGTGTCCGGGCAGAGCCCCTTGTCTGGGTGTCCGGGCAGAGCCCCTTGTCTGGGTGTCTGGGCAGAGCCCCTTGCGTGGGGGCCTGGGCAGAGCCCCTTGCCTGGGTGTCTGGGCAGAGTTGCTTGCCTGGGTGTCTGGGCAGAGCCCCTTTTGTGGGGGCCTGGGCAGAGCCCCTTGTCTGGGTGTCTGGGCAGAGCCCCTTGTCTGGGTGCCTGGGCAGAGCCCCTTGTCTGGTTGTCCTGGCAGAGCTCCTTGCCTGGGTGTCTGGGCAGAGCTCTTCGCCTGGATGGCTGGGCCGTTCCTCCTTACTGACTGCTTTGTACAAGGTGCCTTGTCATCAACTTCCATCCAAAGGGGAATGGGGATGTTCCCCTGAATCATGCACAGTCACCTACAGGCAGAGAGAGAAGGTGCCTAATGACATGTTGTTAGGGAAAATAGCTAACATGTGCCTTGGAATAACTAATTTCTTGTGAAATGGAGCTATTTCTTTCTTCACTGCCTCTACTGAGATAAAATAAAGGGGCCCCGGCATTGCCGAGGGAAAAGCAGAACGATCTGTGCAAACATTTCATTTGTATAAACAGCTTCCCTTATGACATGGGTACTATTTGGGATTATTTTTAAGACAATAAAAGGTAGTTCATAGCTGTTTTTCTGTTGTTTGCTCATTTTGACACAAAAATTTAGAGTGAGGAAAGGGAAATAGAAAGATAAATAAGATCTGAGCAAAAACAAAGAAGAAAGAGATAAAATACACCAGACAAAACCACTATGTATTCTTGACTTAAACAAATAAGGCAATTGCATAAACTTTGAGGTGGAAGAGTCAACCAGAATGATAAAACCTCAAAAATTGGGCCAGACACGGTGGCTCAGGCCTGTAATCCCAGCACTTTGGGAGGCTGAGGCGAGAGGATGACCTGAGGTCAGAAGTTCAAGACCAGCCTGGCCAACATGACGAAACCCCATCTCTACTAAGAATACAAAAGTTAGCTGGGCGTGGTGGCACACACCTGTAGTCCCAGTTACTCGAGAAGCTGTGCCAGGAGAATCACTTGAACCCGGGCGGCGGAGGTTGCAGTGAGCCGAGATCGTGCCACTGTACTCCAGCCTAGGTAACAGAGCAAGACCCTGTCTCAAAAAAAAAAAAAAAAAAATTAAAAAACCCTCAAAAATTGGAAGATCAACACAAAAAAGGGTAAACCACCAAAGTCTGGTGAGAATTTCTATGTCTTGGTCACTCCAAATGCCAATGGATGAAGAAGGTGGAATTGATGATTGATCAACAGGAAAGGCTCAAGTGGGCAGAGGCCCTTAAAATTCTTCTAAGCACTCCATTTTTTTATGCTTGGTTCTTATTGCCTAGGTTTTCCAGTGAGATAGTTCACAGGCCCCTAATCTACACACCCCAATAGCTGAGACTCTTCCAGCAAAGCCAAGGGTGCAGGTTTCCTAAGGGAGACTTGAGCCCAGAACCCAGTGCAATGGGAATAAGCTTCTGCCCAGCTGAGAGGAAATGCCCTCCCTCAACTTTCACTGTTTCATTGGGCCCCTGGGCCCCACTGTACAGGTTGTCTACCCTGCAGAATAAGTTTCTCCAATGTTGGTGACTTAAAACAGCCATTTTTTCTCTCTTAGTTTCTGTGGGTCATAGGTTCAAGTGTGGCTCGTCCGGGCCCTCTGTTCAGGGTCCTATCAGGCAGAAATCAAGACATGGGCGGGGCTGTCTCATCCAAAGCTTAGGGTCCAATTCTAAGGACAGGTAGTTGTCGGCAGAATCATTTCCTTGCAGCTGTGAAAGCCATGGTGGTTTGTATCTTCAAGTACAGCAGGAGGAAAAGTCTCTGATGTTGTGAAGCTCTTTGATTTTGTCCATCTCTGACCTTTAGAGTTTCTTTTTCTAAAAGACTCCTTTGATTAGATCAGGCACTTCCAGGATAAGCTGAACTCAAAGTCACGTGATTAGGGATCTTAATTTCATCATTTGAAAAATTCCACCTTTGCCATGTGACATAGCCTAATCACAGGAGTGACATCTCATCATAGTAATAGGTCCCATGCTCGCTCAGATGGAGGGGGTCACACAGGGCATGTTCACCAGGGGTACGAACCTTGGGGGCCATCTTAGAATTCTGCCATGACAGCTACCAAATCTAAATCAGCTTCTAAGGCTGCTGCTAAGAGCATAAGTATTTATTTCTCCAAAGAAAGCACAGTGCAGCTATTACCTAAGGACAAGGAGCACAGTAATTCATGCGTGGAGCATTAGAAATGGGGCCTCTACCGGTGGGGGGGGTCTGTTTTCTCCATCTAAAAGTCCCCTGTTGGAATGGGCTGCAAGTACACTTGGGAAGGGAGGACAGCTCTCCAGCAACAAGAGGAGAATTCATTAAGTCACATTCTCTCCAGGTGCCTTGGCTCCTAGAATTCCCTTTGTATTTTTTTTCCTTTTAAACACAGAATGTATGTTAGAATCCCTTAACAGTTTTCAGATGTCCTGGTGAGAGTTTAAAAGGAGGCTTTACTGGGATTCTATTTTCCTTCTTTGTGCTATTAAGCAAAGAAAGCCATTTAAGGGTATCCTGGCAGTTTCGTGTAGCTATCAGACAGTGAAATGAAGAGATCACTTACAACCTGACGTTGATGAGAACTTGGAAGGAGTCTTTGGTGCCCAGACGTGTCTCCTTACTAACAGGAGAAGATAGCATTTACATTAAAACCTGTGGCAACCAATAACTGAATGTAAGAATATCCTCAATTAAAGTGTTTTTCCCCCTACATCCCACAAGTGGGGGAATTCTGGTAACTGGGCATTGCAGATGCAGTCTCAACAAGTGTCTCCAAATTCATGGCAGGAGGTTGTTCTCCCAACAGAGTCTCATATAACCCATCACATCAACATAATAGAAACCCGAAAGTGGGGACTATGCCTGCTGCTTCCCTATACCCCTCAGAAAACAGCCCAGAAGAGGAAGAGATGCACTATTGTGTTTTTCTGTGTGTTTTTATTAAGTAGCGCAGGGCATCCATCTTTATCTTAGAGAAAGTAGGACATTTATCTATGCACAAAGAAAATGAAAAATCACTTGCAATCCTACAGTGTAGAAATAACCAAACACTTAGGATCTCTTCCTTCAAAATCTTTTCTTACATGTATATGTGGAGAAAGCAAGAGAGAGAACATTTTAAAATTAAGGAGATGATAACATGTTCGTTGTTTTCTAATCAGTTTTTTTTTATTAGACAAGGTTCTTTTCAAAATAAAGGCCATGTCTTACATGTTGCTGTGTTTCCAGAGCAAAGCACGGCACTGGCATGTAGTGAGTCCTGAGTGATATCTGTAGAGCAAACCTGTCCCTGTAAACAAACATGGAACCACAGTCTCACGTCAGCAATTGCACATTGGATGATATTATAATTCGGTAGTTCCCAAAGGGTGATATTTTACCACTAAGAATCTTAGGTGGCACATGGATAAAAATGCCTTTATAATTTGCACTTGAAAAATTATGTAAGCAGCCTATCAGCCCCATGATTGCACATTTTTTTAAATTCAGCCTAAGCACTATTTAAGTTAAAAAAAATTTGAGTGAATAATAATTCAGGAGGTTCTCAGATTTGACAAAAATGATAAAGATGGTACCTCAAGTGATCAAAGTATAGAATACTGAGACATGACTTATTCAGCAATTTCCCTCTTAACACACTTATTGACAATGTCCTTATTTTTTCCTGTTATAAAAATGCTGTAACATATTTCTACCTGTATTTTTATATACTTAATTGATGATTCCCAAACAGAAAACTCCCTAGAAATGAAAATGTTACATCAAGTGGTTTGAATGCTTTAGGGCTGTTGACAAATAATGTCAAGTATTGTCCACTACACTGCCTTCAGCCACGCATGAGAGAAAGCAAGCAGCTTAGCATTTTTGGAAGCTTTCCACGAGAGTGGAAAGGCATGAGGATTTTGCACAAGGGGAAATGTGCAGCTCACTGGAATCATGCCTGCACCTGCTCAGGGCTCCTCTCCCATTGGTCCTCATGTTCCCCTAGGTCTTGGTTCCTCTGATTCACTCACTCTTCTGCGACTTTCTCTCTCTCTCTTTCTCTCTCTCTCTCTCTAATCTCTCCTCCTGGCCTTTCTACCCCCAAGATAGAGCTGTGTGTACATTTTCAGTTTAGATAATAATGCAATGTGTGATATTTTGATATTTATCATTCAAAATTAAAGAAAGCTGATATTTATATTACTAATGAGGCATTTCCACGGATTTGCCTTTCAGTTTGGAGAATCCCTTTAGGACCTAGGTGGCTGCCTGTGGCTGGAACCAGAGGTCTCTCCAGAAGACTCCAGGGCTTTCCCTAGGCAACTGGCATTTAGGCCTCCAACTGCTTTGCTTTCAGTGGAGACAGCACCGCCCCCACTCTTTGCCTGGGCCTCTGTTGACCCACTCTTTGCCTGGCCCTGCCCACCTCGACTGCAGGCTTCTGGCCATGGGTCAGAACTACCAGCTCTGCCAAGGAATTCTCCTAGAGGATGGAGCCACCCAGTCACCTGAAGTCATTTCCTAGAGCCCTGAATGAGGACACCTGTCTCCAACATTGAGTCTGGGGACCGTTCCTGGAATTAGGATTGAAACAAAACTGGAAGTGATGGGAAGACGGCATCCATGTCAGATATTTGCCAATCATACCCACAAACCATATATTTAATTAACTCTAATTGATAAAGTTCCCCTTATCACTTATAAAATTTGCTTCAGAAGCACAATGCATATATTTAGTGTGAATGCAAAACCATTACCATTCACAGTAAGAAGGTTACCATATAATTTAAAACAGTGAAGACAAAGAAATGTTCCTTGAAAAGTCTTGCTTTATACTAGCGCCTGCCGAGGACCTGAGCCTGCAGCCCTTCTCTCTTTCTTTAGGAAGATTAGTAGGCAAGAGGGTTGCTGAAGACAGGATAACAACAGGGGTGAGGCTTTCTCCTCAACTCTTCAGGAGACTTGAAAAAGAAGCAAAGAGATGACCCCTCTCCTTCAACGAGATGGTGCTAGCCAGTCCCCAGTCCCAACATCAACAAAAACACCACTCCATACTTCGTGAAACTCTGAAATTATGATGGCTTTTTGGCTTCAATGAAAAACGAACACACAAACAAATAGCAAACCAAAACAGTGCAAGATGGTTCAGCATTCGAAAATGGATCAGTGTAATACATCACATTAACAGAATGAAGGGAAAAAGGCAACCTGATCACTGCAATGGGTACAGAGAAGGATTTGACAAACTTCAATGCTATTTCATGATGCAAGCACTCAGTAAACTAGGAATAGGAGGAAACTACCTCAACATAATAAAGCCTTATGTGGAAAGCCCACAGCGAATATCGTGCTCAATGGTGAAAGACTGGAAGCTTTTCCTCTTAGACCAGGAACTCCTACCGCTTGACTGAAGCTGTGGGAGTGGCATACTTGCCTTGTTCCTGGTCTTAGAGGAAAAGCTTCCAGTCTTTCACCATTGAGTATGATGTTTGCTAGAACCTGCAAGCTCTAGCCAAGGTAATGATCCAATAAAAATAAATGAAAGACATCCAAACTGGAAAGGGAGAAGTAATTATCTCTGTTCACAGATGATATAATCTTATATGTAGAAAACTCTAAATATTCCACACAAAAATACCTGTTAGCACTAACAAATGAATTTAATAAAGTATTATAATACAAAGTCAACACACAAAAATCAGTTGCAATTCTATACACTCACAACGAACAATCTGAAAGGAAATTACAAAAACAATTCTATTTACAATAGCAGCCAAAATAATAAAATGCTTTATTTTATTATTAAAGTGTAAGGAATTAAACAAAGAGGTGAAAGACTTGTACAATAAAATCTATACAACATTGCTGAAAGGATTTTTTAAATTGTGATAAAATATATAAAATACGATCTTGGCTCACTGCAACCTCTGCCTCCTGGGTTCAAACAATTCTCCTGCCTCAGTCTCCCAATTAGCCGGCATTATAGTCATGCTCCACCACACCCAGCTAGCTTTTTTTTTGTATTTTTAGTAGAGACAGTGTTTCACCATGTTGGCCAGGCTGGTCTCAAACTCCTGACCTCAGGTGATACACCTGCCTTGGCCTCCCAAACTGCTGGGATTACAGGCGTGAAACACTGCACCCAGCCTAAAATACATATAATATGAAATTTACCAGCTTAGTCATTTTTAATTGTGTAGGTCACGAGTGTTAAGTATGTTCATCTTGTTGCCCAGCTAATTTCCAGAATTATTTTGTCTTCCAAAAACTGAAACTCTGCATCCATTTCCCCTCACACCAGCCCCTCATGACCACCATTCTACTTTCTTTCTCTATGAAATTAGCCACTCTAGATACCTCGTGTAGGTTGTGTCACACAGTATTTATCTTTTCATGACTGGCTTATTGCACTTGGTGTAATGTCCTCAAGGTTCATCCCTGTTGTAGCACGTGTCAATTTCCTTCCTTTTCAAGGCAGAGTAATACTCCATTGTGTGGAATGTCACATGTATGGGTTTTGTCCACCTTTTGATGATTGTGAATAATATTGCTCTGCACATGGGATGCAATTATCTTTTCATGTCCCTGCTTCCAATTCCTTTGAATGTAGATCCAAAAGTAGAATTGCCAGATAATGTGGTAATTCTATTTTTAATTTTCTGAGGAATTTTCCAGGCTGTTTTTCATAGTGGCTGCACCATTTCACACCCAGGGTTCTGGTTTTTTTAACTGAACTGGACTGAGAGTGTGAACCTGAGTGTGAACTGAACTGGACTGAGAAGTGACATGAGGGAATTTCTATTATTTGAGAGCATCAGAAGAAAGTATTGGTCTTTTGTCCTAGGTCTACCCATCAGGTTTAAAGGGACCGTGAAATAAAAGAAACCACTGCTTCTGCTCACACGCTACGGACTCCCACTCCTTCACTGAACCAGCTATGCAAGCAAGCTAGCAAGCCCAGCTCCAGGCCAGCACTCGGCCCACACTCCCACCTTCCCTCACACACAAGCAGCCTCCATGCTCTGTGAACACACCTGGTCCTTCCTTGCCTTCTGGTCTCTGCTCCCACCACCACCTTCATTTGAGGACATAGAACTCCCCATTCAGGGAATAGCCCTGCCCAGACTCCGAGTGGCCTGTGCGGTCTCTCATCTCAGAGCTTAATCTCTGGGGACTGGGCTTTGCTATTTTAATCCCAGCTCCTGAGTCTGACCTGCATTTAAACCTCGGTTTTCTCATCTGTAGAATAAAAATACATATGGTATTAATGCCTTATAGGTGCCATTCACATTGCTGTGAACAATAAGCAGGGTAATGAATATCAAATGCTAGTGAATGCTAAGTGTTTAATACATTATCCTCTCCTCTCCCTTCCCTTTTCCTGCTCCTCCTCCTCCTTCTTTTTCTTTAATCTCCCCTTGCTCCTCCTCCTTCTTCTTTTTCCTCCTCCTCCTCTTTCTTCTTCTTCTTCTCCCACCCCTTCCCCTTCTCCTTTTATTATACAAACATATGTGGGGCACATTCCAGACTGGTAGTTGATAACAGTTTGGCTCTGTGTCTTCACCCAAGTCTCATGTTGAATTGTAATTCCTGGTGTTGGAGGTGGGGCCTGGTGGGAGGTGATTGGATCATGGGGATGATTTCTTATGCTTCAGCACAATCCTCCTGGTGCTGTCTCATGATAGAGTTCTCATGAGATCTGGTTGTTTAAAAGTGTGTAGCACTTTCTTCCTAGCTCTGTCTCTCTCTCCTGCCGCCAAGTGAAGACATGCTTGCTTCCCCTTTGCCTTCTTCCATGTTTGTAAGTTTCCTGAGGTCTCCCCAGTCATGCTTCCTGTACAACCTGCTGAACTGTGAGTCAGTTAAACCTGTTTTCTTCATAAATTACCTAGTCTCATGTAGTTCTTTATAGCAGGTGAGAACAGACTATTAACAGTGTTCTCTTCTTTATTTTACTGACCATTTTCTTTTTCATTACAGCCAGGCCCAGGGAGCAGGGAGCCGGAGGGGGGCGCATAGGGAAATGTCACCATCGTGCCCATCCTGTAGGTCAAGCCAGCCCAGCCCTTGACCTGATCAGCTTGAGTTCTTCAGTGGCTCTTCTGTGTCCGCATGCTTGTCAGGCCTTTCCAGACCCTGTCACTGTGTGGAATCCTCTGGTCTCCACCTCACCTCTGCACCTCAAGCCTGGAGACAGCCTCTTCACTAATCACTCAGTGCAAATGGCACCTTCTCAAGACACGCCCTCATGTCACCCTCTCTCAGAGCACCAGGAACTTCTGCCTGGTAGGCTGTGCTATCTTTGTGGTGATTGCATTTGTGGTTGCTTTCTCAGTGACTGCACTCACCTTCCTGTCTGTAACCTCCATGAGGGCAGGATCCTGATGGGTTTTCTCACCATTGTATCCCTAGTGTAGACTCTCCATAAATACTGTTAAACAAATGAAGCTCTAATGGCTTCATCAAGCCCCATAGTAACAGCAAAACAGGAGCTCAGGCTCAGATCTGTGGAAGGCCAGATCTGCTTGCTAGCTGAATCAAGGCATCTTGCTCTGCTATTTCATGTGGTTGAAATCTCAGACTCAGCAAATGCACAATTAACTAGATCATGGACTTTGAAGCTACTCACCCACAGAAAATCCATGATCCCTCCTCTGACACATTTGCATTTTCTGTTCCTTCTGGCTGAAATGTTCTTCCTTCTCTCCTCATCTCCACACAACTCCTCAAAATTTGAAGTCTTCCTTGGATTATCCCACTAGCTCCAATCCCCAGGTGATTGCCTCTCATAGGGCCACAGCTCCTGCTCTTGCAACATCTGCAGTTGGATTTTACATGTTGGTCACATGGTTACTTGGGGACTGTCTTCACCCCTTGACAATAACCTGCTTCAGGCCCTAGCATGGTAGCAGGCTGAGAGCAGGCTCTCAGTGTAGACAAGCTAAATAAATGGGTATATGAATCAAGTAAACTCCATCAATTCAGGCACACAGAAAATGTGTTTAGACCTGGTGGCTGAGGGAAGACCAAATATCTGTGATCATTTTGGTTTTACTTTCTAGAGCAAAACATAAGGCCAAGAGAGGAAAATAACCAGATTCAAGGAAATTGATGGATACTCATAAATTAATTGCCAGTTTCAGCCACTCTCAGAATCATGTGATGCCATAGGCTGCCCCATCAGATTTCTCGGTAGGAATACAAACCTTCCCAGTGTTCACAAGATCCTCCAACACCACGCCTGAGTGGCCACCATTTTCCTAGATCTTGTTTTATGATTCGTTTCAACTGCCAGCAGAGTGTTGCTGCTACCAGTGCAGGAGAATCAACACACAGAGCTTAGAGAAAGAGACATTTGAATATTACTGTCCATGTGTCTCTGCTCAAACAAGAGGAAGATAAACTTATTATTAATCCACCGCAGGGTGTGCCATAAAGAACCAATGCGTCCAGGTTACACCTGCAGGGCATGATTAATAAAATCAAATTCCAGCTCGTTCATATCATTTGTCCTTAAAGTTTGCTGGGAAGAAGAATCATGGTCCCCAATGATCAAATTATCTGATCTATGCTCTGCAGCTGTATTGAAATGCTCTCTTCTTCTCTCCATCAAACCACTGTGCTCTACAGTGTGCTGCAAGGGAGAAAGGATGCTCAGAAAAACAAAGAGAGCTCCTGCAGCCAGGAAAAACCTGAAGATTTTTGTAACAAGAAAATATACATTTATTTTAAACATACACATGTGCCTGTGGTTTCAATGTATAAAATGTTTATTTGGCAGGTAAAGCCATTACTACATGGGAGGTAATATGGAAATGAAGAACAAAAACAAAAACAGTGGAGTAATTTTCATTTTCCTTTTGTCCTCAGGAATATAAAATTATTTCTTCATCAAGAGAAAAATAATTAAACACAGCCTCAGGAGACCTGAATCTAAGCCTGGTTCTATCTCTAAATAGCTGTTTGGCTTTAAGCAAGCTGCTTAATTGTTTCAATTTTTTGTTAAGTAAGTACAGAACAACTCATTATTTTTCATATATGAACCAAAATAGGCTTGTTATAATCTGACTTAGAGTGAAAATGCATTTACTGATTCACATGAAAAAACTTGTTTTATTACATTCTCAGGGTAACTACTTTAGCCATTAAAAATATTAATAAGAAAATCAGTACTTCTCTCATGATCCTAAAATGTTAATATCTCATTGACATTACATAACAGCTCAGCAGATGCTACTACTTAATCCTGAAAATTGACTGGAGCCTCAGTGTATACCATGTCCTGAGCACTGACCTTGATGATGCTAAGAACGCCTCCCATTTTAATTCTGTGTGCCTTTATTGTATGCTGTGTAGGTCTGTTTGGGAAATGTGACTGCCTGGTCTACTGTTAAATTTTAGAAACAGACTCTGGCTGTCAATAATGATTGATCATTTCAGTTTAACTACATTTAAATCCAGAACCTGATTATGGATGCTAATGGGTCTTAAATTGAAAATAGAGAAGTCAACACACTATTAACACGTGCTCTTTGACACACACACACACTCACACACTCCAGAGGGCAGATCAAGAATTCAACCCCCCTCCAATTTTCTGAGAGAAACCCCTGCCTTATTCCTGTATGAGCCTGAGACTTTTCATTTATTCATGATCAAATATCAGGTAAGGGAGCCCCTCTCCCAAATGATTGCTCCTTTTCAAGAGTTGCAAGAAATCCGATGCACACCACTGTGTGTTTCCATTCCATGGCAGTGAGCTAAAATAAAAGCAGGAGGAGGGGGAGGCGTGATCTTGCTGGAATATTTAAGTTGTTAGAGATAACCTCAAGATGCTTGAAAGCCCTGGGACGTGACCCACCCTCCCCCAGAACAGAAAAGCAATAAGGCCCATGTGCAGAGAGCTGCCTGCTCAGATAGGAGCCACGAAGGCACCATGTTGCCCACTTCCACTGACGGCAGCACAGCCCTTCCCTCCTGCCTCCTGCCTCCCTCCTGTCTGAAGCCTTAACACTGAAAATTCTGTTTAGTGTTTGAGTCTAGAAGAACAGAGGAAATCTGTGGTATCTCCCTGGCTTTCCTCGTGTTGTTTGCAATCTTACAAGATACAAAATAGTGCAGGCAAAATCCCCATAAGTGTAATTTCCACTTGTGAGAGGAACAACAAAGCAAAACAAACAAACTACAAAATCTTATTTAAGCCTATGTCTTTTTTTAATACATTTACACAAAAACATTTACCCTGCTCCCTATCTTTTTGTTTATCCAAAAGGAAGCCATTTTTCTCTTCCAGTATCCCCATAGAATATCATATTTACTTTTTTACAGCAAAATTGTAAAAGTTTTCCATGTGTTTTAAGGAATTGTTACTCCCCAAGGGGAGGCCTGTGGTATAAGCAGGTGGTCACCCTGGGTCACTGAGGACATTTTTCTTATTTGCAGATGTGGATCTAGTTCAGGAAATGTGTGACTGAGAAAGGGGGGATCCTTGCTGCACGTGATGACCCACACTGTCCCTTGTTTGGAACTTGAGCTGTGTCATCTGGGTTCAAATGCTCAGGGAGGTATGCAGGCATCTTCAGTTCACTCAGTGATACACATTGGCTGTGTCCCCACCCCTATCTCATCTGGAATTGTAGCTTCCACAAATCCCACGTGTCCTGGGAGGGACCGGGGGGAGATAATCGAATCATAGGGGCAGGTCTTTCCCATGCTGTTCTCATGACAGTGAATAAGTGTCATGAGGTCTGATAGTTTTATAAAGTGGAGCTCCCCTGCACAAGCTCTCTCTTGCCTGCTGCCATGTAAGACGTGACTTTTTTCTTCCTTTGCTTTCCACCATGATTGTGAGGCCTCCCCAGCCACATGGAACTGTGAGTCCATTAAACCCCTTTTTCTTTATAAATTACCCAGTTGTGGCTGTGTCTTTATTGGCAGTGTGAGAACAGACTAATACATCCAGACACTGTCTCCTGCACAAACTGTGACTTTCGTTCCCGCTCCTGTACCCACAGCTTGTCCTGTTCACTTGGCATTTCTTCCATAAGCATCTGTTGACTGTCTTCTCTGTGCTGGAAATGGAGCTATGCCCTGGACATACATTCAATAGATGCTTATAGAATAAATGCCAAGTGAACAGCAAGGGTTGGGATAAAACATGGGACTTACTCTCCAGAGACTACAGATG
The DNA here is from genome assembly GCF_000001405.40 of Homo sapiens. NCBI lineage: Eukaryota > Metazoa > Chordata > Mammalia > Primates > Hominidae > Homo > Homo sapiens. The sequence goes on from NC_000020.11 coordinate 60,821,033, forward strand.
GGTAATGAAGCCAGATGAGTAAACAGGAATTGAAACACAGAGGCTTGTGGTTGCTGTGGTTGCAGCAATGATGATAACCATCGTAAGAGCAGCCACCACGCACTGAGCAAAGCCCCCGTGCCAGGCCTGTTTTGAAGAACTGCACCTGTGTTCACTCACCGGGATCCAGAGAGACCTGAGGAGGCAAAACTGGGTCTGCCCATTGTAAGGATGGGGAAGCTGAGGGATGCGGGTTTAGGAGGCTTTCCCAAATTTGCCCCAAGAACCAGGTGGTACAACCAAATCTTGAAGCTTGATCTGCTTAATTTTAGAGCCCAGATACTCACCCCTGGGCTGTCCTGCCCTGGATACCGTGCTGCAGTAGATGGGGCATGAGAAAGGAGGAATTTTAACCCTTCCAATTTCTGATTTCATCTCTATTAGTCATATTGCCCTGTTTGTTATTTTTTTTTTAAATAAAAAAGATCATTATGGAAAGCCTACCATGAGACAGGCTGTTCCGGGTACACAGATGCAAAAGTGCACAGGCTTAAATAAAGGTGTGACAGCTGCGAAGGGAAGAAAACCCCTGTGGTGCCCACAAACACTAAATTTACTAAATAAAAGTGGGAGAGACACAGTCAATCATTTCACTATGTTTTATATTTTTACCTGGATAAATTAACTATTTACAGTGTCATGTAGACAAAACATAATTCTGTGATCTTAGACCAGTGGTTCTCAACTGAGGGCAACTTTGTCCCCAGGAGACATTTGTCAATGACTGCAGACATTTAGACGTTTTTGGTTGCAACGACAGGGCATGCAGGGAGGTGGGGAGGTAACCAGGAGATGGACACGAGCCATGCTGCTAAACATCCTACAATGCCAGGAACAGTCGCCACACAACAAAGAATGATCCAGCCCAAATGCAATGGCGCTGAGGTTGAGAAACTGTGCCTTCAGTGTGTATCTAAACCAGATAGGCATTAACTTGTTTATTTTTGGATGGAGATCACTGGATATTGTCATAACAGAACCAAGTTGTAAATATACCTCTGTGCTGTGTGCAGTAAGCACTGACCAGACTTGCTTGATCTTCCCTGTTTTGCATACATCTTTTCTCTCATCAAACTTAAGATCAAATGAGCAAATAGGGTATTTGTATCCTCACGTCTTAAAGTTGAGATATACAACTGATAATGCTTACAGTGTCTTTACAAAAGATCCCTCCTCCCAACCCCTAAACTCCGGGTGCCCTGTCCATTGACCCCGAGCCAAACAGACACATTTCCCAAGGTACAATTACAGAGATTGACTGCCAGTTAGTAGAAGGCACCCTGGTATCAGCTAATCTGAAATTAAGTGGAGGATAGTTTGTTAAGGCTCTGTTTTGTTAAGCAAGCAAAATGTAAAACCTTCACATCTTTAGTGATTGATTAATGACCTTTTAAAGGACCCTGCTAAATGGAACAATTGAAGAATGTGGGAGCAATTAAGAAGCTTTGCAAGGCAGTTCACTTATCAAAATGACTTAGACAAGATTTCAGCTGGATCATCGCCCCTTATACCTCAAAGGCTGTCAAATCGTATCAAACAGCCCCAAGAAGACTATTTTAGGCATATCAGCAAAATGCCACCCTGAACTTTCAGCAGCAATTATAGGCATAACAGATATTGGCCACATAGAGATCTGGGCTCAACTTCTCCATGAGCTTCGATCTACACACCCCAGATAACCAGCAGATCCTTTTCTTGCCTTCTGTTATAGGTATCTGCTGTTTCCATTAGCATTTCCCAGATAAAAGCCACTGTCTGGAAAGGGTAAAAGCTAAGCTAGCTCAAGTGATGCAGCACTTTGTTCCAGGAAAGCTGCCTTTGAAATAGCAATTACTAATGTGCACAGGTAATTTAAGGAAATGGAGCTAAAGCTACCACAGAGCTTTTCACAGAAATATCGTCCTAAGCGTTTAGTCTCCATTCCTCTTTCTTCCCCGGGCGTTTCTGTTTGATGAAAATGAACTTGTTCCTTCAGAGACTGTCTCAGCCCTTTTTGCTGCTCATAGAGAAGGGCTCTCCCAAGTGCACAACATCCAGGGTGATTGCTGAATGTGTTATTTGCATCTGGACAGAGCAGCTATCCCATGCGCTGGTCTCTTCCTGGACAGAAATAGCCCATTCCTTTCTGAACCCCACCCTGGCTCCCTGGCCTGCTGTGGCAAAAGAGAAGATTAAACATTCACTCAGACATACTTGTCTTAGAGGTTCGTTTTTAAAAGCACCACATGCCAAGGACATCACCAAATGTAATCTCTCCCTAGGGCATGATAAAAGTGAGTGAACTGACTTACGATTGCTTACGATGGCAAGATTTTCATTTCTTGAAATTCATGGACCGCTTGGGAGGGTTATGAGTCAGGTTCTATTCTGGTTTGTATCTTCACTGGTGGCCTCTGAGTCTGTATCCAAGGGATGGGACCTGTACACTCTAGTCCTCCTTCTGTTGACCCAAGCCCAGGGCCACTCTCTGCTCCAGATGAAGCAGGCAGACTGGACTTCTCATTGATGTACCTTCCTTCATGGGATTTTCCAAGGACAAATGAGAGCAGTAAGAATCGGTGCGCCCATAGCTGATGGCTCTGACTCTCCATCCCCCACATCTCCCACCCAGAGCTTATTGATTCCATGGGGCCCTTCTCTCCTTTTACAGCTTTCCAAGCCCTGCGATGACCCGGATCTCTAAAGAGTGGTCTCAGCACTCTCATTTGTATAAGGGAGATACAGATGTCTACCTCATTCAGCCGTGAGAAATAAAAACACTGCAAAGCTCTTGCAAATGTTTCTGGGATTCTATGCTAGAATCTGGGGAAGAGATCTGGAAAGAAGGAGGGGAGTATGGAAGAGGGTTTGCCTGAAAGTGGCGATGGCAGAACAAGTATATTCTTTTACAATATTTAAGCCACACATTTTTTAGGATGGCATTGTGTGCCAAGGATGCTTTTATTTGCACTCTGCATAAGTTTGTAAAAATATCATTATACATATCAAAATCTATTATAATTATTATTATTATTTGAGGTGGAGTCTCATTCTGTTGTCCAGGCTAGAGTGCAGTGGCACTATCTTGGCTCACTGCAACCTGTGCTTCCGGGTTCAAGTGATTCTCCTGCCTCAGTCTCCTGAGTAGCTGAGATTACAGGCATGCACCAGCATGCTCGGATAATTTTTGTATTTTTAGTAGAGACGGGGTTTCACCAGATTGGTCAGGCTGGTCTTGAACTCCTGACCTCAGTGATCCACCCGCCTTGGCCTCCCAAAGTGCTGGGATTACAGGCATGAGCCACTCCGCCCAGCCCAAAAACTATTATTATTCTTCTCAATTTACTCAGAGTAACTAGGGAGTAAATGTTGAGAATTATGAGACCCAACAATCCCACACTCCACCCATAGTCACTCCTTAATACTGCCTCTGAAAGAGGCTTCGTTTCTTTTGTTGTGGTTGTTTTAACTTTTTAGTTTGAAATCATTTTAGATTTACGTAAGAGTCATGAAGGTATTAGCGTATACCCTTTACCATACATGCTTAATCAATTTCTTCTAATGGAGACATCTGACAAAACTGTGGTACCTTTACCAAAACCAGTAATTCAACATTGGTACACTATTAACTAAACCACACTCTTTATTTAATTTCACCAGTTTTTCCATTAATTCCCCTTCTCAGTATCAAAATCCCATCCAAGATACCACTTTGCATAGTCATTCTGTCTCCTTAGTCATCTCTGGTCTGTGATAATTTCTCAGACTTTCCTGTTTCTTATATATCCCCAGTCGTGTTTGTCTCATGTTTTCTCATTATGAGACTGCGGTTATGGATTTGGGGGCGGGAAAAGAGCCCGTGGGTGAAACGCTGTTCTCACCACCTCACATCAGAGTACAAGATGTCCAGATGGCACCCTGGACACACTGTTAGTTACTGGGTTGGTGGGGTCTGTCCAGTTGCTTCTCTGTAAAGCTCCCAGCTTCCCACGTCCAACCTCTCTTCCAGGGTCTGCAAACATTTTTTCGAAGGGCCAGATAGTAGATATTCCAGACTTTGGAGATCAAGGGGAAAAACTGAGATTACCCTGTAGATATTTACATATATAAAATGTAGCATTGGAAAATGTAAAAAAAAAAAAAAAGAAAAAAGAAAAAACATTTAGCTTGTAGGCAGTAAAAAAACAAACAAACAGTCAAAACAACAAACAGCTGGCTTCGGTCCTCAGACCACACATTGCCAACTCATGCTCTGTTTTTCAGGAGCAAGTCACCAAGTCTTACCTGTACATGAGGGGAAGGGAACTAACCTCCATATCCTGGAAGAAGGAGTAACAAAAACTTTGGTAAAACCACCAAGGCAAATAGTAATTATTTTGGGGCAAAGCATTGAAGCTATGCAAATACTCTGTTTCTCCTCAAAGTTTTTCTGTCTGACTTTAGCATTCATCCATGGATATTACCTGCAACAATTACTACTGTTGTCTTCTAATGCTAACTTTCCATGTCCTCATTTCATCTACATTTATTATTTGAAATTCTTCTTTAAGGAAGATTTGTCCCATCTCTCCCACTTATTTATTTATTCAGTCAACTATTTTTATCAGTATGAAGTCATGATTACAAATTTTATTCTTTGGGTTATTAGCTCAGTGTCATGATTTATTTTGTGACCCAAATTACTCTATCTTGGACAACTAGGAGCTCATTCAGGTTCTCCTGTCCTTGTGACATGCTCCCATCTTTTTGCGGGGGGCACCATTTTAACTTTCTGGCACTACAAGGTGCTGCAGACTTATCTGGTATTTTTTCTGATGTAATCCTTAAAATCAGTCATTTTTTTCAAAAAGCTTGGGTTCTTTTCATTGGAGAATGAAGCTTAGAAACCAAGATATGGGTACCAGATGTGCTCATCTCTTCTGGGATATAACTGCTCTGCAGACAGGGATAAGAAATATATCTACTTACATAACTATATCTATAAACACTAAGTCCATTCATATGCAAATATGCATTTTTTTCTGTATCTATCTGTACATATATTTAAATAAACATGACTGCATGCTAATATTCCTAACTCTAATCTTGCAACTGCAGGTCCAGTTCAGTCTTCCCCTTACTAATATGTAACTTCTTCCTGTGACAGTAAAAAACCTGGTTCTCATTATCTACAATTTATTCATTTATTTGTTCAATTCTAGTGTACAGATAGTTTCAAAACTTTTATCACCATGAGGAAAAACTTTACCATCTAGAGTGTAGTGTTGTATATTTATGGTTGCCTTCAAATATCTAGACAAATCATTGCTTTCTAAAATTAATTAGGCGGGCATTTTTTTTTCTCTACCCCCTACAATGACGGTATGCAATACTTGTGTAATACGATAAGATGCATTGTCACAATCTACATCACATCCTGCAATACCCAACATCCTGGCTGATTATCTTTTAAGTAATTTTAATGTTTTTAATCTCCATTGAGTAATGATCAATCTTTGTGATGTATGATTCTCCTGGTTTTGACAAATACTTAAAGTCATGTATCCACAACCACAAAACCATAGGGAATATTCTGATTATTCTAAAACTTCTCTTACAATGACATTTTGTAGTCAACCACTCATACTTCCCCCAAAACCTTGTAACCAGGTATCTGTTTTATATCTCTGTTGTTTTTCCTTTTTAAATTATCATGTAAATGGAATTATACAGTATATAGACTTTTTGACCTGGCTGCTTTCATTTAGCAAAATGCATTTAAGTTTTATCTATTGTTATGGTTAGGCTTTGTGTCCCCACCCAAATCTCATCTCGAATTGCAATCCCCATATTCCCTAAGTGTCAAGGGAGAGACCAAGTGGAGGTAATTAGATCATGGGGGCTGTTTCCCCCATGCTGTTCTCATGATAGTGTGTGAGTTCTCACGAGATATGATGGTTTTTTAAGTGTTTGGCAAGTTCCTCCTTTGATCATTCTCTCTCCTGCCTCCTCTTCACCTTCTGCCATGATTGTAAGTTTCCTGAAGCCTCCCCAGCCATATGGAACTGTGAATCAATTCAATCTCTTTCCTTTATAAATTACCAAGTCTCAAGCAGTTCTTACGACAGTGTGAGAACAGACTAATACATCCATGTTGTGCAAATTAATAGTTTCCCCCTTTTAGTTGCTGAATAGCATGCCATCGCAAGGCTGTACTGCAGTCTGTTTATTTCACTGTGAAGGGCATGTTGTATGTTTTCTCTTTGGGGCCATAATTAATAAACATGCTATGAGTATCTGTCTACAGATTTATGATTCAATATACATTTCTAACTTTCTTGGGTAAATACCTGGAAGTAAGATTGCTGGATTGTACAGTAAATGTTGGTTTAACATTGGACAGAACGGCCAGACTGTTTTCCACAGTTTTGGTACCATTATGTGTTACCTCAAGCAACGAATAATTATATTTATATGTGTTACTTTGGGAATCTCTGTTCTGTTCCATTGATCTACATGTCTGTTCTTTCACCAGTGCCGTGCTGTCTTGATTATGATAACTTTAGGGTAAACTTTGAAATTGAGTTCAGCGATTTTACAGTTTTGTTCTTCTTGTGTTATGTTAGCTATTCTAGTTCTTTGATCTTTCTATATAAACTTTAAATTCAACTGGTCAGTATGTATAGAACAGCTTGCTGAGATTTTGTTTGGGATTGCATTGAATAAGTAGATCAAATTGGGAAGAATTTATATCTTAATAATATTGCATTTCCTAATCCATGAATATGGAATACCATTCCATTCATTTAGATATTTTATTTATTTTATTAGCATTTTGTTGTTTTCCACATATAGATACTGTACTTATTTTGTTATATTTATACTGAAGTACTTTATTTATTTTGGTGCTATTATAATTGGCATTGCTTTTTAAATTTCACTTTCCAAGTGTTCATTATTGGTCCATAGAAAATCAATTTGCTTTTGTACTTTAACGTTATATTCTGTGACCTTGCTATACTCGCTTGCTAGTTGCAGGGTTGTTTTATTTTGCATTTTTGTTCATTTTAAAGGATTTTTCATGTAGACAAGTTTGGCATCTGTGAAAAATTTTTATTTCTTCTTTCTCGAGCTGCACATATTATATTTCCTTTTCTTCTCTTATTGCACTGGCTGAGATATTTAGTATGGTGTTGAACAGAAGTGCTGAGAGGAGACATCCTTTCCTTGTTCATAATCCTGTAGGGAAGGTTTCTAGTCTTCTACTATCAAGTATGCTGTTAGCTGTAGGGTTTTGTACATACTCATTGCCATTCAAAGAAATGTTCCTCTATTCCTAGTTCTTAACAGGATTGTGTGTTGGATTTTGTCATATGCTTTTTCTGCATCAACTGATATGATCATATGATTTTTCTTCTCTAGCTATGAATGTGGTGGATTACATCAATTAGTTTTCAAATGATGGACAAGTCTTGCATACCAGGAATTAATCCCACTTGGTGTGGTGTTTAATTTTTTTATACATTGTTGTATTAAATATGCTAATGGTTCATTGAGGATTTTTGCATCTACATTCATGAGAGATATTGGTCAATAGTTTTCCTTTATTGCAATGTCTTTATCTGGTTTTGGTATTAGTGTATGCTGGCCTCATATAATGAGTTAGGAAGCAGTTCTTCTTATTCTGTTTTCTGGAAGAGATTGCTCAAAATTGACACAATTTTTTAAAACTGTTGAAATTCAACATTGAAAGTGTGAGCCTAGGGCATTCTTTTTGGAAATTTATTAGTTATTGATTCTATTTATTTTTAGATATATGCTAATTGAAATTATCTATTTCTCTTTGTGTGATATTTGGGTATTGTGTCTTTCAAGGAATTGGCCACTTTCATGTCAGTTATAAAATTAGCATAGAGTTGTTCATAGCTTCTCTTTTTAATCCAATTAGTATTGATGGAATGGGTAGTGAGCATCCTTCTTTCATTTGGATATTGGTAATTTATGTCTTCTCTCTTTTTTCTTAGTTAGCTTAGCCAAAACTTTATCAATTTTTCAATTTTTCCAAAAAACCAAGTTATGAATTTGATTTTTTAAAATTATGTTCTTTATGAATTTCACTGATTTCTGCTCAATTTTTATTTCTTATACTTGTCTGAGGCACAAATTGCTTTTCTTTCTCTACTTTTCCTCAGGTGAATCTTAGAGTGCTGATTTTATATCTTCTTTGTTGATACATGCATTTAATGCTAAAATTTATCTCTAAATACTGCTTTCCAGTGTTTTGATTCACTGCATTTTCATTTTTATTTAATTAAAAATATTTTTATTAACTTCTCCCTAGACTTCTTCTTTCACCCACGTGTTATGTAGATGTGTGTTGTCTAACAGGCAAATATTGAGAGAACTTCTAGCTCTATTTTTCTTATTGCTTTCTAGTTTAATTCCATTATGACCTGAGAAGGTACTTTGTGTGATTTCTATATACTTAAATGTATTAAGGTTTGTTTTATGGCCTTGAATGTGATACATGTAATATATATTGGTGAATGTACAGGTGAGCTTGAGAAGAATGTGTATTCTGATGTTGTTGGGTAGAGAGAATATTCCTTCAATATCAGTTAGATCAAATTGATTGGTATTGCTGTTTAAATTAACCCTTTCTTACTGATTTTCTGCCTTTTTGATCAATTACTGAAAGAAAGGTGTTGAAATCTCCAATTACAATATGGATTTGTCTATTCCTTTTCAGTCCAACCAATCTTTGTTCACATAGCTCAATGCTCTGTTGTTGGCTGCATACATGTTTAGGGTTATTATATCTTCTTGGAGAATTAATTATTTTATATTTCTATAATGCCCCTCTTTATCTGACTACCTTTCTTGTTCTGAAGTCTGTTTTGTCTGAAAATAACATAGCTAGTTCAGCTTTGTTTTACTTGGTGTCAGCATGGTGTATCTTTCTCCATCCCTTATCTTTAACCTGCTCTGAGGCTTTATATCTAAACTCTGTTTCTTGCAGACAACATAGACTTGGATCCTGTTTTTTATCCACTCAGAAAATATTTGGTTTTTAATTAGCATATATTTATACTATCCATATTTAAAGTGATTATTGATAGAGTTGAATTAATATCTACCGTTTTTATAACCGGGTTCTATTCACTACATTTCTTATTTTGTTATTTGTTTACTTTTCCCCTTCATTTCTGCTTTCTCTGGTTTTAACTGAGAACTTCATGATTCTATTTTAGCTTTTCTTTTAGCATATCAATTATATTTCTTTAAAAAATATTCTAGTAGTTACCCTAGAGTTTGCAATATACATATTTAAGTCACGTAAGTCCTTCGTCAAATAGCACTATAACACTTCTTATGCAGTACAGGAACGATAACAGCATAGTCCCAATCCTTTCTTTCCTTCCCTTATTAAATTCTCACCATTCATGATTTGCTATAATTACCCAGGAGATTATCACTATTATTACCTTAACCAATCACATATCTTTTAGATAAATTAACAAGAAAAAATAAATACTTCATTTTTTCCTTCATTTCTTTCTTCTCTCATGTCCTTCCTTTCTTCATATACAAATCTGAGTTTTCATCCACATGATTTCCTTATGCACATTACTTCTGTGTTTTGTCTGTTTGGTTGGTTTTAGATAAGAGGCCTTGTTCTTTGTTCTGTCACTCAGGCTGGAGTGCAGTGGTGTGATTATAGCTCACCACAGCCTTGAACTCCTGGGCTCAGGTGATCCTCCCACTGCAGCCACCCGAGTAGCTGGGACTACAGGCATGCATCACCATGCCTAGCCATATTACTTCTTTCAACATTTCACTCAAGACAAATTTACTGTCAGTTGATTCACTTCATTTTTGTTTGTCTAAAATTGTCTTTATTTCTCCTTCTCTTTTGAAATATCATTTTGCTGGATAAGAATGCTAGGTTTTCTCCCAACAAACACTTCAAATAGTTCACTTCATTCTCTTCTTGCTTGTATGATTTATTTTAGATGTCCTCTGTAAATCTCGTTTTTTAATAGGTAAGATAGCTTTTCCCCTGGCTTCTTTCAAAATGTTCTCTTTGTCTTTGTTTCTCTGCAGCTTGAATATCATATGCATAGCTGTGTTTTTTTAATATTTATCCTGGCTGGTGTTCTTTGAGTTTTTTGGATCTGTGGTTTGGTGTCTTTTATTCTTCATTTTGTATAGTTCTTGTCCTTTATTATCTCAAATATTTTTTTCTTACTCTGTTCCTTCTCCATCTGATATTTTAATTGCATGTATATTAAACCTTTTGAGTTATCTCATAATTTTTGGATTCCTGTTCTGAGGTTTTTTTATTTCTTTTTTCTTCTTTTCATTTCAGTTTAGAAAGTTTCTATTTATTTATCTCTGAACTCACTGATGCCTGCCCTGGCCATGCTCAGGCTACTGATGAGCCCACCAAGGGCATTCTTTCTCTCTGTTACAGTGGTTTTGATTCCTTGCATTTACGTTTTTATAGTGTCTTTGAGTTTTTCGTGGTTTTTATATCTGTGGGTGCCAGAGGTGTCAAGTTTCTGAAATGTCCTCAGTTTTGTCTCTACTGGTGGCTTGGTCTTCCCTTTGGACTTGTGCTTAGAAAGAATCTGCATCTTGCAGCTCTTTCAGCTGTAATTCTCTTATATCGGATGCCTGGTACTTGTAGGAAGTTGAGAAGCATTCTAAAATCTTATGATTAAGCTTTTATGCTGAAACTAGCTTCTGAAGTCCATTGACGATTAATTCTTGAAGATCGAGCTAGCTTTGCATTCCTACAATTAAACCAAACTTAGTCATGCTGTATTTTAAATACACACACACCTACACACAAATATCCCCTTCATGTGCACCACTCTGGGACTGGTCTAGCATCCTGTCTATGCTAGTTGTTTATAGCACAGATGAATTATTTGCTATGTTTCTTTGGATGTTGGCTGCACAGGTGCTGCTTGAGGGCAAGTCAGAGATGTGTTGATTTATATCAGAATTTATGGCTTTCCTTCAATCCTCTTCCATCCAGCATTCCCCCTCTACTCTCCAGCCTCCAAGGACCTTCCTCCCAGTTCTCTGTAGAAAACAATGGTGGTACTGGTGGGGAGTGATCAGTGTCTTAACTTTCCATGTTTCTAACTTGCTATTGCATGACTGTGGCCATCCTTGAAGCAGTGCCAGAGGGATATAGGAGGAAGAGGAGAACATTTTTCTTAGACTCTCTGGCTTGCTAAGGCCCCTTCTCCTGGTCCTCTGGCCAGCATATGGGGGTTTCTCTTGGAGTTTTTGGTGCCCACATCTGTGGTGTAGTTTAGCAACTGGCGCCATCCAGGAATCAATGCTGGGAGAGAAAACATGAAAAACGAACAACAGGTTGCTTTATCATGTTTTTCTTTCCCTACCCATCCAACCTACTAGTGGTTCATTTTAGTTCCTCTGGTAGCAGTAATTTGTACTTTCTCTATAATTTTACATTTAATCCCTGGGAGAAAGTGGCTATAATATGATTACTCGGAAACTTCTTTTTCTGAATCAGATATTTCAAGAGTGATACAGAATTATTTTAACACCCCAAGATCTACACCATTAATATATTAATTATCTGCTTCCAGGGTTAAAAGTGGTAAAGAAAATTCAACAAATGCAATTGGGTGAGAACTGTAAATTTTTATTGAAAAGAAAGTTAAAGAGCCATCAGCCAATTCTGTCTATTTTTTCTAAGGAACACCAACCCCCGGATCACATCAGTTAGAAAAGCAGAGAAAATATTCATTGTTAAATTTGTCTTCAGGGATGAAGTCTTGGGCATTAGAGAGTCCACTTAGTTCTCAGTAAAATATATATTAAAGAGAGGATGCATAATTAATAAATAAGATATAGCTTATATATTACCAAAATATCACTCAATTTAAAATATCTTTTCGAAATGACAAAATTGCCCTAAGGACATGTAAAAGTTAATTATAAGAAAACACAATAAATCTTGAAGGATAAAGAAGATTGTTGGGTTGGGAACTAGAAAAATGTGTGCCTCAAACCCCAAATTTACAAATCTCTTCATTGTTAGCAATGGATCAATTACTACTGGTTATAGCTGCATACACGTGCACATTTACACACACACACGCTCATTCACTCAAAATCCATTCAATACAGAACATTTCTAAATAAAGTATTAATTTAAAAAAACACAGTATGGTGGATTATGCACCTAATTATGCCATTCAACAGATAATAAAAAGCAATTAACCAACAGAAACAAATAAGCCAACAATGAACAAAAGCTCCTGCTTTGCTTCCCAGAGACTGGAAACATTGCAAAGTTAAGGCTGGAAAGAGGAATTGGAAAGTGGAGCAGGCCGCAGCAAATTTTAAACCAGACATTTTAAGCCTCAGCTGCCTTATGAAGTCTCACTGCGCCCAGGAGTAGATCCCCTCACTAAGAGAATCCCTGGGAGGGGTTGTGCTCTGAAGACCAAACTGCTAGTTCATTTCTGTATGTTCTTGGGACACCATAAAAATAAAAACACAACACACACATGTACCACACACAATGTAAATTATTGTTGCACAGCAAACAGTAAAAAGAAGTTGCCAGTTTATAAAAAAAACAAGTATCTCATTTTATTCTTTCTGAGATTTTAAACATATTTATCAACATGTTCTATTTTAAATAAAGCAAATGGTCACAAATATTAGATGTGTTAAGAAAATAGGTACTGATATCTAAAAGTGAGATCTACCTACCCTCTTCATCTAGATGTTGGAAAAATTTTGGAGGAGAAAAGGGCTCTTCTGAATTAACTGAGAGGGAAGGACTCATAATCTCCCCTGAATGTGCTAATGAGGACCAGGGACTGGCCTGTGAATTGAAATCCAGGTTTGCTCTCCAGTTTCAATTCTCTGACCTTTAAGAGCCTTTTACTTAAGCTGCTCAAAAGAAGAAAAATAATCTAATTCTCATTTTTTTGCCTTTATTCAAGCAGCTTATTGATCCAGAAGTAAAAAGTAAAGTGCTTTCTAGGGATCTGGTACAAGGGATTTAATAACATCACAAAGGATCTCTGGGATTATAGATCTAAGAAGAGAGACTGATATTTAAAAATAATTATACAATAATTCTCTGATTGTGGCAGTGACAGCCATCAAAAGAGTGCATAGTGGGAAAAGAAAATACTCAAAAGAAGACTTAACCTAGATCAGAGGTCAGGGAAGTCTGCCTTGAAGAAGTGATATGTAAGTCAAGAGCTAAAGGGTGTGTAGACACCATTGAATCTGAAGGATGAGGAAGAGAAATACTGAGCATTGCCCCTGTCAGGAAGGCAGTGCACGTGCACACAGACAGGCCAAAGACTGGGGACCCTTGGAGGACCACGCTGGGACTTCCAGGACACATACATAGGGAAAATATTTACTTTAAATTTATTTACATTAGTTAGGGATTTTTTTTTTTAAATTGAGTAACTTCTATTTTCCAGTCACTATTCTGGCTCCTGTATTACAGAAGTCAAGACGTGCCTGCCTCGTCCTACTTGGGTACCTCTGCGGGTATGTCTATCTTTCTGGACTCCTTATCTGTAAAAAGGGGATAACTAATTCACAGGTTGTCAAAGGAATTAGAGGAAGGAAATATTTACCCTCTCCATGGTATCTCCCCACTGACCTGAATCACCACCTGGTTCTTGTCCAGGCGCTACTATCCACGCTCCCATTCAAGGCCAATCTCTCCAATGAAGCACCAAGTTCACCGTTTTCAGCCTGCCTAAGGTCATGATTTCAGCCATAGCCCCTCCTGCAACTGTTTTTCCTCTCCAGGAAATTAATCCCATTGTTTTTTAAGATTCAGGACCCTCCTTTCATCTCCCATCCTTCCCAGTGAGCTCCCCTTCTTTGTTTCCCTTTGAGTAAAAACCCTAGAAAATACCATCGCCAAGCTTCTCCCATTCCACTTCAAATATCCCCATCTCCATGAGCAAATTCAGGTTTTGTGGGAATTGAAATTTTACAGTTTGGGGAGAGGTGCTTTTTAAAATCAATAGTAGAAAATTATAAATATAAAATTAGGTGTAAAAGTAAATATTTATTTAGAACGAGAATATAAATCATAACAAATTTCAAATGTTAAAATGCTGGCAAATAACATAATCATCACTAAATCCAGAAAAATAGCATTCAGTTGTATTATTTAATTTCCTGACACTTCTGTGACACTTTTATCCTTGCATCTTTTCATTGGACAATCTTTGATTACCTCTTCACATGACAGGAGATTTTAATATAATTTTCTTTGGAGAGCCTAGAAAGATAATCCAACCTTTCCTCTGTCATGGCTGATCAAAATTTGTTTTTAACTATTAAGAGTTTAGAAAAGTTTCTTTTCAATTCACTTTACTGGTAATATCATATAAATTTTTACTATTATTATCAAATTCTTAAAAAGCCTCTATCAAACTCATGTCAAAAAGCCTCTTCCAAACTCCAAGCTTTGGAAGAATTTTTCACAGATTGGCTTCTGGCTTCACACATTCCAATTCCTTTTCTTCCTCCACTACCCATATGCTTCTGGTACTGGTGCCACAGGATATGCTTGTATTATGAGACAACCTCTGGTCCTGCCCCTTGGACAAGACACCTCACAAGTGGACACTGTGGAAGGAAATCATTCCTGACAGCCATGCCTACCCAGACTCCCAGCAATAACTAAACTCCACATGAAGTGACTTGGTGGTCAGCTAAATGTGTTCCCGAGTCAACCTCCCTGTCACTGAATCCCAAAATGCCTCATGACCCTGCTCAAATACCACCAACAAAGTCAAATGGGAATAAACTGAAGTCTTGAAGTCTTAGCTGTGGTTGAAATATCTTTCTTTTGCAAATATTCCAAAATTTGTGAACACATCATTAGGGCCCCTCCCAGAGCCTTGGAAGGAGTCCAAGCCACTGAGGGGCCTGAGATGTGTATCTGCATTCTTGGGGAACCTGCTGTGGAAAGCCCCATCTCACGCTCTCAGCAGAGTGCCAGACAGTGGGTGGGGCCCTTGTGGACACTCACTGTGCTTACCCTCTGGATTCTTATTGCACCTCTCTAGTCCTCGTTTCTCAGGCTCTACTGTTCTAAACCTCTCAACATGGGGTACAACAAGGCTCAGAACTCAGCCCTCTTCTTTAGCTACACAGACTCCTCAGGGAATGGCCAGTCACATGGCTTCAAGTGCCATCCATACCATGATAACTCATACAATTTCATTTCTAGCCCTACTCCCTGACTCCATTTGCTGATAATCAAGTATCTCATTCACCTCTTCCCTTGATGACTAGTCAGCATTTCGAACTTACCATGCCCCCAACCAGATTCTTCACTTTCCCCACAAACATGTTACTCCTGCACTCTCTCTCACCTTGGGAAATAGAAATCCTTTCTTTGAGAGGCAAAGGCCAAGAGCCTTGTTCTTCCCTTGCATCCTCTCTCTGCAGTCCATCAGCAAAGTTTGCCAAGTTTTTAAAATTCACCCAGGATCCAACGAATTCTCTCCACCTCTCTGCTGTGGCCATGGTCCATATACCCATAATCCATTTTCCATTTTCCATGGGTGGCTGTACATCCCTGGATAGGTCTCCCTGCTTCCACCGTGACTCCCAGGCTCTACTTCTTATCACACAGTAGAGGGATCCTGTTAGGATCCTACCTTAACTTGAAATCCCTAGGCTCTCAACTTCCTCAGAGGAAAAGCCAAGATTCCCTGATGTCCCCTGAGGCCATACACTGTCTAAGCCCATTCCCAGCCTCTCTCTGCCTTACCTCTAATCATTTTTCCCCTTGCTCATTTCATCCTAGATAGTGATGATCTGTTTTCCTAAAATGTAAGTTCCATGAGGGCAAGGACCCCCCCTCACTTCATACCTTATCAGCAGCACCCACCATGCCTGGTACGTGGCAGACCCTCAGGCAACCTTTGCAAAACCAAGACATGGACAGCATTTGATAAAAGCCCAGCCCATGGTATGCATTCAATCTATGTTTCTTAATATTACTACTTTCATTATTCCCATCATCACCGGCAAAAGGATTTGAAAAGAGAAAGAAAAGAGTACCATTGGCTCTGTAGGGGGCCGCCTCCTTCCTCTCCTACCCTCCACACACCATGACAATGACATGATATTAATATCCATTGTGCCTTTTCCACAAAGTAGATTCAGGTGGGTGATGCTAAAAGAAAATCTTTAACTAAAGACTCCACGGGTGTCAAGCTGCAGTTCCTTAGCAGGCTACTGACTAAATAATATGTTGGCCCTTAGGCAAATATTCAAACTAAAAATCCTTCAGCAGGATGTCCTTCTGTTCCAAGAATCTCATCTTATCTCCAAAGAAGGAATGTTACAATTAGCAATTCAGAAACTCTTTTACATCTTAGTAACCATGCATAAAAATTAATTCAAGCAAAACCTAATTTAGAATAATAATAACATGCTTTCCTAATGTTTCCTACATTAATCATGGTTAAGACAGTTACTATAGCAGCGCTGTTGGAGTTTATTGAAAATAACGTAATTCACTGTGTTGCAAGTTCTCTTCTGAGAGTGCTGCTGTTTGTTTAAGCAGGATAGAAAGAAGTAAGGAGGCATCCTCTTTCCTTTGAACTAATTTGAAGTTAGATAGCAGACACAGACAAAAGTAATAAAGTGTTGTTTACTCTGAAGTGGGGGGTGGTGACCTTTGTTTTTTATGATAAGATGAGTTTTAAATTTGTACTCTCAGTCTCATCTTTTTGCTCCTATGCAGGAAAAAGAAATACGGGATGATGGAGTCAAGTTCAAAGAGGAGGGAAAATACCACGCATGTATTGTGGCTGAGCCACTCCCTGTCTTTTTTTATGTTTTTTATGATTAGATGAGTTTTAAGTTTGTACTCTCAGTCTCATCTTTTTGCTCCTATGCAGGAAAAAGAAATACGGGATGATGGAGTCAAGTTCAAAGAGGAGGGAAAATACCACACACGTATTGTGACTGAGCCACTGCCTGTCAGAATGAAGTCAACCCTCACTTCTGTCTTTTGAGTTTTCCCAAGGAGCCAAAGCCAGCCTTGAAGGTCACAATGAGGGGTCAATGGTCAGAAGAAGCCAATGAAAAGAATGTCAGAAATTGGAAAAAGTCTAGAAAAGCATAAACAGCGCTTGATTGCACTAGAGTTTCCTCATATATTCAACCCAAAGCCCTTGGGTTCTGGTATTCACAACAATGGCTGGACCCAACTCTTCCTATGCTCAGCCACTCTTCAGCTGCCATTCAGGCAGCCACCTGTGTCAGATTTCCATGCAGGGTACGGACATTGCTGATGTTGTTGTAGGTTTCTCTTAGCAGAATACAATGAGTCAGTGCAGTCGGACAGACCTGGGCTCAAACCTCTGCTATGCCATAAACTAGCTGCCTCATGTCTAGCAAATCACGTGATTCCTCAGGAGCTGTTTATTCCACTGTAGCAGGATTTCTCCACCTTGGCACTTTTGACATTGAGAGCTGGATAATTCTCTCTTGAGAGGCTGTCCTGTGCATTGCTGTTAAATACCCAACACATCCCTGCTGTGGGGTATTTACCAGCATCCCTGGCCTCTGCCCACTAGATGCCAGTGGTGCCCCTATAGTATTGACAATAAAAAATGTCTACAGACATTGCCACATGTTCCCAGGAGGACAAAACCACCCCAGTTGAGAGCCACTGAACTGTAAAATAGAGATAAACAGCGTAGCTCTTTGTTACAGATATGAAATGTGGCAAGCTGCCCCGGATGGACTGGGAACCCCATGAGGGCAGACATCATGCAGGATGTGCTTGTGGAATTAATGAATTTAGGAAAAACCCTCAGGCATTGAGCACATCCTTTGATATGACGATTATGAAAAGCTTCTCTTCCGCTGATTAGAAAAAAATACACTTCTTTTTCTCAAAAATACTTAAACACCACGATTTCACAGTTAATAAAATAGAAGAGCTTTGTCTTGGAAACCTCACCACCATTTTCACAACCAATGGGAGAACTTTGGTCCAGGTCATATGAAGAACTATGTTTTCAGTCAAACTTTTGCAATAGAAGCAAGACAAATCAGGCTTACTCATTTCTATCAAAGGCATCTGAGTTAACACATTCCTAGAGGGCCTTTTCTATAAGATATTTTTACTTTCATTTTTATTCTCATTTGGTAGACAGGCCTTTCCACTCTCTTGCATTTCCTTTTGCTTTTTTTCTTTTTGTAAGTCCCAGAACAATTTCAAAGACAGCATTTGCATTCTCCAGTTCACTGAAGACATATTTACTTTAGCCTAGCAAGTAGTGCACATTTCAAATGTTGACTGGTCACACGTAAAAACCAAATCTGATTTCCTCCTGGGTTCTGTTACTGAAGATGCTCTGCCTTCACTTAATCCCATGGGGATTGGTGTTCAAAAATGTTTTTAATATCAGCTATGTAAATATCCATTCTATCCTTGAATTTTTTAATTAAATGTTTTATTTTGACACAAATGTAAAGTCGCATGCAGTTGTAAGAAATAACCCAGAGAGATTCCCTACACTCTTTATCCAGTTCCTGCCAATAGAAACATCTTTCAAAACTATAGTACAATATACACCTGAATATTGCCTTTGATCCAGTCAAAATAAAACACTTCTGCCTTTACAAGAACTCTTCATGTTGCCTTTTGATATGATTTGGCTGCGTCCCCACCCAAATCTTATCTTGAACTGTAATTTCCATAATCCCCATGTGTCATGGGAGGGACTTAGTGGGAGGTCATTGAATCATGGGGACGGTTACCCTCATGCTGTTTTCGTGATAGTGAGTGAGTTCTCATGAGATCTGATGGTTTTATAAGAGGCTTTCCCCCCACTTTGCTCTGCACTTCTCCTTGTTGCCACCATGTGAAGGACATGTTTGGTTCCCCTTCCACCATGATTGTAAGTTTCCTGAGGCCTCCCCAGACCTGAAGAACTGTGAGTCAATTAAATCTCTTTCTTTTATAAATTATCCGGTCTCGGTTATGTCCTTATAGCAGTGTGAGAACAGACTGATACACCTGTTGTAGCCACACCATCTTCTCTCCTACTCCAACCCTTCTTAACCCCTGCCAACCATTAATCCCATCTCTATTTCTATGATTTTTTGTCACCTCAATAAGTGTAATGGTTAATTTTACGTGTCCACTTGGCTGGGCCACTGGGTGCCCAGATACTTTGTTGAACATTTATTTCTGGGTGCATCTATGGAGTTAGCACTATGGAGTCAGTAGAGGAGTAAAGCAGATTGCTCCCCGAGGTGGGCAGGCATCACCCTATTCCTTGAGGGGCTGAATGAAACAAAAAGGAAGAAGAAGGAAAAGTTCACTCTCTGCCTGACTGCAAGAGCTGGAATAAGGCTCTTCTCCGTCCTTGGGCTAGGACTTGCAGCATCACTTCTTCTGGCCCTCAGGCCTTCAGCTTTGGACTGGAGCTTACACCATCAGTTCCATGCATTCTCAGGCCTTTGGTCTCACACTGGAACTTACACCATCATTTCTCCTGGTTCTCATACCTTCGGTCTCAGACTGGAACTACACCATGGGCTTTCCTGGATCTCCAGCTTGCAAAGGGACATTGTGGAACTTCTCACTCTCCATAATTGCACCAGCCCATTCCTTATAATACATCCCTTTTCCCTCTCACTCTCTGTCTCTCACTTTCATTCTGTTTGCTGGAGAACTCTGACTGATACAAGAAGCATATATAAATGGAACCATTCAGTATGTAAACTTGGGGGATTGGTTTCTTTCACTCCGAATAATTCTCTGGAGATTCGCCTATGTTATTAAGTGAATCAACGAGTATTTTTATTGTTTAGTCACATTCTGTGCTATGGATGTACCATGGTTTGTTTAAATCATTCACCCAATAAAAGACATGTGGGATGTTTTCTACCAGTTTTTAGTTATTTATTATGAATGAAGCTATCATGAATATTCATATATAGGTTTTTGTGTGAACATAAGTTTTCATTTTCCTGGGATAAATGCCTAAGAGTTCAATGACTGGCTGTTTTCAACTTTCCTCCTTGTGTTCAGTTCTCGGAAGTTTAATTATGATGCGTTTGGCATAGATGTTTTTAAATGGATCCTATTTGTGGTTTACTCAGCTTCTTGCATCTGTAGGTTTATGTCTCTTGCCAGACTGGGATGGTTTAGCCATGATTTCCTTAAACACGTTTTTAGCTCTGCCCTGTTTTCCCTCTCCTCCAAAGATTCCAGTGACATCAATGTTAGATCTATTTTTAATAGTCTCATGGGTGCCTGAGGCTCTGTCATTTTTGTTTTTAATTTATTTTTTCTCTGCTTTTCTTTGGTTCTTTCTGTTTACTATTTTCCCCTTTCTTCTGCATTCTGCTCTTTAGACTATACACTGAATTATTTTTAATTTTTGTTATCCTATTTTTCAGTTCTCCAATATCCATTTTGTCCTTCTTTATATCTTCTATTTCTTTGATGAGACATATCATGTCTTTTCTGAGGCACTCTCCTTTTGCTTTGTTTGTATGAGGTGTATTTGTATTTGCTCATTGGAGGATTTTATTGTTGCTTCTTTAAAGACTTTGTCAAATAATTCTAACATCTTTATTGTCTCAGTGCTGGCATCTATTGATTCCCTTTTCTCATTCAATTTGGGCTGTTGTTTTCTAAAACTTTTCTCTAGTCATAGGCTTCTGCTTTCCGGATTCTTTGGCTAGAGAAAGCAGACTTTGAAGGGAACTTTGTGGTTTGCACTTCGTAGTATATCCAGGTTGCTGGCTTCTCCAGCACCTAGCTTGGGATATATGGGACCTGTATTTGTCCATTTTCATGCTGTTGATAAAGACATACCAGAGACTGAGCAATTTAAAAAAGAAAGAGATTTAAATGGACTTAGAGTTCCACGTGGCTGGGGAAGCCTCACAATCACAATCATGGTGGAAGGCAAGAAGGAGCAAGTCCCATCTTACACGGATGGCAGCAGGCAGAGAGAATGAGGAAGATGCAAAAGAGGAAACCCCAGATAAAACCATCAGATCTCATGAGATTTACTCACTACCACGAGAACAGTCTGGGAGAAACTCCCCTCATGATTCAGTTATCTCCCACCAGGTCCCTCCCACAACACATGGGAATTATGAGAGTACAATTGAGATTCAGGTGGGGACACAGCCAAACCATATCAAGACCCATAGAAGACCCAAAGAAGTGTCAGTGACCATGCTGTTTTGGGGGGATCCTGAGTTCCTAAGTGGTCTGCCTCTGCTATCCACCTTTCAGAGTCTCCTTGTACTCGATATATACATGTGTGTATACATGCGTGTGTATATATGCTATATATGTGTATATATAGTATGATATATATTCTATATACTATGTATATACTGTATGATTATAAAAGTATATACTATGTATATGCAGGGAAAGTGTGTGTGCATGTGTGTGTGTACATAGATATTATATATGTCTCCCAGGGTTTTGACTAAACTTAGCAAGATGAATTAGATACAGTATGTGTATTTCCTCCTCCTGGAAGCAGAAGTCTGGCAATATTTTAACACAGTCAGTGAGACAGTACACACAGGTATAATCAATGCAAAGACTAGCTCCGCCATGAGCTTATAAGGTAATTAACTATTCCGAGCCTCAGCGTCCACCTCTGTTAAAGGAGATCGTCACAGAGCCTCCTGCTTGCAATCATTCCCAGGGACAATGTCCCTGGAATTTAGAGTGAGGCTCACCCTGTGGCTCTGGTTAGTCATGGCCATGCTGTCTCGTGCATAGGAGGTATCTTCTCTGCATTGAGCAGCTGTTCTTTCCCAGAGTGCTGCTGGGCAGGAAAGTAACAGATAGAGATGAAGTGGGGATGCTTACAGCAAAGAGGTCCATTTTGTTCTTACTTGGTACTGGCAGAATCAGTTTAGTGGACTCGAAGTGGGCATCGCCTGGGAGCTGGTGAGAAGTGTGGAAATTTAGGGGGCAGGAGGGGGAGGAATCAGAACCTGCATTTTAACAAGAGCCCAGGCGATTTGTGTGCACGCCGCAGCTTGAAAAGTGACTTCAGGGCTGGGCGCGGTGGCTAACCCTTATAATCCCAGCACTTTGGGAGGCCAAGACGGACAGATCAATTGAGGTCAGGAGTTCGAGACCAGCCTGGCCAACATGGCGAAACCCCGTCTCTACTAAAAATACAAAAATTAACTGGAGGTGGTGGCACATGCTTGTAATCTCAGCTACTTAGGAGGCTGAGGCAGGAGGATCGCTTAAACCCAGGAAGCAGACGTTGCAGTGAGCTGAGATTGCACCATTTCACTCCAGCCTGGGTGACAGAGTGAGACTCCATGTCAAAAAAAAAAAAAAAAAAAAAAAAGGAAAATTTAAAAAAAGCAAAAGAAAACTGACTTTAGAGAGTGGGCAAATTTGGAACCCCTGAGGGTTTCACAGCAGGCACAATCCTCCCGCAGGGCAAACAGCAGCTCATGCATGCATGTTTATTTTTGGCCACCAGGAAGGTGAAAAAGCAAAGCAGAGGCCAAGGGAAAACTGGCAGGGGACAGGCAGGAGAGGCCCATGTCAGGACCAAGAATCCCCCGTGAATCAGAGACACGGAAGGGCAGGAGCAGGGGGCAGGCAGGAGAGGCCCATGTCAGGACCAATAATCCCCCATGAGTCAGAGACACGGGAGGGCAGGAGAAGGGAGGCCCGTCATGGGAGCTGCAGATTCTCTTGCTGTCCCTGCCTCCATCTCGTCTTCCCCGTGCAGTCCCCATTCCTTTCTCAGATACATTTGCATTCACTCTCTTTACTACCCCCTGCCTAGGGTGGGCTTGTTTGGCAGTTAGTGCAGATTCATTTTCCACAGTGAAAGCTCCCAGGTGACCTTTAGGTTTATCCCAGTTTGCTTGTGGCTTTGATGTGAATGTGACATAAGTGCATAGGAAGAAGTGTCTCTCCACTGGGGAGACAGGGGAGCCCTCCTGAACAACACAGCCAGAGGGTCACAGCATTCGTAAACCCCAAAGACTGAGGATGGATCACCCATCAGCTCTGGTTCACCTTGAAAACGGAGACGGGAAAACAACTAAGGAGACAGGAGAATCCTCTCTGGCAAAGCATCTTACATAAGTAAAGCAGAGAGCAATGCCCTCTGCCCTCTGCTCCGAAACACAGAGGGGAGCTTGGGTTGTTGTTCAGAACTCCAAGCGCATGGGTTTTGCAGGTTGCAGGAGGGAGATAGTCCTGTTCCTTGTGCAGAGAAGATGGCTGGAAACCACCCAGGGATTGAGGAAATGTTCCCTCCTTCCTTTGAGTGAGGGGATGTTTGAGGCTCATAAGCTGAAGAAGTAGTGAGCTTCTGTGTCCTTGGACCTCAGATCACCCTTGGCCAGTCCAGATAAATTATACCTCCAAGGCGGTGGTGATGGTGGTGGCCAAGGGAAAAAAGCGTCTGTGGCAAACTTGTGCTTTCCTGCCTGGCTTAAAACCAGAAACTGGTGTGAACGACAGGACAGAGTTACTGAGCACTTGCTAGCCTGAATATGAGGCCAGTTTTCTTTTTTTATAAGCAATGCGAAAACCCTGACTATAAAATATGAAAATAAGACATCAAAGAAAGAACATGAGTAGAAAAGAGGTCTAGAGACAAACAGGATGTTTGAACCTAGGAGCTCCCCCAGAACTTTCTCCTCTAGCAATTCACCCCACCTTCGCATTTGACAATCGTGTGCACCAGCAGTTGATGCCACCCACTGTGTGTTGTGCTTCTGGGAATCAGGCAGAGAGGTCTCCAAGGAGCCTTCTTTGATTGACAAATTCAAGTGGCCTAATGGTGTCACATTTGGTTTGAACCATTTGGAAGTTTAAGCTGAAAATAAACTTGCCAAGTTCTCATCACACACAAAGTTAATAATATTCAGTGAAATAATTCAGAACAAGATATGATTAGGAAAAGGAATTCCCAAAATTGCTGTGTACCATTGCCACATCATATTCTGGGTGTATTAGTCTGTTCTCAGGATGCAGATAAAGACATACTCGAGACTGGGTAATTTACAAAGAAAAAGAGGTTTAAAACAATTCTATGTGGCTGGGAAGACCTCACAATCATGGCAGAAGGCAAAAGTCATGCCTTACATGGCAGCAGACAAGACAGAATGAGAGCCAAGTGAAAAGGGAGACCTTTTCTAAAACCATCAGATCTCATGAGACTTTTTCACTACCAGGAGAACAGTATGGGGGAGGACCCATCCGCATGATTCAATTACCTCCCACTGGGATCCTCCCACGACACATGGGAATTGTGGGAGCTACAATTCAAGATGAGATTTGGATGGGGACACAGCCAAACCATATCACTGGGCCCTTCCAAAGGCTCTAAGTTAAAAAAGAAAGAAAAGGCACGATAAAAAATAAGTTTGAACTGGGGAGAAAAATGTGGAGGACAAAAGAAAAACATACGTCCAAGATGCCCCTGTCCTTGGCTTATGTCATGATTTTATTTTCCTGGTTGTATCCATTTCCTAGAAATGTATGCATTTCTAAAGTAATGATTCAGCCACATGAGCAACTTCTCAGTAACCCAGCCTTGGCTCCTGTATTGGTCAGTTCTCACTGCTTTAAAGAAATACCCGGCCAGGCATGGTGTCTCACGCCTGTAATCCCAGCACTTTGGGAGGCTGAGGCGGGTGGATCACGATGTGAGGAGTTCGAGACCAGCCTGGCCAAGATGGTGAAACCCCGTCTCTACTAAAAATACAAAAATTAGCAGGGGAGTGGTGGTAGGTGCCTCTAGTCCCAGCTACTTGGGAGGCCGAGGCAGCGAGAATCGCTTGAACCCAGGAGGCAGAGGTTGCAGTGAGCCAAGATCATGTCACTGCACTCCAGCCTCGTGACAGCGAGATTCCATCTCATAAAAACCTGGAACCGCCTCCCAGGTTCAAGTGATTCTCCTGCCTCAGCCTCCCGAGTAGCTGAGACTACAGGAGCGTACTACCATGCCCAGCTAATTTTTGTATTTTTAGTAGAGATGGGGTTTCACCTTCTTGGCCAGGCTGGTCTTGAACTCCTGACCTCATGATCTGCCTGCCTTGGCCTCCCAAAGTGCTGGGATTACAGACGTGAGCTACTGTGCCCAAACAGCTACTACCCTTTTTCAGGAGTGGTGGGAAGGGAGTAGGAGCTTTGGTCCAAAGATGAAGTCCTCACTCAGGGCACCACACACGTGATCAGAAGCTGCAGGTCCTCGAATGTCCCAGCTCTGCTGGTAGTAGCTGCCCCTCTGCACCCAGCCTTACCTGAGTTACAGCTGAGTAGAATAAATCTTTCTTGAGAACTGTCTCGCAGGTGTTGGAACATGATCTTTGGGTTCAGACACACCTAGATTCAAGTTCTGGATGCAAAACACATGAAAAGGTGTGAATGTGGGAAAGTCATCTTATTTAAATCTGTTTCCTCGTCTGCTAAATAATATAGTTTTGATTTTAGTGTGCCCAGCATCCTGCCCTCTTCATGTGAGAAAAACACGTGCTTCTGGTTAGGAAACCATCACCCCAATACCACATGGGCTTAATAAGCTAAGAGCCGCACTGGCCCAGACTCCTACTTTGCAGGTGATACCAATTGCTGTTTGGCATGGTTTGAGGCAGGAAATTAGGAGCCATTAACATCTTTAACTGGCCTTGGGCTACAAAACTCCCTTTCATTAATTAGTATTGAAAGAATCAACACAAAGCTATCCAAAATGCTATCATCCTTAATTGTGGCATGTAAGACAGACTCAGATACCCAGATAATTCTAACAGACTCCATGCATTTCAGCGTAGTAATGATTTTTAGCACCGAATACAGCCTGGATAGGATGAAGTCTATTCTTTCTGTAGATTATACCACTGTGTCCCTGCTTCTGTTACTGAGCCTTAAACAGAGTCACTGGAAACTGGTAGGCATGCACTCACCTCAAATATACCACAGCTCTCAAAGATAAGAGTCATCGCTAAATATAAACAAAAGTAATTTGTACACAGTAACTAGGACTCTTCCTGGACCAGGTTCCACACATTTCAAGGTTCTAGCAAAGGTTCTATTAAAGGTGACACATTTGTTACGACACTTTTATTTACATGCTAAATAAATACTTTGTTGCTCCTTAGTCTTCAGAATAACCACCTTTCAGATGTTTGCTGAAAAGGTGAATAACTTAGGGTTTATTTTGAGCATGATATGCAACAATTTTAAGTCTTATCTACCAAATCACCTCTTTGTATTGACAAACTATAATCAGCCTTCAAAATAAACAAGGGCACACCTTGAACAGTAATGTGAGATGCAAAGCCTTAATTTCCCATGGTTAGTGGTGAATAAAATCTCTCAGTTATGAATAGGTAAAACAGCAGGGCCACTTAAATGTGCATTTTCAGCTTGGAGGAATGTAGAAAAATGTCCATACAAGATAGCCACCATTTTTCTCCATTTCCCACCTGCATTTGTGAATCCCTTTTCTGTTAACAGTGAAGAAAAAACATTAGTAAATATCTATGTTTCTGCGATCTGTGTACAAAGTTCCAAAATCTTCAAAATTCACATATAGAGCATCGTATTAGAGAAACATGAGCATGGGAGGTCATGGAACAGCACCTGTTCTATCAGAAGGAAGGCACAGAAGAGGAGGGCTTAGGCAACCCAGGTGTGAGGGGGGTTCTCCAAGAAGGTAGCGATTCTGCAAGCCCCTGCCCGCTGCTTTCTCTGGGGTTGAGCTAAAAGGAAGTTCAAACCGAGGAAGAACCCATGACTGCAAATTTCCACCTTTTGCTTCCTTGGGGCTATTTCCATAAAGCAAAATCCTCTCTGATGAAGTTTATTCTCCAGGATCTGCCACTCCTGGTAGGAAATAATCAAAGATTGCAAAGTCTCTGCAAATAATTATTATTCAAAGATATTAGTGGCAAACCAGGTGAGCCCTGCATTCAGAAACGTGCTGTTGATTTCCATCCTCAGCACTGGCAGGTAGGGAATGTGAGCGCATTACGTAACCTGTACCAACCGGGGTTTCCTGCTCAGTAAATTCAGGATCAGATTCCTGTGTAGTGATGGGATCTCTACGGGGTTTGATTAAGAAATAGGTGTAAATCACGTGGCCGGGTTCTCGGGGTGTAGTAAGTCAGTGAGTGTTAGCTGTCAAAGAAATGCCCCTCACCACTTTTCCACGTACAGGAGCCCATTCAGATTTGAGAGGATCCATTTCCCCAGAAATACTACCTTCTATTCCCAAGTAAGACCTCAACACGTAACACACAACTTCCAGGACTGCCAAAGTAAGCATTGCAAGCCCTTTCATGCATTTATCCTTAAACATACAGTAATTTGTTTTTAATAAGGAAAGCTCACTCCCTTATAAACAGTTTACAGACAGCATGTGATGGAATAAAAGTTGTGGCCAGGAGGGAGATGGACTTTTGCTGCCACATCCCTGCAAGGTAACAAGAAACATTAAAAATGCATTTGGTCCTGATAGGTTGAATCCATTTTAACCGGCATAAATAGGACAGATGAGCTATTCAAATGTCTGAAGAGCCCATATAATGAAATATGGATCATATTCTCATGGCTCTGGCAGGAGGAGCCGATAATTTGTTTTCTCTCAGCATTAGTAGTCAGTGGCACCCATAATAAATTATATATTGCAAGTTCATATCCTGCACCCAGTTTTATTTACCTATAGAGTCTGAAATCTCATTTATCAAAGTTTCAGATGGGGAAAAATATAGCTTTAAATTTATAATCTTTAAAGAATCCTGAATTGATAATATGTACATTTTGGGGGTATGGGTAATTAGGAACATATTTTTTAAAGTTTTCTGGTATTATTCCATTGTAATGACTGTTTACCAATGGTACTTTCTGTTTTTAAATGTGAAGATGTATGGAAATCGGCTGCTTCTACCATTTACCTTCACGATAAAACGTGGAATGTTTAGACTCTCCTAAGCTGGAGTGGCTTTGGGGGTGAATTCTGACTGGAACAAAATTCCGCACCCCTTCCTAAGTGAAGACATTGCTGGGTGGATTTTATTTCATGGTGTTCCTTTGGAAACCCCAAATCAGTGGGTTTTTCCTTTACTTCAAATAAAACTCATCTCTGTCTGACAGACTCTCCAGATCCCCAATATGTAATATATGGCTATGGATGGATTTTCTCATTTTCCTCTCTAGAGAACTTTGGAGCTCTTTCTCTGACACCCTGGATTTTCCATTCATGTAAAGGTGAATTCTTAAGTAACAGGACTGAAATCCACCCCGAGGTACTGTAATCCGCACTCCTCTGCACCTCTGCCAGCTCTCCCTGCAGCAGCTTTCCCTAGTGCACTGGGCAACCTTCCGAGCATCCCTTGGAGGCCTTGTCCCCTCCTCTGGGCATGTGCCAGGCATGGGTCCTGTATGGCCAGCACATCACATATCATGAGCGTGCGCAGCTCCGGGACTTGCATTCTTCACCGGCTGGGAGAAGAGTTAGGCATTTTTGTTATGTTCCCTTTTGAGTAAATAGATGTCTTTTTAAAAACCTGGGTCAATATTGCAATATCAACTTCCTTGTCAGCTTCTCTCCCAACAATGTTTGCAAGGGAGAAAAACACATTCAGCATTTACAGCAAACATAACAAATGCCTTCTGTCATCATTAATGCCTACTCCCCACCCATCATCTATCAGTTACTGAGAACCTCAGATTGCCTCCCACTCTTAGAATGACTCTTTGAACACTCCTTGTTTTCTGCAACCACGGCCCCTGCATGCCAGGCCACCATTCTTGCTCATCATAGCTTCCTCGTCTCCGAATTAACCCACTCAAACGCCTGCATGGGAGCCTTACTGAGGTCTTTGCACCATTCTGGGGTCCTCCAACCCATTCTTTATCTTCTAATCAAGTCATCTTTTGTAAACATCAATCTCACAAAGACATTGGCCCAAAATGCCCTTAATGGCATCCCAAAAGTTTTGAATTCTTTTTATGGCACCAAGGCCTGCCTGTTCCTCTGATTAATATTTATTCTCCTCTTTGGATGGGAAACTCCATGAGGTCAGGTGAAATGTCTCTCCTGTTCCAAGCTACATCGCCTACCCTAGTGCAATGCATGGCATATGGTATATACTCAGGGTGCGCTCGGCCATACGTAATAAATACACTCACTTCACACAGATGTCTGCCTACTGCAGCTTCAGCAAAACACTCCTAAAAGAATCTAAATGAGTGTAAACACCTTTAGACCTCAGCTAAAATGCTATTGTTGGCCATGCTCTTAGCTACTGTGTAATGCTGTCTCAACAATTCACCCAACAGAGAGTAGAGTCCAACAACTCAAGCAGAACACGGTTTGCCAGCCAGTCACCTTACCCAAAACGCCTACTCTGTAGGGTTGCTCTGAGGTTTAGAAATAAAATGTTGAACATAACGTCTAGCACACAGTGGATGTCCAGTCATTAATAGCGGTCATTACAATGATGCAAATCAAGGATTTTAAAGTCGTGCTTGGTAAAATGAGGTGATGCCATTGAGAAGGCAGCACCGGAACAAGAATTCCGATTGGCTGAAAACCCAAAAGGGAATAGGATTTTTTTTTTTTAGCAGGCAGGGTCTTTCTGAATGCAGGACATCCTCAGAATTCAGTTCATCCCATTTCCGTGGCTCAAATCCTAGCCCAAACACAGAGGAAAAATGGTGAGCCAAGAGACTGCAGCGATCAGCTGGCACGGGGCAGTCTCGCAAGGGAGCGAGCATGCATTTCAAGTTCTCCACGTCATTTCCAATGTGGGTATTCATGACCTAGCAGAAAACAGAAAAGACATTCCAGGCCTTGAAAATATGCAAATCAAAACAAAACAACCCATCCCTCAAGTGGCCTGTCAATAAAATATCCAAGTTTGGTGTTTTATTTGTGGAAAGAAACCCAATTGATCTTTCCCCAATGACTGGGGCAGCCCTGGCTTCTCTCCACCTGACACCCATGGCACAGAACAGAGATGATCACAGCTCCACCCCACTTCACTTGCACTGATATGTGGGAAAACCTTTCAACAGATATCAGTACCTTTCAATTTAGAAGCAGTCAACTCTACAGATTGTGTTGTAGACAGTATATTTTCTGGACTTAGTTAACATTGCCTAGATGCCTAGATACCAAATTTGGTGAAAGAGGCTTTAACTCTCCTTTCCTTTCTTTTTGAAATGGCAGGATGATCAGGTGCCACCCCCAGGTCACAAGGCCCCGTCCCTATTTTTCCATAGTGTGGATTCATTATCAAGACTAAGAAGCCCGTTGCCTGTTCAGAAACTACCAAGTTAGTAATTACAACGTGGCTTTTTTCCCCTCATGTTTTACTTGAACAATGTGGGAGGAGATAAAAGTTGGTGAACGTTGTTTGATATTTTAATAGAAGGATTGAACACACATCTCAGTTTTTTATGCCATTTTGTCTTGCTTGCGTATGCTGTGTAAGGGTCAACCATTAATAAAACATGTAACACACTAATGGCCCATAAAGAGTATACTTTGTTGTAAGACAACAGGCAAATCCCTGTCTTTGCTTAAACCAGTGCTCTCAAAGAATCTCGCGTCTTTTATTGTCTTTTTATAAAGATATTTTCATCAGGTGGAGGAAGGGTGCTTAGATGTTCATTGTTTTAAAAAGATAGTTTACTCCTTTAAAAGAAAACATGCTCCACTCCATTCTTTGACTTGCATTTGAGAACTGGGGGTTCTCTGAGCGTGGGGGTTCCTGGCGGCTTCTCTGGGAAGTGTCTCTGCCCTTGCCCACTGCCCTGTGTCACATTCTTCTATTGTTACCTGTCAATATCACCTGTCCCCTACCTGAGCTTCTCAGGATATGGCAGCACCTGTTCACAAGTGAGAGGGCAAACCTGGGCTGGTATTCAGCCGGAGTCCCAGTAGATGGCACTGTTCCCTCTGACTTTGCACCAGCCTGGATGAGGGGGACGTGGGCAGCAGGGGAGCTGACTTCTGGGGTCTGCCTGGGTTGCAGACAGAAGAAAGAAGGAGACACGCAAACCACAACTGGACGAGGGCTTGGAAATGTGAAACTCTCCCTGCTGTGATCCTTGCAGGATGAACAAGTTTACGGTATCTTACTTATATTGCCAACAAATAAGATCAGAAATGTTGCCCAAGGGCAACAAGAGGAGATTCAGCAAAGCCTTTATTTAAGACCATGGTTTCCTGAACAAGCATCCCTGGCTGAGATGATGTCCATTCTTTGGAGTCAGACTCTTCAGAATTCCAGCTCTAACCCAGGCTGATGAGATGCACCATGTACCCTTTGGCCTTAGTCTTAGAAGGGAGACCTTCTCACATCTACAGTGGAGATGTAAATGGTACCCACCTCTTCCGGTGCCTGGGAAGATTAGATGAGATGGTTTCCCAGGAAACTGTAAGAAGTAACCACCTACTATCAGCACCTGCATCATTTTGTCATGGTTATTACTGTGATTATTATACTCCTTCATACAAATGTCACTCGCCTTCTTGCCAGGTGCCAGGATCTGAAATTGGCACAAAGAAATCACAGCTATTATGACATGGTTGCTAACTTCTGGAAATAAACAAATAGGTTTTTTTTAGAAAAAGGTAAGTAAATATAACAAAAACATCAAAATGGCATAAGGAGGTTATGAATAAATGCCAACAGAAGGACACAGGTGGTATCCATACCGGGGCGAGGGAAGGGAGAGTGGCAAAGGCCAGAGAAGCCACTGAAGCTAAGAGGAGGGGGAGAGAATTGATTAAAATGTATGGAGAGGAATAAGGAGGTTGTTGGTGACGACTGGGGAAATAAATGTGCAAAGGAAAAGTGGGAATCAAGGTTAGGCCAAGAAGAGGGAGGAGGGGAAACAGCTTGAAGCTGCCCAAGAAGGGCTTTGAGCAACCTAAGGCTCAGGGTTCTCCTGGGGCTGTAGACTTTCCTTATGGAGTTTTGCATCCTAGCTCCCATCATATGTGGGCTGGAGAGAAACACAGCCCCCTTCACCTACAATATTCTGTTTCTGACATTCTATGTACATGAGAAACAATTGGTTTCACCACAATTTCTTTTTTATTTCTTTTTCTTTTTATTATACTTTAAGTTCTAGGGTACATGTGCACAATGTGCAGGCTTGTTACATATGTATACATGTGCCATGTTGGTGTGCTGCACCCATTAACCTGTCATTTACATTAGGTATATCTTCTAATGCTTTCCCTCCCCTCTCCCCCCACCCTACAACAGGCCCCGGTGTGTGATGTTCCCCTTCCTGTGTCGTGTCCGTGTGTTCTCATTGTTCAATTTCCACCTATGAGTGAGAACATGCAGTGCTTGGCCTTCTGTTCCTGCGATAGTTTACTGAGAATGATGGTTTCCAGTTTCATCCATGTCCCTACAAAGGACATGAACTCATCATTTTTTATGGCTGCATAGTATTCCATGGTGTACATGTGCCACATTTTCTTAATCCAGTCTATCATTCTTGGACATTTGGGTTGGTTCCAAGTCTTTGCTATTGTGAATAGTGCCGCAATAAATATACGTGTGCATGTGCCTTTATAGCAGCATGATTTATAATCCTTTGGGTATATACATAGTAACGGGATGGCTGTAAGAAGAATCAATATGGTTTCACCACAATTTCAAACCAGTCTTGTGGGAGGGGAAGAGCAGGGATGGAGGTTCCTAGTTCACAAACAGGAAATGGACTTGTCCAAGGCTGGACAAAAATAGAGACAGAGTTGAGTCTGCAACCCCACAGCCATTTCAATTGCATGACTCTCTCTTAATGAACAAGTTTAATTAAATTCTCAGGTAATGAGAAGACACTGGCAGCTCATGGGCTCAGGGATGAGGAGACGAGAAGACAGGCAGGAGGCAGGGAAAGCAGGAGTCTCACAGGCAGGAAGACAATGAGGATGCCATTGCAGTGATGCAGTCGCACAGAGGAGACTCGTGCCAGGTGGGGGCAGCCAGGTGGAGCAGAAGAAAGACATTCAGGAAGTACAAACAAGGTACAAGTGGAGGCTTGGTCACTACTGGATTCAGAATAAAGGACAGAAAATTCAGAGATCACTCAGAGCATTGGAACCTGGCCCTTCACAGTAAAGTCTGTTCATTAAGACTCTTAGTCAGGGTTCTTCTGAGGGACAGAACCAATAGGATATATGTGTATATAAAGGACTATCCAGGAGAACTGCCTCACATGATTACACAGCAAAGTCTCTTAATAGGATATCTGCAAGCTGGGGATAGAGAGAAGCCAGTAGGGGCTCAGTCCAAGTCTGAAAGTCTCAAAACCAGGGAAGCCAACAGTGCAGCCTTCAGTCTGAGGTCAAAGGCCAAGAGCCCCCAGGAGGCTTCTGGTGCAAGTCCCAGAGTCCAAAGACAGAAGAACCTAGAGTCTGATGTCCAAGGGCAGGAGGAGAGGAAGCAGGCATCCTGCATGGAAAGCAGAGAGAAGGAGAAGACTCTGCAAGTTGTTTGTCCCCTTCTTCTGCCTGCTTTGTTCCAGCCGCACTGGCCGCTGATTGGATGGGGTGGGTCTTCCTCTCCCAGTCCACCATCTCAAATGTCAGTCATCTCTGGCAACACCTTCCAGACACCCAGAAACAATGCTTCACCAGCCACCTAGGCATCCCTCAATTTAGTCAAGATGCCACCTAATACTGACCATCATAAACACCTAATCCATTGCTTAGGATTTACTTCCAAATGCTGACCTTTCATAGCAGAGAGGGCAGCTGACACTTAAGCAGGATGATATCAGGTCTCTGCAAGTCATTCTCCCCCAACACACCTGGCTCCTTCACATTTTCTCCATGAGATTATGCCAAATGATCTCTTATGTACTGAAAATGTTTCTCATGTCAACCTTACACTGACTATTTTTTGAAAATGTAGCTTTGTCCAGATTAATGATATGCACAAAATCATAGATTGGATAATAATAAAAAAACTTTCTTTATCTAATACAAATTATAATTGATATGTGACTCTTCATTAAAATATTGTTTTATCGCTTGCCCTTCCCCCTCCAAAACTGCAAAAACAACCAATAAAAAGGGACCACTGACAATCCGTATCCCAGACTTAGGAAGGCAACAGTTCACAAAACAGAAGCCAGAGTTCCATCTTGTTCTTAGTGTTTAGTGGGAAGAAAAGTGGGCTGTTTGCTTTGCTGCAGAACAAACAAAAGCTCACCTTGTACTTTTACCACTTCTGGAGACAACTTTGTTTACTGTCATGTTGTTTCTGATGCAAACACAGCCTGAGCGGCTCCAGTTTTGCTTTTCTCTTGACCTCATCATTCCCATGCCTCCAGACCCAAGCTTCATTTTTCAGACAGCCCTGAACTGGAGTGCACCTTGCAGGGTAAAGGCAGCACATGCATCCTGCTTGCTGCTGCTGTCTGCAGCTCCCAAGGTCCATAGCGCAGCCACAGGGCATCCTCAGCAAAAAGAGAGCCAGGGTTTCTTGAGCCCTGGCCTGAAGTATCATCCGAATGCAGACAGCACTGATGCTTTCCTGTTAATCTCAGCAGAGTAAGTACCTCCATTAAACTAAAAATAGTTTTAAAATAGCATTTGTAGATAGAATCTTCAGGTTATGAAGAAACTTAAAGTATCATCTCAAACAAGCTTCCAGTTTATGTTTCAGAGAGCTGAGTCTGGGAAACTTCAGACAACTTACTTATACTAAATGCCTTCCATATCCCATTCTTTGTATTGAACTTCTAAACAACTGAACTTAAAACCACTGATTAAAAAATAACTTATATTTTAAAAATAATGATACCACTCAATTATATTTAGCTTGCTATGAAGGTAGATGATCCCTCCATTATAAACATAGAATAAAATATTTGGGAAAAAAATGGGTACTGCAAACCAAGTGCTCTCAAGTTGATCAGAACCTGTAACTCAGAAATTTCACTACTTGACAACTATGCCCAATAAATAATTCAACAGAACAAAAAAAAATGCATATGTATGCATGTGTACACCAAAATCATTATCTGCAGCATTGTCCTTAACAGTAAAAATTATACATAACTGAAATTATTAGGAAATGCCCTCAGAAACGATGTATGTTGAAATAAAAGAATTTGATCTATTCATTAAGTTGACGATATAAAAGCTATAAAAAAGTAAAAATGCAAGATGGCATGCTCATAAAAATTGCAGCGTGAAAAGCATGCACTCACAATCTGCAATAGAGTCAGAATTGGATACAAGTGTCCAACAACAGAGGCCCAGTTCAGAGAATGATGCTCCATCAACTGGATGGACAACCAGGCAGCCTGGAAGAACCACAGAGCAATGTTGGTCAGCATGGAAATCATTTTATTACATCCCACTAGTGAAATAAAGCATGCCAGAAAACAGTGTACACACTAACTTTGTAAGAAAGTATGTACACACACACACACACACACACACACACACACACACACACACACACAAACACACAGCTGTACTCCAAACTCCCAGAGAACAAGAATTGCTAACCTGTTGTTGGGTACTTTTCTTTCTTTTTTTTCTTGTGTATGTATGTGTGTTCTTTTCTGTGTTCAATTATCTGAGTGGCGCTCATGATTGTAAAAATATTATTAAAAAATAAACTGCTGTGATAAAAATGTTGATAGCTATTTATTTATCTTTTTAAATATATATGCACATAAATCTCAAGATAGGAAATGAAAATATTTGTGCTAATGTAATTTCTTAAAATCAGGTATAGAGATTTAATATTGCTTTTTAACTTGTATTTTTAATTAAAAATAAAAATAGATTATATGCATTTTCTTCCCTCTTAAAAAAAGCCTTCCTAGAAGTTCTGATTACGCATAAACACTGTCTGCGTGTACATGTGAAGCGCAGATAATTTTATTTGAATTAATGTGGTTAGGCAGCTTCTTCCATGCACAGCTATCACACCACAGTGAAGCATCCAGGGCATCAACAGCACAAATCAGTGAAATGAAAAAAAATATTATTGTACTGTTTACCAACAGATCTATAATTACAAAATAAATTAACCGTGAAATGAAACACTTTGGGTTTTCTGCAATATTGTTGTGAGAGACTGGGTGATTCTTTTTTTCAAATTAATTCTGAGAAAGCTTGAATGTGAAATATTGCAAAGAGTATTATGTTTTTTTATTCTTATTTTTTATCTTTTTTTTTTTTAAATATCAGCACATATCAGTGTGACTCAGGGACACACTTTCATTTTCAAAGTCAAAGCTGCAAGCTAGGTGGTCACTTTGAAGAAGAGGCTGGGACATGAAAAA
Source organism: Homo sapiens (assembly GCF_000001405.40). Taxonomy (NCBI): domain Eukaryota; kingdom Metazoa; phylum Chordata; class Mammalia; order Primates; family Hominidae; genus Homo; species Homo sapiens. Next base: position 60,857,400 of record NC_000020.11, read on the forward strand.
GAGAAAAAGTTCCACCAATGGAAAGCCCCCATCATCTGCAGGTGACAGGCCTAGATTGGAAGAATGACATTTTCTTTATTCTCCTGTGAAGCCAGAACTCTGAGATCTCACCTCAGGTCCAGGGAAACAAGAGGAAGAAAGACTGATCTGCCCCCTTCCAAACAGAGGATTCTAGTGTCCAGTTGACTGACATCAAGATGGCCTTGCAGGGGCAGGTGCTGAAGCCATCTCCATAAACTATAAAATTAATCAGGGCAGAAGGGAGGGGGGAAATTAACACAAACGAAGCTTGTAGCACACTCAGCATTCGTTATTAGGACAGCTCACTCTCTGACCACTGCCCCATCGTCGTTTGCTACCTGTTGCCCCAGAATCACAGAGATCCTGCTCTGTAGATAACAACGTAAGCATGGTGAAATGTTCCATTTTCCATTTGAGGTCTTCTTTCATTTCCTGCATCAGTGAAATGACTGATGTCAGCTGGCCTGAAGGGCCCCACAGGAATCTGACTCATGGAAGAATGAATGCAGTTTCCACATCCTGATGATTTCATACCCTGGACTCCAACCAATCAATGGTCCCAATTTTCCTGCCTCTCACCCTCCATGATTCCCTGAAAACTTTCAGCCTAAAGCCCCTCGGGGGGACAGACTTGAGGTTCCCTCCTGTCTCCTCCCTCGGCTGTCATGTGATCATTAATCTCTTTCTTTGCTGTAAACCTTGCTGCCTTGGTGGATTGGTCTGTTAGTTCACAGGAGGCCCAGGAACCTGGAGGTCCTGTAACCGTGCCTTTGGTGAGTTTATATGACACAGAGTGAACATACTTACTGGAGCATTCTATGCAAGTATGTTCCAGGACCACTCCCTCCCAAATCCGTCCTCTTTAGAGGTGTGGCAGTGGACACAATCTATCCTAGCAAGAAACTCAGAGTGATTATGATGTAAATGTCCGCATGAAAAGATGTAAACTAGTTCAACCCTTGTGGAAGTCAGTGTGGCGATTCCTCAGGGATCTAGAACTAGAAATACCATTTGACCCAGCCATCCCATTACTGGCTATATACCCAAAGGACTATAAATCATGCTGCTATAAAGACACATGCACACATATGTTTATTGCAGCATTATTCACAATAGCAAAGACTTGGAACCAACCCAAATGTCCAACAATGATAGACTGGATTAAGAAAATGTGGCACATATACACCATGGAATACTATGCAGCCATAAAAAATGATGAGTTCACGTCTTTGGAGGGACATGGATGAAACTGCAAATCATCCTTCTCAGTAAACTATCGCAAGGACAAAAAACCAAACACCGCATATTCTCACTCATAGGTGGGAATTGAACAATGAGAACACATGGACACAGGAAGGGGAACATCACACTCTGGGGACTGTTGTGGAGTGAGGGGAGGGGGGAGTGATAGCTTTAGGATATATAACTAATGCTAAATGACGAGTTAATGGGTGCAGCACACCAGCATGGCACATGTATACATATGTAACTAACCTGCACATTGTGCACATGTACGCTAAAACTTAAAGTATAATAATAATAAAATAAAATAAAATAAAAAAAGAAAAGATGTGGCTCCAGGTTTCTTTGCTTCTAAGAAGAAAGTACATAAAAACAAACTCTCTTGGGGGAAAAAAATGCCCAACTTCCTCTCTGAAAGCTCACAGTGCATGTCACACAATTCATCACTTTATTCAGTCAGCTGTGTGCCTTTTTCTCCTCTTTTTCTACTTAGGTTTTACTTTTTATTTGGTGTTAAGCTTTTAACTTTATGAGGTGTACATTTTCTGTTATAAGCAGAATGTGTGTGGACCTCTATTGTACCACTATCAGGAAGAAATTGACCAGGAATGACATGTCTGAGTTCAGACAAGGAGGCTGCTCTTATTTACCAAATGGCCAGCAACCCTGCAGCTAGGGCATCCCTCCAAGGGAGTCATGCCCCTTCCAAAAAGGTCGCGAAGGAGCTCGCCATGAACACAAAGGTAACAGCAACATCGTCGTCAGAGCAGTTTCGGAAGTGCTCATACCCACCAAGGGCTGGGCTAGTAATTTCCCCTGCATTGCCTTATGTTATTCTCCCTAAAGCTCAGAGAAGGAGGCATTATCCAGCACCAGCCCTCTTACCTGACTCTATAGGAAACAGTTGCCAGTAGCTTAGTTGAAAAATCAGTCAAGATGAGAAATCATGAAGTTACGCATATAATCTAAATATTTCAAACGTGAAAATGCACATATTTTCCAATATTTTGAAATGATCCCAAAGTCTTACCTTAAGTACCGCACCTCTGATTACAGTTCTTGAGTGTGTTTTTTCATCCTCCTGTCACCAATCATAATGCATTGTCACTATGTCACAGTTCCAGTGTCTTTATACACAAGCAATAACTTGAAGCCATATGGGAATGACCTAGAGCAGGGGCCTCCAACCTTTTTTGGAGCCAGGAAGCAGTTTCGTGGAAGACCATTTTTTCCATGGACCAGGGAGGGGGGTGGTTTCGGGATGATTCAAGCACATTACATTTATTGTGCACTTTATTTCTATTATTATTACATTGTAATATATAATGAAATAATAACACAACTCGCCATCATGTAGAGTCAGTGGGAGCTCTGCACTTGTTTTCCTGCAACTAGACAGTCCCATCTGGAGGTGATGGGAGAAGTGCCTCCTGAGTAGCTGGGATTACAGGTGCCCACCAAGACTGCCCGGCTAATTTTTGTATTTTTAGTAGAGATGGAGTTTCGCCATGTTGGCCAGGCTGGTCTTGAACTCCTCAACTTGTGATCCACCTGCCTCAGCCTCCCAAAGTGCTGGGATTACAGGCATGAGCCTCATCGCCTGGCCATGGATTACATTTTAACGTGAGATTTGGGTGGGGTCAAATACCCAAACTCTGTCACTGTCCTTAATGGTGTGTCCTCCACTCACAGCTTTTGCTTCCACACCTGACTTGACAGCACTTACTCTTTGGTGATTCACTTTCTGAAATGTTTAACTGAGCTTTCACAAAAGGAACTCTCTTTTTGCATTCCCATTTCATTGGTTTATACAGTATTTAGTCAAATTACATAATTATGATGTGATATACAATTAAATAAATTGATTTAGGAAGAAACACAACTGAATGTCATTAAGGAGATCAGACACTGTTGCCGGAGGAATCAGCCTGGGAAATGGTGCGTGGGCTGCAGGCTACAGACGCTCAGGGTGCAGGGGTCTCCATCACATAGTGACAGAGAGAAAGGAGGGGGGGTGCTCATGGGAAATCAGTTACAGGAGAAACAGTCTCAACTGCACCTCTGTTTACTATGAGCATTAGTGAGGCTGAAGCCCAAAGACCCCAAAGCCCACCAGCCCCTCCTCTAGGCTCTCTGCATGCTGGCCATGGAACACCTTGCATCCTCAGGGTACCTGAAGCATCTCTCCACCTGCAGAGTCAGTTCCTGAGGCCCCGTGGTGCTCTCATTCTAGGACAGCATCAAGCACGTTCTTGGGCAGTAAGAGATTTTGAGTAAAAAATGGCCATCTTGCCGTTTGTTGCCTCAGCTCTGACCTTTTGCTATGAGCTGAACTATGTCTCCTCCAAATTCATATGTTGAGGTCTTAAACCCCATTGCCTCAGAACGTGACTGCATTGGAGACAGCCTTGAAAGAAATGATTAGGTCTAAAGGAGGCCTTTAGGGTGGGCCCTAATCCCCTATGACTATTGTGCTTATAAAAAGAGGGAATCGGGGCTGAGCACGGTGGCTCACGCCTGTAATCCCAGCACTTTGGGAGGCCAAGGCAGGTGGATCACCTGAGGTCAGGAATTCAAGACCAGCCTGGCTAAGATGGTGAAACCCTGTCTCTACTGAAAGTACAAAAATTAGCTGGGCGTGGTGGCAAGCATCTGTAATCCCAGCTACTGGGGAGGCTGAGGCAGGAGAATTGCTTGAACCTGGGAGGTGGAGGTTGCAGTGAGCTGAGACTGTACCATTGCACTTCAACCTGGGCAACAAGAGTGAAACTCTGTATCAAAATAAATGAATAATTAAAATAAAAGGAGGAAATTGGGATTCACAGGGAGACACAGGGGATGGTCACACAGAGGAGAGACCTATGAGAACTCGGCAAGAAGGTAGCTACCCTCAGGCCACAGAGAGACATCCCAGGAGAAACCAACCAGCACCTTGATCTTGGACTTCCAGCTTCCAGAACTGTGAGAAAAATCAGCTTCTATTGTTTATGTCTCCCAGTCTGTGGTATTTTGACATAGCAGCCCTAGGAAACGAATGTAGCCTTCCGAGCTGCATTCAAACCGCAGTCTTCAGGGGCTCTTGCCTGGATTCCAGAACCTGTCTCCCAACAAGAAGTAGGCTTGCTGGGTGTGTAGTCCTGAAGACCTCCAGAATGAGACACATCTGGGATGCTGGCTTAACAATGCAGACTCCTGGGCTCCACTCTGACCTTCCAAATCCAATCTCCAGGACAGAGACTCAGGAATGTCCGGTGTTAAGAAGCCCAGTGGGTGATTACCATGCCCACTAGCTTTTTGTTCAGTGATACATTATATTTGCACATATTTATGGGGTACATGTGATATTTTGTTACATGCATCAAATGTGTAGTGATCAAGTCAGGATTTGATAACTGAATCAGCATCTGAAAAACGATGCTGATTCAGTTATCAAATCCTGACTTGATCACTACACATTTGATGCATGTAACAAAATATCACCTGCTATAAAGACACATGCACACGTATGTATATTGCTGCACTATTCACAATAGCAAAGACTTGGAACCAACCCAAATGTCCAACAATGATAGACTGGATTAAGAAAATGTGACACATATACACCATGGAATACTATGCAGCCATAAAAAATGATGAGTTCATGTCCTTTGTAGGGACATGGATGTAGCTGGAAACCATCATTCTCAGCAAACTATCGCAAGGACAAAAAACCAAACACCGCATGTTCTCACTCATAGGTGGGAATTGAACAATGAGAACACATGGACACAGGAAGGGGAACATCACATTCTGGGGACTGTTGTGGGGTGGGGGGAGAGGGGAGGGATAGCATTAGGAGATATACCTAATGCTAAATGACGAGTTAATGGGTGCAGCACACCAGCATGGCACATGTATACATATATAACAAACTTGCACATTGTGTGCATGTACCCTAAAACTTAAAGTATAATAGTAATAAAATTAAGCAAACAAAAAACGAGCTCATTCTACCTAAGGATAGATCCCTGGAGTCAGAGCTCTTAACCTGCATAGACCTTATTTGCTATTTCTAACAAGCCACTGGGACCTGGTTGTAACGGTGACAATCTTGAGGCTGGAGTCCATCGCAATCACAGCTGCGCTTGGATCCCATTTCTATGACTCACCAGCTAAGTGATTTGGCAAGTTATGCGACCTTTCTGAGCCCCACTTTTTTAACTTGTTCAAAAAAAAAAAGCATGTTGGAAATACATGGGAAGCACTTATCACAATGCCTTGCACTTACTAGGTACCTGGAATAATAGATATGATTAGATTATACATTATAAAAATACAATGGCTACAACAGTTGATACTGGCATAAGGAGAACAGTATGAAATATAGACACCATATGAATAAACCCTAGTATACACTTTAAAAATCTTTTTTTTTTTTTTTTTTTTTTTTTTAGGCAGAGTCTTGCTCTGTCGCCCAGGCTGGATTGCAATGGTGTGATCTCTGCTCACTGCAAGCTCTGCTTGCCGGGTTCACGCCATTCTCCTGCCTCAGCCTCCCAAGTAGCTGGGACTACAGGTGCCCGCCACCAAACCCAGCTAATTTTTTGTATTTTTAGTAGAGACGGGGTTTCACCGTGTGTTAGGCAGGATGGTCTCAATCTCCTGACCTCATGACCAGCCCGCCTCAGCCTCCCAAAGTGCTGGGATTACAGGCGTGAGCCACCACGCCAGGCCAAAAATCTTATTTTTTAAACATAACTGCAAATGTATAGAGGCAAGGATGGTTTGAAACAAAAGGCTAAGTGCAGGAGCAAAATGCAGCACATCTTTGTTTGCACCAAAGATGTCCCAGGAGGAATTATAAAGACAGAAAAACATTAGGCAATTGAAGGGATTGGAGTGAACCTTTGTTTGGACCTTAACAGTGCAGACTAACCCTCTCATTGAGAGCAACTGTAAATGCTGGACAAATTTTTAGGAAGGAAGGAAAGAAGGAAGAAAGGAAGGACAGATGGACAGACAGATAAATAAAGGAAGGAAGGAAGGAAGGACAGATGGATGGAGAGGCAAATGGAAGGAAGAAAGGGAAGGAAGGAAGGAAGGGCAGATGGACAGACAGGCAGATGGAAGGGAGAAAGGAAGGAGGGAAGGAAGGAAAGAAGAGAGGAAGGAAGGAAGGAAAGAAGGAAGGACATATGGTCGGACAGGCAGATCGAAGGAAGAAAGGAAGGAGGGAAGTAAGGGAGGGAGGGAGGGAGGGAAGGAACCGAAGGAAGGAAGGAAACAGAAGAAAGAAAATTCTTTGAGGGCAACAAAGAACAAATAGGACAACCAGGACTCAAAACCCCCAGATGTGTAGAAGGGCGTTGAGGAGCACACATGGGCTTCTGCTCTTTCCTTGGGATATTTACAGACGTCATTTGGGGAAATTGTGGCTGAACAGGAAGCAATGACCTGGGACTGCAGTGCTTCCTTAAGCTGTGGGGGCTGAGGTTGAAGTTTGGTATTCCCGAGTCAGCCAGTACTTGAGGGGCTTAGATTCTAGAGAAGAGGGAACCACAAAAAAGCGAGCCTGGAAAATTCTGCACTCAATCTTCTCTCAAGGCATCTACCAATTCCTTCTTGAAACATGAGACACCTGAAATCCAAATGAAAAGCAGGAGCTTGGAGGCTAAACAACTGAGCAGAGTTTTTGAGTCTCACTACTCTGGAAACAGGAGGTAGAAGTTCAGGGCCCACTCTGGTTTGGAGATCCTGCTAGACTCTGTCACACACATATGTAAGACAAATATGTGACATGTCTATATGCATATGGTACACACACACACACAGACCAAGGCCTGATGAAATTGTCTGGTAAAGATATAATGAGCCATTTGTAGATTTAGACAACTTATTACTTTTGTCGACAGCAAAAGGAAGCTTACCCAATGGTACCGGTTTTCTGTGGACTCCATCCTACACACTAAAATAGATGCCAACAGAAGAAAAAGGGTCAGGAAAGTTGTAGAGCACCCCATTATTGATGAAAATTGAGCTAAAAATCAATAACAAAGAGATAACTAAAATGACCGATATTTGAAAAATAGCAGTGAATTTCTTAAATAATTCATGGGTTAAAGGAACTATCACAGTGGAAATTGCAAAATATTTTGCCCTAAAAATAATGAAAATGTAGCATACCACATATGAAATGTAACTAAAGTGTTGCACAGAGGCACATTTGCAGCCTTGAATATATGCATTAGAAAAGAAGAAATGCTGGAAAGCTGAGTATTTATGTCTCTATCTGAAGAGGCTGGAAAAAAAATCAAAATTAGATAGAAAAAGAAAAAGCAAAAAAGGGAATGACTATCAATGAAATAGAAGTGAAAGTTAGATACAATCAATAAAGCCAAATGTTGGTTATTTGAAAATATTAATAAAACTGATATATCATTACCAATATAGTTCAAGAAAAAAATAGAATAATCAGAATTGAAAAAGGGGACATCATGAGAGAATCTATGGACATTAATAAAGAAAACAAGATTAATTGAACAACTTCTTGATAATAAATTTGAAAATATATATGAACAAAATTTCTTAGAAGACACAATTTACCAAATTCATGCAAGAAGAAATAGAACATATGAATAGCCCTTAATATATCAAAAAAACATAACCTATAATTAAAATTCCTCTCCAAGAAAGACTCCACAGACAAATGGCTTCAGCAGTTGATTCTTTCAAATATTTAAAGGAGAAATAATACCAATTATACAGAAACTGGGAAACTCATTAACAGCTGGCATAAATTCAGTACAAAACCTGACAAGGGAATTACAGCAAGGGAAAATTACAGACTTGTTAATTTCATGAAAATAAAGGCAACATTCTAAACAAATCATTATTAATTGAATCTAGGCTTTATTTCAGAAATAAAAAGATTGTTTTAAACATTCAAAAATCAATTACCTGTACTAGTAGAATACAGAGGGTGAACTATGTAATTATCTCAATAGATGCTAAAAAAAAGCACTCAAAAAATTCAACATTCATTTATAATGAAAATTTCAGTAAGCTAGGAACAGAGGTGAATTCCTTAATCTGCTATAGGGTATCTTCTTAAGAATTATATGAAAATCATATTTGGTGATGAAGTATCAAAATCGGAACCAAGATAAGTATATCCGCTAATGGCATTATTATTCACATTGCACTGAAAGTTCGGGCAGTGCAATCAGGCGAGAGTATGAATCAGTACAACCACTTTGAAAACTTTTTGGCGTTGTCTACTAAAACTGAATGTAGGCATATCAGTCTGGGTTCCTAACCAGCATAAATGTTTGTACAACAATAGGTACAAATAAGAATGTTTGAATTAGTACTATTTGCAATAGTCAAATACTGGGAACCGTCTTAATGACCATCATTCAATACAATGCAGTCTACTCATATAATGGAATACTCTAGAGCAGCAGTCAGCAAACTGTTTCTGTAAATGACCAGATAGTAAATATTTCAGGTTTTCTGAACCAAGGGGCAAAACCAAGAGTATTATATAGGTACTAATATACCACGTAATAATGTAAAAAACATTGTTAGCTCATGAGCTATACAGAAACAGTGGTGGGCCAGGTGTGGCCCCTGGGCCATAGTTTGCCAAACTCCACTATAGAGAAATGAAAAGAACAACCTCTGTTACATGGAAAAGCCTGGATCAGTTTCACAGGCTGACTCAACTGAAAGACACCAGATGCAAAAGAGCATACGTACGGCTCCCTTTATGCGAAGTTAAAAACAGCAGCACAATTTATGGGACTAGAAGTACACAGAGGGCTCAACCCTCAATCAAGGGTTATCAATTAGCAGGGGGCACAAGACAGGCTTCTGGGGCTAGGAATATCCTCTGAGCCGAGTGGCGTTGTATTCATTTGTACAAATTTATTAAACCATAAATATAAATTTGTGCATTTGCTGTGTTTATATTTATCTTCAGTTAAAAGGCTTATAAAATAAATTGTTGGTGAATATTTATTAGTGTGTACCTTCAGAGCAGACTTCGTATGTACAGGGGTAAAGAGAGAAAGGAAAAAGGAACCTCTCCACCGTTTCTGACTGAGCCTCAGGGGGACATGTGAAAGGTTCTCACCAGGCAGTTATTACAGGCAGTTACTTCAACATCAACCAAAATGGCAAAAACTGGAAGCAAGTTGAATGTCCCAAACTTGAGTATTTTTTAATAAATTGTGATATATACATATAATGAAATATCATGCTTCTTTGTAAACAATGTTATTAAAGAAGTTTTATCCATATGGGAAAATTCCCACAATACTGTGGGAATACAAATTTAAAAATCAGTATATGAAATACACACACAGTCACACACACATATTAGAAAACTATCAAAATTTCAACTATGGTTATTTCTGAGTTACAGACTTATAGATAATCTGTGTCTTTTTTGTTTTAAACTATATTGTATTTTTTCATATTTCAAAAATAATATTGCGTATGTAATCAAGAAAAATATTTTCTTTTTTATTCTTTTTTTTTTGAGACAGGGTCTTGCTACGTTGCCCAGGCTGGTCTTGAGCTCCTGGGCTCAAGCAATCCTTCTGCCTCGGCCTCCCAAAGTGCTGGGATTACAGGTGTGAGCCACCACACCTGGCCCAGAAGAAGAAAAGTATTTTCAAGGAGCCCAGAGTAGGGGGAGGACAGTTTTAAAGTTATTATTCTGATTCATGAGCTTTACCTTGGGAAATAAAATATCCTCATAACCTGAAAGAAAAACACAACCATTTCAACTACTTTTTAGAGAAATGAATTTTTAAAATAAACTTTGAACAACCTCATAAATAGGACAATGTTTCTTATCACTGCTGTATGATGGAGGCAACAAATGTGAAACTGAAGACTGTCAGTATCAATATTTATGGTGAATAAGATGATTCCGCTGATGAAGATGTTTATAATACACATTCTTTCAATCAACATTAACTTATCACCTATTCTTTGCCCAGCACTTACTGGCAGCAGGTATACAGGTAATCAGATAGTCAGGTCCCAGAGGATTGTGAAATACTACAAGCATCATCAGAAAACCACATAAATAAAAATAAAACTCCTACTCTGATACATGCTACAAATGAGAAAAAAAAATAATTCTCTGGGAACAAACAACAGGCTTCCAGCCATTTCCCTAAATCCACAAAGCTGGCTTTGAAGTGTCAGGCACACCTGCTGCCTTCCTAGTAAATCTGACACATATGTTTTACACCTGGACAATTCCCATTTTTCTAGCGGCGTTGGGTTGGGAATGAATTTAATCACATACATTTGAAAACTATCGGAATCCAGACCAATGCTCACCACCTGCCAGGGGCTCAGGAAGGATGGATAAGTTTCCCTTATGAGAAGAAAACAAGGGTCCATGTCCAGGATTCAAGAGTAATTTTCTCCTGCAGGGTGGGGTGCCTAGGGCTGGAGCGCTGGATAGAGAAGGGGGCTGGATTGAAACCCAGTGTCAGAGAACTGCCTAGACCAACAGGTATTGACAACCGTCCTGGGTGAAGCAAGTTCACAGATATATACCTTTGATTTAATTAATTTGTTAATTAAAATAGACCAAGCATAGTGCTGGAATGCAGTTTGCACACTTACGGATCTCACAGGGGAGGGGAAACATCTTACGGAGCTCCGGCGGGATGCCAGGGGCTGACGCAGGAGTGTGTGTCAGTGACCCTCAGAGCCAGCTCAGATAGGAAGGGCTGCAGGAGTGAGCCTTGGGGGGAACATCGAGGGTGGCCCAGAGATAGCAGCCACCGCCAACCGCTGGACACATGTCGGGAAGCCAGGCTGGACTGCAAGCCTCGGGCCGAGAGAAGGACAGTGAGGCACGTCCGGTGCTTCTGTGTGGCTCTGCATCCCACAGAAAGAACTCAGTAGAAAGGGGAGTTTCAGAAACCACGGGAGGTGGTGAAGCAGTGAGCACAGCATGCCCCGCCTGGATCATGGGCAGTGCATGGGAGAGAAGCTGTGGTCAAGTCTTTGAAAGCAACCCTAGGGATCCCACCATGTAGGAGGGGGCAATCACCCCTGAATCCTGGACTTGGTCCCTCATTTCCCTCTACGTCCCACTCACACCGTGTTATAGGTCGCCGTGAGAGCCATTTCTTCCTGGGTCTCTTTCCAGGTGTGAGAGAACTTCCACCACGCCCCTCCTGCAGCAGCCCCGTGGCTCTATTTGATCACGTCGTCTTCTGTGATGTGGCAGAAGTGCCAGTCGCAAGACGCCCTCCATCCAGACACGCAGGTGACATCATGCCCCCAGACAGCAGGGTGGGAGGGAACATCTTAAGGGGCGCTTCGCCTCCGTGACCCCCATGCCTGCAAGCCTGAACCCCTGTATGCGTTGGAAGGGAGTTCACAGCATGCCACATTCCCAGGAACAGCCCCTTTGGTAACAAAACACAGGACGACAGAATAGGAGTAAATTATTCAGTGTCTTCCTCTCACCTCTGAACGCGCTTCAGTGCAGTGGGAGCACATTGCATTTGTCCTGCCCCACTCGCCCCAGGCTGCCGCTGCGGGCTGACTGACAGCTGCCTGACAGAGCCCTCATCTGGAGGAACAGGCTGTGCTGAGCTCTGTGCGGACAAGCGCACTTTGATTCAGATTTAGCTAACATTTTCTGAGCTTCTTCCAAGTGTCAAGTGTCAGGAGGGGCTGAGCCCTTCCCTGACGGGCTGCTGAAATCCTCCTGCCTATGGGACGGGAATTGCGGCTAGGACAAATGGAAGCCTGCATGTTTGCAAAGGCACCACCGGAATTTTTTTTTTTTTTAAGGAATCAGATAGGTATGGCCCTGAATGCATGGGTTCAGGAAAGCCATAAATATATCCTAAGTATGGGAACGTTCAGTCTTCCCAATGGACCAAATGCTGCGTTAACCATGACCAGGCAGTTCAGCCCTGGTTCCTGGGCCATGGGGGTACCCACATTCTTCAGAAAAGCTTCCCCTTAGGGACGCTGGCAAAGCTTATGGGGTGGGGCTCACCACACAGGAGTGCATCCAATCCATCTGCCAATAAGCACAACTCAAAGGGGTGGGGAGGGATGTGAAAGGCACAATCCGAAAACCAGGAGGCGGGGCAGGCAGAGGGAGGTGAGCGAAGGCGTATCAGGATGTGCGATTGCATCAGGAGCCCTTTCATGAGGGAGCAAGCCTGTGCGTCATGTGTCAGGCCCTGTGAAATAACAGTAAGGAGGAAATGGAGAAGAAATGGATAGCGTGTGTGTCTGTGTTTCTGTGTGTAGGCATCCAGATGTGGGCTGGGCTCCTCTTACCCCTTCAACCTAGTTATTGGCCTAGGTGAGGTCAATCCCCAGCCCCACGACGGGAGAGCTGATGGGGTAGGGCTACTGTTTAGCTCCATCCTCCAGGAACAAGTTCAAAGTCCTAAAGGGCCTTTCCTCCCCGAAAGACTGCAGTGTGAAACATGTGAAGCACAGCATATACTATCAGTGCGTACATGCACGCACACACACAAACACACACACACAAACACACACGCACACACACACGCACACACATGCACACACACAAACATGCGCACACATGGGCACACCCACCCCCACACACAAATACACACATGCAGGTGTGCACATACATACATGCACACACACAAACATACACACAGGCACACACATACACACAGCGCACACACATATGCACACACATGCAAATCATTTCTGAGGGCACCAGACCTCTCAGAACTGTTGAGGATGTGTGGGTTACATACAGAAAGAAACAAAAATGAGAAGCATTTCTTTGAAGAGAAAACTTGTTCCACCATCCCGCCCCTTTATTTGCTCCTTACTCTCTGGCCTCTCCTTAGCTCCCAAATCCCCCTTTCACTGCTAACAGAGCGCTGGCTACGGGTGGCTGCTGTTTGAAGTGTGGCTCAAAGTCAAAGTGTTTTTTACTCAGATCCATAAAGATGGCCCCAGAACCCTTGGTAAGGGACTGTCAACAGACCCTGCCCTCCCTGCCCTCCCTCCCCACTCTCCACGCTGATGCCACCCACCAGGCCAAGTCCATAGAACATCTGCAATGATGCTCTAGGTCAGAGGGGTGCAGCTGCCCCAAGACAGCTTCAGAGCCAACTGCAGGCTGCAAGCTTGGGTGGGATGAGTCAGAAGACAACGGCCTTGTCCAGTGGCCTGGAGGTTCCACAGACACTGACAGCAGGGCCACAGCCCAAGCGGAGGGGTGCGGCAGGAGGGAGATTCAGGAAGCTCTTGGGCCAGATTTGGTGGTGGCTTCAGCTCCCTCCTGGGGAAGGAAGCCTCCTGAGGGCCGTGGCTCCAGATGACGGCTTGGCCGGCTCACAGCTGCCTCAGCACACAGCTGGGGGCTGAGAGGGGGACATTGAAAAGCCTCAGGCCTGGCCCACCTAATAATCTGCAGTCAGCACTCACATGCCCCAGTGGGGTTCCCCATGAACGGGAGCCCCTCCACCCTGCAACCACCCAGGGATTCTCCAGGCAGGTGAGCTCATCACAGACCCAAAACGCAAAGACATTGAAAATGAAGACAATATCTTTCTCGAGACCAGACGCACCCAAGACAGGTGTTTTCTAATCAGTGCAGTGCTCACTTGTGCTGGAGACCCGGACACATATTTCCCCATCACTGTCACTGACAAAGATGCCTCCTGGGATCAGCAGGTGCACCAGTTTGAAGAGCAGCTGTGAAAGCTGTCCTGGTGAAGAGTTTGAAGTTGTGGCCCAGATCCTCACTTAGGAGATTCTCTGATGTAAAAAATGCTGAAATCCTTGGGAGGTGGAACAGATTTGGGACCCTTGGATGACAACCGAAAGTTCCCAAGACCAACTTTCACTTCATGCATGCACAGGCAGGGAGAGGAGACATGGAGCCTACTCCTGGGAGGGGCACCAATGGTGGTTTCCTGTTTGAGGGTGCACGTCACCTGCCTGAAATGCCAACGGCCAGTTTCAGGAAAGTGGAGGAGACTCGTGATGTGCACGGGAGGTGGGCTCCTCTTACTTAGCCATTTATTTAAAAAAAATCATTTTTCCCTGTAATTTCTCTGCATAAAAACATCAGGCACTTGTGGGTAACCTGGAGCCCTCTCTGCCAATCCTTGCTTTATGGGCTGCAGTCAGGAGCTCATTTGCTCCAGAGAGGTCACTATAGAAACCTTAGGAGAAAGTAACTCAGAAGGATTTTCACAGCATGGAGAGCCACTCTATTTCTCCCCCTCAACCAGGCTCTTGTGTTTTCAGCATAGCCTTGGGTGAAAGCCCAGATTGGTTTCCTCAGCAGGAAAAGGATCTAGAGACAAAGGTGGCACGAGAAGTCTGATGCAGAGATGGCCAGGGCCTCAGGTGGTTCCACCTGCCCGAAAGGTGTGCCTAGGAGCTTGTAAAAGACCCTGAGCTTCTCTCTCAGCTTTGCCTGCCCTCCTCAGGGCACCTGGTGGGAACCACACATAGTTCCAAGCAAATACGCCTGAGCTTCTTATCAAGTTAAGAGAAAACAAGGCTCTTGAAGGACAGCTGTGCTTATCTGGAGTAGCCATTGAGGAGAGAGGTAACCTGGCTGGAGCGTGGCTGACCTGCAGCCTCACGTCGTAAAGTACTCGTTGGAAAGGACACTGGGCCTCTAGACATCCAGTAAAGCTGACATCCATGAGAACAAACCCTGTGCTGGCACTTGGCATTCAGAACGTTTCTATTCTCACACTTACAGGCAAGAATGCTCGCCTGCATGCCAGGCCTGTATCTGCATTTTCTAGAGAAGCTCACAGAGACTCAGAGAGATTCAGGCTCTTGGCCAAGGAGTTTGAGCCTGGTGTGCTAGACACCCCAGCCTGGGATCACCACGATGCCCTACTGCCTCTGAAAGTGAGCAGGGCACACTCAGCGGGGTGCATTTAAGATAAATATTATCAACTTCAGACTTATGCAAAGTGACTGTGAGTGACAGATTGTCCAGGGCAGCTCTGAAGTGACATGTGCCTGCAGTTATGCCACCAGGTGTTCTCATGTTTGGTCTGAAAAACAGGATGAACATAAAAATTGTTTTTTAGACTAGACATCCTTTAGTCCGAGAAGCCAAGGACTGCGAGCACTAGCTCAATGTCATTTGAGGTCCCAGATACTCATTTGCAAAAATGTTAGCCCGTGTGCCCTCTCCTGCCTTAGGACAGTTTTCCTCTTTGGAGGCTTGAAGATGTGCTGTTCTCAGAACCGTTCCTATAAAATTACAAATAGCCCAGAGAGGGACTCCGGTGTGTGCCGCTGTTGGTTAAGAAGGCCAGTTAGATGCCGTTGAGAGACTGACAAAGCCAGGTGCTGAAGTGTCATGGGTGTGCCCTTAGTGGGTATCTCAAATGTCCTTGAGGTGGTCTCACTCTTCTCTTGTGGCCCCCATGGCACTGCCTTCCATGGGCCCTGTGTAAATGCCCCCCAGTGGACCCTATTTTGAGGCCCTCTGTTGGTTCTGCATCAAGGATTTTAGTTTCTTGTTGTTCCTGCAACAAATGACCATAAATTCAGTGGCTTGCATGACACAAATTCAGTATCTTAGTGTTCTGGAGTTGAGAAGCCTGAAACGGATCTCCCTGGGCTAACACGGAGTTGTTGCAGGCCTGGGTTCCTCCTGGAGAGCCTATCCCCTGCCTTCCCAGCTCCCGCAGGCTGTGGGCATTCCTCTGCCCAGTGCCCGTGCCTTTGTCTTCAAAACCAGAAGAGCTTGGCTGGGTCCTTCTCACATGGCGTCACCCTAACCACCTCTTCCGCCTCCCTCTACTGTTTACAAGGATCCTGGTTATTATGTGGGGCCCAACTGGATAATCCAGGGTCATCCCCCATCTCGAAGTCCTTCACTTAATCCCATCTGCAAAGCCCCTTTTGCCATGAAAGGAAGCATGTTCACAGCTTGAGGAATTAGGACATGGACATCTTTAGGGTCTACTCGGCCTACCACAGGGTATTCCACAGTTGTGTGTGTGGATGTGATATTGAGGCAATTGAAGATGGCATTCTTTACCTTCTGCTTAGTTATTATTAGCATGTATATCATCTTGGACTTAATTGACCTCCTGGTGCAGGGTGTTAAGGAAAATTATTGTGTTCTGAATCATGACCTTTGGGCCAAGACGTTGGGAGACCCTGGCCCAAACAAGGACTTTCAGCTTCCTATTAGCTTTCTGCTGAAATGCATCCACAGCCAGGGCCTGTGAGACCTTGGATGGCATAGACTGAACAAGCTGTGAGGTCTGCATTTGTAGACTCGAATCTCCCATTTACATTCTTGGACTAAAACCTCGCTCCTGCTTATCATGTAATCATGGAGCTAAGCTAGGCTTGGAGAAGAGTGGCAAGAAGTTCCCACGTGCATGGAGCTGTAGTTTTTCCCACATTCCTCTTAGGAGCTGTGCCTAAGATGCTGCGCTAGCAACCTCTGTATTGTGAAGGAACTGCGTTTCCTGGATTCCAAAACACAGGAGTTGGATTCCTGTCCTTGTGAAGCCATCTCAGGGAACAGGGTGGGCGGAAGGGGCACTGGAGGCCATCATGATTGTCCTAACAGGCATTCTTCTGGCAGGAACTGGCAAGGATAGAACACAGACTTGGTCCCTGCAGCTGAAAGGGAGGAGGCAGGATGGTGATGGAAGAGGCGAAAGAAAGATATTTGCATGGGCAAGCCCAGTATTCAATAACTGTGGCAAGACTTCATCCTTACAAATCTACTTAGGGCCGACTCCACACCTGAGCCGCTTCCCAGACCTGCTGTTCTATCCCGGAAGCAGAGGGCAGCATGGCGAAGACCTGCCTCTGTCTTTGACGCTGGCACATTGATGCGATTCTTCCAAGCTCTTTGCTCCTGGGTGACCCCCATTGCACGCAGAGCCTCCACAATGTTTGGGGAGGGGGCTGAGCACACCTCTGTGTGCTTCATCCAGCCAGCCAGCCATTTATTCATTAAACAGATATCTATTCAATAACTTCGAGAGCCAGAAATTGTGCTAGTTGCTGTGGAAATAAATTCACATGACAGGCTCTCTGCTCTCTAGGTACCTGCAGTAAATTTCACTCCTAATGTCGCTAAATGTCTGTCTCTTTTTATATATATTTTATGACACTTACTGTGACTTCCAGAGCTTCTTTTGTGCTCATTTCCCATAATATTTTGGGTATTTCATTGTTTTTATACCAAAGCAAATTTGTCCAATTTCTAGTTCAAATTATTGCGTAGATCGTTGTGGACTAAGGCAGACAATAATAAAAATAGTTTCCCACTCTTGTTCTTTAACAAATTTTTCTTTTCTTTATAAGAATACATTGCTATAGTTTCATAAGCATTAAATAAAAACCATCTTTTTTGTTGTTAGACAATTCGTATTCGAATTGTTAAAATGGAATTTTTCAATATCCCAGAGCCCTCGAAGATTCCATAAAAATTTAGTTCCAAGACTATGAAAAGGAGTGAGGAATCTCTAACTCTTCAAGATACTCATTCAAAAAATTTTAGCAAACCATCGATTTCTACAAGTCCCACAAATGAAATATTGCTAAACATATTGCTGATTCAACACAAATTCCAATCAACCAGTATTATTTGCATAATTTCATTAAAATATTCACTTAAAACACTGCTTTGACAATAGGAATTCTGATGTGCAATTCATGTCCAGCTGCTCTAGTTCCAACCTGCAGCAGCAGTCAGACATGAGGTGCAAGGGGCTTCAAGGGTGGAAACCCAGACGCGAACGAGCACAGTGGCCTCGGCTCCACTTGCTGAGACATCTCTGCAAGGGATGTTGGAATGACGTCACTCCAGCAAGCCTCCCGGGAAGCTCAGAGATCTGTTCATACCTGCCCTGGCTAATCTTTAGAAGCAGGATCTGTGCACAAGGTGTGGCCGCTTCTCATATTCACAATCACTTTTCTTTTCTTTCTTTCTTTCTTTCTTTCTTTCTTTCTTTCTTTCTTTCTTTCTTTCTTTCTTTCTTTTTTTTGAGATAGAGTCTCGCTCTGTCACCCAGGCTGGAGTGCAGTGGCGTGATTTCAGCTTACTGCAAGCTCTGCCTCCCGGTTTCACGTCATTCTCCTGCCTCAGCCTCCTGAGTAGCTGGGACTACAGGCACCTGCCACCACACCTGCCTAATTTTTTTGTATTTTTTAGTAGAGATGGGGTTGCACCATGTTAGCCAGGATGGTCTCCATCTCCTGACCTCGTGATCCGCCTGCCTCAGCCTCCCAAAGTGCTGGGATTACAGGCGTGAGCCACCGCGCCTGGCCCACAATCACTTCTAAAATTGAGAGAGCTCTCTCCGATCATCACACAAACATTGTTCACTGTTTTTGAAAATGAGTCTCCAAATCTCAGACACATCTGTAAAAAGCTAGTTTAACTATTTAAACAATGAAATTAAGTAGAATGGTGGGGCCAAGAGCCTGGCCTGGACCTTCTCGCTGATCCTCTTCCTGCAAGGGACAAAACGACACCTTCATAGACCAGTGCTTTGGATTTGCCGGTCAAAAAATCACCCTCTCCTGTCCTGCATCCGCACTGATTGTAGACTCTCCCTCCAGGCTCAGCTCACAGCCCACCCATCTCCCTTTCAGCCAGGGCCCTGCAGTCAGCTACACACTCCATCCATGCCAGGATGCCCTCACGGCTCTATTCTCTCACAGTAGCCACCCATCCTCAGGCCTAGGGAGCCCCCTCCACCATCATCCTCCAATCCTGGTCCCACGTGGTCTGACGTTGCTGAAGATAGTGATGTAGCAGAGCCAGCTGCCTTCATGGCATGTTCATGCTGCCTGACCCGAGTTCAGAGGCCTTGTCACTGTCGTCCACAGCTCTTGCAAATATCTCCATTTCCACTCTGCAGAAGCCACCTCTAGCCCAGGCATTCTCTGGGTAGGCCCATGCTGTCACCTGCAAAAGAACCACCTGAAAATCTCATTGGAAAACTGGTTCCTGGGCCTCAAGCTAAAAACAACTCTGTTTTGGCATATCTGAAGTGGAGCCCGAGAATGTTTATTTCTAACAAGCTCCCGGGAGGAGGGTGGTACTGCTGCTAGCCTAGACTTTGTTGAGAATAGTATGGATGCAGAAGGGTCTCGTGCCTCCTGGACTCTAAAGACCATAAGAGCCACCTGAGGACTCTATGAACATGCAGACTCTGCTTCTGTGAGCCTGGGGTGAGCACAAGCATCTACATCTGAACCAGCATCCCCGCTGCTGCCACTGCTGCTTGTCAGGTCACACTTTGAAGCTCAAGACGGGAGATGACTTCAACCTCCTGACAAACCCCTTTCCTGTCCTCTCCCCCACCTCCACATTTCAATCTATTTATACCAACTCCTTTCAGCCTCCTCTCCAACCTGATTCTATTACGATATTATTGGCTTAGCACAGCATAAGGACGGCGATTACAGGATATGCATCTTCCCTTCTCACATCTGAGGCAGACGTCGCTAATCCATCCTGGTACTATTTTGTGCTGAGCCCAGACATAGAGACATAATCCCTCTTGCTGTAGTGTGCCAAGCAGCTCCCTCCAGTCTCCCCAGCCTGTCACATGCCTTCCCTCGGGATGGTGCTTGGGACTGTTGTGAGCTCTCCATGGCTTTATCCTGCCTCGTGGGCCATGCATGCCGGTGAAGCCAGACGGTGTGCTGCCTTAACCCACAATCCACCAACTGTGACAGGCTGACCCCAACCACCATTCTAATCCCTTGCAATCCACTGTTTTCCCTCTGCGTTTGGGTAGCACTTGGCATATACGGTAGCCACCTGCATCACATTCCTGGTTGCACTCCAGTGTGTAAGTGTGTACATGTTTGGATTGTTAAGTCATCTCTCTAGGTGGAAATACAACTGGATGTCAGCAACAAAGCCCTCATCACCTTTCTGCCCCCTGCACTGAACAGCTCAGAGCCTGCGACATGGCCTATCTCATTAGGAGCTGTGACATCAGCCAGGTCTCAGAATGAGGAAACACATAGATGACAGCCACACCCACACCACAGCCCCCAGCGTGTCACTTGACAGACAGGTAGCATGGCCATTGTCTGGGGACTATTTGTTACTGCACCAAATGAACTAACGCAGCTCTTATTCTTGCTAGGACTCAGAAAGGCTCCAGGGAAGAGCCCAAACTTCCCTCTGCTTGAGAGAGCCGCAGGGAGTCTAGGGAGGCCAGAAGGGCAGGCATTGTCTGGTGGGTTACATGAGGAGGATGTGCAGTAAACGGGTGGTCCCGCTGACAGCCGCCTTGGCAAAAAGGACAGAGTCCAGAAGAAACGGAGACTCATCATGGGATGGGCTCCACTTGGCATGGGAGGCTGCATGGGGCAAACACAGAACAAGCCCAGGAAACCACATGGAATCCACTGCAGTCACCAATAGTCCCCAGGGGAAAGGAATTAACCATAGAGGCGAAGAAGAGAGAAAAACCTAAGGAGGAAGGCAATAACCTTGAACGTGACTACATTTTAAACTTGAATTAACAAAGACATCACAGGATTGGATAGAACCCACTTACAAATGACTTCACTAATTTTCTGTTATTAAGGAAAATGTGGGCTTTTGATAGACACAAGTCAAGTTATGGGAAATGGAATAAAGCTACACTTTTTTTTTTTTGCACACTCACGTTTTATAAAGTTTTTTTGACTGTGAGTAAAATTCGTCTCTATGCCACACATAGAGACCGGCATATTTTCACAAGCTCTTGGTCTTAGGTATTTGAAAATTCAAGGGCTAAAGAGAAGTGCAGAATTCCCCCTGGGAAATTGACACAACATGTTAGAGATAAAAATCAAAGTGATTCTTCTTTTAGACCGAGTCTCCCCGGGAAATAGGTGTGAGCGCTTCACCTCGGAGGGAACTTGCTGCCAAGTAGTTGGAGATGCTGAATCTCCTTTTTCTAGGAGTTACACTGATGCTGACAAATGCTCTTTTCAAATGATTGATTCCCCAACATGTGAGAATCTGAGTTAAATCTGAACCTCACAGCACAAGCTCAGAGCCTGAGATGAAAAGCTAACACTCCATGCCCTGCCTGGCCTTCTGCCTGTGTTAGAGAGGGTTCTACCTTTCAGAACTGACTTTGTGGACACAGGGAAACAGAGTATGATCTTTTTTGGCAGTTCACACAGCAGCGATGGGTCCTGCAGCCATTAAGGTAAATGATGCTTCCACGCTATTTTAGCCTCAAAGTGCAAGTTCCCAACACGGCAAGCCATCCATTGGAGAGCAATCTACCTGGAGATAGGGGTTGGCGGATAGCCCTAAGGAAAGACAACATCTTACCTGAAGTGAAGGAGGCACTGAGGGATGTCCCCAAAGAACCGCTTGATTGGCTTGGATTCAAATGGTATCAATAAACATTTATGATCTTAAAATTGTAATTTCTTATTTCAGTGGCAGTGAATGCTTTCAGAGCTTGGGTGTTCAAGGGAGTCATTTTAAATTGGATTAGTGAGGGCAACTGCAGATTTCCCAAGGAACACATGTGGGTGCAGGGCCAGGTTGCCACCATCGCTCCAGTTCTGCAACCAGAACTGGGGTGATCTGACCAAGTCTTCTTTCTTTCTTTCATCTGGATTCCCGGTTTAAAAAGCAAATGCGCAAAGCATAATAAAAGGAGAAGAAATATTAAACTGACGAATGGGAAAGGAGACAAGGTGACAGGTATTTGGAACTGGAGAAGTGTTTTCAGGCTCGACTCACAAACACCAACACCATGTCTTTCTAATGTTGATGACAATCTAAAGAGACAGGGCTGGAAGTTTCCTTTAAGATCTTGGAGGCAATTGTTACCAAATCAGAACACTCCCACTGGGCTTACGGTGTTCTCCAGACTGACAAAGAATCAGCCAAGATGTTTCGTGGTTTATCACCAAATGATTGTCACATAGTGTCTTTTCCAATCAACTGGAACATATCTCAAGAAATGAACAGGTTATGAGAGAAAGCACCACCCTACAGAGGAATAATATAAAATACTGCCTCAACCCTGCCACACAACTGACCCAGTCTGGGGTGTCTTTAACCACAGGGAATAATTTGGGTTGATTCTTTCCATCCGTAGACAGTATTTCCTACATGTATCTTTGTAACTTCAAAGTTTTGTAGGGTTCCAGCAAATTCATCCTGTGACAATAATCTAGTGTAGATTAATCCACAGGTTAACCCACAAATCCTGGATTCAGCAGCCTCCGGCTCCACCAGCTCAGATGACCATGTAGAGGACAAGCCTTCCTTCGTGCACACAGGTTAGAAGCAAGGCTGCACCCTCATTTGCTGGGGACTAAACTGGAGAGAAGACAGTGATAGGGGTCTTGAGGACCCCCACATCCATTTCTCCATGGGAGAACACATTCCCATGCCATGGTATGGCTTCCCAGAGCTGTATGGGTTTGAGGGAGTGGGATTCTAACATAGAGAAATGAGGTTCCAGGGAACCCAACTCATCATAAAAGACAGAGGGGTGTTTGTGATGCTATAAAAACCAGTCACCATAAAAAAGAATAAGATCTTGTCCTTTGCAGGAACATGGATGGAGCTGGGGGCCATTATCCTGAGTAAAGCAATTCAGGAACAGAAAACCAAATACCTCATGTTCTCACTTGTAAGTGGGAGCTAAATGATGACAACTCATGGACACAAAGGGGAAAAACAGACACTGGGGCCTACTTGAGGGCGGAGGGTGGGAGAAGGGAGACAATCAGGAAAAATAATTATTGGGTACTAGGTTTAGTACATGGATGACAATATAATCTGTACAACAAACCTCTTGTGACATGAGTTTACCTATATAACAAACCTGCACATGTACTCCTGAACCTAAAATGAAAGCTTTACTTTTTTTATTTTAAAAATGAAATACAGTTCATTTAACTTTAAAATAAAAATCAAAATCAGGCACCATCGCCGCTTTGGGGAAAGTGGTTTCACTAACAAAGGCTAATGTTGAGGACCCACAAAGTTCAAACCCACTGTCTCGGGGCTGGGAGGACCACATCTGACCCACTTCAGATGGGTGCCCAGTAAGAATGTAGTAAGTGGATGACTGTGTACCTGCACGTCCTGGCATGATATCCTCAGCTAGGACGATACCCTCAGGCCCTCTCAAGGCAGTTTTCACCATTATTAAACAGTTTGAGCATTAGAAAATCCTTTTCTATATCAAACAAAAATATAAACACAGAAGGGCAAAGGGCGAACCAATTTCATTTCTATTGAATAGAAACTACAAATGAAGTACAAAGGATCACGCTGAGCCACAAGCCATATTTCCACTAGACTGCTAGATTTCTCTACTTAGGTGTCCCAAAGAAAATGGATTATAGGAAAGTCTCAAGAAAACTGCCCTAGTCCTAAGGGTGTTAACCACAGAGAGATTTTTTTCCCCGCCTCCTAATAGTAATACATATGCAAAATGCTTCTACACATTTTGCTTCCAAACGAGGTATGCCAAAAGTCACTTCTCCCTTTGTAAGTGAAGCCATATTTGCATAGAGGAAAAAGCAGAATGTA
Source organism: Homo sapiens (assembly GCF_000001405.40). NCBI lineage: Eukaryota > Metazoa > Chordata > Mammalia > Primates > Hominidae > Homo > Homo sapiens. The sequence continues at coordinate 60,881,215 of NC_000020.11, forward strand.
TTTCAGTCTTTGTTAGGGAATCTTGCTAGTTTGACGTACAGGTTGTATTTTTTTTAATATTTTAATTTTAATTTTAAGTTCCAGTGTACATGTGCAGGATGCACAGGTTTGTTACATAGATAAACGTGTGCAATAGTGGTTTGCTGCACTTCTCAACCCATCACCTAGGTATTAAGCCCAGCATGCATTAGCTATTTTTCCTAAAACTCTTCCTCCCTGCCCACCCTCGGACAGGCCCCAATGTGTGTTGTTCCCCAACCTGTGTCCATGTGCTCTCATTGTTCAGCTCCTATTTATTAGTGAGAACATGCAATGTTTGGTTTTCTGTTCCTGCGTCAGTTTGCTGAGGATAATGGCTTCCAGCTCCATTGTGTTCCTGCAAAGGACAGGATCTCATTCTTTTTTATGGCTGCATAGTATTCTGCGGTATATATGTATCACATTTTCTTTATCCAATCTGTCATTGATGTCATTGATGGGCATTTGAGTTGATTGCATGTCTTTGCTATTGATTGTGAATAGTGCTGTAATGAACATAAGTGTGTATGTATCTTTGTAATAGAATGATTTACATTCCTTTGGGTATATAGCCAGTAATAGGATAGCTGGGTCAAATGGTATTTCTGGTTCTAGGTCTTTGAGCGTGTTTTTTTTTTTAAGGCAAATCTCTTTGGTAGGATTTGCCTAGGGGAAGACATTGGCAGGATAAGGTGGACTGTGGTAGTCCTCATCTGCATGCACATATTTACACCAAGCAAATCTTTTAGTACCCATGCCAAAGACCCATTCCAGAGCAATTCACTAGCATCTCTGCAGGCAGAGTCTGGGCATCGACGAGCATAAGTTTCTCAGGTGATGAATGCATGGTCAGAGCTGAGAACCACTGTTTTCATAGAAGACTGTGCTGGGGAAGTCGTGACGAAACTGTATTTTCAGTGTCCCCCTTGCTTTGGGGGAAATTACAGGATTGCTGCAGCGCTGGAATTGTACTTAGCTGAGGATTGAGGGCCTTGGCCTCTGCTGGGAACTCCGCAGTGTGGATGAGCATCACGTACTTAGGGCCGAGAACACTCACACAATTGAAGTTCCCACCTTCAGGCTGAGGCCCTGCGGGTAGAATTTAAATATTATCAGATGTTCATCTAGAAGGGATTCAAAAAGAGTGTGAAGTGTTTATGGATTTTGAATTCTTGATGTTCTGAAATTATAATTTTGTTGTGTTTAAAATAACTAGAGGGTGGCCCACAGAACAGAGTGGGGGATATTGCTGACTTGGATAGATTTCCAAACTCAACTAGATAAAAATGTCCACAGATGGGCTCACTGGGGTCCTGTTTAATCTGTTCCCCATCCAGAATCCTCTGTCTCAGCCTTTGGCATTAGGAAAATCCACCCCTCCCAGAGAAGTGAAAACCTGCTTCCCACACCCCCTCAGCCACCACCACTTCCCACTGAATCCAGCATCTGCCCCTTGTTCAGATCATCCTAGCTCCCGCATCCCCTGCCAGCGGGAATACCCGCCAGACTCTCGGGACCTCCTTGCCTCCTGTCCACCCCAAGACCCATTCCTCACACTGGCTAAAAACTAATCAGCCCTGTCACTGCTGGCTGAAAATACTTCTAAACTTGCTCAGTAAGAAAATCCCCTGGGGTGCTCATTAACAGTTCAGATGCTTTGGTCTCAACAGACCTACTAATCTGAATCTCCAGGGAGGGTCCCTAGAATTTTGATTTTTTTCAACCCTGCCCCCAGCTATTTCTCATGACCAGGCTTGAGGCAGTGACCCGAGGAAGCATGGAAGGACCTCCAGCTCCATTTCTCTCCTCTCCGAGTCCTCAGCACATAACCAGCGTTCAGGCGGATACTCGTTCAATGCAGGAATTAATGAGTCACAATTTATGGTTCAGCAACACTGACCTATTTATACTCACCACGCCTATCAAGTTTTTTTATTTTATCTCCACACTTGTTATTTTTCATCTGCCTCTGTACTTACCAGGTCTCTATATAAATGTCTATTGATGTGATGTCTCCCATTAAAATGTGAGTTTCTTCTGGATAAGAGTTATCTTTATCCACCCGTCCTTAACAGGGAGCACAGTGGCCAGCAGACAATAGATTCTCAATAAATATGCATGCCTTTAATGTGTGACGATCCCTGGTGGCAATGCAACCCACACACCCAGGGTCTCCAGAGGAAACTCTGGCCCACACAGGTTAAGTGACTTGTATAGGACACACAGCAAAAGCAAAACAAAACAAAACAACTAGCTTTCAAAACAGTTGTGGTATTTTGTGCTTTCGAGAATATTCCCAGAATTCTTAGAAGAAAAAATGAGAAGACAAATGTAAATATCCCATGACAGGGTAGCAGGGCGCCAGGCAACTGCTCTGATGCCAGGAGCAGGAATAAGTGCTGTGAAAGCACAGGGAGGCTTGTGGTGACTGAGAGTGAGATACTGTGCTGTGAGCCCTGAACCTGCACCTGCTAATGTGGTCATGTCACTTCTGCTGGAGGCTGATCCTCAGAGCCACAAAGCCAACATCCACCGACAAATAGCTCAGCACCAGCTTTCCCTGCCTAGCACCTGAGCAAGCACTGGGGGAACCCACAAGGAAGGAAAAGGGAGCCACAGATTTTCAGATGTCTCGAAAGTAATAACAAAAGAGGCTTATAATAAGAAGACTTAATTTTATTCTTAAAGTTTGACAAGAAAAACTGATTAGAACATAGTATACACACAGACATACATGTGTACATACATACACACATGTGTGAATGTATATACATGTAGATACATATGTATATGTGTATGTTAAGGAGATATGACATATATGTTATATGATATATATGTGCACACATTTATTGAGCACTTACCATGTATCTGATACCGTGTTAAGCAAATTAGGCCCATAATTTAGTTTAATCATTATAACCACCCGCACCAAGAAGGCACTGCATGCTATTTTAGTGGAGAAATTGAGGGGTGGAGAGATTAGATGACTTGGCTAAGGTCACACAACTAGTAGGCAGTGAGCCTGAGATGTAAACTAGAATCTTTCAGAGTCCAGAGTCCAGAGTCCAAACTCTTAACCGCACTGTCATCAGCATGATGGTAATGATGGTGATGATGATGACGATGGTGACAATTATGGTAATGGTGATGGTGATGATAATGATTCTGATGATGATAATGATGTAATGTTGATGATATAGTGATGATGATGGTGACAATGGTGGTGATAATGATGATAGCGATGGTGATGATGACAGTAATGATGATGGTAATATGGTGATGATGATGTTGATGGAGATTATGGTGATAATGATGGTGGTAGTGATGATGGTAATGGTAATGATCTTGGTGATGAGGGTGATGATAGTGATGCTGATGATGATAGTGAGGTTTATGATGGTGTGTGATGATGATGGTGATGATGGTAATGGTGAAAATAATAATTGTGGTGATGATGAGGTTGTAATGTTGATAACATGGTGATAATGATGATGATAGTAATGATGATAATGATAATGGTGATGATATCAATGATGACGATGATAATGGTTATTTTCTTGATGATAACGATAAGATGTTGATAGTAATTACAGTAATGAAGATGATGGTGTTGGTATTGATAATGATGTGCAGTTAACATTTATTGAGCACATGCTATGTATTGAGCACTGTTCTAAGCACTTTTAATGAACAACTTGTTTGGTCCCCACAGTGACTTATCTTTGTTCTCATGTTAGAGTTGAGGAAACTGAGGCACAGCGCATTTTTAGTTTGCCAGGTTTACCAATGACTGGGAGAATGGGGATTAAATCTAGGCTGCCTGGCACTAATGCCTCACTCAAATGTCTAATGCATCTCATAATAAGACTATAGACTGACTAGTGATAAGAAAAAATAATTAAAACATCCTGATGAAATTGTAAGGGGTGAAACAATGGCTCATACCGAAAAGACACTTTTCCAAATGATTAAGGAAGGGTCTGGACTTGGAGAGCACTCACCTGGTGATAAGAATCTTTCAGAAGGAAGTTGGGGTCTTAGACCACTGTCTAGCAAAGCACACTGTTGATTAAACACAGGAGGACCAGAAAGCGCTGGTAGACAGAGGGAAGAAAGTTCAGCTCCAAGGCTCCTTCAAAGGTGGCTTTTGTGATAAACTCAGGCTGGGTCCTTTTCCCTGCATAACCTTTCCACCCAGGCCAGGGGAGTCAGCTTTAGGTTTAAGCAGTGACACCAGCTTTGTGATGTTAGAGGCAGCAGCTACCCTGGAGTTGTCAGGCTGGTGATGGCCAGGCCCTCCCCTCTGGTCAAGTGGGACTATGTGTTCTCTCCACCTTCCCTTGACCCTAAATGTTCTATCCAGGGGACAGAGCAAATGCTCTGGCCCAGGGGATGAGCAGCATGGTCCAAGCAGGGATAAAGGGTGAAGCCACAACAAGGATCAGGGAATAAAGTGGACACGTACAGGGAGATGGCAGCCTTTCTACCTGAGGACAGTGCTGACCAAGCCAACAGAATAACCCTGGGTCCACTTACCTGGGCAATTCTCCACTGGTGACAACTTGGTGCCTAAATGGCTCAAACTAGAGGAATCGTGTGTGGGGGGTGGTGGGGAGGTGGGTGTGCAATGGCCCACGTGTGTGTACATATGGTGTAATGGTGTATACCTGTGACATACCCTGGAACAGCCATAAGCAGCTTCCCAAATGGGACTCTATGCAGGGAACATTCACATGGCTTCCTGCTTTGCAAAAATTTCACAAAATTCCTTTTACATCCTTGATTAACCTGGGTTTTGGAGGGATGGAATGTAGAATTTTCTGGTTAAAGGAGGATTTCCGTTAAAAAATGTTCTATATATTATTGAAGGTTTTCCAGACTTGAATGGTGTTTTAAACAATATAAAGTCAATATAAGGTTAATAAACATATTTCAGAAGGAGAAAAAAGGAAGAAGGCAAGAATGAAGGAGATGAGAAAAAAGAATAAAAGAGGAAGAAAAACAGTGAAAAGAGAAACTCACAGCTAGCCTTGTACAGCCATAAGTTTTACTAGCATTTGGGCATTTCCCTTCTGATCTATTTTCTGTTTACAGATTTTTTTAAGTTTGTTTTTACAACAATTGTAATCAGAGTGGATAGACAGCTTTGCAACTGGTTACTTCTATTAACACATTGCAAACATTTTCTAAGTTGTTATGCTCCATAAATATTATTTTAACACATTGTATTTTTTATTATTGTGCCTATAATTATATATTATTATATATTAACTCTGGAGAAAGTAGAAACAAATGTTATGCAAAAGGAAAAATTAAATTGAATTATAATTTCAAGACTTAAAAATAAGCACTATTATTCAGGCAGGTATTCATTCAATATACATAGAAGAAGAGCTAATATACAGATACAGACACATCCACGGATACAGACAAGAGTAACTTCACCCACCGCATATATTTTGTATATAGACAAAATGGGATCATAAGTCACACACTGTCTTTAACTGATTAAAGTGCCATTAAGTGTTGAGTTTTGTTTAATGGCCAAATTTACTTCCATATCTCTCAGGGAAAGACAAAAAAAAAAACGATAAAAGATTGATTAGGGAGTAGCTCCTTTGCTCTGCCTATTTAAATTATTGCAGGCTCCACGGTTTTTATTTCAAATATCCATTCTCTTCTACCAGCTGCTCCAGGTAAAGGGGAAAGTCCTTGCTTCCTGTTTAGAGCCTCGCCTCTATGCCATATCAGCCCTTTATTGACCCACCCACCACCCACTTCCACCTTGTGAGACAGGTGTGCAAAACTAGGTCCTCCAGAGGTGGGCACCCTGCCCCAAGTCACACTACCAGGCAGTGGCTGAGCTAGAATTGATCACAAAACAGAAAGGGCCATTGGACTTCCAAGCCCTGCTTTCACCACGAATCTACTCTGCGTCTCCATTTATTTGCATTTCACTGGGTTTGCTGCTGAAGGAAGGATGTGTGGAGTGTTTATTCTGTACTGCACACTCAGAAAATGAAAGATAAAACTACCAGGACTTCAGGTGCTGCCTGTAAGTGATTTTTATCTTTGGATGAATATAGGTGATCCTCGACTTACTATGGTTTGATTTACAAATTTTCCATTTGCAATGGATTGATGCAGACATAACCCCGTTACGATGGGGTCAAGGAGTATCTATAAATACCAACCTTGAAATGTACAATGTAAATAACTGACAGAAGTATTAATATCCAGAATACAGAGAAAACTCCAGCAAACAGGCAAGAAAAAGGAAAGGCGGTTAATAAGGAAATGGATAAAAGTTAGGAATAGACACTCTAAAGAAGGAAAAATCCTGGTTAATAGGGATTGAAGAGTTGCACAGAGTCACATCAAGAAAATGAACATTGAAATACCATGAGATATGACTGTCTACCCAATAGGAAGAGGTCTGAAAGTTATAGGATGATAAGGGTTGTGGAGGAGCCCTGTCAGCTGCTGGTGGAAGTGAAAACTGCCGTGGAGAAAAGCTGGGGAGTATCTGGTGACTCGGAGAACCTCAGTCCCACATTTGCTCTTTCACAAAAAAAGAAGCTTTCACAGACAAAAACACCAGTTAATAGATGAAAGGATGTTGGTCACAGTATTAGTTTGATAATAGAGTTAGAGATAACCTAAGTGAGCATTAGGAAAGGAGGGCATAGGCCGAGTGCGGTGGCTCACGCCTGTAATCCCAGCACTTTGGGAGGCTAAGGTGGGTGGATCACGAGGTCAGGAGATCGAGACCATCCTGGCTAACATGGTGAAACTCCCTCTCTACTAAAGATACAAAAAATTAGCCGAGCGTGGTGGTGGGCGCCTGTAGTCCCAGCTACTCGGGAGGCTGAGGCAGGAGAATGGCCTGAACCTGGGAGGCAGAGCTTGCAGTGAGCCGAGATCGCGCCACTGCACTGCAGCCTGGGCGACAGACCGAGACTCCATCTCAAAAAAAAAAAAAAAAAAAAAAAGGGAGAGGATAAAGTGTGTGAAATAGTCAAAGAATTATTCAAAGACCGTCTATCTGTTAAAGAGTAGGAAGTATAAATCAACACAATGTACCTGAAAGATACCTTGAGTGAAAACAGGAGAAGCAGAATGAAGTACATGACAAAATATGCTTTTCTGGTATATAAGACAGGGAACCTCTTTGGAAGAAGGCTGAAACTGAGGGTGGGAGATAAATAAAATTTAAATAAATAAAAACTATGTGCATGACGGCAGCATTGTGCTGCAAATTGAGGATTATAACCAATCCAGTTTTGCACACATAAGGATGAATGGGTCGGGGTAAACATTTGATATGAATTTGTTGCATCTTTTCTTGAATTTAGCTACTAAAGCCCAAGTGCTTTGCAGGTGGGGGTAGTCCCCATCCGTTGCACACTTCTGGGTGATGAATTCTGCTCAGTTGACAGTTTTCTGCCTTTCTCAAAGATCACATTTGGAGTTTGGGCTTAATCTATCATGCTTCCAAAAGAACAGCAAAAAAAAAGAATAATAAATGGCAGACTAAATGGCAAGTAGCTCCCTCAACTCATGTCTGGGTGCTCGCTGCGAAGACTCTGAGGCATCCGTTTGAAAAGAGTGCCAGGAACTGATGACTATGATTTGATCCTGCCTTTGCAGGGCCTTGTTGTTGGAGGGATTCATCATGCGTAGGAATTATTTGTGCCTTAGCTAGAAGCCAAATGCTCTGCATTCCGCATTCGGGAAGAAGCACATGGCCGCCATTTCTACTCACTTACCCCGGAGATAAATGACAGCTTTACATGGACAGATGCAGTCTGTTTGCTGGCTTCCATCTGGTTTTTAAATCACTCAAAGAAAGCTCCAAAGACACATTTTTATGCTGCATAAAATACACAGAGGAGAAGAAAAGCCTGGGCTTCACACATTTGTTATTTCATTATTTGTGTTGCCTTTATAAAAGGAAAATCATGGAGTCATTTCCCCAATTCTTTTGACCTCTGAACATTCATTGCAACCTCTTAAATTTGATGTCTTCTTCCTAAATGTCCTCTCTGAAATTGCCCGATAATTCACTCTTTATGCAGCTCTGACAGGGAATGAGAACATTTCTACTTTAAACAGCTCGGGGCACCTGAGGAGGGAACTCAGGAAAACGCATACTGCTTCGTTTTGGAGAAGAACATGCAGAGTTCCTGGCCAGCACTGTGCAGCCACGACTCCCCTCCCCTCGGACCAAGAACAGAGACTTGACTATTGTGTCCTTCACTCGTGCCCCACATGCCAAATGGCTCTATGACCCCCTTCGTTGGTTCAGACTCTGCCCTATAACTCAGGTGTCCATCCTTCTGCTGGCCTCACACCCTCTGCCTGGCCAAGGCAACAAAGGTCTGCTGAGTTCTTGCTCCATGTGGAGCCAACCCTGGGCTCTGAGGATCCACCTCTGAGCGAAAAAGCCACTCAGGGCTCTACTCTCATGGAGTTTGCTTTCTATAGTCGGGAGGGAGACAGAGCAGAAACAAATTAGTGACACGATGGTCATCCTTAGGAATAAACGCTGTGAAGAGAACAAAAAAGGCTCCATGACCTGCAGTGACAGCTAGGCAGAGAAGAAGGAAGGATGAAGTGAAGACATTTGTCCTGGGTGGCCAGGTAGGACCTGCCTTTGCAAGAGATATTTGAACTGGGACCTGAAGGATCATAAGAAGCCGCCACACACAGACATGGGGAAAGTGGATTCAGGCAGAGCAAACAGAAGTGCAAAGGCCCTGAGATGGGAACTAGTGTGGCATGTTCAACTAACAAGAAGTCCCAAGGGGCTGAGGGGTGCCAGGCACAGGGATTAACTCTACTCAGGCTCCATTCTTTTCCGGAGACCCCCCACACACCCCCCAAGCCCAGGATCATGGCCCTACACACCACTCCCATGGCATGCATGTCTTTGTCACAATTGTTACGTTTTTCCAAAGATTTTGATGTCTTTTTAGAATTGTATCTCTAATTCCTAACACAGAACTTAGTACATAGTAGGCACTTTGTACATTCATGTCAAATGAATGAATGAACAAACGCACTGCACAGTATCCATCAGTGTGATCACCGCCATGTTGGAAGATGCCAACTACAAGGGCAGCCAATATAACTGGGTCTTTCTTCTTGCCACAGGCCCTGGACCTCTCAATATTAAAATGATCCCCTACCTCCTCTGACCCCTTCCAACATTGGAGTTTGGTGAGAATAATAAAAATAGCTAATGCTTATGGAGCAGATACTATCTGCCACACAATATGCCCTTAACATACATTTTCTAAATTAATACTCACTATCTCCACCCTGCAAATGAGGAGCGAAAGCCAGTCAAGGTAAGTATTGGCCCAAGGTCATGCAGTATTGGCCCAAGGTCATGCAGCTAGTAAGGGCTGGACCCTGCACAGATGTGAATCCAAATATTCCTGATTCTTAAGCCCATAGGCTTACCTCCCAGATCCTGCTCTCAAAAGCATCTGGGGCCTGAGTGCAAGGAAAAGATCAGGGGTCAGGGAGTCAGGGTGGGGGGAGGCCAGCAAGCACCTGGGGTCAACAGGGTGACAGAGAAGAGAGGACTGAGAACTTGCTCCTCAGCACCTGTGTTTTGCAGGCTTGAACTCAGCTGTGTTCCATAGGGTTCCTGTCCTGCTTGAGGTTAACACTAAGAAACACTGAGCCCCGGGCCCTTCAGGTGAACTGGGGACAGACACCTCCTTCAGGGAAAAGCCTGATGCCTTTCATCTTGGTGCCAGACAACTTTGTTACTGAGCATAAAGATTGATTACTCTCCTTGCTTTGAAGGCTCTAGTCTGTGAGGTCTTAAGCAAATAATTACTGACTTGAAGTCAACTTTTTGTTATCCTTCTTTCCTCTCTTCTCCTCTCTGCCTCTCATCTCCCCCTCCTTCTCTTTCTCCCTTACCTCCTGCTGAGCCTGGCCTTTTGACAATAGGCAGAATTGATCTCAAACCCCTCCAAGTTTGACCCAAAACAGCTTCCAGTGTGATGCTTGCTCTCTCTCCTTCTTTCCCACTGAGAAATCCGAGGCCCTAGGGCAGAGGTCAGAGGGTTTTTGTTGTTGTTGTTGTTGTTGTTTTTGTGTGTGTGTGTGTGTGTTTAATTTGTTTTGCTTTCTATAAAGGGATGAGCAGTAAACACTTTAGGCTTTGCAGGCCATTCAACCTCTATAGCAACTACTCAACTCTGCTGTTGTAGCATGAAGACAGCCACAGACAACACATAAATGAGCATGGCTGTGTTCCAATAAAACTTTATTTATAAAACGTGAGCTGAGGGCCAGATTTGGCTGGCAGGTCACAGTGTTCCAAACCCTGACCTATAAGAGGTGTCATCCTAAGAAGGAAGGATCTTGGACTCCTGAGTCATCACTTGGGAGGCCACCTTCCAGACATCTGCATTGAAAGAAATCACTTTTATTGGATTAAGAAACATACCAAGAGTTTGTGTTGTTGACTATGAAATGCAGTCTACCCTGACTAGGATTGTTACTCTTTTATCTTCTTTGTACTGTTTTGTAGTGTTTTCTTTTTCTTTACACACATATTTTTATTAACTTCATTTTTTGGGATGTGATTGTTTGCCTGAAAAGTAGTTTCCATTTTAGATGGCTGCCTTATTAGAAAACCCTTGATCACTAGAATTTTTTGAAACTTAGACATGCATCTCTGCATTCCATCTGTATCAGCCAATGCCATTCTGTAAATTCCCTCCTCGAAAACTAACCACATGATTTTCTGTGGTATCATATGCAGCAAGATTACCATAGTTAGAACCAAAGACTAAAATACATTGCTCCAAATTTAATTAAATTTGAATTCAATGAGTTTGGTTTCTGCTGAACTGTTCATTTCTGCAAAGGATGGGGAGTTTCTGATACACCAAACTAATGAGCACCCAGGAAGCCAGCAGGGAGGATCCTCTGATGATGTGGGACCATTCTTGCCAACCAGAAATATGTCTCCTAGCTTAAGAAGTAACTGATAGTCCTCTAGGGAACCCCAGTATGCCTCAGGTAGGAAATGTGCTTCCATAAGCAAAAATCAACCAAATTTTAGAAGATCTATCATTTTCCTCATTTTCCAACTCAATCCCCAGAAGAGAACTGTGCAATTTAAGCCCACTCAAATGTTGGGGCACAGAGGGACCTAAGAGGAAAATGAGAAGCTGGGTAAAGTAATGCACTATGGAGACTCTGGCAGGAAATTATTTGTATGTTCTTCATGGGCTCGGTCTAAATGTGGCCCCTGAGCCTAGGACTTCAGGGCTTACTTATTTTCCAGCCCTTCCCAACCTTCTCTGCAGAACCAGTATGGGGCCTAGAGTCAACCTTACTCAGCATTTATGTGGTCAAAGACCTGCCGCTCTTTGTTTTAGATTATTTTCAACCATCTGCATATTTCTGTAGCTTCATGGTCTCTTCTGTTTTCCACTACCACCTGTAGTGGGTTGAATGATGGTCCCCCCAAAAAAATATGTCCACATCGTAATCCCCAGATCCTGTAAGTGTTACCATATATGGCAAAATGTGTAAGTAGGTTAAGGCTATTGAGAGGAGAATATTATCCTGAATTGTGTGGGTGGGCCCTAAAGATAATCACATGCATCCTTATAAGACAGACACACAGAAGATAAGATGATGTGAGGATGGGGGAAGGGATTGGAGTGATGAGACCCCAAGCCCAGAAATGCCTGGAGACCCCAGAAGATGGAAGAGGCAGAAATCATCCTCCCCCACAATCCTTTAGAGGAATTATAGCCCTGCCCACACCTCAATTTCAGATGCCTGCCCACACCTCAATTTCAGATGTCTGCCCTCCAGAACTTCGAGATCATCAATTTTGGTTGTTTGAAGCCACCCAGTTTGTGGTCATTTGTTACAGCAGCTGCAGGAAATGCATACCATTCAACCTCCCAAAAAATGATTTTAAAAATCATCATTCGTTCACTCAATAAACATATCGATACCGCTGATTTTAATGGGCCCTAACGCTGTATAGGCACTACCCTGAGCACTTCCACACGGTGGCATTTAACCCTCTCCATACAATCACTGCTACCACCCCCTTATAGTCAGGGCAGCTGAAGCTCAGAACGTGGGGATAACTTGCTCAAGGTCACATGGCAAGTGGCAGAATCCTGGATTCAAATCTAAGCTGGCCTTTCTCCAGTGCCTTCCTTTTGTCCACTTCCCTGGAGTTCCACATCTGTTCCAGATTCTGGCGGGTCCCCAGCATGGAATCCTGCAGAGGAGACTCTGCACCAGGCCTGGGGTGGCTGCAACCAGAAGTGTCCCGTGGGCCTGTCTTTTCATCTCCAGAGTGCACCTTACTTGGCTCAAAGAACTAATATGGAGCTGAATGAGACATGAATGCTTTATAGACCCTATTAAGACATGGCAGAGGAGGATGGTAGAGAATGTTCTACACCTATTAAGGTTTCCTCTCTCCTGTTTTTATTATGTCACCTTTCTTACCTAGCCAAAGTCATATGAGAGAAAAATACCCACCAATTGTTTCAACAATACCATAGCTATCCCACAATTCTGTAAGGGTAAAATTCAAAGAGGCTCTAGAGCTCACTGGTGCAGTCCTTTCCTGTGGTCTGGAATCCCCTTATGACATGGTGAAGAAGGCGGAAGCCTGGGCAGTGGGGGGAAGAAATTGAGGAGGATTCCCAGCTCCCTGCGCCAGTACTTGGCTGTATGATCTACTTAACCCTTGCCAGCTTCCATCAAGTAATAATAATTTCAAAATAATACATCATAATGCCAAAATAATAATGTCATCTGTACAGAACTATAGTGTGCCTTTCATTAAAATACTCCACTAAATTTTGGGCAGCATGGTTAGGTCAGGAAGCAGCTGTTTCTTTTCTCTCCTGGGCTTTCAAATAATCTAATTTTATTTACATTTCTTATTTAATTTTAAGGGATCTGATTCATTAAAATTGTCTGACTAGCTCTAATTCTCAAAATCATGTGTCGGTAATGGGGAAATCTCATGGGAACAAAGATTCAATCATGCCTTGATCATCGACTCTCATCCAGTTGCCATGGCAATCTAGAGTATCATGGCGCCCTCCACAGATGTTCCAGCAAACTTTGGAGAAGACGAAAAATTAAGCAGATGCATTTTGTTAGAGCAATACCAGTGGGAGCAATATTGAGCTGAGGGGTCAAGCTATACCTCTGTGGTGATTCTCAAATTGTCATGAGCAAGCGATATTTGCAAGAGAACAGTTAAGCAGACCCTACAGAAAAATCATAGAAATGTACTACGACGTGGAACACTTTGCCTGGTGAGTATATAAAAGAGAAAGGTCAGAGAAGGCAGTAATTATGTTACAACAGAGATGATGTTGAAGGGGGATTCAATGCTCAGTGCTGTGTTAGACAATGTCAGGTATTTTTACGTCATGACGAAGAGTCCATGTAATGCTCGTTGACTTCTTTCAAGATGTTTAGAGATTTCAGTTTTTCAACTGAAGATGCCAACAACTTTTAGCCCTCAAAAGTTGTGCCTGGGAAGAAACCTTTTGAAAACTTCCAGCCCAGATTGTGTGTCATCTGGTCCGAGGGATGTTTTACTCTGGCCACTTGCTGGCAAGTTACATAAAAATACCCACATATGATGCCTGATATGTGAGCTAGGGTAGTTGCAGAAGTAGTAAATGTGCTACTTCAAATAATAGTAAACTGTTGCATTAAACTTTTATTTGTTCATTCATTCCTGGCTTGGGATAGGGACTGGGATTGGAGTTTATAAATAAGATCAGGAGGCCTGTGCTTGGGAAGCCCGTCCAAACAACCCAATTTGAAGGGCTTTGACATCTAGGCTTGGATAATTCGTTGCATGACATGAATAAAATTTTCTTAAGATTTTTGTGTTAGACCAATCCAGGTTTTCTAGATTAAATCTCATGGTCTTGAAGGGGATAGTCTCATCTACTCAGAGTGGCTAAGTAGGATTAGTAATAAAGGCCAAACAATTTGCATACTGTACAAAAGAAGGTGACGGTATTCCAAAAGAGCTGGATGAGCATCCTAAGCAAGAAGTGTAGCACTGAGCTCTAAGAGCATGTTGATTCTAGTTGCCACTGTGGCTGACACTGAACACAGTGATCAATAATTGTGGTGGTGATAATGATAATGGTGATGGTGGTGGTGATAATGATAATGGTGATGGTGGTGATGACAAGATGACACTGATAATGATGATGGTGATGATAATGATGATGGTGGTGGTGAGAATAATGGTGGTGATGGTGATAATTATGCTACTGATGACATGATGATGGTGATGATAATGATGATGGTGGTGGTGAGAATAATGGTGGTGATGGTGATAATTATGCTACTGATGACATAATGATGTGATGATAAGATGGTGATGGTCATGATGATAGAAATGATGGTGGTAGGGATGATGATAATGGTGATGGTAATGATGATGGTGGTGGATGATGGTGGTGGTGATGGTCGTAGTTATGCTACTGATGATGATATAATGATGACGGTGGTGGTGATGATAATGGTGATGGTGGTAGTTATGCTACTGATGATGATATAATGATGTGATGATTGTGACGTGATGATGGAGATGGTAGTGGTCATGGTAGGGATGTGATGGAAGGGATGATGGTAATGGTAATGGTGAAGATAATGTTGCTGGTGGTGGTGATGATAATGGTGGTGATGGTGGTAGTTATGTTACTGATGATGATTTAATGATGTGATGACGATGATGTGATGATGGAGATGGCGATGGTAGGGAAGATGATAATGGTGATGGTGATGGTGAGTTTGATGATGATGATGGTGGTGGTGATAGTGAAATATGATGGTGTGATGATGATGATGATGATGATGATATAAACCTAAAGTTTATTGAAGGCTACCTATAGAGCAGGTATTGGCAAACTATGGCCCACAGGTTAAATTTGGCCCACTTTCTGTTTATGTAAATAAAATCTGATTATCACACAGCCACGCCCATTTATTTGCATATTGTTTATCACTACCACCACACTACAACAGCAGAGGAGAATAGTTGCAATAGACTGTAGGGGCCACAAAGCCTAAATTTTTTACTGTTTGATCCTATGCAGGTAAAGTAAGAAAACTTCTGCTGTAGAGAAAGGAAGGTATTCACCAGTCTAGTTTTCCCCAAGCTTCAGTGCACGTAAAAACTACTTAGTGGGTATGCTATTGTGATGTATAGTAAGACATGTAAATACTGGTTTTCCTCCCTGGTTCCTGGCACTAAGCTATGGAAACACTTTTACTTTCCTGTGTGATATGTGTGCTAGGTGCTTATTTTGTCCTGACGTTTGGTATTTGAACCCGGTTCCTGAGACAGAGCTCCTAGTCTCTTGGAATTTCCTGGGTGATTAGAGCATGTTTTGTTCTAAGGAGACGACTCCTGGTGAGCTCCTGGATGGAGCCTGGTAGCCAGAAGCAACAAGGCATAATTAGAAGCCTGGAAGTTCCAGCCCCATTTCCAACCCTCCAGCCTTTGGGAAGAAAGGAGGAGCTAGAGATTGAGTCAATAATTGATCATGCCTGTGTGACAAGGCCTGCATAAATACCCCTGAACTACAGAGTTTAGAGAACTTCCAGGTTGGTGAACACATTCCAGGGCAAGGAGAGTGGTGCAGCCGAATGTGATGGGGACAAAAGCTTCTGCACTCAGGACCCTTCCAGACCTTGCTGCACATACCTGCTCATCTGGCTGTTCAGCTATGTCTTTTATCATAGCCTTTATTATACAATAAACTGATAAGCATAAGCATTTTCCTTAGTTCTATGAGCTCACTAGCAAATTATTGAACCTGAGGAGGGGGACGTGGGGACGCTGATGTACAGCTGGTCAGTCAGAAGCACAAGTGACCACCTGAGACTTGCAATTGGCGTCTGGAGTGGGGGCGGCCCTGTAGGACCGAGCTCTTATCCTATGAGACCTACACACTGTCCTCCAGTCAGTGTGAGGATTGAATTGAATTGCATGACACCCAGTTGATGTCAGAGAATTGGTTGTTGATAGGGACAAAACCCACACATTTTGGTGACCAGAAGCGAAGTGTGAGAATATATAGAGACAGACAGTTTGATATTTCCTCACAGGGGGCTTGTATGATTAGACTCCTCAGCAGTTGTCTGTGGACAGTTCTTTGATAAACACCTTATGGGGTCCAGCCATGTGAGTTTTGAGACAGTATTAAGTGTCTCTGATCCTCTAGTCTATCAAATGAGGCTTACATTTGATCTAGAGGTATTGGAAAATCGAACTGATGAAAAGTTTAAAAATTCAACATTACATAAATTCAAGCAGAATTAAGCCAGCTCAATCCTCCTTAACAAATAAACACCTTCAAGCTTCTTGCACAGACCAGGATATAGAATTTTAAGTTTGTCAGTCGCTAAGTAGACCCACTGGAGAAAATTGCACTTTGCCTTTAAATGATTTACTGCTGTGATTTCCAGGGGAGCTTAACTGTTCACCATTGTCTCCAGGCAGTGCATTCTCCAATTCTCAGACACGTTGTCTCAAGAAACCACTATTTTCAGTTTGCGATTTTTTTTCTGAAATTTTTCTGAGAAGGTACAGCTAAATTAAATTATTCTTCTTGCCACCAAACATGAGTTATGGTCTCCATCTCATTTAGCAACTTCTGTAATTTATCACCATTAAAAATGGTCTAAAAGGGCTTAATTTAGTTAATAGATTCCTCACCTCAGAGTCAGCTTCCCTCTGGTTTAAGCTGCTGTTTCTCATGCCACAGAAAGACAGACTCTCTCTCTGAAACAGATATTACTGATTTCCACATAATGTTCCTGAAGTCTGAGCTGACTTTTCATGAAGTGAGACAGATGCATGGCGCTAACTCCAGCCACCTGCTGTGGCCTCGGATTGGCATTTTAAATGAGAGAGGGAGGACCCAGGCAGAAATCCCTGCCATTCTGTGGGAAAAGAATGTTGGCCAAAAAGGCTATAACAATTCCACTCTTTCTGGCCTCCCTTACCACTAAATCCATAGGCAAAGGGGAGCTATCTTTCTTGGATTAGTCAACTGTAAAAGCAGGCATAATGAGACACAGGTAAATCACAACAGGTTGATGTGGAAACTTACACCGGAGTGGACAGATGCTGAAAAATGGCAGATGTGCTTAGGGGAAACACAACTCAGCTTGAAAAAGAGCTTTATGGAAAACAACTTTAGTATTTGAGTTGAAGGAAGATATAATGCCTATAAGAAATAGGAGTCCCAGAATGTTCACTTGCTCAGTTTCCTGATACAATGCCATCTGAGTGTCTCGTTGACCCCGTGCTTTCTAATAATATTTGAAGACATTTTCATTCAAAAGACCTGCTATTTCCATACATAAAACTCATGTATGTTCATTGTGGTGTGTGTGTGTGTGTGTGTGTGTGTTCAGAAAATACAGATTTTTTTTTTTTTTTTATGATGGGGTCTCACTGTCACCCAGGCTGGAGCTCAGTGGCACGATCTCAGCTCACTGCAACCTCTACTTTCCCGGGCTCAAGTGATTCTCCATCCTCAACCTCCCAAGTAGCTGGGACTACAGGCACAAACCACCAACACCTGGCTAATTTTTGTATTTTTTGTAAAGACTGGGTTTTGTCATGTTGCGTATGCTGGTCTTGACCTGGACTCAAAGCCATCCACATATCTTGGCCTCCCAAAGTGCTGGATTACAGGCATGAGCCACTGCACCCAGCCAAAAACACAGAAATTTATATGTAAGAAAGTAAAAATATCCCAAATTCCCAAAACACACATATAACCATGTGAATATTTCACGTTTTGTGCTCTTTTTGGCCGTTTCCCATGTATAAATAAGTATCTAGATAGGGATATAGATTGATCACAGAATTAGACCTTGTGCTTCTTAGCAACCCAAGCCATCTGAACAGTATTTCGTGGAAACATTTTCCAATTACTACGTACAGACATTTGTTATCATTTTTTAATGACAGCATGATATGCTATTGAGTGAACAAATCACAATTTAAATAATGGCCTATTTGGGACATGTAAGATGTTCCCAGGGTTGATTTGTTTCACTAATGAGCCACCAGATATGCACCCATGGAAACCTTGGTCCAACCTTTTCTTATTATAAAAGGTGTCAGGGTGAGACTAATGCAATACCCTTGCGGTTCCCCTCCCAGCCCCAGTCCATGGTGCTGACAGCTGCCTCCACACAATGGGAAAAAGAGCCCAAACAGAACTGTCCACGACCTTTCTTCTTGCCCTTGCCTTTCACCTACACCCCTCTGATTCAGGGCACATTAGGGAGGCTTGTCAGTGCTTCTTCAGTTTACCTCCTGTATCACCCTTTGTGCTGCCCCCCAAATCCCCTTCCACTTAATCTAGACTGTAGAAAACAGGAGAAATGCCTCACACTTGATAACACAAAGTTTCTTTCTGCCACCGTGTGGGGCAAACAGGGTCTGCCTTCCTGCAGGCAAAGGATTAATCCACCTTCCTTGAAGTCACTCCTTTAACAGGTAAACTGGAATCCAGGGCATGCAGCCTTGCCCCTTGGTTTCCAAACACCTGCTGAGGTCCGAGTCACAAACTCCACGAAGGAGGGAAAGGTATGTCCACAGTAGGGCATCCAGACTTTCCTCTCCTTATCACCAGGCCGGGGCTCCATTCCCTCTCCAAGGAGATGCCAGGGGATCCCTTGAGGGTGGCAATTATTCTTTGATGTTTCAGCCTTAGAGACTAATGGATGAATAATGGTTGGTAATTTTGACTTTAGACCAGGGCATCAGCTTGTATTTAAGGAAAACATAGAAGCCTCAATACAGAGTAAGTCCACAATGATTTCAGAAGACCCGATTTTAAGAAGCAAGCTGAGAGCTTTAAAATTACTTTCTAGCAATCTAAATACAATCATTGAAGTCCAGTCATGGGTACAGAGGGAATTGTTACACTATTCTCTCTACTTTTATGTGTATTTGAAGGTTTTCATAATAAAAAGTTAACCAAAAGTAATCTATATAAACTTAGCTATGAGAATGTAAGTGCCCTAGTGGATTTAAAACAATTCTATTCTTTAAAAAAAAAAAAAAAGGCACACATACACAAACACACACATTGAGTTTCAAATTACATCTTAAAATATGTGAGCCTTAGTTTCTGTTCCCCATTCCATCACAAATTATTTGAAAGTTTGTGTTGTAAATTCCATTTTCTTTTTCCTGATGGAGTATGTCACTCTGTGGGGAAAAGCCCATTCCGCTGTTGGTACAGGGAACTCATAATTCCCCAGTCGCTCGTGTTTCCAAAAGAGGGGGAGAGAAAGTCACACAAAGCCAAGGAGAGAGAGGAGGATGGGAAGAGAAGGAGGCCGAATGCAGAACAGAAGCACAGGGGTCCTTTCTTTGGGATCCCCCCCCCCGAGACTCAGCTGCACATCCTTCCTCCTCTGTAAGTGTTCTTGCCTTGAGGTCATTCAAACATCCCTGATTTATAGCAAGTCTGCAGTAACTTTACTGGGGCTCTCACAAAGAGTTATTGTTGTGATGGTTTCAGCAGAGCGAGTACTAAGGAACCACATGGTCAGGCCTTCCACAAGCTGTTGCTCCCCCCAGTTCCATAGCTCCCTGGAAGATGGATGAGAGCAGGGAATGTGGTTTCACAGCAGGATCCACAGTAGGCCGAGGCCAAGGTGGCTGCATTCTAGAGCTGTGTTCTGAGATAACGTCTGCATATCAGGCAACTATCATCTCTGTTCGGCTGGAAACCAGGAAGGCAGAGGCGATGCAGTGGCTAACGCCTCCCAAGCATCTATCCCTCCTTTCTGCCTATCCGTAGCCTCACCCTTGTCAACCCCTGGCTTTCCCGAGGCACTCAGTAATTTTTGCTCAGCTTACAGAGGCTCTCCTCCCAGATTTTATGCTGGAAATATGCCTCTGAGCCCCAGTTGTTCACAAGGTGGTGGTCTTCAAATACGCACCTGCATTATATGAAAGGAAGGTAGGGAAGAGGTGTGCAGCGAGGAGGGGAGCCACCTCCCCTGTGTGTGTGTTTGATGAGGCATTTTCATCCAAAAGAAAGATGGATTGCCAACCAGACCCCGGCATCTGACATGCAATTATGTCTGTGCACCTGCAGCTTGCCCCATATGTAAAATCTGCAGGTGCAAACCTTGAGTCCAAAGACAGTCCTTTAAATCATATCCTTCCAAAGACTCTCGTGGTTCCTATTGGAGCAGAGAAGCTGCTGAGGAGAGACTGCTTGAGTAACTCAGTCATTACTTTTCTTCTCACTCTTTGTTGTGCTTTGCTCATCCAGGGGAGGCCTTTCAGTGCTGAGAAATTACAAGTCCTTTTTCAGATCAGGTACATGGCTTGTGTGCTTTTCCCATGCACAGTCTATGCAAGGGGAGGAACATTTGTTTTGTGGGCTTGTTTTGAACATCTGAATCCAAAGAGAGAAGCTGCCCTGGTTTATCAGTCTGTCTGGTTCTGACACTCGACATCTCCTGTTCAGTTGGAATTCTGCACCCCTTTGCATGTGCATTACTGAAAGGTGCCTTTAAAAATGCAGATGCTCTCTGTCTGTTCCCACCAATGTCTTTACTGTAGTCAGCCCTCCATCTGCCAAGGGGTAGCTTGCAAGCATCCTCACCCTATAAGACCTTGCTGACTACTCATTCCAGCTTTGCGTGCTCTCTCTCTCTCTCTCTCTCTTTCTCCCTCTCTCTCCCCCCTTGTCTCTTGTCTCTTTAAGCTCCAATTGTACATTGTCCCTCTTTGTCATTTTTCTCATTTTACCATATATTATGGTTAATTGTGTACTTCCCTTACCCACATTAATAACAATGAAATTAGTAGGTTGAGTCCATAATGTGAGTCTCTGTGCTAACAGTCCTGCATGCCCTGCCTAAATTAATTCTTGCTACTACTGATTCTGTTCCAGGCACTTTAGATCAAGTGAACAAACAAAGCTATGAAAACCACTCCCCTTCTGAAGCATGTGGGTTAGTTGGAGGAGAAAACTATAAACAAGGCACAAATAATTAAAAATAATTTTAGATGATAACAAGTGCTATAAAGTTAATAAAACACACTAAGGAAATGAGGATTGCTGAGCATCATTTGAACTGAGATCTGAGGACTGAGAATGAGCCATTCAAGAGCTCTAGGAAAAGCAATCCAGGAAAAGGGTGGAGCAAATGGGAAGGATCTGAGAAAACAGAAGTCTAGGGCAAGTGAGGTGGAACAGTCAGGAGGGAGGCGGGAGGTGAGAGAGGTGGGGCAAGTGGGTGAGGCCAGGTCCTGTAGAGCCTGGTGGCATCTGGGCACAGCCAGATTCAACAGGGAGCATCCATACTCATCTGGGCACAGCCAGATTCACCTGGGGATACCCATACTCACCTGGGCACAGCCAGATTCACCTGGGAATATCCAGATTCATGTGGGTATATTCATATTCACCTGGGCACAGCCAGATTCACCTGCAAGCACCCATCACAGCCAGTTTCTCCTGGGACTATCCGGATTCACCTGGGTATATTCATATTCACCTGGGCACAGCCAGATTCACTGGCCACACCCAGATTCTCACAGCCAATGGACTGTCAGATGCGCCAGTGCTCACATTCCAGCCCCTGCTGCCTGATGCCCCAGGGCAAGAGTCATTCTCAACATCTCACACAGCACAAGCAGCTCATCCTCCATGCAGCTGGCCTGGATGGGGCATCCGGGATACCCCAGGGCAAGAGTCATTCTCAACATCTCACACAGCACAAGCAGCTCATCCTCCATGCAGCTGGCCTGGATGGAGCACCCGGGATACCCCAGGGCAAGAGTCATTCTCAACATCTCACACAGCACAAGCAGCTCATCCTCCATGCAGCTGGCCTGGATGGGGCACCCGGGATACCCCAGGGCAAGAGTCATTCTCAACATCTCACACAGCACAAGCAGCTCGCCCTCCATGCAGCTGGCCTGGATGGGGCACCCGGGGCTGTGCAAGCCCTATCCCCTTGAGTCTGCACAAAAACCCTGTGAGTTTGTTAATATTACCTGCATTTCACAGACAGGAGTTCAGGACACAGGGGGGTCACCTGAGAGTGACCAAGGCTTGGACATCAGCAGCCTGGCTCCTGAGTCCACATCCTGACCACCCTCATAGGGTTTGGAGGTGGTGGGTGTGTGGTCACTTTGTCTTGAGTGTTGTGGAGTCAGCCTTGCCCACACCCAGAGCTGAGCCCCGGGAACATGTCCATGAGTGGGAGTGGCCGCTCTCCACCAACAGGCACCACGGTCATGGCCATGGACTGACATTTCCGGGAAGTCACTTCTGAAGGGAAAGCTATTTTGAGGCCTGGAGAATGAGTGACCCAAGGGTGGAATGTCCCGACCAAGCATATTATTCTTCCCCAGAGCTCCTCAGCTTGGCTGTAGAACTGAGTGTGGGGTGGGGGTGGGGAGACCGCAGCCAAGCGAGAAGCAGGTGACCTCAGCACAGGCAATTTGCTCAGCTCTCATAAACTGCTATGCCACCAGGTCACTCACATCAGCATCGCTCGTCTGCAAACAGCCCCAGCTGTCACAAGTAATAGGGCGAGGGTGAGACCTCCGTGTGTTTTCTGAAGACTGTTTTCTTAAGACTCTTCAAAAATGAGATGCTCCCGTCACTCTCAACAACAGGAAGACCGTGTGTCACACAGTTATTAGATTTTATTTATGAGGGAAGCATCTGAGTTTTCTGCAACCTGTCATTGAGCAGTGTGTAAACTGACAGAGGTGTCTATCTATGTCCACCCTGGAGATGCCAGGCTGGAAAATGAGGACAACGATGCTTCCATCAGAAATTCTGAAAAATCGTGATAAAGTGATAGAGAAGTCACTTCTAAGTTCTGTGATCTGCTTTAAATGCTTGATAAAACATAAATATGTGCCTGAAAGAGAGCTAAGAGAACATGAACACAACTATATTAACCCTTAGCAATGAAGAATTATAGCTGGTCACTGTCTTCTTCTCTTTGTAAAAACAACCTGTGCATATAAAATTCAACACTATAGTTTCCAGATAATTCCTCATAGGGGTGTAACATGTATGTACAAACACAGAAGCTTATAGAGCACATAGAGGGTTGAAATCCTATCTATTCCTGCTCCAGGGTGCCCTTGTGCTTAGGAGGGGCTGGGGGCACACAGGTCTCTGCCCTACGCAGAAGCTCACTCGCTCCGTCAGTGAGCACGGAGGCACAGGCACGTAATGCTCAAGTGCTTATGTGACTGCATATCAAGCTTTGGTAACAAGACACCCAAATCCTTTTGAAGACCCCCCTGAATTCCGTCCAATGGGAGTATTACCCAGACACCTTGCCCTCTCCAGCCTCAGGTCAAGCAGGTTCTTAGTATTGGGCCCGTAGCCTGCTCCCTGCCTGGAATCTGAATCACAGGCAGAGCAATGAAAGAGCAGCAAAGAGTGGAGATCATGCCTACAGCAGGGGCTTTCAGACAGGACTGCTCATTAGTTTCTGGTCTTCCTTGCTTGATTCAGCCAGAACCAGGTAGGCTGTTTACTAGAAAAGTTCCCTTCATGATACCATTTCCTGTGTGTGTGATTATAGGCTCATAGGAAGTTGCAAAATAGTACAGAGTCCTTTGAATCCCTCATTCAGCTTCTCCAAATGGTGACATCTTGTGCAATTGTAGCACAACATCAAAACCAAGTAATTGGCATAAATACAATACTATTAACTCTGTTATAGCTTTTATTCTATTCAATTGTCAGCAGTTATTATGTAAACTCTGATTGGTGTTTTAGTCTTTGTCATAACCTGATAATGGAGACAGACTCTGTTCATTATCTTAATTTGTCCATGAAGAAAAAAGGACCCAAAAGGACTCAAAGAGCCCAACAAATACGGCCAATAGTCAATTTCCTTTGATGCAGGTAAAATATTCTGTGTATCTGTGCAGAAATAATTGCACAGAGCATGAGTCCAGCTGGCAAGCTGGCATCCATGAGAGCTGCCAGCTAACGATGACCCCCTCCCATAGGATGAAGGGATGGTGAGGTCCTGCAAGCAGCTCATGCCCAACGCCAGTTCCAGGGAGCATTTCCCCCACCAGCCTTCCATGATATTCTGGAGATACTGGCTGACTATGCGACCTTGTGCTTTCCAAGTGCAAATAATTGGTGATACCCCCAAAACATTTCTGCATACTATCTATGAGACTGAAACAGTAGAAAGTCAGTGTTACAAGTGTTCCAACCCCCTGTAGGACCATGCCATATGCCTATTTCGGGTCTATGTCAGCAAAAGAACAAAGCGATGTGTGCTGGGGCACTGCTTCCTGCACCGCTGTGTGCTCTCAAATCACTGGGTGGGATTCTGTTGAAATGCAGATGCAGATTCCATAGTTCTGGGGTGGGAGCCTAAGGTTCAGCCTTTCCACCAAACTCTCAGATAAAGCTGATGATGCTGGTTCAGGAACCACACTATGTGTCCTAGATAATATTATTATAGCTGGGTTTTCTATCAAAACTTAGTCAAAGTGAGATAACAATATTCAAACTAAGTCATGAATTAAACCAATTCATTACCTATCCAATGGACGTATGGAAATAGAAATCAAGAAACTAAGATTTTCATATAAACTTAGACTAGTTACTTCACCTCTCTGTACCTCAGAGTCCTCATTTATAGAAGGGGTAACAATAATAGCATCTGCCTTGTATCATAATTGTGAGGCTTAATTGAAAAAATACATGTAATCTCTGAGCAGAATGTCTTATGCAGAATAAGCACACTGTAAATTCTAGATGACATGATAATTGCTGACAAGAGAAATGATGATGCTGCTGGTAGTGGTGATGATGTCAATTGTGATGATGATAAAAATGGTGATGATGATGGGGATGATAATAATGGTAATGAGGATGATGGTGATGATGAAGTTAATGGTGATGATGATGGTGCTGATAAAACTAATGATGATAGGCTGGGCACGGTGGCTCATGCCTGTAATCCCAGCACTTTGGCAGGCCGAGGTGTGCGGATCACGAGGTCTGGAGATTGAGACCATCCTGGCTAATATGGTGAAACCCCATCTCTACTAAAAATACAAAAAATTAGCCAGGCGTGGTGGCAGATGCCAGTAGTCCCAGTTACTTGGGAGGCTGAGGCAGGAGAATGGCATGAACCTGGGAGGCGGAGCTTGCAGTGAGCCAAGATCGCGCCACTGCACTCCAGCCTGGGTGACAGAGCGAGACTCTGTCTCAAAAAAAAAAAAAAAAAAAAAAAACAAAAAAAAACTAGTGATGATGATGATGGTGCTGATAAAACTAGTGATGATGATGATGGCGATGATAAAACTAGCGATGATGATTGTGATGAGGATGATGGTGATGATGGTGATGACGATATGATGATGGTGATGACGATATGATGATGGTGATGAAGATGGTAACAGTGCTACTGGTAGTGATGATGATGGTGATGATAGTGATGGTGATGATGGTGATGGTGATTATGATGACACTGATGATGATGATGTTGAGAGGAGGCTAATAATGATGAGGATGGTGATGTTACTGGTGGTGGTGGTGATGATGATAATGGTGATGATGATTCTGTGATGATGATCATGAGGGTGATCACAGTGATGGTGATAGTGGTGAGGATGAAGATGATGATGGTTATGGTAATAATGATGATTTTCTGTATATTCAGTCAAATATGCTGTGTGACTATAGAAAAGTGAGTGATTCTATCACTTGCAACAAAGAGTAGGCAACAGGTGGACCTGGCCTGGAAGGAAACATACAGCATACCAGGCAAAGAAATGGAAGAAAGTAATCACTCAATACAGATAGAATTGTGTCTGCAAACATAGATTAGTAACAGGCCAGTGTTTGAGTGGAATACCTGGAGCTTCCCATTCTTGAAGATGCATGACTGCAGGCCCCAGCACCCTTGGTTTGCTGAATGGACATGAGGAAGGCTGATCTTCTGTTTCAGCCAGGCTGGTCACTGGTGTCCTTGCTACAGTCGCTGTTGAAAAGAAGCTGCTGTCACAACCTTGGAGGATGAGGGGATAAGCCCAGTGCTTCACTGGAGAGCTGTGGGGCTTGACTGACTGGTTTGACTCCTGTGTGCATTTCTTGGAGTGGATTTATTGAAGGTTATTTGTTTGTCTGTGCCAGAGTAGTCACCTCACAGCGCAACTTCCTTTCAAGTTAGCTGGGACATTTCAGGCTTCCCTGCCACATAGGACCCTGAAAAATTGATTGCCCTGGAAATCCAAGCATTAAATAACATGTATGGGGCTTTAAAAAATTTCAGCTCCCCTTGATTCTAACCAAGCACACTTCTGAATTAAGAAATAAATGCAACTCTTTTATGAAAAAGAAAATTGAACAAATTGCACAAAATTACTGCAAGACCAAAAAGAAAACCTCTCACCGAAGCATTATAGCAAGATGAGTATAATATGCATTATAACTATTTAATTGCATTGGTGATGAAATAGTGCTTGGAACATACACACCACTGTTTAGAGAGGGGAACGATGGCGGAAAGTGATAACTAAATTAAAACTAGTATACATTTTTTCCAATGGGAGAATATATGCAATTCCACAAGAAAGAAAAATATCTGTCTATTTACATGGGTAGATCTCTAAATTGTACAGAATAAAAGAGGGTGGATTTTCAGATTGATTCCAATTGATTAGATGGTGTGTTTTCTACAGGAATATATTGATATGTAAAAGTTTTTAAAGCTTAGAAAAATACACAGGGAAGGCCGGGTGCGGTGGCTCACGCCTGTAATCCCAGCACTTTGGGAGGCTGAGGTGGGTGGATCACAAGGTCAGGAGATCGACACCATCCTGGCTAACACGGTGAAACCCCGTCTCTACTAAAAATACAAAAAAATTAGCTGGGCGTGGTGGCAGGTGCCTGTAGTCCCAGCTACTAGGGAGGCTGAGGCAGGAGAATGGCGTGAACCTGGGAGGCGGAGCTTGCAGTGAGCCGAGATAGTGCCACTGCACTCCAGCCTGGGCAACAGAGTGAGACTCCATCTCAAAAAAAGAAAAAAAAAAAAGGAAAGAAAAGAAAAAAGAAAAATACACAGTGAACTTTTAGTTTTATTTGAAATTTCTATCTTTTTTTTTTTTTTTTGCCAACCATTCATTCATGTTGAATCTTTCAACTGTTTTTGGAAACGGAGCCCATGTGCAGGGTTTTTACATGGGTGTATTGTGTGAAGCTGAGGTTTGGGATACAGATGGTCCTGTCACCCAGGTGGGGAGCATAGTACCCAATAGGTAAGTTTTTCAGCCCACGCTCCCCTATTCTCCCTCCCCTATCCAGTAGTTCCCAGTGTCTATTGCTCCCATCTTTACGTCTATGTGTATTCAATGTTTAGCTCCCTCTTGTGAAAACATGCAGTATCTGGTTTTCTGTTCTCACATTAATTCACTTAGGATCATGGACTCCAGCTGCATCCATGTATCTTTTTGAGAGAATTTATTCATCTCTTACTTATGTAGTTAATTTTTTTTTTTTTTTTTGAGATGGAGTCTCGCTCTGTCGCCCAGGCTGAACTGCAGTGGCGCGATCTCGGCTCACTGCAAGCTTCGCCTCCCGGGTTCACGCCATTCTCCTGCCTCAGCCTCCCAAGTAGCTGGGACTACAGGAGCCAGCCACCACGCCCAGATAATTTTTTGTATTTTTTAGTAGAGACAGGGTTTCACCTGTCTCTACTAAAGGCCAGGATGGTCTCCATCTCCTGACCTCGTGATTTGCCCGCCTCGGCCTCCCAAAGTGCTGGGATTACAGGCGTGAGCCACTGCGCCCTGCCATATGTGGTTAGTTTTTTAAGGTATCAAACTTGAAGGCTATGAGAAATGTCTTAGGAAATGATCCTCTTCTGGAATTTGGTTCCTCTTTGCAGCTGATAAGGAGTCATTCTACCAATGCAAGTACTTGGACACTTACTGCTATGAAATGAACAGACACAACTGGGAAGAAAACCAGCACCCAGGGAAGAGAGGAAAGCTAGGGAGCTGTGCTTGAGTAATTTAGGGGGAATGGTAAATTGTCTAGTGACTCTTTTCACCTCAAGACCCACTGGTTTCTTAGTTTCCTTTCCCAACTCTGCTATTGCCCCCACATCCTAAAGGAACCTTTCTTTTTTTATATATTTTATTTTAAGTTCCAGGATACATGTGCAGAATGTGCAGGTTTGTTACATAGGTATACATGTGCCATGGTGGTTTGCTGCACCTATCAACCCGTCATCTAGGTTTTAAGCCCCGCGTGCATTAGGTATTTGTCCTAATGCCCTCCTTCCCCTTGGCCCCCACCTTCCTACAGACCCTGGTGTGTGATGTTCCCCTCCCTGTGTCCATGTGTTCTCATTGTTCACCTCCCACTTCTGAGTGAGAACATGTGGTGTTTGGTTTCCTGTTCCTGTGTTAATTTGCTGAGAATGATGGCTTCCAGCTTCATCCATGTCCCTGCAAAGGACATGATCTCCTTTTTTATGGCTGCATAGTATTCCATGGTGTATATGTGCCATATTTTCTTTATCCAGTCTATCATTGATGGACATTTAGATTGGTTCCAAGTCTTTGCTATTGTAAATAGTGCTGCAATAAACATATGTGTGCATGTGTCTTTATAGTAGGATTTATAATCCTTTGGGTATATACCCAGTAATGAGATTGCTGGGTCAAATGGTATTTCTGATTCTAGATCCTTGAGGAATAGCCACACTTTTCCACAATGGTTGAATTAATTTACACTCCCACCAACAGTATAAAAGCATTCCTATTTCTCCACAGCTTTGCCAGCATCTATTGCTTCCTGACTTTTTAATAATCGCCATTCTAACTGGCGTGAGATGGTATCTCATTGTGGTTTTGGTTTGCATTTCTCTAATGACCAATGCCTCTCAACTTTCAATTTTCCAAGGACTCTGTAGGTGTAAGCACCAGCTAAAGTATCACTGCCTGATCCAAGACCCTTTTCAGACACATGTGTGCATTTTGATGAGTGATATGTGTTAAGGATAACATTTTTGCCCGTGATACCCAATGTGAGTGTTTGTGGAGATTTAACCTTCAGGGAAGTTATTAAGGTTAACTGAGGCCCTAAGGGAGAGGCCTTGATCCCCTATGACTGGTGTCCTTATCAGAAAAGGGGAGATCCCAGGGACACCTGTGCATATAGAGAAAAAGCCATGTGCAAAGAGAGAGGTCTCAGGAGAAACCAAAACTGTATTAGTCTTCTCGGGCAGCCGTAGCAAAGTACCACAGACTGGGTGGTATAAACAACAGAAATTTATTGTCTCATGGTTCTGGAGGCTGGAAGTCCAGGATCAAAGTGTAGGCAGGGGTGGTTCCTTCTGAGGGAGAATCTGTTCCACGCCTCTCCCAGCTTCTTGTTATCTACTACCTGTGTTTGGCATTGCTTGGCTTGTGGAAGCATCTGCCTTCCTCTTCATGGGGCTTCTCCCTGTGTGTGTATCTGTGTCCAACTTTCTTCTTTTTATACAGAACAAGTCACATAGAATTAGAGTCCTACTCTACTTCAATACGATCGTATCTTAACTAATTACATCCGCAATGACCCTGTTCCCAAAATAATACCGCATTCTTAGGTATCAGGAGCAAGGACTGTCACGTATAAATTTGGGAGGGATGAGGGGGACATAATTCAATCCATAAGAGATGGCCTCTCAAAACTCTAAGAAATCCACTGGAATGTAATCTCCATGAAAACATGCCCCAATCACTGTAGTAGTATCAGTACCTTGCACCAAGTAATAGCTCAGTAAATATTCATTAAATAAAATAATAAACTCAGGCCGTGCGCAGTGGCTCATCCCTGTAATCACAGCACTTTGGGAGGCCGAGGCGGGCAGATCACGGGATCAGGAGATCGAGACCATCCTGGCTAACATGGTGAAACCCGGTCTCTACTTAAAAAATTACAAAAAATTAACCGGGTGTGGTGGAACGTGCCTGTAGTCCTAGATACTCGGGAGGCTAAGGCAGGATAATTGCTTGAACCCAGGAGGCAGAGGTTGCAGTGAGCCGAAATCGTGCCACTGCACTCCAGCTTGGCAACAGAGCAAGACTTCGTCTCAAAATAACAATAATAATAAATTCAAATCATATATAAAAAATGCCATCTGTCGTACATTAATGTAGTAAGTATATATCGAGTTCTCATCACATGCCATTCAGAGCCAGGTGCTAGGAACACACATAACAAAGAAAAAGATGGGCACATTTGATCCCCTTGAGAGCTTACAGCTTTCAAAAGGATAATTAAATACATGTATGCAACAAAATGTTATCAATAACCTGGAACTGAAAATTTAGGGTATCTTCTCTTGGATTGGAAGCAATAAATATTTTTAAAATTCAAATTCTCCCCAATAATCTATCTCTAACCAAATTCCTAACAGAGTTTTTTTTTGGGGGGGTGGGGGGAAGCTAGCAAACTATTCCTAAATTTCAGAATAAGAAAGAATTAGAAAGAATAAATAGCAGAAATGGAAAAGCTAAAAATAACAACTTATATGTATCTTATCAGACATATTCCAAAACAATAACGGTTTTGCAAGATGGAAAGAGTTCTGGAGAATTGATGGTGATGATGGCTGCACAACGGTGTGAAGGTATTTAATGCCACAGAACTATGCATTTAAAAATAATGAAGATGGGGCCGGGCATAGTGGCTCACACCTGTAATCCCAGTATTTTGGGAGGCCAAGTTGGGTGGTTCATCTGAGGTCAGGAGTTCGAGACCAGCCTGACCAACATGGTGAAACCCTGTCTCTACTAAAAATACAAACATTAGCTGGGCGTAGTGGCAGGTGCCTGCAATCCCAGCTACTCGGGAGGCTGAGGCAGGAGAATCACTTGAACCTGGGAGGCGGAGATTGCAGTGAGCCGAGATTATGCCATTTTACTCCAGCTTGGGAGACAGGAGCAAGATTCCAATTCAAAAAAAAAAATAATGAAAATTGTAAATTTTAGGTGGTATGTATTTTGCCACCATATATAAAAGTTGTAGCAAAGTTATAAAAATAGATCACTGGAATAAGAACATACTCTAGCACATTAGAAGATTTAAGTACAGAATACAGTTTAGCTGTCATGTTAAGAGAGGAGGAACCATGACACAAATGGTGATGGGATAAATCAAGCCTTGGAGAAAAAAGAAACTTATTTAAAATCTCATTTTACATCAAGCAAATCCAGATGCATTAAAACTTGAATGTAAAAAGGGAGCTGAGGCGGGCAGATGACGAGGTCAGGAGATCGAGATCACCCTGGCTAACACAGTGAAACCCCATCTCTACTGAAAATACAAAAATTTAGCTAGGCATGGTGGTGGACATCTGTAGTCCCAGCTACTCGGGAGGCTGAGGCAGGAGAATGGCATGAACCCAGGAGATGGAGCTTGTGGTGAGCCAAGATCACACCACTGCATCCCAGCCTGGGCGACGAGTGAGATTCCATCTAAAAAAAAAAGCCATCAAAGTGATAGAAGAAAATTTAGTTGCCTAGTAGACAACATTGCTGAAAGAGGACATTTTTTAAAGCATGACACTAGAAATGCCAAATACAAAATATTGATAGATTTGACAAAATAAAAATAAAAACCTTGCATCACACACACATAGAAAGCTATCCAAGGTATAAGTCAAATTGGGAATACACTTACATCATATATGACAAACAATTAACATCCTTAGTACATAGATATTCTCAACATGTGTTGTGACATGAACTCACATAATTGTTTTACAAAAAAGGAGATACATTTAACCTATTAATAAAGATCAGTTAAGAAAAAGTAACTACAAATGAAGTAAGGAAACGATCTTCACTCACCAGATTGAAAAAATTCAATGAATGAAAATCACAAGCTGGCAACCTTCCTTGCATGTGGCTTTGTAAAATGCTATCAAAATGTAATACATGCATTTATTTAAATACAGCAATTACATTGTCCATAGTCACACATAGGTACAAAAACATATGAAGATTAAGAGTGACCAGTAGAAAGAAGCCAAAGGGACATAGGGCATTTTGATGTGAAGTTTTGAAGTCCCTGAGTACGTTTTGCTATGGGAACAGTCTTTTTCCTGCATGTGGCTTGTCTCCACAAACAGGTGCTTACACTCTCAACACATGCACAGGGGACAGAATGACTCTGTTTTGTGCTTCTTTTAGAAGTGATTTCCTCTGAGCGTTGTTGAACCTTTGAAAGCTTCCTTGTGTACACCCACCTGCTCCTATCACATTCTTAAAGACCGATTTTCATGAAATGACCCTAAATGATTCATTGCACCATTACTTCGGGATGTTCAGAATAATTTTTCAGTTTTTGTATTTTTTTATTTATTGTGTTTTTATTCTCTGTTTTATTCGGTTCTACTCTAATCTTTAGTAGTTCACTCTTTCTGCTTCCTTTGGGATTAGTTTGCTCTTCTTTTTCTAGTTTCTTAAGGCTCAATGTTAGGTTATTGGTTGGAGACTTTTTAAAAAAATACATAGGTGTTTACAGTTTAAATTTTGTTTTAAACACTGTTTTAGTTATATTCTATAGTTTCGGCATATTGTGTTTTTACTTTTAGTCATTTCAGAGTATTATCTAATTTCTTTTGTAATTTCTTCTTTTACCTATTGATTATGTGGTAGTGTATTGTTTAATTTCCACATATTTGTGAATTTCCCAAATTTCCTTTTGTCAATAATTTCTAATTTAATTCCATTGTGGTCAGAGGGTCTACTTTGAATGACTTCAATCCTTTTAAGTTTACTATATCTTGATTTATGGCCTACCATGTAGCTTATTCTTGAGAAGATCTCATGTGTGCTTAAAAACTGAAGTATTCTGCTGTTGTTGACTGGGGTGCTCTGTGGATTTATTTTAGGTTTAGTTGGTTTATACTGTTGATCAAGTCTTCTTTCCTTACTGTTCTTCTGTCTTCTGGGTCTATCCATTATTGAAAGTGGGGTGTTAAATTCTCCAACTATTGTTGACTTGTCTATTTCTCACTTCCCCTCTGCCTGCCTTCGTGTATTTTGGGACTCTGTTGATAGGTGGATAAATGTTTATAATCATTATGTCTTTCTGGAGGATATTTTAGTGTTATAAAATGTACCTTCTTACCTGCAGTTACAATTTTTTTCCCTTAAAGTCAATTTTGTTTCATGTTAGTATAGCCACTCTTTCTCTCTTTCAATCACTATTTGCATGTTATATAATTTGCTGTTCTTTTAATGTCTTCGAATCTGAAGTGTCTCTTGTAGACAGCATATATAGCATCATATGTTTTATCCATTTTAGCCATTCTGCCTTTTTATTTGAAGTGTTTAATTCATTTAAATTTAAAATAATTACTCACAAAGTAGAATTTACACATGCCATTTTGCTATTTGTGGTCTATGTTTCACATCTTTTTTTATTTCTTCATTGCTTCATTATTGCCTTCTTTAGAGCTAAGCAGACATTTCCCAGCATAGTATTTAAATTGTCTTACTATTTCTTCAAAAATATTTTTCAGTTTTTTATTAGTAGTTTCCCTGTGGATTATAGTTAGCATCTTAACTTAAAACAATCTAGTTTGGATTAATACCAAGTTAATTTCCATTGTACAAAGAAACTTTGCTTCGATAAAGCTTTGTTCTCTTTCTATTCCTTGTGCCACTATTGTCATACAAATTACATCTTTACACATTATAAAACCATCAACATGGTTTTATAATTATTACTTTTATTAGTTGTATTTTAAATCAGGTGGGAGAAGAAAGGAGTTACAAAAAAAGCACTTATACTGTCTTTCATATTTACCTATATAGCTACCTTTATCAGCCTCTTTATTTTTTCAGGTGAATTCAAGTTACTGACTAGTGTCCTTTCCTTTCAGCCTGAAGGACTATCATTGAATCCTTTTTTATAAGTCTTATGTTGTTTTCAGCTAACACAATAATTGCATGTATTTACAGGGCACAGGGTGATGTTTTGATGCATGTATACATCTGTAATGATTAAATTAGGGTAATTAACATATCCATCACTTCAAACATTTATCACTTTTTGTGGCAACAATGTTCAATCCTTTCCTCTTGCTATTTTTGAATATACATTATTTTTCACTGCAGTGACCCTACTGGGCAATAGAACACCAGAACTCGTTTCACCTGCCCAACTGTAACTTTATACCTGTTGATCAACCTCTCCCCATCGCCCCTCCTCCCTGCCCTCCCCAGGCCCTGGAAACTACGATTCTACTCTTTACTTCTATGATGTCAGCTTTTTAGATTTCCAATATGAGTGAGATCACACAATACTTGTCCTTCTGTGATTGGCTCATGTCACTTAACATAATGTTTTCTAGGTTCATCCATGTTGCTGCAAAGGACAAGAGTTCATTATTTTTTATGGCTGAATAGTACTCCATCGTGTGTATACACAACATGTTCTTTACCCATTCTTCTGTTGATGAACACCTACATCGATTTCATATCTTGGTTACTGCGAATTGTGCTGCAATAAACATGGGAGTGTAGTGATTTCTTTGACATACTCATTTCATTTCCTTTGGATATATACCCAGTAGTGGGGCTGTTGAATCACATGGTAGTTCTGTTTTTAATTTTCTGAGGGATCTCTGTGCTGTACTAAGGTACTAATTTACATTCCTACCAACAGTGTTGAACAGTTCCTTTCTTGACATCCTCACCAGGATTTGTTATTTTGCCTTTCTGATAATATCCATTCTAACTGGGATGAGATGATATCTCATGTGGCTTTGATTTGCATTTCCTGGATCTGTGATGGGTAAGCATTTTTTTCATACACCTGTTAGCCATTTGTATGTCTTCTCTTGAGAAATCTCTGTTCAGATATTTTACCCATTCTTTAATCAAATTATTGTCTTTTTTTTTGCTACTGAGTTGAGTTTCTTATATACCCTGGATATTAACGCTTTGTCAGATGCATAGTTTGCAAATATTCTCTCCTAATCTGCAGGTTGTCTTTTCATTCTGTTGTTTCCTTTGTTTCCATGCAGAAGCTTCTTAGTTTCATGTAATTCCATTTGTCTATT
Source organism: Homo sapiens (assembly GCF_000001405.40). Taxonomy (NCBI): domain Eukaryota; kingdom Metazoa; phylum Chordata; class Mammalia; order Primates; family Hominidae; genus Homo; species Homo sapiens. The sequence continues at coordinate 60,916,405 of NC_000020.11, forward strand.
TTTGCTTTTGTTGCCTGTTCTTTTGAAGTTCTGTTCAAAAAATCCTTGTCCAGACCAGGGCCATGAAGTGTTTTACCTATGTTTTCTTCTAATAGTTTAGGATCTTACATTTAAATTTCCCATTCTTTTTGGGTTGATTTTTGTATACAGTGAGAAATAAGGGTCTATATTATTCTTCTTCATGTTTAAGCATTTTAAAGCCCTCCATGGACATCTTTTTTCCCCGATATTTTGTTGTGAGTTTTTGGCCAAACTTTTGTTTGTCTCAATTGATATATCATACAGCTGCATTTTAAACAATTGCCACTGATTGTTTCAACAAACACCCAGGAGATAGGCTTTGTTCAATGGGATTGAGTTCTGTGTCAGGTCAAATAACTTCAAAGTTCTAAGAATGGCTTTTCCTGGTGAGACAGGTCAAATAATGTCAAGGTTCCAGGTATGGAATTTTTGAAGATTCCCAAACCTAGCATTTTTCTTACATTGGCTCCAAAGCTGCTACTTCTCACAGATATTGTAGTCATGAGTTGGTAGTTTTTAAGATGACTGTGGAGCCAGGTAGAAGGGGATGGAAGTAGGTCAAGTTAAAAGCCATGGGCCCTGCTATTCCTACTAAAGTTCAGGAGTTCCTCTTGATCAAATGCTCCTCAGGTTGTTGCCACCTTTGGTGAATCTCTAGAATTCTGAAAAAGTTGATATTGAAATATTTTCTCAGAATTGTTGTTGCTTTCATGAAAGGGAATATTTACAGATGTCCTCACAAAGGGGTGTCCAATTTTTTGGCTTCCCCAGGCCACATTGGAGGAAGAAGAATTGTCTTGGGCCACACATAAAATACACTAACACTAATGATAGCTGATGTGCCAAAAAAAATTGCAGAAAAATCTTACAATGTTTTTAAAAAGTTTACAAATTTGTGTTGGGCTGCATTCAAAACTGTCCTGGGCCACATAAGGCCCCTGGGCGGTGGGTTAGACAAGCTTGCTCTACTATTTCTGAAGTCCTGCCCCCCAGGCTGTCTTGGAGGAGAGAGTTTCCCTAGAAGGCATACAGTCCTTAAAAGCACATTTCTTCTCTCCCTGTTTTATAGATTTAACTGTATGTTTCCATCACCCCAAAATTCCTATGTTGAAGTCTCAACCTCCAATGTGACCTTGTTTGGTGATAGGACTTTTAGGAGGTAATTAAGATTAAAAGAGGTCATAAAGATGGAGTTCTACATCAACTGTAGATTGGGTAATAAAAATGTGTCACATATACACCATGGAATACTATGCAGCCATAAAAAGAATAAGATTGTGTATTCTGCAGGAACATGAATGGAGCTGAAGGCCATCATTCTTAGCAAACTAACACAGGAAGAGAAAACCAAATACTGCATGTTCTCACTTATAAGTGGGAGCTAAATGATGAGAACACATGGACACAAAGAGAGGAACAACAGACCCTGGGGCCTACTTGAAGGCAGAGGGTAAGAGGAGGAAGACAATCAGGAAAAATAATTATTGGGTGCTAGGCTTAGTACCTGGGTGACAAAATAACCTGTACAACAAACCTCCGTGACATGAGTTTACCCTTAAAACAAACCTGCACATGTACCCCTGACCTAAAATAAATGTTAAATAAAGATGAGGTTCTAATTTGCTAGAATCGATGGCCTTATAAGAAAAGGAAGAGCAAGGCCTCGCTCTCTCTCCAGGTACACACTGCAAGGAAAGGCCAGGTTAGACACGGGGAGAATGTGGCCCTTTTCAAGCTAAGAAGAAAGCCCTCACCAAGAACTAAGTAAGCTGGTAGCTTGGTTTGTCTTGGACTTCCAGCCTCCAGGAGAAATAAGTTTCTGTGTTTAGCCCACCCAGTCTATAATATTTTGTTATAACAGTTCCAGTGGACTAAGACACCCAGGTAATACCTGTGCCTGATCTGTTACTCCATGTGAAATGATCTAAGCTTCATGGTCAGGACATGAATTGATATATATTATATGTAAGGGAATCATGTAATATCCATTTAAGTTTTGGTTAAAAAAAGTTATAGCCCCCTATGACCAAGAATATTCATTTCTATTCATTTTATAGATATTAAAACATTGCACAAAGTTATGTTACGATATGTTTATTATGGAATTATTTATAGATATTTATTCCCATTATTCTTAAATTAGAGAACTGTCATTGATAAAACAGCTGAGTATGAAGAATAGAGTATGTAGGTTGTAGACATGAGTAGAGTTTAACAATATCCACTTAAAGAAAAATAATTAAAAACTCCGTTATGTCGATGTGCTTTTGTCTATGAATGCATGTTCATTGAGAAAGTTATGTAAGGATATTTATAGCATTGGCTATTACACAGGAGTAGCAAAAGAGAGTAAAGTAGCTTTAAAAAGTTCTCCAGGAAACTGGAAAAATAAGCATGGTAATGTGAAATAAAAAGTGCAACATAGAAGTTACGGACTAAACTACCACAGATATAATAAAAATTGAATAATCACATTCACTTATTCATTACGTTCACTAAATAAGTTCAGTCTGAGAACCTTCTGGGTGCCAGGCATTTCTAGACACTGAATTAGCAGTGAATAAAATAGATAGTCTTATGCTTTGTGAAACTTACATTCTAGGAAAACACCAAAGGATATTGACCAGAAATTTGCTAAGTGTATAATAGCATAGGAAATGAGATTGTAATGTTTTTGCTTAGACTTGTATTACCATTTCATTTAACAGTAAAACTATCCATAAAAATAAAATAGCCATAGTTTTTTATTAAGACATGTTAAATTAAAAATCCACTAGGAAGGGTCACACCTTATTGTCAGCCGTGGACAACGTAGCCTGAACAAGTTCTTATTCCATTTCTGAGCATGTGAGCAAGAAGTGGTTGAAAGGTAGGACAGAGGAGCTACAGAAGACCCACAGCATAAACAGACTCTGGGGGCACCAGGGAATTGGGAGATGCACTTCATCCAGGTCCCACCTATGACCATGAAGTCTATGACTTCCAGTGCCTGTGCCCTTCAAGACAAGCTGCCTGACTCAGGATACTCAGATGCCCAAAATGATCTGACCACCACCACGTAGGACCTCCCTTTTTTGGACTCTCATGGAATGAGTACTGGTCCTGGTGTTCTACAGAAATACAGATAAAAGCTCAGACATTCTGCCAGGAGCCATGGGAATGAGGATGTTTCCACCAGCAAAGGATCAGCCTACAACTATTAAAAATGCCTTGTTCACAGAACTCTACAAAATAGCTCTTTATCTAAAAAATTGCCATGGCAAATATCACCCCAGTGAATTAGGTGTTTGTGTGTTTTGCGGAAAGTGGTATCTTTTCTAAAAGATTGCTACCTAAATAAGAATGCTCTGGAGAGTCTAATACGGAAATGAAAGGATGGTTCTGTCAACTTTGGTGTCTCTTTTAAGGAAGAGAAATGTATTGCTCTGTGCTGCTCTCCTCTCTCTCTCTCTTGCTCTCTCTCTCTCTCTCTCTCCCCCCATCTCTTTCTCTCTCTCTCAGTCTCTCTCCCTCTCTCAGTCTCTCTCTCCCCTCCTCCTCTCTCCTTTTCCATCTCTCTCTCCCTCTCATTGTTTCCTGTGCTCAAACTGTCAGAAAGTCCTCAAATCTAAGCAATCAGCCTGGAGAGCTTCAGGCTGTGCACGCCACAGAGAGGGTGTGACATATTTACATATTTAAAGGGAATGAGCCTCCAGTTCTCAATGGGGACATGGTGGGGTTTTTAGCTTTCTAAGGCAACATCACCTATTCCTGGAAACAATTAGAGTGCTACACAATAGCCCCCATGCAAACTCCGCAGTGACAGGAACATGAAAGGAAAGAGAATAGGGGCTTTGCAGAAACAGCCTCTTACTCGCCGTTGACAGGGAAGGAAGGTGGAATACCCACTGCAGTGAACACCTCCAATGGTCTCACTGTGGGGAAGCTGCCAGCCTTCTGCCTTCACAAGATGGATGGAGCCCTAGGAAGGCACTATTGTGTGACGGGCTTTGTATATTAAGTATGTGGTGTTGAGAACTCAGGCCAGCTTGACCAGCCATTTCCCATGGAGGGGCTGCACTGAATTCAGTATAGCAGGTTAGAAAGCAATGGGGGTTTTGTTTTTGTTTTTTCAAGGCAGATACATTCTGTGGGCATTGCCCATGAAATGAAATCAAAACAATATTTCTCTTCTGTTCAGTGCCCAAGAATAAGGCCTGTGTCGTGGTCTCCACAAGATGAGCTGGAGGCTCTGGGGGCTGGTGCCCTCCGCAGTCCTCACACACACCGTTAACTGGGTGAGGTCCAGGTGCCAAGCTCTGTGCTAGATCCTTCACAGGCATTAATTATCGTTCTTTCAACAATCCAGCAGCATAGATGGTGATGAGCTTGAAAGTGGAGGAATGAAGTGTTTTTTAACTTTGTGTCTTTATTATCATTTTCCTTTTATATCAAGACCATTCAGCATGTAAATGGCAGAGCTGGGAGGTGAGCCTACCTCCCTTGCTCCAAAGGCTCCCCTTCTACAATGAAGCAGTGTCTCGAGCAGGATTACCCACCTGCACCTAGTCCCTCCCACTGTAGATGCAGGCACACCCAAGGAGCATCCTGCAAGTGTGAGCCCTGCCCATTAAGAGGCTCTCAAAGAGTGTACCATGAGTGAATGAATGAATGATTTTACTTATGTCAGGAACTGAGAGCTCCTGGGGGGCTGTAGGTTGTAACTTCCTGGTCTGCATTTTATCCCCAAGGTGGATGCCACTACTTTAAAAGTGGAGTGAAAAGTCCTTTCATAGCTGTCCAGGTTGTTGGCTTCCTGGGAGCTGTCCGAGGCGCTGAACGGATGCTGCTGTTAGGAGCGTGATGTTAGTTCTGCGATGGTAAAAGAACAGTTCCTGCTTTTGAGTTTCTGCTCGCCCTGAAAGTTGCCTTCTGGCTGCAGCTCCACAAAGCCAGCCACCTCCCCCCATTTCCATTCTGCCTGATGCTGGCTAATTGCAGAAACTATAATTTGGGCCCAGCTATATGCCTCTGCCCCACCCCAGTGCTGACCCACTCTCCACAAACCATGTTCTGGCCCCAACTCAGTGCCATGCACAAGCTTCTTTGCCAAAGACAATGGGAACCCTACAGGGATTGGTGCAAAGAATCATCTCACAGAATAGTTTGAATGCACCTGGGCATGCCTCAGTGCTGAGGCCGCATAAACCCTCAGCTCAGTGTGGGCTGGACAGCAGTGTCACCAGAAGCCTGCATTTTTCACCTCTGGAGTAAAGGGGAGTTAAAACCTAAATGGAGACTTACAAAGAGGTAGAAATTAATCCAAAACCAAAAGAATAAGAAGGGTCTGAGGTGATGAAGGTGATTCTGGGCAGAGCAAATTACAGCAATGAAGACTCTGAAGTGGGAGATGGGGTAGTTGGGCATGTTTAAGGCAGACAGGAGGTCATGGTGGACCTGGATCCTGGTGATCAGGTAGAAGAGTGGATGGAGATGAGATTGAAAGGCATCCAGGGAACGTAAATGACCATCCAGGGAAGGAGTACACACAGAGAAAGAGCTGTTATTTTAGCTAGAGGGCTGAATTAGTGGTCATGGGAAGGTGTCTAAAGTCATTATTAACATACATAACTATGTTAAAATATTCATTTGTTTGCCTATTTGTTCATTTTCTAGCTTCCCCAGAAGAATGCAGTCTACATGAAGGCAAGGACAATGTCCCTCATGCATCCACCACACCTAGAGTCATACCTGCATGTGGTCCACCTCAATAAATATTTATTGAATGTGGAAGGAGAGCAGCCTACCTGAACATATGTTAGAGACAAAATCATTTTCAGCACACAAGTCAGTCACAGCCTTGAGACACGTGGGCTGATTAATGGGGAAAATGGCAGGGGCAGGGAATCACACTGCAATAAACTTCCCCTAATCCCATCTCTTCCCTTTCAGCTACAGCCCTTTCTTGATTAGAGAAGCAGGAAAAGTTAATATGTGGAGATTTTTCCTCCCCTTCCCTGCCTCCATGAGCACCATTAATAATTTAGTGCAATCTTTCTTCTTATTGGTGCAAGTTATTTGTAAAATGTCATTATCCAAACCATTCACTACATTTGGGGGCATAGCACATGCTGAATGCCTAGTTCCCTTCTGTGGGAACTACCTGCACACAGATCATTACCAAGCACTGCTTGCTCTCTGTAACTGTTAGTGGGTATCACACTTACCCACAGCTTGTTCCAAAGATGGTTCTTGTATTTGCATGTTGCCCCATATGGGGGGAGTTGGTAGAAATCCTCAACATCTTGCAGCCGTGAGTTTTGACCTAATGCAATGTGTAATACAGAATAGAAATCTAATAATAATTTGGTAAATTAAAGAAGGAATGTGTTGATCCATTACGTGCTTTTTTTTTTTTTTTTTTTTTTTTTTTTTTTTTTTTTTTGCCAGGTACTGCACTAGGCTTGGGATTTGGGAGTTGAATATGACCCATTGAAGTTGTCAGTGCAACTCCTACTATAGTAGGAGAGAGTAAGACAAATTCAGGCACAAGTAAATCACTTGGCAAAGCAACTTCCATGTCATAAGAAATGCAGAGCAGTGGCACAAAGGAAAGACCATGAGTATCCTGAGAACCTCGTCTCCTTGTTCTCTGCTCTATTCTCAGAGCTGGGAAATACATGTGGCATGTAAACAGGCATTCAATGAATGCTAGATACAAGAATAAAACTCAAAATTTATTTACCAAAAAAACATATCTGGCATTGAGCAATATCTATCTCAACTATGTCTAACAGAGAACAATTATATAATAGACTTTATTTTTAGAACAGTTTTAGATTTACAGAAAAAATTAGAAGCTAGTACAGAGGGTCCGTGTACACCCCACATCCAATTTTTTGTCCAATTAACATCTTACATTACCATGATACATTTGTCACAATTAATGAACCAATATTAATACATCATTAACTACAATTTTGGAGGATACCCCTCTATTGGAATTCGTTTGATGTCTTCTCATGGTTAGACTGGAGTTATGGGTTTGGGGGAAGAAAGCCACAGAGGTAAAGTGCTTTTCCTATTCTTGATTACAGGAACATCTTTGGCTTTGTAAGAAACTGGTAAAGTAGCTTTACCAATGTGCATTCACAACAGCAGTGAATAAGAGTTCCTATCACATCATATCAAAGGTACATAGTATATGCATGACATTACTGCCTGCCTGCATCAGCCTTGATCACCTGGCTGAGGTAGCGATGGTCAGGTTTGTCTGTTGTAAAGTTACTCTATCTCCCCCTTTCCATTCTATAATCCACCCTATGGATGGATGGCTTCCATCCTGTACTCTATGGAAGGAAGCCACTATGTGTAGTTAATACCTATGGGGTAGGAGTCTTGCTTCTACTCATGGAATCCTACTCATGAAGGCAGGGTATCTGTGTAAATTATTTGAAATTATCCTTCATTGGAAAATTGTCTTTTCTCCTTGTTTATTTATTTGTTCATTCATTTAACCATTAATTTATATCAAAATAGGTTAGTGGAGATTTATTTTATAAGTTGAGTTATAACCCATGCCTTTATTGCTCCTTTAGTTGGCCTCCTTGGCTCAGCTTTGGTCATTAGGAGTTTTCAGTTGGCTCCTGTGCTTTTTGAGATAGCTTTGTCAATGTGTATGTTGTTTTATATTTTGTATGTTTGTTTGTTTTAAGCACTTTCTTCCTTTTTGGCCCTACAAGCTGCTTCAGACCCATCTTGTATATTACCTCCTCCAGTCCCAGAATGAGCCATTTGTTTAAGGATCCCTGGTTACTTTTATTGGAGAGTGGCACTAGAAATGAAGATCTGGACATTAGATGTGTTCGTTGCTACTTGGATGCCACTATTTCCAGGCCTTATCAACTAACAGAGCAAGGGAATATGTGTATGTATGCTAATTCATGTGTATACATATGCCTATGAATATTTTACCTATATCTATATCAAGCTAAACATGAGTTCCATTGATGTCTCCAACCCTAATCCACAATCATGTGGTTCATTCTCAGCTCCTCCTCTTGCACCTCTGTAACATCCACTCCAACAGTGAGCAACCTGGCTTCCCCATCCAACAATCATTTAGTTAATTGCTCAATTCCAGTATACATGTAGAGTGACCTCAAGACTATCATCCCAGACTCCATGGGAAATAATTTCACCAACTAGTGTATAGTGCTTGTATATCTTTTGCCATTAGTCTTACAGACTAGTTGTTTAGATCAGTACCTTTCTTCTCCCAACTCCTTGTTCAGGGTTGATTCGTACAGTTGCAGCCCAATTAGATTCTCTTCTCACATGGTTCCTCCCTGGGATGACAAACCTCTTAAATGGTCTTTAAAGCATTTGTATTTTAAGGTTTATTCTTCATTCTCTTAGGTCCTATGGATTTTGACAAACTTATAATGTCATGTCTCCAACATTACAGTATCATGCAAAATAGTTTTATTGCTCTAAGATACTCTGCACTTCATCTATTCACCATCCCTCTCCTCTTGAACACCTGGAAACCACTCATAAACTTAATATCAATACAGTTTTGCTTTTTCTCAGAATGATATATACCTGGAATCACACAATATGGAGCCTTTTCAGACTCGCTTCTTTTACTATGCATTTAAATTTAAGCCATGTTTTTCAAGGCTTCATAGCTCATTTCTTGTTTTTCTCCCCATGGAATGATATTCCATTGTACGGATATACTACAGTTTGTTTCTCCACCCACCTATTGAAGGATATCTTGGTTGCATCCAATTTTGTTTGACTATAAATAAAGCTGCTATACCTTCACATGCAGGTTTTTGCACGGACATAAGTTTTCAAATCAATTTTGTAAATACCTAGGAGTACAATTGCTGGATCATATGGTCATATTATGCTTGGCTTTGTCAGAAGGTGCCAAACTGCCTTCTACAGCGGCTGCACCATTTTACATTCCCAGCAGCAGCGGATGAGAGTTCCTGTTGCTTGGCAGTCTCGTCAGGATTTGGTGTCACTGTTTTGGATTTTAGTCATCCTAATAGGTGTGTAATGAAATATCACCATTTTAGTTTTTAATTTTCTGATGGAAAATGATGTCGAGCATCTTTTGATATGCTATCTGTACATTTTGTGCCATGTCTCTTATGATATGTTTTACATTTTAAAAAATTAGGTTGTGTTCTTATTGTTGACTTTTTATGACTTCTTTGTATATTTTGTATACAAGTTCTTTATTAGATACATGGTTTGCAAATATTTCTCCCCATCTGTGGCTCATCTTTTCATTATCTTAACAGTGATAATGAAGTTTTTAATTTCAGAGCAGAAGTTTTTAATTTCAGTGCAATTTATCGATTATTTTCTCATAAACTATGCTTTTTGGTGCTGTATCCCAAAACTCATTGCCAAACCTAAGATCACCTAGGTTTTCTCCTGTGTTTTCTTCTGTAAGCTTTATAGCGATACATTTCATTTTTAGACTCATGTTAGACCTTTTTTTTTCAACTTTTATTTAGGTTCAGTGGACATATGTACAGGCTTGTTACATGAATAAATTATGTGTTGTTGGGGTATAGTGCACAAGTGATTTCATCACTCAGGCAGTGAGCACAGCACCCAAAGGGTGGTTTTTCTTCTCTCACCCTCCTTCCAACCTTCCCCCTCAAGTAGTCCCTATTGTCTGTAGTTCCACTCTTTCTGGTCATGTGTAGGCAATGTTTAGCTCCCACTTGTAAGTGACAACTTGTGGTATTTGGTTTTCTATTTCTGCATTAATTTGTTTAGGATTATGGCCTCCAGCTGCAACATGTTGCTGCAAGGGACACACATTTGCCAAGGGGGTGTCCCGGCCTCTCAGTGTTTCCTCTCCTCTTTTTCCAGCTATGAGGCAACCCTGCTGTTTCTGAGAGCTCTACAGGAAAAAACTTTCTGAAGACACCTAGGCTTTTAAACATATGTATGTGTATACATATATAGATAGTTAGATATAGATATAGATATATAACCAGCACACCCATTTAGAAAAGATGACCCAAATTACATCTACATTTAGACCTTGTAGAAACCTTACTATCATGTTAATTATCATGCTAATTTCACACTCAAACTGTTCAACTTTCTCCCAGGAGTTTGAAATGTCCCTTGTGCCCCTTAGCAGACAACTGGCCTTCCCCCCAGCTGAGTCCCTTGGGGAGGGAGAGCTATGCAGCCCTGGGTGCATCCCAGGAGAGGCTGGATTCCTGCCCCGGGGCCACCTGATCTATTTACCTGCTCTAGCAAAGGCAGTTGTAGGGTTTCCCAGACTAATTATCACCTGATTCTGCAGCAGGCACATTACAAGGTGTGGAGCAGGGGCCATGTCATTCCCGCTGTTGTCTTACACGGGCAGGACTCGTAGGCTTGCTGTAGAGCAAATCATAGCAGCTCCGTGGTGAAAGGGCACCATCCTACCCTTTAGAGAACATAGTTGTGGATGGAAAAACAGCCTTGTTCTCAGGAAAATGTCAAATGACTATTCTGAAAGCAAAATAGAAGCTAACTTCAATCTTCAGGAAAATGAGAGATCTGAGATGGAAGTGCCATATTTTGCAAAGTAGACAAATCTTTTCCTCTGAAGCTCCTCACACGGTCTATGTGTGAAACCCAGTGAAACCCAAGCTGGTGCCCTAGGCACGCAAAGCACCTGCCTCAGAATCTACTTTTTGCTGGCTTCTTTCAATCCTCCCAACTTCATTTCTCTTCACAAAACGTGTTCATGGTTTCTGCTCCCAGGACCCTGAATTTCCACTTATCTAACTCCATCAGTCTAACTCGTCTCAAAATTATGTATATTATATATAATTATATATATTATTATAATTATATTTATAATTATAAATATATTATATATGTATATATATATATATATATTGCTTAAACTGTTCCAGCTTTGGCTGTCGGGAGCTATATCAGTGGGTGCCTGTGCCTCTTGGACATACCCCCATCTATGTGTTATTGTTTTTTAACTTTTAAAGTTTTATTTTTTGAGCATTTCTTTGTTTTCTGACACTGTAAGATGCTACAGACTCATCTTTTATATTCTTGGCACCAGTCCTAGAATCAGCGATTTCTCCTAGGTGCCCTGCTTTCTTTACAGGAGAACGGTATGAGAAAGCAGTAACTGGGCTCTAGGTGTGCTCCCTGTGAATACTGATTGCTGTTGGCCTGTTCAGCTGACAGATTAAGGAGACTTATATGTGTATACTGTGTATATGCACCTATCTACAAAGATTTCTATGTGTATACTAACAGTGTATATGCACCTGTCTATAAAGATTTCTATGTGTATACTGTGCACATGCACCTGTCTATAAAGATTTCTATGTGTATACTGTTCATATGAGTATATCTACAAAGATTTCTACATGTATGCTAACAGTGTATATGCATTTATCTACAAAGATTTCTATGTGAATACTGTGTATATGCACCTGCCTATAAAGATTTCTATGTGTATACTAGCTGTGTATATGCACCTACCTACAAAAATTTCTATGTGTATACTAACTGTGTATATACACCTATCTACAAAGATTTCTATGTGTATACTAACTGTGTATATGCACCTAACTACAAATATTCCTATATGTAACCATCTGTATATTATTCTACACATGAATGCACAGGTTCAGTGTTTCCTAGGATTACCTCCATCGCCTCCCAAATAATCTCCTTGCTCTCGCATCCTCATCTCTCAGTCTGCTTCTAGGGGAGCCCAACTTAACCTAGCATATCTCTGGACCTGGGAGAATCTCCAGGCCATCTTCCCAAGGATGATTTGAAGTTCTGTCTCCACCCTTTTCCTGACCTCACTGTTTGGTCTTCTCTGCCCCTGCAGGCTGGTTGGGGGTAGGGCTTCAGGAAGACTCCAGGGTCCCCTTGGGTGGTGATGCCACAGCTGTCTCTTTGGATGTCCCTAGGATATACTGCAGGTTTTCAGCAGCACCCTACAAAGATGCACTTTCTTTATTTGGACAAAAATCTTCTGCCAAAAGACTGCTGGCTTCATATTGGCAGGATGCTCAGCAGCCCAAAAGTGGCCCCAGTTTCCTCATATGCCTTGGCTGTTTGGCTGAGCTCTCCAGATGGCCTTCAGCAGGTCCAACATTACAGGTTGCCTCACTGCATGACACAATCTCTGATACACCCGGACTCTTCTCTTCTGGCTCCTGCATGTCCCTTTCTTCTTCCTGCCTTGGTGACATGGCTCACATTAGTCCTCCTTTCCAGCCCCCATCCCACCACCCAAACCTGCCTACCATCCCCTTAGGTGCAACTGAAACCTTCCCTACCAACCCTGCTCCCACCATGACTCTTCATGGAGCCAATCCTCTTGGTTCCATTCATGAATGGAAAGTAGTTTTGGTCTCCCATGCTAACTTTGATCCATTGGAAGCAACTATGTGGAGAAGAAGTCTGAGACCAGCTTCGAGCTTATTGGTGTCAGTTAGAGGTGTCTGCTACCTGGTGAGCAGTAGCCTAAATGAAGCTATCCCATCCCCCTCCTCCAATTGTTCATGTACCATTTAACATGACTCTGTCATTAAATCATGAGCTCCTTAAGTTGGTCACTCTGTGGTGCATATTTTTTCCTTCTTTGTGCTTCTCTGACTCATGTATCTAGACTTTGATTCACTCATCTGAGCATAAAGCTGAGTTATGAGGTTTGCATTCATAGATATTTTGGGAGTGCATGAAGCAACACCACTATATACACCTGATGAGCTAAAAATGTGTTCATGTCAGCTGGTAGCTTACAGAGTGTTAAACATGCAATCAGATATACAGGATTTTAAACCATTTTCCCTTCTGTTCTTTGAGTTCTCTGTTCTACAAACCTTCTTCTTATGCCATAGCACATTTGATTATGAACCTTCCAGCCAATTTTCCCTAAACTCACAGAGTAAACCAAGAGGGAATGAGCATGTGCACTTGATTCTGATGGGATATAATTTGAGTTGTTCTTTTAATATTTGAGTTTAAGTCACTCGTTGTGCATTGGACTAAATCCAGCAACACCATTGGTCAATGAGATTTGACTTTGTGTTTTATATTGTAAAATAAAATGCAACCGACCCCATGCTTTACTTAAAGAAAGGTTTTAGTGGAAGAAAAATAGTAATAATAAACCAACACATTCTAAAGCCTTTCCTGAACTTCTACTGCAGTTTGTGAAAATGTGATTCATGAGGATGTATTAAATATTAAAACCAGTGTAAGACTTAATCCAAATTTGTAGGGCAGCTTTGCTTAATTTACTGTCTATCACAAAATTTCCTTTGCAGATGACTTTTGTCTGCTGCATAAATAATAAAACAGTGCCGACATCCCTCAATTGCTTTACCATAGCCCAGTATTAAAATTGAACTTGCCGACATTTAATTCTCTCTAGGATGTGTGTCCCCTTTTCTCTTCTCTCTTTCTTATTTCTTTAACTGGGATACATTATAATTCTATCCTGACTTTATGAGTTCAAGTGCAGAAGCTGGAGGCAGTTTTCAAGAGTCAGGCCCATGTTTGTCTTAACCTTGAAACATTTTCTTGGTAGCAAAAGGGTAAGTATTCAGACGGACAAGTTCCTAAGAATACTCAAATTGAAGGTGTCACGGAAACAAGGATTTAGCCCCTTTCCTCAGCCCTCTTCAAAAATCTTGCCTCTATTAATGAACCATATTGCTACTAAATTCAGTTTCATTTCACATTTTCCATGTCGCAGGTCCATCCATCATGCTCCCAGGTGGATGGAGAAAGAGGTTATTGCACAATCAGAGAGTTCTCTCTGCCAGGGAATTTACTGACAATGTTCACTTGTAATTTTCCTCTTATTAGGAAAGCAGTAAAACACTGGAAGCCAGAGGGTCTCCCTGGCTGCAGTTTTTCTTGCCAGGGTGGGTGATTTGATGGAAGCTTCGGGAGACGTGGTGCCTAGGAGTCGCTGATGGGAGTTGGGCGATTGCAAAGGAGGGACTTTAGCAAACCCTGGTTAAGTACATCTTTAGGGAATGGCTGGGTGAAGGGGGCGTTTCCAGGCAGCCAGAGAGGGACCGTGAAGCCTAAGTGCAGAGAGTCGTGCTCAAACTCGCTCATCTCTGCATCCTCAGCGCTCAGTGGAGCACATGGCACGTGTTAGGCACCAGGTGTATTTTTGTTGGATGGGTAAAGAGAGGAAGACCAAAGGAGACATGGAAAAAGGGCAACCCCTTCTCATCTTCCACAGGTCCCACTGCGAGTCAGAGGACAAAGGCGAGGAATGAGGGGAAGAGGTTGCAAAATGAGAGGTTCCCATGGCCTCACAGCTCTCCTTCCCCACACAGCAGGGGTTCCCAAACTTGGCTCATGAAGGTTGAGAATCTGGGTCATCTCAAAGCGAAGAGGACTGCAGGAGGTAGTGAACCACAGGGAAACATGTCTACAAGAATTGGACCCAGTGGAGGAAAGAGAAGGGAATCTTGTGCCTCTGAGCCTTGTGCTTCCAGGCCCCTGAGAGTCCCTGGCCCTCTGCAAACCCCCAGGACAGAGTAAAGACTGGAAGGACAAGCTTTCCCACCACTCCCTCCCTGCAGAGGACTCAGGGAAGATAACCCTGAGTTGTCCTAATTGGCACTCAGCTCCAGTTCTCTCTTCATGTGTTCCTTCTCGCATTCACACTCAGCAGCATTTATTGAGCACATGCTGTGTTCCCAGCACAGTACTAGACACAGAGAATATTAGTGAACATGCCAGTCCCTGTACTCTTGGAGCTGACGACCTTGTTAGGGAAACAACAGATATTGGATAAGTAATGACACATTTGATGAGTATTTCCAAAGGACAGACTACAGTGGGGACTTAGCCTCCAGGTAAGTTCTGGCTGTGGGAAGAGGGCATGGTAGGGGCTATCAGAGGGTCCCAAAGCAATGGAGAATGTGTGAGAACCACCTCGTTCCAGAGAGCACCTTTCTGCTGCATGGAAGGGGCTGGTGAGACAGTGGCTGGGTCCAGCCTGGGATGGAAGTCTCCATGAGGCTGCAGCAGTCGCAGGGTGGGGGAGCCCAGCAGGGTCTCGGATACTGAACTGAGGAACTGTCCAGCCTGAGGGCCAGGTCAGGGCCTCTGGTGCAGTGGGAGAATGAACAGGAAGCTGGTGAAAGCGTCATAGGAATGGGGCCAGAAGGGGAATGGCAGGGGAGGAGGCTGAGCCCCCTCTTCAAGCCTGGGGCAGGAAGATGCTTAACTCATCCCAGAACTTAACTCCTCCCTCACGTCTACCTCTGCATCTGGGCAGCACTTCCAGGACCTACTCAGCTTGGGGGCCCTCCCCTGCCCCCTTCTCGTCCCCATTCTACCCTCGCCCTATCTCAGCTGCTCTCCCTACTTCCTCTGTAGCAGGAGAGACCTGCCTGACTCAGAATTCAAAGCCTAAAATACAGGACTTGATGCAGACGAGCAACTGGCTCCCTTCCAGGGGCCTGGAAATGCCACTTGTTCTGTGTTTTGATTTGTTTTTATTCTTGTTTTAGTTTCTCTTAAGAAAGTAATGCTTTTCTAGGAACATGTTTTTTCCCAGTGACAGGATAGTATGGTGACTGAACACACAGCTTCCAGAGTGAACTGTCTATGTCCTAACTCCAGTTCTGCCACTTCTTACCTTCACCCTTGGGTGGGTGACTCAATCTCAAGTTTCTCTGTCTATACGCTCTATACACTGAGGGATCACAGGGATCTTATTTCATAGCGGGGTTATGAGAGTTAAAAAGGTGAACCCATATACAACTTAAAATAACACCTGGCACGTAACGCATGATGGAAAGTGTTTTCAATGGTTGTTTTCATGAGAACAATGGTCCAGCTCTGAGGTTCATACATTGGCCAGTAGGAATATGGAGCCAGGAGGAAATCTCGCTGACTGGCATCCATGCCTGCTGCATTGAGCAGCAAGTCTGCTCAAGACAAAGCAGGACTGAGAAAATGAGACACCATCCCCCAAACCAAAAAAGAAATATTCCTGTTAGAGATGATGCCATGGGGCTTTACGGGAGTGGCTGAGACCCTGACCATCCTGTGATCTAGTTCTGCTGGAGGTCTCTGTGGTCAGGGATCAGGTGAATGTACAAGCATCATAGAAGCAAACCACAATCAAAGCTCTTTCTATTCTCATCCCTAGATTTGCCTCTCCTCAAATGCCCCTTTTTTTCTTCTTCTTGGGCCTTAAAAATCTTTCTGCAGTAATAACATATGCAAGGAGGTGGGGACAGCATGGAGCATCTCTGAATGCATCCGGGACTGCCTGAGAGCCAACTGCTGGAATGAGATGTTGCTTTGGCTCTGTCTTTAGTCAAATCGTATGACTCGCCCACACTTCCCAGAGGACTACAGATTATGAGCTTCACCATGAAAGGGGACAGTCCTTTGGGGATGAAACAAGGTGGAAAAGTAGAATCTAGGCATTCCAACATCTAAGTCTGAGAAGCGGAAAACGAGGAGGAGGCGCTGGGTGCCAGGATGATGCTCTTAGTCACTTGTGTGCCTTCCCTGCTATGGGACGCTCATTCCTGTACCCCAATAAGAGACCAAATCCAAGTTTCATTAAAATTTCATGAATAGTCCTTGACACAGTCTTCCTTCCACTGTGGCATCTCGAGGGTACCTACATCCTCACCATCCAGTCTGTGAGGTGTGCCTGACCAGACTGAAGGGTCTCAGGACAGGGCCAGGGCTTCTTCTATGCTGTCGCAGGTGGACTTCACATATGGTGTTTCCTGGAGATGGCTCTCCCAAGGCGTTTCTCTAACTTTGTACTCATAATTTGATTTTTATTAAGTAGTAAGAAAATCTCCACATTTGTGCATGACTCAGTTCTGGAAAAATCTAGATCTTCCCATGCAACTCATAGGGATTTCCATATCCAGGAAAGCAGCATCAGGGTCACCCAAGGAGTTATTGGAAAACACAGATTGCCAGGACCTCTGTACAGCCCCACTTCAACTTCGGAGACTTTGACTCTGTAGGTCTGGAGCGGAACTATTTAAACGCTGCTAGGGAGGGTCTAATGCTTGAATATTGCACTTCAACTAGAGAGAGAAACTTGTGGAAACTACTTTCACTGGTGTCCAAGAGATGAATACTTAGTAGGTAACAATATCTTCAAGCTGCTACTGGCATCAATGTGAAAAGCAGCCCATAGAATTGGGAAGAAGAACAGAGAAAGTGTCTAAGATGGCTTTTAGGCCATATCCATTTATCAGCTATCCACTAGCAGCTTCCTAGGGCCCGGGTGCAGGCTGTGCACTGGGGACAGAGTAGGGGGTGGAGGAACAGTATCGCCCTTCCCTGCCTTACTCCTCTTTCTCCCATTTTGAGATTCCACCTGCTCATGATCCCCTCTCAAATGGCCATCTCACACTGGTCATCACCCAGGGCAGCCTCTTCCCAGTCTCTTGATTTTCTCATTCTTTGGTGACAGTGAAGCCCAGGACTCGGGAGTTCAGGATCAGGACTCCAGGATGGCTTGGATTAAACCTGGCCCTCTCTCTCTCCCCTGTGGTGTGGTCACAGGAAAGCTGCTTAATGTCCTTGAGTCTCAGATTGCTCATCTGTGAAACAGATAATTAGAACCTCTCACTGTGGAGTGGCTGTGACTATCAAACGGCCTCACACGGTGTGCAGGGCTGGGAATGATTGGCATGGAGTTGAGAAGTCAGAAACCCTCTGTCATTAACATCCAGTTACCTTGCTGTTGGGCCCCTCATGTCTCAGGCCACTGGGTAGGAGTTTTGGGGTATGAAGACACACAAAATAAACAAGCAACATCCCCTGACTTCAGGTTGCCATGGCCTCTGAAGAAGGGCAACCCATAGGTAATTATGATGTGGTGTCACAAAGAAAGAGAATTAGATGATCCTGAATAAAAGTCCTGAGCCTTGGGCAGCAGTGAGCCATGGGCCAGAAGGATTGCAATGGTAAGACCAGTACAGGAAACATGTAGGGGACTCAAGTCACCATGCAGGGCTTGAGCGTGGTGTGCAAAGGGGGAGGCCAGCTCTGTGGAGTGTTCTATGCCCCAGAGCTCCTCCCAGGGTCTGGCTATGACCACATCCATGCTCAGCTCTGTCTCATGTCTCATCCCACTTCCCCCACCCCTTTCTCCTGAGCAGTGTCCCCTATTAAATCTTGCATCTCAGGGTCTCCTTCTGGAGAATAGGAACAAAGGTAAATGAACCTGAAATCTGGACCTGTTTCTAACATTTAGTAGCTCTGCAGCCTTGGGCAGATCTGTCGAGCTAGGAGGCCATCCTCATTTTCCGTTTGCAGTCTCCAAACTATTTGCACAAATCTTGGCTCTCCTTGATCATCACAATAACCCTGTGCAGGTGTTGCAGTAAAACAGGTCCTGCGGCCTCCAAATACAGAAAGGTGACATGTAGGAGGCTAAGGTTCCAAGCTTCTAAGTTGCAGAGTCAGGGCTCTGACTCAGCCCTACAGTTGCAAGTTCAGCACCATCCACCCCTCCCCTTTCCGCCTCCCTGTCCTAGTCTAGGTGATTGTGAATTTCATGACAGCCAAGTTAAATATGTGAAAGCATGATACACATCAGGGATGTTGGTATAATACTTTGAATATATAATAACAAGAGCAGAGGCAAAAATGGAAGCTATGATGACAATGCCTTCCCATGAAGAGAACAGGAAGCCACGGGGCTGCATTTCCGGCAGGTTCCTCCCAGACTGTGAAATCTCCTTGTACCTGATCTCATAGAGAGATGCTGTGGAAAATTATAGACGTGATCAGCTTTGCAATGATAGAAATGCCTTTGGCACCTGCTTCTCTCCTGAGATTCCCTGAAAAAAAAAAAAAAAAAAAAAAAACCTTAAAGCAAAGAGATCCACGTTTGGGTAATTATCCAAGTAGCCAAAGGGGATCCTAGGTCACAGCCACTCCAACTTTTAGAAAAAGGCCAAGGAGTGAATCAGGACTTCCCATAAACACTTCTCTCTGGGTGCTTTTATACTGTTGCATTTCTTGTTGTTCCTGTTAGGTCTGGTTCTAACTTGGTTCATTAAGAACATAACTAATGAGGCTAAATAGAGACAGCTAATACCTGGGCTTGGTGAATCTGCACACCTTGCCACCTTCTCCTGAACTCTCTTCTCCTTGTTCTCCTGCTCTCCCTCCTCCCCTTACCTTCCTCCTTCTCCCCTTCCCTCCTCTCCTCCTTCTCTAGCACCATAATTTTTCAGTATCCTCACTGCCAACATCTGTTACTGTATTTTTACTAAGGTCCATATATTGTCATTCCAATCACCCTTTATTGTTAATTTAATTACACCCTTTGTACAGATGATCTGCCATTCAGAGAGTGACATAGCTTGCCCAAGGTCACACAAATGCTAAGCAGATAAGTCTAAATTCAAACTTGGTCTCCAAACCTACCAGGTCCACAATTCTACAAATTCTGAAATCCACCCGTCACAATGAAGACAGCCTGGCCCTGATCTGGTCCCATGTAGAGGAGAGCTTGCAATGCAGTGGGAAGGCTAGCACTGTCCCTTCTTACTCCCCTGCAAAGACTTTCCCAATTGTTGCAGGCTTTCTTCTTTGTCGTGACTGACTCTAGGCCCCAGGACCGAGAGGTCCAGCAAAAGCCTTGTCCCAGATGCATCCCTGAAGCTTGTCCACACAAATCCTTTGATATAACAGCGCCTTGAAGGGCTTTATATGGGCAACAGTCCACTAGGGGAGCTCCCAACAGCACTGTTGATGGTGGGAAGACACTGAAGAGTGCTGAAGAGCTTGTCTGGAAAGGGCTAGAGGAATCGGTGCTGTGGTGGGCACGCGGGAACTCAATGACACTCTTGAAAATGAAATGAGATGCTGGTGTGGGAAGCTCCCAGCTGACGTTCCAAATCGTGGGTATAGTGTGAACCTTTGGAATAAATGAAACATATGCACAGGTGAATACAGACATGGACTAACATAGACTTCTAGAAGAAATTACTAAGAACAAAAACAAAAACACCTGCCACTCCTAGGGAGAGCTTTCTTTGGGGAGAAGAATCTAAGGCGAGATGGGACCCTGGGGTCTGCATTTGTCTTTTCTAGAGTCACAATAAAACAAAAGTAAAATGACCTCAAGAAAGTCATTTTCTTCCTCTCACTCTCTTGTGTGGGCTGCTGGCTTCAGCCTGGAGTTGTGGGGTTTGATGGGTTCAGCCCAGAGCCCCAGACACTCTCCCATCCGTCTGTTTCTCAAATCCTCCAGCCCTTCTACCCCCCGCCCCTGGCTTTGCCTGTGCCAAACCAACCGTTTAGGGTGCTCTTCATCTCCCTGGTTGCTTCCTGCCCTGCAGAGACACCCTCGAGCTTCAGTTGTCCCCTGCCCACCTGACCTAATAGCCAGTTTCATCACTGTCCCCGCACCCTGTTTCCCTCTTACTTCTCTCCATATGTGTAAGTTCATACGCCCCTGTCCGCTAACTGTTTATGACCTTTTCCTCTCTCTGTGCTCCACAAGGATAGGACTACCTTTGTTTCATTCATTGGTGCAGAGCCAGAATCCAGCCCAGCATCTGGCACCAGGGGGTCACCTGCAAACACTCCTTACATCAATGAATTAAGGGATGGCAGGAAGCATCCCAAGCACAGATCAGGATGCTTCTTAAATATTCAGCTCTGCAGCTTCTCATTCCTGGTTTTCAGACCTTTCCCTGCCTTGACTTTTAATTCCCCCATCAGGGCGGACAGAATGAAAAGTCTTCTGACACTTGGTTTGTGGTATAGCCAGAGCTCAGGGGCTTTGCACCGCATGGAGTCCGGGTTTGAATCCTGCTGCTGCCACTTGTCCCAAGTGCTGCTCCCCATGTGTGACTGGACTGACTGCATCCATGAGCTCAGTTTCTCTTCTGTCAAAAGGGCTCATGCACATTTTCTCAGTTTGTTCTCACCGTGAGGTAAGCAGACCTGCAACCATGTCTAGTCACATTGTAGGGGGAGTAAGACTGACAATATATTGATATGCTCAAATGTATCATTAAGATTTAACTATGGGAAGGAGGTATCTGTCATTATAAAAATAACAAGGCAGAAAAATAGATTATTAGCTTAACATTCACGGGGAAAGACAAAAGGAAATTTCTAAGTTTTGCATTGTTTTGATCACAAGCGTGTATGCAGAACACTTCCATAGACACCAGCCAGCCTTGTGACAAATAGCATCACCGCTGAGAACAACTGGATGATCAAGAGCAGCTAAGACCATCCATTCTTAAAAATAGTAACATGGACACTCAGAGTGTGGGCCTGAGAGACTCTCGAGAGATGCGTGGGCTGGAGAGACCAGGACCGAAGAAGGGCGTGGGCCGTGCAGCTGGGACTCCACCCACCTCTTCTTGGCATCAGTTTCTGAACGTGTGGAAATCAGTTCTTTCAGGGACAGCTCTCAGCCACTGCTGGGCAAAAAAAAAAAAAAAAAAAAAAAAAATAGTCAGTAAATATTCTGTGTTCCTCATCCCTTCGTGTGACAGCTCGGAGACATTTTCTTTGGTAATTGCAGAGTCCCCACAGGACTGGGTGCCCTCCTGCTCATTAACTCACCTGTGCCGGCTTGGGTCCCTCCCCACCTCACTTCCCTAGGACCGCTGCGGCTCCCTGGAACCTCTCCCACACAACCCACAAGCCCTCAAATCTTTATCTCAGAGCCTGTTTCTGGAAGAGCGTGATGTAAATAGTGCTTGAGGCCTGCTTGGCAACTTCAGAAGCCCCTTCCCCTACAAGTCCTGGTGAGCTCCTAGAGGCAAAGTTCCCCTAGCCACATGTCCACACCGCAGTCCCGATCTACCCGCCTGCGTTGCTGCAGGGAGACCCAGGTCCCTGCCACGTGAGACACCCAGGGAGGGGAGGTGCAAAGGTGGTCTTCCGCGCATTCCCACCCACTTCTGTTCAGGACTATTCTTCTCAAAGTGAAAGGGGAAAGGCGGGGGTGTCAGGGAAAACAGTAGGATCCCTCCCTTTGGTCTTAAATTCCATTAATCAGCTCCCTAGAAGCCACTGGGAAGGAGGATTGAGTCCCCTTGGCATTACCAGTGATCCCTGATCCTGACTCAAAAGCCACTTCCTGCTGTGGAGACGTGAGGGCAAGTTGCTGGGGTTTTTACGCCGAGATACTTAGTTCATCACGGTGTGAAACTCACTTCTCCAAATGATTGACATTTCTAGGACAAGGAAGCCTTCTAAACTATGTCCATGAGTTCAATATAAACCCACTTTTCATTCAGCTTGATGGTAAAAATAATGTTTCAGACAATTTTGGTGTCCGCTGCAAAGTGGAAGCCTCTGTAAATGTGCAATGAGAAAAGAAAAATCTTTAAAGGAAAAGAAGGATTCAGAAATAAGCAAAGAAAGGCATATCACTCAGGAAGAGAAGGTCCACAAATTCTCCATCTCTCACGTTCAGAATGTGCCTTCCACACGGCTTCTCTGCACCTGAGTTCTCCAAAGACACCTTCTGATATGCGGTGTAATTACAGTCACTGTGTGTGAGTTCCGAGGAAAGCTGTGGGGATTTGCAGAGGAAAGGCATGTTCCTGGGCGTTGGGTGTGTGTGGGCCATCATAAGGGTCTTCTCATTATTTAATTTACAGATTAAAACAGAGCCCTTAAATTAACTATATTTTGCAGGCTGAAAATGTTGTTTAAGAGCCATTTCCTCATTGAAAATAGACTGAATGCTGTGGTGTTGAGCACAGCTTCACCTATGAATTTCAAGTGATGGAAGGGGTTGAGCTCCTGCATTGACTTCACCATGAGGAGACATTTTTTCTTCCTTCCCAAAAAGTTAGCCCATCCTGGTAACTCTTGTCAGGGTCTTGACATTCTGACAGGCACAGTGTGAAAATATGTGGGATTTTGTGCTTAAATTCCCAGAGACCATGAGCCAGGAAGGATAAGGAACTGGAGACGGGCTTTGCAGGTTTGAGAAGCTTGTATACTTTTGGAAAATAAGTATCATCTCAGATATTTTCAACTCTGCAGATAAACAGATACCTGCAGACCGTCCCAGTTTCTCTTTGTTTAAGGCCCCTACTCAGCCCAGAGCCCCTGATCTTTAGCAGGTGATTGGTTTCTTCTCCCCTGGTCTCCAGCCGGCCCAGGCTCCAGCGAAACAACCCTGCAGGTCTCCAAAAGCACAGAACCCTGCTCACCCTCAAGGCTTTTGGGATGACTTTCCCAGGGGCTCTGTGCCCCGTACCTATGCCAGGGTCTAGGCCCCATCCTGTCTTATCTGGCACGTCTCCTCTCTAGAACTCTTCCCTGACAAGCTCTGTACCCGCAGATAAACCCCTATGTGTTTCTCTTTTGGAACATATAAGAGGATTGTGACTGAGTGACTGTCCAAACCATAAATGTCTGACTTCCACGTAGTTGGTGAGCTCTGCTCAGTTAGGAACTCTGTACAACTTGCAAATGGGGACCTTGAGTGCCTGCCGCGTGGGTGCTTAATTATAAATAGAGAGGTATAGATATGGATATGATATTAATATGCATATAAAATGGATATGACATGGATCTGAATGTGGGTATGGACATTATATGAATATGGATGTGGATATGCTATGGATATAGGATATCGATAAAATATATACATATGGATATAGATATGATATCGATATGTATATGATACGGGTTCAGATATAAGATGGATATGAATAGAGATATAATATAGATAGGTATATAATATAGATATGGATACAGATATGAATATGGATGTGATATGAATATAAATTTGATATGGAATGGATTTGATATGAATGTAGATATTATATAGATGTGATATGGATGTGAATATTATATGGATATAGATATAGATATGGATATAAATACAATATGGGTATAGATATAATATAGATATAGAGATGTGGGTATGATAGGGACATAGATATAATATATATGAATATAGATATATTGATATGGTATAAATATGATATATAAATGGATACAATATAGATATGAATTTGATATGTGTATGTATTTGATATAAATAGGGATATAGATATAATATGGGTATGGATATGAAATTAATATGGATATAGATTTATATGAATATGGATATAGATATAGATATGGATATGCCATAAATATGGATATAGATGTAGTGTGGGTAATGATATAAATATGATATGGATATAATATGGGTATGGATATGATATGGACATAGGTATGGTATGATATGATATAAACATGGATATAGAGATGATATCAGATGGATATGACAGGAATATGGATATAGATTTATATGGATATTGATATGATACGATATGGAATTAATATAGATACGATATGGATATTGATAAGATAGGGATATGGAGATAGATGCAGACATTGATGTAGATTCAGATCCAGATCCTGTTATGGGTACTGATATAGATATTGAGACTAGATGACATGTGCATAGAGATGCACGTTGCTCTGGATACAGGTATTGATACACACATAGACACCAATATAGACGCAGATACAGATATTGCTGTTGTAGCCTGAATGTATGAGTGAGAGGACACTCCTTAGACTTCACCTCCTTCCACCCTTCCTCCCATGTTCATCCCAGCCAGCATGCTTTGGACAAGTGACCGTCTATGAGGCCCCCATATCCTCATCTCTGAAATAGAGGTGCTACTTCAGAGGATGGAGGTGTGGATTAACGAGAAAAGCATAAGAAATACATCACCTGAAACTGTTATTCACTTGCAGATGAATTAAGTGTTCCCCAAACCTGGCTAACTGACAAGGCAAGTCTGGGATACGCTGGCCCAGCGCTTCAGCACTCAATCCATGTGGACACTGGAGTTCGAACCAGGAAACTGTTCATAATTGGGGTGGTCCATGCATTTTCCCTGTTGGCATGCCCTTCACTTACCTCAACAGGACAGAAGAAACGAATAGCCAGAATGAATAAAAATGAGGACTACGTTTGGAATAGAAATGAGTTGCTCAAAACCTCCTCTTTCTTTCTCAATTAAGCATCACTACGTGGAGGCTGCCGGATCACCAAGCACTAGAATGAGATGGAGCACAAGTTGGCTGCCCAGCAAATTGCTGCCTTCGCCTTGATGATTGTACATTCCCTCCAGCTCTAGCTGGCTTAACTGCAAATATCATTAGATTCAAAATCTCACTCTATCTCTCTCTCCCTCCCTCCCTCCCTCTGTGTGTGTGTGTGTGTGTGTGTGTGCGCGTGTGTGTGTGTGTAGAACCTATTGATAGCCACAGGCAGAGCTAATTAAATGCAATGCACATTTCATACTTTCATGCAATTTCACACAATTATGAATTTTGCAATAATGCAAATGAAGAGAAAACCAGGAACCAAGGTGGGTGAGTTGTGGGAGGGGGCATCAGAGGGCCAAGAAGTCTCTGGTTCTTTCTAAGCTTCCCTGAACCACTGGAAACTTGCCAAATGTCCCCAACCATTGCCTCTATCAGGTTGTTGTATGCACCAGGAGCAATCATTGGGAGGCATTTAGAATCTGAGTGATCCAGGGTCAAGAGGCATCTTGGAGAGGAGGTGGAGAAAACTTCCACCTGAGCCTCAGAGTCCCGCAAAGTGGTCCTCTAGTCACACTCCCTGTTGCAATCATTACTGAGCACCAACAGGCTACAAGGATAGAGCAGCTGAACACAGGTCATCACGAGGTGGCTCACTGCTTTCTGAATCACAGTTGGCAAACTTTTGTGCAAAAGGCCAGACAATAAATATTTTAGGTTTTGCTTACCAGATGTTTCTGACACAACTATGCAACTCTGTCATTGTGGCCATCTATAAACAAATGGGTACGCCTGTGTTCCAATAAAACTTTATTGGCAAAACCACATGTTGGGTGGATGTGGCCTGAGGACCACGGTTTAACAACCTCTGATATAAGGGATCACTGGAAGAGTGTTTTAGAAATACCTGACCAAGTGTATTGGAGAGATGTAGAGTCAAACACATAAAAACATGACCACTCAAAGTGACCTCAGTGGAACAATGGGTCTAGTTAAGAGTTTCACTTCTCAGACTGAGGTAGGAGGTGGGACTCAACTCCAGAGGCGGGGCTTGGGCACTGAACCAGATTGAGGACTAGCTAAAACAGGGTCAGAGCAAAAGCATCTTTCCAAAAAGACACTCCCACCAGTGTGTCAACTTAGTGTTGTCAAGGCAACACCACTGCCCCTTTCCATGGCAATGATCCAATGACCCAAAAGTTACTACCCCTTCCCTAGAAATTTCTGCATAAACTGCCCCTTAATCTGCATGTTATTAAAAGTGGGTATAAATGTGACTGCAAAACTGCCCTGAGCTGCTCCTCTGCCTACCGGGTAGCCCTGCTCTGAAGGAGCAATCATGGAGCTGTGACACCGCACCTCAATAAAGCTGTTTTCTTCTACCTGGCTTATCCTTGAATTCTTTTCCGGACAAAGCCAAAACCCTCCTGGGCTAAGCCACACTTTGGAGCTCCCCTGTCCTGCATCAAGACCACTGCCTGAGATGAAGTTCATCCTCTAAGGGCTGGAAGTGGGGAAGCTCTGAAGTGGCCTCTGCACAAATAGAGAAGGCCACATGGATGGTGACTCATCTATTAATTGGATATTCCTTTGGAAGTTTAAAGGCTAGGTGTTCCCAAGAGGACAAGCTTTGGGGGCTCCACACCTACTCCTAGCAACTGTACTCTAATCTTCTGATTTGCAATGGGGCTGCTGTAAGTCTCAGTTTTTGAATTTCTGAAACACAGATTAATCATGCAACTACAAGACTATCCTTGTAACCCAGTGCCACTAAAGTGATCTGGGAATGTCCCTTCCGTACACCTCTACAGACACAACTAAGCAAAGCTTTCATAGTAATATCAGAGTAGCAGCCAGGTGTATGAATAGAGGCCAGAAACCAAGAGCACACAGGAGCTTTGGAGGCAGAAGGCACATATCGCTGTGACTGCAGGGTAGGGCAGCGGTGGTAGGGCATGAACCACAGGATGAGAGAGGTGCTCCAGAAGTCTTCTTGTAGAGCAAGAGACCAATGTTGTGCTTTTTGTTCATGGCCCTGTTGTTGCATGTTTCTCAGCTGTACAGCCCATAAATGACATCTTGGCTTTAAGAGATAAAAACCCAGCCATAGACTTGTCTCATGTCGGCCCACACAGAGAAACTCCTGGGGGACTTGGTCATTGGACAGACCATGGATTTAGTCTTGGCAAATAGATTTAGTTTCCCCAACCAGCTGAAAGAGGGTCTGTTTCTGTTGCAGTCTAATCAATGCACATATGGGTTGCTTGTTCAATAAAAGAAACTTAAGTGGAGATATTTAAGGAACTTGAGAAGTATTCAAAAAATCTAAAGCAAAAATGGTTTAACTGCAGACACTGGCATGTAGTTCTTAAGGTATACAATTAGGAAAATTTGTACAGTAATTAGGTCAGTTAACGAGAGTTCCATGTTCATCCTCTTCATTAGCTAAGCCTGAGAATTTTTCTTTTCTTGCCCAACATCTCAAAATTCTTAGTTTGAGCTGATTTTTCTGATAAATTCTTAGAAATTTCTGGTTGAGGCCGGGCACAGTGGCTCATATCTGTAATCCCAGCACTTTGGGAGGCCAAGGTGGATGGATCACTTGAGGTCAGAAGTTTGGGATCAGCCTGGACAACATGGCGAAACCCCATCTCTACTAAAAATGCAAAAATTAGCCATGCATGGTGGCGCATGCCTGTAATCCCAGCTACTCTGAAGGCTGAGGCACAAGTATGGCTTGCAGCTGGGAAGTGAAGGTTGCAGTGAGGCGAGATGGTCCCATTGCACTCCAGCCTAAGTAACAGAGGGAAACTGTGTATCAAAATAAATAAATAAATAAACTAATAAATAAATAAAGGAAAATTTCTGGTTGGCATGAGGTCTTCCTATTAACAAAAGCTGACAGGTGAGCATTTTATGTACCAGGAGTATTTGCCAAGCTGACCCCAGTGATCCCAGTCTTTTGCCAAAACAGGTGCAGACCATAGAAAGTATAGAACCTGGTCAAACCAAAAGCAGCCCCTATTCACAATACAGTGCCCCTCTATCGTGGGACTCTCCTTTGCTTGGCTTTCTAACTTCAGCTCCCACTACTGACATCATCACACTGCTCTCAGTCTCGGCCTCTGCTCTGAAGAGCATGGTCTCCCCTGCTCCACACTGCACAACCCATCATCTTTCAGACATCTCTTTCTCAGCTTGGGTTCTCTTTCACTGTCTTCTCTACTAGTCGTATTTCTATTCATCTTTCTGCGTCCAACTCAAACCCTTCTTCTCCCAAGTAGAACCTTGTAACCTCTGTAAACTTGCATCCTATCAAACTTCTTAGTGCCCATTTTCAATAGTAAGTGTCAACGTTTGTTTTTAATTCTCTCTCTCTCTCTCTCTTTTTTTTTTTTCTTTTGAGATGAAGTCTTGCTCTGTTGCCCAGGCTGGAGTGCAGTGGCGTGATCTTGGCTCACTGCAACATTGGCCTCCCAGGTTCAAGCAATTCTTCTGCCTCAGCCTCCTGAGTAGCTGGGATTACAGGCACACCCCACCATGCCTGGCTAATTTTTGTATTTTTAGTAGAAACGGGGTTTCACTATGTTGGTCAGGCTGGTCTCCAACTCCTGACCTCAAGTGATCCACTCACCTTAACCTCCCAAAGTGCTGGGATTATAGGCATGAGCCACCGTGCCTGGCCTAATTCTCTCTTTCAATACATAGATTTTGGTTTCCCAAAACCAGTGAGCATGGACTGCATTTTATATGTATTCAACAAGTGTTTATTAAGTAACTAACATCAGTTGTTCATTATTTGTAACTTAAATAATATGAAGTCAATTGGCATGATTAAAGCTCTATGGTCTTCTGCAAAACAGCAATGATCAGTTACCAATTGCTTTCTTTAAGTATAGCGTGGAGAATGGAGTTGAAAGTGACCAGCATTGTGGCCTTTGTTCTGGGGGGTGCCTGCCATACTGATGGCAGCTGCTGCTCCAGACAGCCTGTCACTGCCATCACGTTGGCTGCAGCAGGGAGGCATTGCCTGGGCTGCACGCCCCATGGAGCCAGCGGGAGCCCCATCCCTTCTGAGTTGGGGTGGGAGCTCCCTGGGTGCCGCTGCAGCTGCCCAAACTGCCTGCAGACCCAGGCCACTGCCCCATTGGCCTGGGAAGGCCCCCTGCCCTTGCAGGCTCAGAAGTGCCTGCTCCCACTGCCTGGCTGCTTTCTGCTGTTGGTGTCTGCTCCAATCTCAGAAAAGTTGGGGCAAAACCTGGGCATCATGAATGGCAGCAGAAGGCAGATAGGTTCCTGGGCAGAAGGGGATGGGTCCCTGGTAAAGCCAATCCCATGGACTGGAATGAAGACTTGTGGTGCCTTTTCTGTGTCCTCCCATGGCTGCCCATGAGCCGGCTGGCACACACTTTCTCCCCTCTGTGGTCCATAGAAGCCCTGGGCTTTACCAGAGCAGGCAGAGAATGGAGAGATGACAGGATGACCAGCAGCAGACAGGAGTGGGAAGACCACTGCAGATGATGGCTGCAGAGATGATGGGGACAACCTGATGGTGGAGAAGAGCCACCCTCTCCAGAGTCTCTGCTGCGAGCTGAACACTTGATGGGATGACCTGCATACAAAGAGGAGCTACCCATTGTAAGTCTCCCCTGAGCTGTTCTAACACTCAATAAGCTTCTCTGTCTTGCTCACCCTCCACTTGTCTGCATACCTCATTCTTCCTGAACGCAGGACAAGAACTCGGGAAAAGGTGCCACTGGCCACAGAGATTTCTGCCCAGAAAAGCGACACCCCAACGATCCTGTAACAATACCAATGCTATTATCCCAAAATAAGCTGGACATATTCCTCAGTGTGGAATTTTGGAGAAGGCGGTAGACGCAGCATTGCAAGGTCATGTTTCTACCTGTACTCTGATCTGTTTTATTGGCTTTGTAATTTTTCTCATACTGTCTATTTTCCTCTCAATAAAACCTTAGAATGCTCTTCAATATGTAAGATAAATAAAAGCCAGAAAAACAAAAGTTTGAGTGGTCACTTCACCAAAGAATATGTACAATTGAAAAATAAACATATGAAAAGATACTCAACATCATTAGTCACTAGGAAAACGCAAATTAAAATCACAATAAGATACCACTACAACTATTAGAATGGTTAAATTTAAAAGAAAATCCCACTGTAACACCAAATGCTGGGGAGAATGAGGGGCAGTAGGAGCCCTCACTCCTTGCTGATGGGATGAGTGACATATCATGACACAGCCACTCTGGAAGATAGTTAAGAGTTCCTTATAAAGTTAAACTTACCGTAACTCAGGACCACATTCCTAAGACTTTATTGGAGTAAAACTAAAAAACCCCTGTTCACACAAGAGGCTGCATGTAAATGTTTGTGGCAGCTTTATTAAACATCTCCAAAAACTGGAGACAATACCAATGTCTCTTAATTGGGGAACTGAAAGACAAATGGTGGCCCAAAATAGAGGTCAGAAATAAAAGGAAAGAACTCTTGATTCATCAAGGAAGAATCTCAGGTGAATTACGCTACTTGAAAGAAGCTAGCCCCAAAACACTGCATACTGTATGGTTCAATGTATACGACATACATCTTGGAAAAGGCAAAATGACAGAGACAGAAACTAGATCAGAGATTGCCAGGGGCTGGGTGGGGGATGGAATGTTCTGTATCTTGATTGTGGTGCTAGTTACATGACTGTACACATTCGTCAAGACTCACAGAACTGCATACTGAAAAGGTTGAGTTGAACTGTGTCTAAATTATATCTTAGAAAAAAAAATATATATATATATTTTTTTTTGAGTCTCGCTCTGTAGCGAGGCTGGAGTGAAGTGGCTTGATCTCAGCTCGCTGCAACTTCCACCTCCCAGGTTCAAGCGATTCTCCTGCCTCAGCCTCCCGAGTAGCTGGGACTACAGGTGCACGCCACCACACCCAGCTAATTTTTGTATTTTCAGTAGAGATGGGGTTTCACCATGTTAGCCAGGATGGTCTCAATCTCTTGACCTCGTGATCTGCCTGCCTCAGCTTCCCAAAGTGCTGGGATTACAGGTGCAAGCCACCACGCCCAGCCAAAAAAAATATATTTTTAAAGCTAGCAGGTCTGATTTTAATTAAGATTTGGAAGTCTACCTGCCCAGGCTTCCCAAGGTGCTCCAGTCAGATCCTGGGTCACCACCAAGTCCCACAGAAACCAGTTTGGAGACCTGTAGACTAGCTCCTCACTGAGCCATTTCTGGATCTCCAACTCTCTGTCATCTTTCACCTGGGACCCTCATGGGAGGTGGATGCAGCAGATTCTCTGAAATCCTACTTTTGAACACTGTCGTTTTCATCAGCAAAGCCACTTCCTGGACTGCTCCTATGTCCACCACCCAGACTGTCCAGCCAGGCTGGGCACCTTCCTAGGGCAAGACTGTCTCAGCTTGTCTGCGTGGACTGTCAGCCTCCAGTCTAGAGGGAGGGAAGTACAGGGCTGGGCCTCCTGCCTCTTTTCCTATGGAGGGTGGGGATGGCATTGCACGCACATCAACCTGATGCTACAGGGCTTGGCCTCTTGCCTTGTGTCCCGTGGAGGGCGGGGATGGCATTGCACGCACATCACCCTGACGCTGCACTTGCCCCAGAAGTCAGCACTCAGGGATTTTCCTCCACCATGGGGCTGCCTGAAAATGGAAATGAATTCTCAGCACAAAACAAAAAGACAAACTGGTATGATGCCTCAGAGCATGTTCGTTTGGGGTTTTTAGTTGTTTTAAAATTTTCTTTTCATTCTAATAAAGGACAGCTTTGTCTTTAATCCACAGATATGGCTGAATCGCTGTTTTCCAAGCAGCACACAGAAAATTATCCTACCTGAGGAGCGGAGTAGTATCCATGGAGACACAACACCAAGGCCTTCAGGGTCTCATAGGCTGGCAGGCCCAGCAAGGAGCAAGCGCTACGGCTTGTTAGTAAGAGGCGGCTAATGAGAGAGCCTGTTACTGACTCTGGGGTCCCTGAAACACCTTTCACTGGGGCCTCGCTCATTCCTGGGAGGAATGCAGTTGAGTGGTTTGATACCAGGCTTGAGCGGGACTGCAGGATTTGACTCCTAACCCCTCATTTGTGGCTGCAGGATGCTAGACAAGCACTTAACTCCTTTGAGCTCTTCTCTGTAAAAGGCAGACTGTAGCACCTACCCCCTAAATGTATTGAAACGTTTCAACAAATGTGAGCACAGAATCAGTACCCTGCCGGGTCCACACTGAGAAATCAATGACAGCTGTGATTAACTTCATGCCCATGCCCATTGGGTCCATTCAAGCCACCGAGCCCCGTGGTTGAGTTGGGCTACAGGCCGCCCTGTCCCCACCAACACAGCACATCTCGGCGGTCCCAGACAGGCGGGAGGATGGACCCTGAGACAGCACCTTAGGGAAGGCGTGAACGCACGGGAATCTGGCGGGCATCTTTGGTGAGGTTCCACCTTCTCTTGGCAGAGACCTTGGTGGAATCCCGGGACTCCCTCTCCAAGGAAACCCCATCAGAGGGGCCCTGGTGGGTACCCAAAGAGCAGCCTAACTCCAGGGAGAGGCAAAGGACAAGAGAGGCCGAGGAGCCAACCTGACGCCTAGAAATCATTCAATATGTATGTATTGAGTGAGTGATTTAACGAATGACCTTTAGAGTACCCATAGCTCTCCACTTCACCTGGCTGGCTGACACCACATACAGACATCTCAAAGACACAGAAGGTAGTGGAACAGAGCGGTGACTTGCAGGGGAGGCGCACAGCAAGGCCATGCTGGCCCCCCACACCACGCAGTTCCCAAGGGAGCTGTTGACAAAAATAACTCCTTTTGTGTTCTGACTTCCCCTTTCACAGGCCTGACCACCATGTCTGCCTTCCCCTTCCTTGCTCCCCGGAATCCTTTCTGTTCCCCAGAAGTGCCACGATCTCCCTGAGACTGGCCTTTGCTCTCGCTGGTGCAACTCCCTGTCTTTGGCATCACCCATGATGACTTCAGCACAGGACTCAGGTCTTGGTTGCCATGGCACCGATCAGAGGCCCTTCACCCCAGTGCTGCAGCCTAACACAGTGCTTTATCACGCTAGTCACTTCCCAGAATCACCTTGTTTATGGTTGACTTGTGTGCTGTTTGTCTTCTCCAACTAGAGTGAAAGCCCCATGAAGGTGAGATTTTCATAGTTGAGTTCATCACTGACTCCCCAGTGCCCAGAACATGCCTGAGGCATAAAAAGCATAGATGTTGGATGGATGGAGGGAAGGAAGGAAGGAAGGAAGGAAGGAAGGAAGGAAGGAAGGAAGGGGAGAGGAGAGGAGAGGAGAGGAGAGGAGAGGAGAGGAGAGGAGGGAGGGAGGGAGGGAGGGGGAAGGGAGGGGGAGAAAGGGATGGAGGTAGGGAGGGAGGGAGGGAGGAAGGAAGGATTATGGGTATTTGGATGGATAGATGAACATGGCCGGGCGTGGTGGCTCCCGCCTGTAATCTCAGCACTTTGGGAGTCCAAGGCAGGTAGATCACAAGGTCAGGAGATCAAGACCATCCTGGCTAACACGGTGAAACCCCGTCTCTACTAAAAATGCAAAAAATTAGCCGGGCATGATGGCACACGCCTGTAACTACACAGGAGGCTGAGACAGGAGAATAGCTCAAACCAGGGAGGCAGAGGTTGCAGTGAAACAAGATCGCACCACTGCACTCCAGTCTGGGCGACAGAGTGAGATTCCGAAAAAATAAATAAATAAATAAATAAATAAATAAATAAACAAACAAACAAACAAACAAACAGATGACTGCATGCATATCTGCATGTGTAAATGGATGAATAGATAGATAAATGAATAAATGTGTGGATAAGGGTATGCATGTGTGGATGGATGGGTGGATGGACGGATGGGTAAGTGGATGATGGGTGGATGAGTGATGGGTGGGTGGTTGAGTGAATTAATAGGTGGAGGGAATAGATTGATGGATAGACAAGTGCCTGGGTTGATGACTTAGCCAGTGGGAGGCAGATGCTTCTCTCCTAGGACTTTCTGTCTTCCAGGTAAAATGCCTCCCAGCTTTGTGCTGATGCTAGTTCTCACAATGAGGCAAATTCATTTTATATCATGCAAAGAACCTCAACTTTATGGGGAAAAGGCCATCCTTGGCTTCACAGACAAAAGTACCCCAGGCGGGTTGCCAGGACCTCATTCCATGCCTCCAGTTCGATGGGGCGCTTGGGGCTGAGTGGCGAGAGCAGCCCCTGAGCAATGTGGTGATTTCTGAAGTGTGCTTTCCCTGGCTGAGCTCACTGAGCTTTCATCTTTGTAATTACGCTGGGACACATTTCTCATTACAGACACCAGGAGAAACCACAAGCAAGCAGGCAGCTGGTTAAGCAAGAAAGAGCAAAGCAAAGATTGACCTAGTTTGGATAAAGTGGGATCTTACCTGAGTCTTTCCCAGATGGAAATCACACAAAACCAGAGCTCTCTGTGTCTTGCACACACACAGATTGTTTTTCTTCACTCTCTTTTCTTTTACAGTGATTTTTTTTTACAAGTTTTGTTCTATTCAAATTGAGTAGAAGTATAAAGAATGAAACTAACTGGGAAAATCTGAATGTTCAGCATGCACAAAGCCGCAGGCACTCGGCGTCCTCTGGAGCCTCTGCCTATAAGTGTAGGTTTGAACCTAACACATGAAAGTCTTTAGAAGAGTTCAGATTAATATATGTACATGATGCATGATGGATCTGGGGATGGCTGGAGAGGTGCGGGGAGGGCGGCATGTATCCTGACAGCTCATTTTGGCTCAGTGGCTGGAGTCATAACCATGGTTACCAGTTCAGGGTCTCCAGATGGGAGTGACCAGGGCAGTGAGAAGCTCAAAACACTAGCAGGACTGAGAAAGGACTGAGAATGACAAGCCCAGAGTAAAGCAACTCAGCAGCCGGGACATGTGTTCATGTACTTGAAGAGCTGCAATGTGGGAGAGAATAGTTTATGTGACTTCAGAGGGTAGAACTCAGGCTAACTGATAAAAGTTTCACAGAGGGACAGATGCACGTTTTGAAAATGAAGCCCAAACTTGTCCCCGCAGCTGGCCGAGCCCTGCACAATGAGGCCGCTGTCTTAGGAACAACCTCTCCTAATGCTCTCCTTGTTTGCTCTGCTCCAGTCACAATCGCAGAACTTCCTCCAACACACCTTGTCCTTGGTGGCATCAGGACATTGGCACTTGCTGTTGTCTCTTTCTGAAATGAAATCCCCTTTCCCTTACTAGGGCTGGATCCGGTTTAACTCTTTACTCAGAGAAGTCCTCCCTGACCACCGTGGCTGAGGCGACGCCCCAGGGTCATTCTCTGATGCTGTGATCATCTGGGTTCCTTTGATTCTCAGCATTTATCACTCTCTGAAACAAACCTGTGTATGCGTTTATTTCTTCATTACCTCACTTAACGTGTATGAAGACGGGCTGCATCTCTCCTGTGGGCCTCCTATGCCCAGCTCCTAGGAGGGTGTCTGATGCACAGAAGGGACTCAGCCATGACAGACTCAGTGAGTGCATGAATATGCACAGAGCAGAGATGCTCCAGCAGGGTCCGAGCAATGATGTCCCTACCACTCAGAAATCAAAGGACCAGCTGTATCACCTTCACACAAGAGAGAATAAGCCTCACCCACACCAGCGAGACAGCAGAGCCTGCAGCTGCATTTCAAACCTGAGCCGGTTCTCTAGCCTGCAGGGATTCGAGGCTGAGAGGTGTGCATTTCAATCATAAGTTTTGTTTTTGAAAATCCTGAGATTTCTGGCAATTTTGTTAATATTTGATGTATCAAACAATAATCAATATCTCTCTTAGGACACTTTTAGCCATGACTTTATATTAACCTATTTTATCTCAATGTGCATTTGTTCTGGAATGAAAATCCAGTGTTTCTAAATTCAGATCTCCTAGGTTCCATATTTTCAACTCTACAAAATCTAATTAAACATGAGTTTAGAAAATGATCATTATCTCTCACATCCTGGGAGGGTCCACACAAGCGCTTCTCCAGGGGGGCTTGTCTTGAGTCAAGTTCTACTCAAGGCCATCATATGGGCAAGGCCAAATTTTAATCCAGTGATGGGGGTGGTGGAGGGAAGCTTATTTTTCATATTAAGACAAATACAGATTTGTAGGGCAAATTCACTAAGATTTTAAAGAAAAGGCTTCAATATTTAAGACATTTCACAATGAGGTGGGACACTTCTATGCTATTTTTGGCTTTCAATAAACCCAAATAGCTAGAAGTGACCGTATGACATCATTCTGGCCAATGAGTTTGATTCAGAAGTTTGTGGGAAGAGAGTCCTGTTGTGAATAAAATGGCAGCGCCTTCTCCTGCCTGGTGTGCCATGATGATGCGGCCATGCAGACGAAAGCGGGATCAGGAAGGAGAAGCAGGATGGTGGAATGACCTTGTCCATTGACCCAACAGCCCTGGCCCGAGGCTGTCCAACTGTGGACTTGCTGTAACCAGAGAAGCTACCCCTCCCCTTGGCCGGGACTCTGTGGTAGAATTTTCCAGAAGTGACAGCTGAGTGCAGTCCCAGATGGAAATGCCTCGTTTGGCCTCCAGAACAGAGGCACAACAATGAGGTCCCACTGGGGATTTTCAGAGCTCAGGACAGGTGGCAGGTCACCTCTCCAGAAGTCTCTACAGGACAGAGTTCAGAGAGGAGTTTGGCTCTGAGGCAACCAAGTTAGGCTTTACTGGAGCTGCCGGGAAACAGTAATGGTGGAAGAAATCCCCAATCCACTGGTACAGCAGGAAATGGCTTACCGCAATACGACTTGCTTAGGGCTTACAGGTGCCGTCTCGTATCCATGACCGGGTCAAACATAGAGCCTCCACATTCCCGTGCTTTGTCTCATAAAAGATTAGCTGAACTGTGGTTTCCACTGGTCAATCAGAACAAAGTGCTCGCTAACTGACTCAACTACGCTGTAGTTAAGAGTATCTCCACAGGACCCTGGACTCCGACCCACCCTCTGCCGGACAGATCACGCAGCCTCTGCTCAGACACAAAGAGCACACTCCACGAGCTTTGCTTGTTCCTCTCTATAAAAGAAAAGCCCTTTTCTACCAGGCATTTGAGACGCTTGCAGATCTCAGGGTCAGAGTGAGCCCAGTTGCCACAGTCCCTTCCTTCAACTGCGACAGTCTTTTCAAATAGCATCTCTCCTTCCATAGGTCTAGACTTGAACACACACATAATCTTGACATCCCCAAGCTGTAAGGGTTATGGGAAGTTATAGGTCCAATCTCGTTATTTGCTTGTGAGTAAATTCAGTCCAGGGCTGGTGAAAGGATTGTACTAAGTCTAGGTAGTGTAAGTGGTGAGCTCTGGGCCAGACCTGACCCCTGCTTTCATGTTCTTTGCAGATTATCACAGCTACAAGGGCAATCCCAGGTGAGCTGATGCAGGCACACACATCTCCAAACACACAGCATCACACGTGCACAGGCACACAGGAATGTGTGCACACCTGTATCTACAGCCCCTGGTCAGTCCGAGGAGCAGCGAGTGTTGCTTTCTTCACACCACCCTATAGTTAGATTGACACCTCACAATGAGAACGAAATCAGGAGGCCACAGCCCTGGATATACCCTGCCCTGCACAAAATCATCCAGTTCTCTGTCTCCTCTCTCTGTCCTGCTCCCGCTCCACAGCCACTTCTACCAGAGGTGGCCTTCTCCTGCGCTGCTCTACCCAAGTAATGGCAAGGCTGGAGGAGTTTGCAGTGACCACAGGACGTACAGGCAAATCACCCTTCTAGGCCCCGTGTCTAGGAGTTGGACTATCAGACATCCCTCTCGAGAGTGGAATCGAGCAGGGTTTGTTCTTCTGTGTCTGGCCTATTTCACTTAGCGCAGTGTCTTCTGTGTTCACTTATGTTGCTAGGGGCTGAGGGAGGGAAATGGGGAAATAGACTCAAGTTCCAGTTAGGAGAGGTGAATAAGTTCCAGAGATCTGCTGAATCACACAGTGGTTAGTGTTACCAATACTGAATAGTGCACTTTAGAATATGTTAAGGGGCCAGATCTCACATTAAGGGTTTTTATTGCAAAATAACAAACTCCCACACAGGAACACACCAGAATGTTTAGAGGTGATGGACATGCTTTGTCTTTTGATTGTGGTGATGGCATCACAGGTGCATACATATGTCCAAATTTATCAAAATGTATAAGTTAAATATGTGCAATTTTTATCAATTATACTTCAAAAAACTTCTAAAAAGTATAGTTAAAGAATCAACTTTTCCTGTAGGAAGGGGAGGAAAGGGACTTTATCATGATAATATAGTATAATTATTTTATGTGCATTGCAAAACTAATATGTATATCATGTATATTTTATGTACATAGCAAAATTCTACCCCCACTGCAATTTAAGTTAACAATCACTGAAGACTCATTTTGTGCCAAGCTATGTACCAGGCACCTAAGACAAGGCTCCACCTGCCAGACCCCACAGTGAAATGGTGCAGAAGTGGTAATAACAGTCAAGTAAATGTAAATACATGATATATGTACATAAACTTATAAATATGAGTAGGTGCATACAATAAGCATATAAATTCATATTCTTATACTGTATATGCAATACATATATGGAAATATGTATATTTATGAGCTTTATCTCATATAAAACTTAAGATAGGATGTTGTTGTCCATCCTGTCATCATGTGCTTTTTGAAAGTGAGGAAATTGAAGCTTAGGAAGTTGAATTAACTTGAACAGTAACACAGACCTCATAATGGGGTATCCCAAAATAAGACTCTGGTGGTCCTATTCCAGAGCCAGAAATACTAATTGTCTTATTGCATTGAAGACAGACACATAAATGGTCAATTTCAATAGAATGGACACTGTTACAAAGGAGGTGTGACTAGATCCTAAATCCATCCTGAAGTTTACTCAGAAGGGAAAAGAGAACACAGCTTTATCAGAGAAATCTAACCATCCAAGAATGCTGGGTTCTTGTAACTGCTTCCATGTTCAGTTTGCTGTGGTATGTTGCTGGGTGCAAATGGATGAAAAAGTCCAGTCTCATACAGATATGCAGTTGGAAGGGAGACGGATTTCAACAGTGTTTACAGATCTCTTCAGTTCCTTGTGCACATTCTTTTTTGATACTATACCAAAACTTAGCAGCAGTCATTTTTTTAAAGGTTACATGCAATGCAAGTCTGAAGTTACATGAATTAACTTTTCATGTTCTATTAAGTGAAAATCCACTGGCCTATTTGAAGTGTAAGGGAATCTTTTACCAGTGCATAATTTGATAACATCATGTTGGTCAGTGGGAAAACAAAAGTTCACTATGTTAGGCAGATTTTCCATTATGCAATATCAGAAAATGAATAACATTTGCTAATATCACCAGATCTCATTAGAAAAGGCTTGAAGTCTGGGGATACTGCCAAGACAATGAGTGTAGATACAAGTTTTCCAAAATTTTTATTTGAACTTAGAAGCTCAAATTTTATCACTGGAAACAAATACTATTCGTTACTTTCCTCAAAGTGACAGGCTCACTTCGTTTATATTTTTAAATACACTTTTTATTTTAGCAGAGTTTTAGGTTTACAGAAAAGTTGTGAAGAGAATGCAGAGTCCACATACACCCCACATCCAATTTCCACTGGTGTGAATACTGATACATTGTTATTAATTTAAGCCCATAGTTTATTCAGATGTCCTTTGTTTTTACCTACGGTCATTTTTCTCACAGAAAAGGATTCTGGGATGCCCCACAGTCCCATCCAGGATATCACAGTGCATTTAGCCATCGTGTCTCCTTAAGCTCATCTTGGTGGTGACAGTTTCTCAGACTTGCCATATTTTTGATGACCCTGGCAGTTTTGAGGAGTACTGGTGTATTCGTCTTTTCTCATGCTGCTAATAAAGACATAGACTAAGACTGGGTAATTTATAAAGGAAAGAGGTTTAATTGATTCACAGTTCAACATGGGTGGGAAGATCTCAGGAAACTTACAGTCATGCTGGAAGGCACCTCTTCACAGGGTGGCAGGAGATCGAGGTGCCCAGCAAAAGGGGGAAAAGTCCCTTATAAAACCATCAGATCTCGTGAGAACTCACTATCATGAGAACATCATGAGGGGGCCAGTCCCATGATCTAAGCACCTGCCACGAGGTCCTTCCCACAATATGTGGGAGTTATGGGAGCTACAGTTCAAGATGAGATTTGAGTGGGGACACAGCCAGACCACATCAACTGGTCAGGTATTTTGTTGAATGTCCTTCAGTTGAGATTTGTCTGATTTTCTTTCTTGTGGTTAGACTGGGGTTATGGGCTTTGGGGAGGAAGACCACAGAGGCAAAGTGCCATTTTCACCACATCTTATCCAGGGAGCATATTTTCAACTCTTGATGTTGACCTTGATCACCTGCTTGCCTCAAGGAGCTTTCATCAGCTTTCTCCCTGATAAGGTTTCCCTTTTCTGTCACCCCCTGCACACTGTGTTCTTTGGAGGGAACTCCCTATGCAGGGTGCAACCTGTACCTAGGGAG
Organism: Homo sapiens; assembly: GCF_000001405.40. Taxonomy (NCBI): domain Eukaryota; kingdom Metazoa; phylum Chordata; class Mammalia; order Primates; family Hominidae; genus Homo; species Homo sapiens. Next base: position 60,957,079 of record NC_000020.11, read on the forward strand.
TGGGAGTGAGGCACCCCCTCCTTGAGGTTGGAGCACCTACGTGAATTATTTGGAATTCTTCTGCACAGGAGATTGGACCTAATTTATTTTGGTGAAGATTTGCAAAATATCCAAGTCTGAACAACTGTAGTTTATCTGTCAGTTAATCTTTCAAGTAAAACTGCTGTTTCTTGAAAAACAGAGCAGTTCAGTGCTCTGCTCAAATGAGCGTACCGAGTTTTTCCTTGGGGCAGCCATTGGGTCCTGGTAAGCCACAGAAGACCCTTAGGCCCATCTCCCTCATCATCACACAAAGTGTTTGCTCAGAGCACCCAAAGTTCAAGAATTAATAAAATTAATACTTTTTACTGTTTCTATGAGTCAGTTCTTAAGTGATATTGGCATTGCTTTATTTTCCTGAAAAGCGTGGTGATGAAGGGTGCAGGGATGGCCCATGCTGTTCAGTGCCCCATCCTTGGTCCATGCAAAGGTGCCAGCACTTTTGCCTACAGTTGTTCTTGCCCCATCAGTGTTAATGCCAGTGGAAAAGACAGATAATGTCATAGTATGATTGTGAAAATAGTTTTGACTTTATGAACCCTTCAAAAGAGGGTACCCTAGAGGTACCCTGGAGGTCCAGGGGGTACACTTTGGGAACCACTGTCAGAAGGTAAAAACGTAGCTTCCTCTTGACCTAGTTAACCTTAGCTCTCCAGGTCTCTCAGAGAGAATCAAGATCAACCTGCTGTAGTCAACCTGTTGCTCTCCATGGTCCTACAGATTCTCATGGTCACCTTGACTTTGCTCCAGCTGTTCCTCATTTCTGATGCTCTCCTGTACCAGAACAATGGGTGCCTATTGGAAAAGTCACCCTGAAAGCCCCAACGCCACCTCCCCAAGGCCCCAAGTCAGGAAACCGTAAAGTCTTCCTCCTGGTTCCTTTTTGTATTCATTGTCCCCCAGATTTTAAAAATGTCTCCTGCCTTATTACTGATTAATTCATTGAACACTTATTAAGCACCCTATTGTGCTGGTCCCTGGGCTCATTACCTTGAGTGTCCTGCTCTTCCGAAGAGAGAAGATGCACTCAGCCTTTCCAGGCAAATAAAACATTAACCCTTTCCCCTGAGTCTTAAAAAATTTTATTTTGAGCCAGAGTTAAATTATCAGCATATATAAGCCTAGTTATTAATTACATTCCTTCTCATTAAGGAAGTTTCCAGGGTCAAGTTTTCAACTGAAGTTTCTAGGCAGTTTGCCCAAGTAAGGACTTCATTAAGAACCAAGGCAAACATTAAAAAAAAAATGCAGAGAGCTCAAAAGGGACAAGGAAATGGCCAGGGAAGATGGAAAGCCACGTTTTCCTAATTTACTCTCTCACCTCGGGCTCCCTCTTTCGCCCTCTTGGATCTTGGTTGTTGGGGATGAAGAGAGGCCAGCTTTGAAGGGATCTCAGTCATACCTCTAGGGCTCTCAATCTGGAAGTATTTCCAGGAGATGGAAGGAAGAATGCCAAGAAGGACTGCCTGCTCGAAAACGAGAGGTTGGTTTTGTGATTCTGTCTATTGCGATAGATTCATCTGCAAGAAACAGAATCACCAGCTAAGAATGCATTAAACTCAAAGACATGCAATCATCTCACTTAACAAAACGTTTGGAGGGAGAGGATCTTGGGCCTGATGCAGTGGTCCATTGAGGACCCAGGTTCTTCCTCTACTTCCACTCTGCCATCTTCCCTGTGTTGCTGGTTAAGCCTGGGGCTTTCTGCCCTCTGTTTGCACAGCTTTGAGTGTCCCATGCAACGATAACCAAATTCGAGACAGGAAGAAGGAAGGAGCAACTTCTCCTTTCCTCTTTTAATCAGGGAGTAAGCTCCTTCTGAGCCTCCACAGCAGTCTCCCCTTCATGTACCATTGGCCAGAAATGGTTCCATGCTCACCATGAGCCCTTCCTGTGGCAAGTGAGAATGATGTCAAGGTGGGAATGCGTGGTTTATCAAGGGCCCAGCTTCCCTCAGCAGGTAGCCGCTTGAACCAGAGTAGGGTTTCCTGAGCTGGGAAGGGGAGTGGCAATGGTCACAGGAAGGTACCCAGCACTGTTCAGCATGGTAAGTCAAGGAGACCCTTCCCAGGTCCATGTGAGGTTCCCATAGTGTGAGGCTACCAACCATCCATGTTCCCTGGGAGCAAAAGACCCCTTCCTACTCCACCTAACAGATGCAGGCATCCCAGAGAAGCAAAGCGCCCTTCCTAAGATCAATCCCAGGTCCTCCCAAAACCAACATCCATGCTCTCAGCCCTTCCTTCTCGTTGAGGATGTTATGGAGAAAATAAAAGAATCAACTGCATGGGCCTTGGACTAGAGGTTCCTTAAACAGACCCATTCTATTCCTGAAATTCTATTACTTTAATCAATCACCATGATACCAAAATGAAATGCATTTATTCACTGTCATTGTTGGGTAACACAAATTAATATGTAGATACAGATGGCACTGAGTATTTTGAAGCAAAATACAATGTATATCAAAGAAGCAAAAACCATGTACTTATAGGACTGAATAGTTTAAGCAAATTCACAGCATCATTGGGTGTGAATTTGTTGAGCAGAGCACAGCCTTTTGCCTAGAAGTGGCAATTTTTGAACAGCATTAGTTAAAAAGATAAACCTCCCCACAAAGGAGAAAATTTCTAAGACCTATATAGTAACACAATGTTTTATGGGGTGAAAAGTCATAGAGATGACAGATGAGATGAGATGAGATGAGATGAGAGGAATTGATGGATACAAGGACAGATATAGGCAGGTGGAGCATCATCGTCATTGCATATTCACCCACCCCCAACACTGAATAATAGTAACATCCAGATGGAAATCTCAATGCTCTCAGGACACCTGAGGGCATCAAAACTTTTCTAAGGCCCCAAAGCTAACTCCCTCTGAAGGGTTTTCTTGCATCAGCTCATTAGTAAGATTCTTGGTCACTTTCTACAGTCTCCACCCAGTTTTGAAATACTGAGAATTTCAAGAATTAAGATGAGCGAACTTTCTAATCTGCCAGTGTGAACATAACTAAACCAGCTTCCCTGGGAAAACCACAACTTCTGAAGAAGCCACATCTGAATGCTGGGGTCCATCAAATGCACGTCTTGCATTTGAAAATCAAGGGTATCCCCCAGAGGAGCCTGCACCTGGAGACACACTTTAAACCACTCATTCCTCTGGGAGAGAAATAAATTCCCAGTATTTTAGTAAATTGCTGCCTAAGAAGGGCAGAGAAGAGACAATAGAGTCGGTTGCTTCAGTTCCTTGTGACTTCAGAAACCACTCAGGAGACCGGAAACTTTCCCAGCTTGTTATAAGATTAATAATTTCTGGGGTCTTGCTTACACAGAAATGGAAAAATAGAAGATTGTTTCGTGTTCATCTTTTCTTCCCACCTCATGCATTTTTCTTCTCAAGCATTCACACTTTGCCTCAGCTGAAGAGTTATTTGATTAATTTGCCGTTTGGTTTATTTTCCTTGTGACACCATCTTGCCCTGCAGTGTCGCTGGGCACCCTGGCCTCACCCCTGGCTCTGAGCCCATGGGTTTGGATTCTATCGCTGGTCTAGGCAGCTGACTCCGCTCACACTTCTGATTCTCCCATCGATGGTGCCACCTGCTCTGCTCTGGAAGCTTCTGGTTCCTTGTCTGCCAGCAGAGACATTCACACCTGCACCACAGGTGCACCCACATGAAGAGGAGGCTGCTCATCCACTCTCTGTGCCCCCTACTTTCCTTGTTACCAAACCCTCAGAATCATTTCATCACCATCCAAATTAATGTTAATAGCACCTATCATTTCTTGGCATTAACACATTACCCTAACAGTACACGAAAGACGTTACATGTGCTCTCTGGGGCAAGCAGAGTCCTAAGATGGACCCCAGTGAGTCCTACCCTTGTGCAATCCCCTCACCTTGACCCTCTAGCATAAGCAGAGCCTCTGAGTTGCTTCCAGTCAACAGAACACGGCACAGGCATTGGGATGTCTCTCTTGGCTACATGGCACCCCACAGAGATGTCATCTTCACAGACTGCACTGGAAGAAACCCCTGCTGGCCTTGAAGGAGCCTCCATGTCATCAGAGGGTCTATGAGAGTTGGCACCCCTAAGACCTGAGAACAGCTCCTGGCTGACAGCCAGCAAGAATACAGAGACCTCAGTCCTACAGCTGCAAAGAACTGAATTCCAGCCAACAGCCATGTGAGCTGGGAAGAGAAATCAGAGGAGCACTGCCTGGCTGACACCTCCGCCACCAGCTGAAACCCCACGCTTGACCATGAAAATGTATCCTGAGATCAGTGCTTGCCGTTTTAAGTCACTATATTTGTGGCACTTTGTTCTAGACCACAGATATCTTCTACACTGGCTCATGGAATTCTCACCACAGCCGCAGAGCACAGGCAGAATTAATGTAGTGCTTCTCAAAGTGTGGTCCTCAGACCAGCAGTGTCAGCATCCTCAGACCAGCAGTATCAGCATCCTCAGACCAGCAGTAACAGCATCCACAGACCAGCAGTATCAGCATCCGCAGACCAGCAGTATCAGCGTCACCTAAGGGCTTGTTAGAAGGGCCAGCTCTCAGGCCTCTCCCCAGATCTGCTAAATCAGAAACACTGGGTGTGAGGCCCAGCAGTCTGTACTTGGGCAAGGCCTCCAGGTGACCTTGGGGCACCTTCAAGCCTGAGAACCACTGGATCAGCCAGCTCTTTAAAGTTGCAGGTGATGAGAAACAAACCCCAAATTCTCTTCGGCACCGCGCAGGGAGTTTGTGGCCTTGTCAGGTAGGAAAATGCAGAAGGACGACTGGCTTTAGGCTCGGCTGGATCCAGGAGCTCAGCCTATTGTTGACTTTGATTTGGCCACATCATGGCTACAGGTGGGCTGTGAGTGGAGAGAGGTGAGGTGCATCAGAGGACAGCCAAGCTCAGAAAGAGGAGTGGATGGACATCGACAGGAAGCAAGCACAGAAATTGCAGGTGCTCCCCGCACAGTGAACAGTGTTTGTCATCTTCACCTCTCAGATAAGCAAACTGAGGACTCCAGAGTTAGGAATGTATCAGGGCCTCAAGGCTGGGATGTGGCAGAACAGAAACTCAAACCTGCTTTCCTTGTTCCTAAATGTCATCTAACTGAGTTACCCAGGATGGCTTCCAGAAGAGGCGAGCATGTGTAGGAAGAGGGGGCACTTTCTTTTTTTTCAAAAAAAGAAAAAGCTGCAACTCAGGAAGGGAGGCGGCCAGTCTCCCAAAGTTCACCTAATAAGAGGATATCAGCCCAACCATCTTTCATATTCTAACCCTGTGTGACTTTGGGTTGCTTTGGGGGCCTCTGAGGACATTTTTCTCACTGGACATCACTGCACGGTTGTCCAGGTTACTCACTTCCACAAAGCCTGATGGGCTCCTCCATGTGGAAACCAGAGCCAGGTGTGCCACCCAAGCAGGTGCCCTCACCCCAGCCATGGCGGGACTGTCTGTGCAGCTTCCAACACCCGCCTCCCAGAGCAGCAGGGTGAAAGTCCAGCTTCCCTGGGGAATCAGTCATTTCCCCTCAGGCCAGTTCTCAGCATCCCTGGAGATCATCCTAGGGTCCTCAGTGAAGGCAGCAAATTGCATAACAAAAACTTTATCAGGAGGAGAGTTTGAAAAAGCCTCTCTTGGAGGGCCACAGTGGGTTTCGGTGAGGTAACCAAAGTCTCCTTTCCCAGGTGAGGACTGAAGCCAATTAGCAGCTCAGGGGCTGAGACGCTGGCCTCAAACTGAAACATCAGCAAATTCTGTGAAACTTGGTGAGATAAAGAATCTCATTTAGGACTAAAGAAGACTTTTTCCTCTCTTGTCTCAGATTCTCTACAGATACAATCATTTTCAGAAAGCCAGTAGCAAGAAAAAAAAATTTCCACGGTTCTCTCATCCCAGAAATGCACTCAGTGACTTGATGTTTTTAAAATACATATTCAAGATACAATAAGGAGCTTCAAATATTTTTAGATATCATGCAGTGCTGGAGAAGTGAGAGTGTGGAGAAAAGCAACTGCCCCATGCTGAACCCAGTGCAAAGCACCCTGATGACAGTAAGAAGTCAGCCAGGAGTTTTATACATACTTACCATGATCAAATAGGTGTAAAAACATCAGGAGAAGTGTTGAAGTAAACTTATTTGTAAGAGGCACATTCAAAATTTCCATTAGAAAAGTTACCAAGCACGTGGTTTATATGCTCATGTAAACTTTTCTGGGAAAGTCTCCAAATTTGTTGAGAACATGGACAATTTCTACCTAGTTCCAGTGATGTGTTTGGATTCTGGTCCTTGGAAGACAGAAAAAATTACCCTTTACTGAGAAACGCTTTCCTGTGAAGACACTGATTACAGAATTAAAAGATGCCCACTGTATTTCCATCGTGAAACAATGCACACAGATTCCTAAGTACTATTTACATTGTTGAAAATAGACTGTGTGACTCCCAGGCATGTTGTGGTCTGTCTTGTATATGTAGGAGGTTTGCTGTTGTGATTTTTAAATGTTAGAAAATTTCATTTAAAAACAGTAGCTCTTCTCAATCCAGTTTCAAAATGCAGTCACACATATGCACCACAGAACAGTATGATTATATTAATCTTCTTTCATGATTCTGAACTTATATGCAATACAATGGGCAGACACTAACATCTCCAATTTCTCATGAGTACTTTTGAAAGCTGCATTTCATTTGAAAGCAATATTTACAAAACTCTCACTTGGCTGTGGTTTTTGCATAGCGATTAATTTTCAATAGAGGAAACCTGGAGAAAATTCCTTCATCTTTTCCCTGGTTCTCTTGGAAGGATTAGAAAATGTGGTGTTAGCTCCTGCAGCTTTCCAGTAACCATTTGGCATGACCTCTCGTTACCGTGTTATTGGAAAGAACACAGGATTCTTTGGGGAACACAGATGTGGCTTCTGCACACATACCGTGCTGGAAGGTTAAACTGTTAATGCCAAATTTCTTTACAGATGAATTTACCTTTTCCTGATGCAGAGATGCAACTGAGGATTGGGGATTTAGGATAATCTTTCAGGGAAACAAATGCAAACACTGTACAAACAGAGATGGGTGACGTTAGCACTCTGCAGGCCCACCTCCTTGCTGAAACCTGCCTCCTTTCTATCTGAGGACAGCTGTCACTCACTTCCAGAGTCCATTTTAATGCTGTGATGATGTTTTCACTCCAAGGCAGCTACCACGGGCCTTTTGTCTTCCTGTCATTCTCTCTGCATTAAAATATTAATATGCATTCTCTGAAGGAATTATTGATGAAGTATAGATTCTGGAATAAAATGGATATTTCTCATGACTTCAAAACTGATTGACTAATCCTGGGTCATATCTACCACTAGATTGATTTGTTAAGGTTTTATGAAAAGAAATAGGAATACTAATTGATATTGAGGATGAAAATATGGCCTGAAGAAAGCATAACTACAAATCATTAGACAAAATCAAGTTGGCTGTTTTAGTGTGGCCAGCTAGTTGTACTTGAAATGTGTAGGATGGGGGAGCTTTTGTGCAATGAGAGGTTGGGGGGAGGTAGCTTTTGTTCAACACTCTAAATCTGAACATCCTGATAGATGTTATTTATTTATTATTTATTTATTTTGGAAGAAGGTTTATTGTAACACTGGCTACTGGTTACCTCCTTTGGTTGCAGTGACAGAAACTGAATTCGAATCAGCTTAGGCATGATGGAGTCATCGACCAGCTCCTCCAGCCGGGTCTAAGGAGGGAGGCTCTTCAGGAACACCTGGACCCAGGGGCTGTGAGGATGGCACATTCCCCTCTCTGCATCTCTCTGCAATTTTTAACCTCAGCTTGGTATCATGACACGTGCAGATTCCCCGTCTTCCAGAACATGGAGACACAGTGATCAACAGTGACCCAAGTTCCCTGACCCCCGCTTTAGCAGCCCCAGCAGCAAGGGCAGCCCAAGCTTTCCACCTTAGGGTGACCTCAGATGCCCACTCAGTAGTCTTCAATGGGGTTGCACAGCCTCTCAGGGAACTTTGCCTGTGGTGTCACAATGATTGGAGGGTGCTTCCAGCATTGGCAAGGGAATGAGGGAGTCAGGAACGCTAAACCACCTTGCACAGTTGAGACCTGTGCCCACCCTCCATGGTGGATGTTTACTTGTCCAGCCAGAGATTCCCAGAGAAAAGAAGCTTGTTAATTTTCTGAGCCTAGGAGCGTATGCTGGTTTGCAATGAACGTAAAGCATCTGTAACACACACTGGGTTTTCCAGAAACAGACCTCTGTGAATTTGTATTTTCCGAAGTGGAAAGGCCTGACATCACCGGGAGTTGCTCCCCATTTTAGAGTCACTTCTGTGGCCGTGCCTTAGGGTCTTCTTGCATTGGTATAAAGGAATACCTGAGAGTGGATAATCTATTTTAAAAATGAGTTTAATTGGCTCACAGTTCTGCAGACATCACAGGAATCGTGGTGGCATCAGCTTCTGGGGAGGCCTCAGGAAGCTTCCAATCATGGCAGAAGGCAGAGGGGGGCACAAACATGTCAGGTAGTGAGAGCAGGAGCACGAGAGAGCAAGAGGACGTGCTGCACACTCTGGCGACGGAGTCTCACTCTGTCGCCCAGGCTGGAGTACAGTGGCACGATCTTGGCTCACTGCAAGCTCTGCCTCCTGGGTTCACGCCATTCTCCTGCCTCAGCCTTCCGAGTAGCTGGGACTACAGGCACCTGCCACCACACCCGGCTAATTTTTTGTATTTTTAGTAGAGACGGGGTTTCACCGTGTTAGCCAGGATGGTCTCGATCTCCTGATCTCATGATCCACCCGCCTCAGCTTCCCAAAGTGCAGGGATTATAGGCGTGAGCCACCGCGCCCGGCCTCCTGCACACTTTTAAATGACCAGATCTTGCAAGAGCTCCCTACCAGGAAGGCAGCACCAAGCCATGAGTGATCCATCCCCACCACCCAAACACCGCCACCAGGCCCCACCTCCAGCATTGCAGATCACAATTCAACAGATTTGGGCAGGGACAAACATCCAAGTGATATCATTACAGCAACACCGCTGGTGGGCTGGAGCTGCCAAGGGCCTGTGGGCACCCTCCCTGCTTTGTGAGTGAGGCCATCGCCCACCCACAGCCGGCCAGCCGGCCACAGAGCATCCGTGGGGTTGTTCCGGAACATTTTCATTTTGAAATATATATTTTATTATCAATTGCTTTCCTTTCAAGTGACCTTTATATTACAGCTAGGGCATAAAATTCATTTCTTATTAAATCGTGCGTGTAGGTAGGTTACATTATTTCATTTCAGGAGTAGCACATAGATCCTTGACTGATGGCTGTGCAAGGAGGCTGATGGGACAAGGGGCACGAGCGGGGATGACTGGAGCTCCCACAGAGAGTCTCGGCTCCCAACGCAAAAACCGGAAACCATGCCTACTACACTTGCTCAGAGACAAAGTACAGGGGAAAAAATGGAAGCATGCACAGAAATAAATGTGGATTTAAAAAGCAATACATGTGTCTTAGGATTCTCCAGAAAAACAGAACAGGATGTGTGCATGGGTGTATTTGTATACAAAAAAATAGAGAAAGAGATTAGTTATAAGGAATTGGCTCGTGTGATGATTGAAGGCAGGCCGGCCTCACGCACCACAGTCCGCAAGCTGAGACGCAGGGCAGTGGATGTTTTCGCTCCAGTCCAAGAGCAGGTCCGCTCTAGACCCGAGAAGCACGGAGACTTCAGTCCCAAAGTCAGAAAATGACCCAAGTCCTAGCTCACAGTCGTCAGACAGCAGGGGCTCCCTCTTACCTGGAGGAGGATCCGTCTTTCTGATCTATTCAGGTCAGGCGTGGATTGGCGGAGGCACTCACACGGCGGAGAGCACCTGCTTGTCTCAGTCTACCGACTCAATTGCTAATCTCAGCCAGAAACGTCCGGGCACCCCAGCACCCAGTCATGTTGACACATAAAATTAACCATCACGACACGCAAAACTAAACTCACAGATCATATGCGCTGCGGAGAAAATCTTCTCACTACAGAACTCTGTGCAATTTAACAAAAAAAAAAAGTCATTCTTGCATCATCTAGGGAGGTGGGTCAGGCGTTACCTGAAATTTTCCTGGTTACGTATTTTTAGGTATCAAGAGAACCAAGGGAGCATTTTCTTAATAAAGTGATTACAGGGCCCTAATGTTGCCGATTAGGATGGACATTTTCAGAATTAGATTTGTGGAGTTAAAATTTACTGAAGTCGGGAGTTCTCCCCCACCCCGGGCACTACTGATATTTTGAACCAGGTAATTCTGGGTTGCGGGGTTGGGCGGTCGGAGGGCGCGTCCTGTTCTGTGTTGCGGGGTTGGGCGGGCGGAGGGCGCGTCCCGTGCTGTGTTGCGGGGTTGGGCGGGCGGAGGGCGCGTCCCGTTCTGTGTTGCGGGGTTGGGCGGGCGGAGGGCGCGTCCCGTTCTGTGTTGCGGGGTTGGGCGGGCGGAGGGCGCGTCCCGTTCTGTGCTGCGGCGTTGGGCGGGCGGAGGGCGCGTCCTGTTCTGTGTTGCGGGGTTGGGCGGGCGGAGGGCGCGTCCTGTGCTTTGTAGAATGCTTAGCCGCATCCCTGACTTCCATCCAGAAGGTGCCGGTACCACCTCCATCAGGTATGACAAGCAAAACTGTCTCCAGACATTGCCAGATCTTCCGGGGAGCATAAACTGCCCCTGCCCAGTTGAGAGCCACTGCTCTAAAGGAAACAAGGCAATTCACGCAGTGCCAGCTGCTGATTTTTTTTTTAATTTAATGTGGACAGTGAGCTGCACGTGCTGTTAGACAGGAGCAGTGATACCCACGGCTGTTGACTGAGACACTCCCAAATTCCATGTCCCCAAAGCTCTTAAGCATCTTTGTGCAGAGGCCCAGGCTAAAATATTCATCCTGCTCATCTTCATGAGTGTAGCAGCATCATAGCAACTGCCTCTGGCGGCCAGCGCTGGCGAGTGTTTGGGAATGAGCGCACATCAGCACACGCCAGCTCCAGGCCTGGTAAACAGGGGTAGGGAGAAGTGGCCGACGACTTCAGCTTTTCAGAGCATGAAGGGGCCGAGTCTTGAAACTCACCACAAGATGTTTCCGAGAGGAGAATGTGATGGATGCTCACACATTCAACATGACAAGTGTTAAGACTCATCATTGAATCAGATCGCATTAAAAGATTAATATAAAATTAGATTCAAAGATAGCTTTGAAGGTGGACCTTTCCCTTCGCAAGAGTTAAGCAGAGCTCTAAAAGCAGAATCAGCTGCAAGGCACAGGCAGCGTTCTCCTCCGTTTCTTCTTGCACATGGAGTTTTCACCACGGGCTGAAAGAAATTTGCCAAAGAGTGAATGTTTCCTCCAAGATATGCTTGGAATATAAGAGAAGATGCCGATGACAACGCCAACCAAGATGACCCCGTCTCCCAAGAGAAGATGCCAATAATGCCAACCAAGATGACCTCATCTCCCAAGAGAAAATGCCAATGACAATGCCAACCAAGATGACCCCGTCTCCCAAGAGAAGATGCCAATGACCACGCCAACCAAGATGACCCCGTCTCCCAAGAGAAGATGCCAATGACAACGCCAACCAAGATGACCCCGTCTCCCAGGAGAAGATGCCAATGACAACGCCAACCACGATGACCCTGTCTCCCAAGAGAAAATGCCAATGACAACGCCAACAAAGATGACCCGTCTCCCAAGAGAAGATGCCAACGACAACACCAACCAAGATGACCCTGTCTCCCCAGGGGATTTGGGAGGTTCCTCATGCAAACTTGTGTTCTCTCTGCTGACCATGCCGCCCAGGCTCCCGGGGGCTGGGCTTTGTGCTATTTTCCCACTTCCTTCTGTGCTGAATCCAGAAACATCCCTGAACATGGGCCCTCAGTGTAAACACTACTGCCCATAGAGCACTCAGGGCTTGCCAGTACTCAGCTCAAAGCTTTACTCAGATGGTTTCATTGAATCCCCAAGGAACCCCACAAGGAGGGTTTGGTCCTTAGCACAGTTCTCCAGATGAGGAGCCGTGAAAGGATGCACACCTCTCCCAAGGCCAGAATGGCAGTGGGTGGTGGTGCTGTGATCCCACACTCTGACCCCTGACACCCTAAGGCAAACCTCGCACCTGCCAGGCTGACCCACAGCCCTGTCTGCCTCTCTCACTCCTCCCACCACTCCACCCCTCTTGACAGGGAGGTCTCCTCAACACAGAGAGGCCCGTTCTGCCTCCATAAATTTGTGCCAGAAAAAACTGCTGTCCAAAGACCCAACCCTCCAGCCTTACCTGGAGAAGCCTCAGTGCCTTCCCCACCAGATCTTACTCTTACCGTCTGAGGCCCCAGCACTGTGCTTTTGCTCTGTTAAAATAGAAACCAGGGCATACTATGTCCTGCTCAGAGCTCCCCAGAGGCTTAAAATAGAATCCCAGGGTGGTGTGAAACCCATGAGCTTAACTTCCCACCTCAAAATCTAGAAAAAGAATAAATGAAACCCAAAGTAACAGAAAAACAGAGTATATAAATCTATGAAATAGAAAGTAAACAATAAAGAAAATTAAAAAGGCAAGCAATGTTTTGAAAGGCTAAAAAAAGGTTAAATTTCTAGCTAGACAGAAGAAGGAGAGAAATTAAAAATTACAAATATTAAAAATAAAAGGAGTGCCTTCACTGAGATACTGAAGTCATGTAATGATAAAGGAAAGTTATGAATGAATTAAGGCTAATATGTCTTAACCATCAATGAAATTACAAATTCTTAAAATATAATGTATCAAAACTACACAAGAAGAAACAATAAAAACTGATTTAAGAAGAAATATATCATGTAAATGTCCTATATGTTTTAAGGCATTTGAATCTGTTATCAAAAAGTTTCCCACAGGGCAGGTGTTGTGGCTTATGCCTGAAATCCTAATACTTTGGGAGGCCAAGGATGGAGGATTGCTTGAGCCCAGGAGTTCGAGACCAGCCTGGGCAACATAGCAAGACTCTCATCTCTACAAAAAATTTAAAAATTATCTGAGTGTGGTTGTACGTGCCTGTATTCCTGGCTATTTGGAAGGCTGAGGTAGGAGGACTGCTTGATCCTAGGAGTTTTAGGCTGCAATGATCTATTATCACATCATTCCACTCCAGACTGGGTGAAAGAGCAAGACTCCAAAATTTTTTTAAAAAAGAAATAATTTCCCACAAAGAAAGTTCAAGGCTGGGTGCTGCCTGCCTCTCCCTCGTGCATTTCCTTCCACTGGCATCCCACTGGTAAGTCATCCAAATATTTAGTGTTGCCACATTTCAGGGGCTGACAATGCTATGCCCATCAATGATGATGTTCTCGCAGCCAGGTCAGAAAGTCCATGAATAAGCATCAAAATCCTAGTTTAGAATCTGCCTCATTGGCTCATTGTTGGTATTAATTGTCATAACTAAGTTTTCCTAGCTAGGACACAGCTGGGAATGCCCCCACCAAAGAGGAATTGAGAGGTTCTTGCAGAATTCACACTGTGGGAGAGTGAAAAGACCAGGATCAGATAGAGGGAGAAGCTGAACTATGATGCAGCTGCCCAGGTCTTGAAACTCCCCGAGCTCTGCACCTGGGAGAACTCTACAAAGTCATCCCTTCCAGCGCAACGGGCCCACATTCCTGTGCTGACCAGGCATTAGACGAGGCTGCCTGAGGCCGGAAGCATAGCTTTGGCCAGGACAGCACCCTCCGGCAGAAAGCAATGCTCAGAGAAGAATGTGGCTGGAACCCAGCAGCCACGAACACCCCAAGCAACCCAGGGACTTGGTGCCTGGGTTCTGACAAGGGAGGAACTAGGTGCCGTACCTCTGCAGCCACTGCCATCAACATACAGAAATCAACTGTGTTTCCACATCTTAGCAACAAACCGTGGACTACAAACTATTCAAAAATACCATTTATAATAGCATTAGAACACATAAAATACTTAGTCATACATTTAATTAAATGTGCAAGACTTCTATACCCCAAAATAGATAACACTGTAGATAAAAATTACAGTAGACCTCAGTAGATATATAATCTGAATGTCCTGTATGTTTTAATGAATTTACTTCTGTTATCAAAACGTTTCCCAAAGGCTAGCTGTGGTGGCCGTGTTCATGGAGAGAACTCAGCATTTTTAAGATGCCAATTTGTCTCTACATTGATTTATATAGCCCATGAAATCCCTATAAAAGCCCTAGTATACCTTTTTGTAGAAACTTATAAACTGATACTAAAATTAATGTGAAAATGCAAAGAACATAGAATAACCTAAGCAATCTTTAAAAGAAGAGAATAAAAATGGAGGACTCTGCCTACCCAGCTTCTAGATTGACTACCTTACAATGATCAACTCAGTGTGGTGTTTGCTTAAGGATAGGCAAAATGATCAATGGAACAGAGGAGAGAACAGAAATCGATCCACCCATATAGAGACAGCTGATTTTTTTTTCAAAGATGTCAAGATAATTCATTGGGGAATGAATGATCATTTCCACTACTGATGCTGGAATAATTGCATATCCAAGCTTATTAAAATAATCATCATCATCTCAATTCCTGCTTCATACCATACACAAAAATAAATATGAGACGGATTAGATGGATTATAGACTTCATCCTAAAAGCTAAAATTATAAAACTTCTAGAAGAAAACAAAGGAGAATAACATTGTCAACTTAGGAGAAGTAAAGATTTCCTGAAAAGTACCAGAAAGCATTCATGATAAATTGGACTTCAAGATTAAAAACTTCAAGTCTTTAGAAAACATTATTAAGAAAATGAAAAGGTAAACCACAGATCAGTTTAAAAATATTCACAGTACACATATCCTAATGAAAAGCCTCTGTAAATCAGTAACAAAAAGAGCTCAATTTTTAAAAAAGTAGAAGACTTGAATAGATATTTTTTCTTTCTTTGTTTTTTTTTTTTTTTTTTTGAGACAGAGTCTTGCTCTGTCACCAGGCTGCAGTGCAGTAGCACAATCTTGGCTCACTGCAACCTCCACCCTCCAGTTTCAAGCAATTCTCTCTGCCTCAGCCTCCCCAGTAGCTGGGATTACAGGTGCCTGCTACCATGCCTGGCTAATTTTTATGTTTTTTAATAGCGACGGGGTTTTGCCATGTTGGCCAGGTTGGTGTTGAACTCCTGACTTCACGTGATCCGCCCACCTCAGCCTCCCAAAGTGCTGGGGTTACAGGTGTAAGCCACGATACCAAGCCGGAATAGATGTTTTAAGAAAAGAACATATATGAATGTCCAACAAATACATGTAGTGGTGCTAAATGTCCTGAGTTCAGGGAAAGAGACATTGACTCCCACTGGGATGGCGCTTTTTGTGTTGGCAAGCATGGGGGCAACTGAAACTCTTGGGCATTGAGGACAAAAACATAAAATGGGGAAACCACTTGGAAATGGTTTGGCAGTTTCTTACGAAGTAAAAAGGACTAGCCTATCACCCAATGATTCAACTCTTAAATTTTACCCAAGAGAAATAAGAATAAATCCACACAAAAGATTTGTTTTATTCATGATCCAGTACTGGAACCAATCCAGAAGTCATCAACAGGTGAATGTAGGACAAATGCAACACAGCTCATCAATAGAAGGGACAAACCTTCAGTACCTGAAGCAGGTGGAGGTCACCAATCGTGCTGTGTAGACAAGTCCAGGCTTGAAGGAGCACCCTCTGCAGGATTCCGTCTACAGGAGGTTCCAGAACAGGGGGAAAAAAGCCGTGACCACCAAAATTGTATCTGGTTTCTCACATGGGTTGTGGGAATGGCATGCAAACAAGAATGAGTGGGGATGAAAATATTCTCTATCTTGTTTAGGACACACATGTTTGCCAAAAGTCATGGAATGTCTTACTTGAAATCTGTGCCTTTGTTAAATGCAAATTATACCTCAATGCAGTGGATTAAAAACTAAAGTGAAATCCATACTTTTCCCTCAACCTCAAGGCTCCCCCATGACCTCTCCTGCCTCCCAGGATCCTCCCACACTGGTCCCCACGCTCTGGTCGGCTGGTCCTCAGGTCCAAGGAGCTGCTTACCTTTGGACTGTGTGCATGTGCATGGCTCCACCTAGACAGCTCTCCTGCCATGCATCTGCACCGACAGCCATTGAGTACATTCTGAGTGTGTGTGTGTGTGTGTGTGTGTGTGTGTGTGTGTGTACGGGGGGGTGTAGTATTTAATTCAAGGCAAACATTAATCAAAAGTAAGACATGGTATTTCCTAGTAGTTAAAGATGTAAATTCTGGAACCTGGGTTCTTACCCTGGCTTTACCGTTTACCAGCTGGACAACTGTAGGTGAGTGACTCAACTTCTCTCTGCCTCCATTTCCCCATCTGTGAAATGAGTATGGTAATAGCTACTTTATAGAGAGCTGCAGGAAGGGTTCAGTGAGTTAGTACCTGTGAAGTGCCTTCAGCAGCATGGAGCACACACGACGCTCCAGTTCAGTGTTGGCATGTCTATGGGTTGTCCTAATTCAACACCGTCAGGATTCAAAGGAATAGCAATGAACTTAGGGTCATCTGTATTTCAATAGCCATGAACTTCAGGTCATTCACTTGAGGTGACCTGGGCTTTAGCCTCAATCCTTCTAGCAGCGAGTTGGGTGCACTTACAAAAGCAACATGCCTGGGGCTCATTTCTCACCTATCAGATGAGGCTTAGGCTGGATCCCTGCTTCCAAATTACAGTTCTTCAAGGCCACATTTAATATATGTATTTATTACTTACTTAACAGTTTTCTTTAAATCATCATTTTTTAACTTGGATATATCTAACCTCATCCTACGCTATAATATCAACAAAATTAAGGGTTTGATTTGTTAATTAATTTTTTTTTCTTAATACACATTGAAAGCATTGTTTGAATACCAGGAAAAAATTTAACTGTTTGTTCACAGGCTCTCTCAAACTGTCTCACATGTCACCTGTTGTATGCATGTTGGGATACACGGGGCTGGATGGTGGCTGAGCGCTCTCCTGGCCCGAGGCTCCTTGTGCCTCCACAGTGCTGCTAGGAGACCCGACAGCCTCAGCTGTGCTGGGAAAGAGAAACCACCCAGGCAGCAGCATGAGGCAGCTGGGAGACGGCTAAGCTCAGGACGCCCAGGGTGCTCGGAATGATTCAGGCTGGATGATGATGAGGACGGAGTTTCTATGGGAGACAGTTACAAAAACATCGAGAGAGGAAGAAAACAAGCCGCATGAATCTCTTCAGGACAGAGTGTTTCATTGTCTAGTATTATCTAACATTACAACTGGGAAAAAAGAACGCTCTTAGAATCTCAACATGGGACTTGGCCTTATATGTTAATAACAATCACTCCTTATTGCTATCAAGTGAGCTGAATACGTATGGGATGGCTATTTCTTTGTCTTGCTTTACTTCCCCATGAGCTAAAGGCACAGAGAGATCACGTGCACCATCGTAGGCAAAGTGATCCTCCCAGATTCAACATCCTTGCCCAGCAATGCACGCCTGTGCTCTGATGCATCAGAATCTCTGTGTGTCTTACAAAACCCTCAGACATGCTTCAGAGTAAGGAGGAGAATGACATGATAGGAAGCCAGAGAAATGGGCAAAGGCAAGGTCATTTAGAGTGAGAGTTGACAAACATTTTCCGAAAAGAGACAGAAATAAAATATTTTAGGCTTTGCGGGCCGTATGGTGTCTGTCACAGCTACTCAGCTCTGCCTTTGTAGCTCATGAAAGCAACCCCAGATAACTTGCAAATGAAGTGACATGCCTGTGCCCCGATGAAATCTTATTTACAAAGCTATCTCCCTCCATGCTAGGCATGGCCTTGTGCCACGTTCACTAGCAACCTTGGAGCCTGCCACGGGAGACCACACCTGCAGACAGGCCCACTTCCTCACTGCTTAGGGACCTGGGAGGGCCGGACTCCTGAACTGAGATAGAGGAAGACCTTGCCTGTGTAAGCTACCATTACCCTTGTCTTCTTGAAACATGCAGCTGAGCCTAATCCCAGCCAATGCAACCTCCTTTCCACCCAAGGACCTAGGCTCCAGGGCCACAGGGGCTGGGTCTGACTCTACCTTTGTATCTCCCATCCCCCAGTTTGCAGCCCAGTGCGCAATGAAAATGTGTCTCTTCTTGATAAATTATGAGATTTCTTTCAATCCTGGATACCAAAAGTCAAGTTAATTTCTTTCTTTCTTTCTTTCTTTTGGCTGGTTTCTTTAAAAATAACAGCTTTATTGAGGTATAATTCACAAATTCACGTACCATAAAGTTCACTTTTTAAAAATACAGTTTAGTGGTTTTTAGTATAATTGGGCCTCATTATTCCTAGATTCCATATTTGCAAATTAGCCTACTTACAACAATTTCAGTTCATTTCTTTTTACTCCTCTTTGTCCCCAAAGGTAAAGCCGGGCCCAGTCTCTCTGAACACTGCCGGGTGCATCGTAAGTGGCACCAGCCTACAGAAGGATTTACCCAAAGCAGGGCTGTCCATGGTTAAACTGTGCTAGACCCAGTACATTTCAAATCTGATTCCCTCTGCCAACAAGTGGGGCATCACGGATGGCTTCTGAGACCCAGCTGGCCCCTAAAACATAAGGATGAGATGTGACGAGGGCCCAGGTGCTGACTGAATGTGAGGCCCGGAGAACCGCGGCAGCCTGTCTGAGCAGAAGATGGTCAACCTATCCTTGTTTGAGTCTTTGATTGCACAATTCCCTTTTCAAAAGGTAATTGAAGTTATTTAACAGCTGTTTGTGTTGGAAAAGCAGGAAGAAACAGAAAGATATGTTTCCAAATGTGTGCTGCCTTCTCTTGCTCCATCTGAATCAAATCATGATATTACCAGAGTTTTAAAATGCAAAAGAATACGGAGGTAGCTGCCAAAAAACCACCTTTCTTTGCCATTGGTTCTTTGTTGAAACAAAATGCCTTTCCCACCTTTTCAAAGTCAGAAATGGAGCTCAAGTTCATTGCAGGATTAAGAGGTTCTTGCTCCGCACCCCCACTTGCCTTTCCCTGTATCATCAACTCAGCCACGAGGGGCTGTGGCTCACTGTCTGCCTCACGATTGAAACCCCGGCTCACGGGTCCGTCTTCTCCAGGGAGAGCTTCTCTTCCCTAGAACTGCATCTGTGGGGACGAGCTGACATGCGATGCTGTGTACTGGCTCATGGATAGGAAGGCAGGGCGCATGCATGCTCACCACCAAAACGGGGCAAGAACACGGGGACCAGCCCACGTGTAAGCAACTGTTAGATTCAGGAACAGCCCGCCAGAGTCTTCCACAGCCGCCTGCTGCATTTAGCTTGGATCTCAGGGATGGCAATGGGTTCTGGGGGAGTTCAGGGCCACAGGATGTGGTGGGAACGTAGAGGACACAGAGCAAAGGTTACCTTCCAGCCAGTGGGAAGCAGCTTAGATCCTAGGAGTGTGTAAAATTGACCAAGAAGTAGGATGGGTTGGGGATGGGAACATGGGAGGGGGAGAGGTCAGAGCACCTGTTCTAGTCCCATCTGCCTTCATGTTCAGGAGGGCCAGCTGCTGGTTTGTGCGTGGCATCATAGGGATTTCTAGAAGTGCCCAGCAGCCCCCAGATATTATGGACTGAGGCCTATCCTTCAGGCCACAGTGAATTCCACAGGCTGGCCAGCACCAGGTAGATAGAGTCCTGCCCTGACACTGCACGTGGATACAAGAAGAGAAAATGCCTCCTTCCTTCTGAGGTCACAAACGGAGACAGCAGCAGCCAGGGATTTCCTGTGGAAAGGCCCCAGATGAATTCCCATGCCCACTCATGGAGAAACATCCAGCATGGCACAGGTGGAATTGACTGCCTGGTGTCAGAAAGGCCCAACAGGAGCTGACCTCTGGCCCCGAGGGCCTCTGTAATTCTGGCTGAGCGGAGCACACACCCTCGCCTCTGGCTTCTCCAGCTCCAGAAGCTGATGGCTGTTCCAGGCCTGGCCACTTGGAGCAGAACAGCCCCTTTGGTTCAAAGATGGGCCCTCCTGGGACTTCTACTGGAAGTAAATCCCAGAAAGAAGATTACCCATCCTTCCATGATGTCTGACGCTCTAAATTAAGCCAGCCTGTTGCCCAGGGGGTTATCTTTGTCACCCCAAGAAGAGAACTGGGGTGTAGATGATGCCACCCTCTAGGAAATAGAGCTTAGAGACAGAGTGACATCTCTGAGCCCCTGGGTACAGCTGTGACAGAAGCTTTTCAGTTGAGACTTTTCAGTCTTGTGAGCCTACAAACTCCTGTGACTCTCCTAGTCACTGCTGTCACTCATCACCAGAAGAGTCCTGTCTGGTTCAATCACCGAGGACAATGACATCTTCGGGCCTCGCTGTCCCATAGGTTTGTGTTAAATGGTGTCACCATGGTGACCTGCCAGGTCTCTGCCTAGGAGAAGCAAGAACATGCATTTCAGTTGTCCAGGCACTTCCTACAGGGGGACAGGATCGAGTCCACGGAGGAGCAGCTCTTGAGGGTGATGCCCCAGACCTGAGGGGGACAGAGAGTATCCCCCCTCCATTCCTGGCTCCTCAGAACTCACTGTGCCACACACTCCAGGGACTGGTGGAACTGCAGAAAACCGGACAGGGATGGGAGGGGAGGCAAAGACAGTGCTGCATAGACCCCCACCGAACAAAATGTGATTGCTTGCTTATTTGCCCTTCTCCAGCTAGCTATTCCAGAAGACCATCTGGGAACCCACAACAATTAGACATTGCTTAGCCGGAGCCTGCCAGAAATCAAGTGCCTCCATCATATTATAAACAGCCCAAAGCTCAGTGTAGAAAACACAGACTCAGACAGTGCCTCCATCATGTTATAAACAGTCCAAAGCTCAGTCTAGAAAACACAGACTCAGACAGTGCAAAAGCCACGCCTGCAGTATAGCCTGTGGGTCTGACACTCAGCGCTCCAGACGCTGCTCTTGACGGGAACGAGTGTGGAAATTCAAGAGGCAAGCATCTTGCCCGCCCACTCTGCACTCATGCCAGCCTGTCCTTCTGCCAGCTGTCTTGTCGTCTCAGTCCTCCTAGCACTCTGCCTCCCAGGAAATGTCACCCAAGTACACTATGGGAAGGCAACACTAGTTTTTATTCATTTTCTGGGAAAATTCTGTGAATTCTTGGTGAATTTTCAAAAGCCACTAGACCTCATTTTTGAATAAGAAAAATCACCCAATAGAACAGAGCGAGGTTGAGTCCCCCCCGCTTATGACTATATTGAGGTAGATTTTACATCTCATAACATTTACCCATTTCAAGTATACAATTCAATGATTTTTAGTAACTTTACCAAGCTGCTAAAAATTACATCACCATAAACCGGTTTCAGACATTTTCATCTCCCCGATAAGATCCCTCACACCCATCTGCAGTCACTCCCTACGCCCACCCCCAGCCACAGGGAACCACCAATCTACTTCCTGTCTCTGTGATTTGACTTTCCTGGACATTTCATGTAAATGGAATCATAATAGTTGGTCTTTTGTGTCTGGCTTTCTTCCCTTAGCATGAGGTTTTCAAGTTTCATCCATCCTATAGCAGGTATCTGTGCTTTGTTCCTTCTATGGCAGAATAATATTCTGTGGTACAGATGCACCATATTTGTCTACTCATCCACCAGTTGATGGGTATTTGGGTTGTTTCCAGTTTGGGACTACTGTAAATTTGTGAGCAAATATTTTTGTAAACCTATGCTATGCTTCTCTTGAATAGGTGCGGAGGAGTAGAACTGCTGGGTCTTAAACAACAGGGTTGTTGTGCAAGCAGCAAGGCACTTGAGTCTAAGGTCTTCAAGTTCATCTAACAAGGTGCCTCAGAGCACAGGATCTGCACTTGAGCCCTGGCTTGGCCATTTTTGAGTGAGTGTCAGCTTGAGCTGGTCATTTAAGCCTTTAAAACCTCAGTGTTCTCATCTGCAAAATGGGGGTAATAAGAGCCCAGTGATCACTTTACTACTCCAAGTAAGAGTTTGCAGAAGGCAGGTCAGCCTCCTTTGGTGTTTTTAATTGGTTTGCATTCCTGCTTTGCTCGTCCTTGACTTGGAGATCTTATGTCTTGGGAAACTGCCTCATGTGCTTCTCACTCACTGCCCCTCACTTGGCACCTCTGTGCATGCACACCAGGCTGTTATGACACTGCACCCCTTGGGCCAGCTTTCCTACCCTGCCTCCTTCTGATTGCAGCTGCTGTGGCCTTGATATTCTCCTGGGTTCCTCCATTAGGAGCTGTTCTGTCAGCTGTCACATTGTCATTGTCCATTATCTTTCTTTAGCTAATATTCATCTTGTGTTCTAAATGATGCATTAAAAAAAAGAAATGCTCAATCTGTACAATGAAAACTATAAAACACCAATGCAAGAAATAGAAGGCAACACCAAAAGATGAAAAGATATTCCATGTTCATGGATTGAAAGATTTCATATTGTTAAAAATATCCATACCACCTAAAGCAATCTACAGATTCAATGCAATCCCTATCAAAATACCCATGGGATTCTTCATATCAATAGAAAAAACAACCCTAAAATGTATATAGAACCGCAAAAGACCCAGGATAGCCAAAGCTATCTTGAGCAAAATGAACAAAACTGAAATAATTACATTACCTGACTTCAAATTATACTACAGAGCTATAGTAAACAAAACAGCATGGTACTGGCATAAAAACAAATATATAAACCAATGAAACAGAATAGAGAACCAAGAAACAAATCCATACATCTATGGTGAACTCATTTTCAACAAAAATGCCAAGAACATACACTGGGGAAAGGACAGTCCCTTCAACAAATAATGCTGGGAAAACTGGATATCTATATGCAGAAGAATGAAACTAGACTCCATCTCTCGCCATATACAAAATTCAAATAAAAACGGATTAAAGACTTAAATCTAAAACCTCAAACTCTGAAACTACTAAAAGAAGATATCAAGGAACCTCTCTAGGATATCAGTCTGGGCAAGGGTTTCTTGAGTAATACCCTACAAGTACAGACAACCAAAGCAAGAAGTAGACAAATGGAATCACATCAAGTTAAAAAGCTTCTGTGCAGCAAAGGAAACAATCAACAAAGTGAAGAGACACCGCACAGAACGGGAGAAAATATTTGCAAACTATCCATGTGACAAGAGATTAATAACCAGAATATATAAAGAGCTCAAACTACCCTATAGGAAAAAAATCTAATAATCTGTTTTAAAAATGGAAAAAATGATCTGAATAGATATTTCTCAAAAGAAGACATACAAATGGCAAATACGTACATTAAAAGGTGCTCAGCATCAGTGATCATCAGAGAAATGCAGATGAAAACTACAATGAGATATCTTACCCCAGCTAAAATGGCTTTTGTCCAAAAGACAGGCAATAACAAATACTGGCAGGAATATGGAGAAAAGGGAAGCCTTGTACACTGTTGGTGGGAATGTAAATTAGTACAACCACTATGGAAAACAGTTTAGAGGTTCCTCAAAAAACTAAAAATAGAGTTACCATACAATCCTGCAATCCCACTGCTAGGTCTACACCCAAAAGAAAGAAAATCAGTATATCAAAGAGATATCTGTATTGCCATATTTGTGGCAGCACTGTTCACAATAGCCAAGATGTGGAAGCAATCTATGGGTCCATCAACAGACAGATGGATAAAGAAAATGTGCTACGTACACTCAATGGAGTACTATTCAGTCATAAAAAAGAATGAGATCGTGTCATTTCCAACACTATGGGTGGAACTGGAGGTCATTATTTCAGTGGGTTAAGTAAAGTAAGCCAGGCACAGAAAGACAAATTTCCCATGTTCTCACTTATTTGCGGGAGGTAAAAATTAAAACAATTGAACTTACGAAGATAGTAGAATGGTGGTTACCAGAAGCTGGGAAGGGGAGTTGGGGGGAAGGATGGTTAATGGGTATAAAAATATAGCTAGATGGAATAAATAAGACCTAGTATGTGATGGCACAACAGGGTGACCGCAGTTAACAATAATTTAAATTTACATTTAAATTATATACAATTTAAATTTACACTTAAATTATATACAATTTAAATTCACACTTAAATTATATACAATTTAAATTTACACTTAAATTATATACAATTTAAATTTACATTTAAATTATATACAATTTAAATTTACATTTAAATTATATACAATTTAAATTTACATTTAAATTATATACAATTTAAATTGTACAATTGAAAATAACTAAAATAGTATAATTGGATTGTTTGTTACACAAAGAAAGGACAAATGCTTGAAGGTAATCATGTACCCACATGCTTGAGGGTAAATCAACTTTATCCTGATGTGATTATTATGCGTTGTATGCCTGTTAAAATATGTTATGTACCTTATAAACAGATACACCTACTATATGCCCACAACAACTTTAAATAATTTTTTTATTTTAAAGTATTTATTTTTGTTTTTATTTTTTCCATTGTCCCACTCATTTTAATGAAATAATCATTTTTCATATGCCAAGGTTCCCCAATTTTTAAGTAATTTCAGCAGTAATTTTTTTAAATTACAGAATTTTATTTAAAAATAATGATGTAAAAATCACAAATAAAATATTATCCAGCAATAGCCCATTATAAGAATAATATATTAACTGAAGCTTATCCCAATAATGCAAGAAAGGTCTGGTAATAGGAAATCTATTAATGTATTATGAATATATAAAAAAGAGAAAAACCATGATATATTCACAAATGCAGAAAAGGAAATAACATTTGACATTTCATTTCTGATAAAACGTTTGATAAAATAAGAATAGGTACATACTTTTTTTTAAATTTTACTATTATTATACTTTAAGTTTTAGGGTACACGTGCAGAACGTGCAGGTTTGTTACATATATATACATGTGCCATGTTGGTGTGCTGCACCCATTAACTGGTCATTTAGCATTACGTATATCTCCTAATGCTATCCCTGTCCCCTCTCCCCACCCCACAACAGTCCCCAGTGTGTGATGTTCCCCTTCCTGTGTCCATGTGTTCTCATTGTTCAATTCCCACATATGAGTGAGAACATGCGGTGTTTGGTTTTTTGTCCTTGCGATAGTTTGCTGAGAATGATGGTTTCCAGTTTCATCCATGTCCCTACAAAGGACATGAACTCATCATTTTTTATGGCTGCATAGTATTCCATGGTGTATATGTGCCACATTTTCTTAATCCAGTCTATCGTTGTTGGACATTTAGGTTGGTTCCAAGTCTTTGCTATTGTGACTAGTGCCACTATAAACATACGTGTGCATGTGTCTTTATAGCAGCATGATTTATAATCCTTTGGGTATATACCCAGTAATGGGATGGCTGGGTCAAATGGTATTTCTAGTTCTAGATCCCTGAGGAATCGCCACACTGACTTCCACAATGGTTGAACTAGTTTACAGTGCCACCAACAGTGTAAAAGTGTTCCTATTTCTCCACATCCTCTCCAGCGTTTGTTGTTTCCTGACTTTTTAATGATCGCCATTCTAACTGGTGTGAGATGGTATCTCATTTGGTTTTGATTTTCATTTCTCCGATGGCCAGTGATGATGAGCATTTTTTCATGTGTTTTTTGGCGGCATAAATGTCTTCTTTTGAGAAGTGTCTGTTCATATCCTTTGCCCACTTTTTGATGGGGTTGTTTGTTTTTTTCTTGTAAATTTGTTTGAGTTCATTGTAGATTCTGGATATTAGCCCTTTGTCAGATAAGTAGGTTGCAAAAATTTTCTCCCATTCTGTAGGTTGCCTGTTCACTCTGATGGTAGTTTCTTTTGCTGTGCAGAAGCTCTTTAGTTTAATTAGATCCCATTTGTCAATTTTGGCTTCTGTTGCCATTGCTTTTGGTGTTTTAGACATGAAGCACTTGCCCATTCCTATGTCCTGAATGGTATTGCCTAGGTTTTCTTCTAGGGTTTTTATGGTTTTAGGTCTAACATTTAAGTCTTTAATCCATCTTGAATTAATTTTTGTGTAAGGTGTAAAGAAGGAATCCAGTTTCAGCTTTCTATATATGGCTAGCCAGTTTTCCCAGCACCATTTATTAAATAGGGAATCCTTTCCCCATTGCTTGTTTCTGTCAGGTTTGTCAAAGATCAGATAGTTGCAGATATGCGGCATTATTTCTGAGGGCTCTGTTCTGTTCCATTGGTCTATATCTCTGTTTTGGTACCAGTACCATGCTTTTTTGGTTACTGTAGCCTTGTAGTATAGTTTGAAGTCGGGTAGCGTGATGCCTCCAGCTTTGTTCTTTTGGCTTAGGATTGACTTGGCAATGCGGGCTCTTTTTAAAAAATAGAAATCCTGATTCTCTTTCCAACTGTTTTTCCTGCTGTTCTTCTTCCTTTTGCCAGAGAATACCTGGCTTACTATTTTTTTTAAGGAAGTAATAAAATTCAACCTCTAGCTAGTGTCAAAAACAGTGCTTCACAAAAAAGATAATTATAGGTAGATCTCTAAATTTACTTCCCAACATACTTGATGGAACTGACCTGCAAACAGTAGAAATGACAGCTGATGAATGGGAATTGAATTAAGAAGCTTTCTTTGACCCTAGAACCCTGAATTTTCTTAAATATAATATTTCCCGGTGGGCCATGGGGAGGGCAGAGAGCCTACCAGACCCACCTAGAGCCCTGAATTCTTAGGCAGATGCAGAAGATGTTTTTAGCCTTGAATAAATCAGAAGCCTTTTAAGTAACAAACAGAAATGAAAACAATAAAAACTGTTTCTGAGCTTAGAAACAGTGGCTTAGAACTCTGTGCCACAGGATGTTGGAAATACTTTACTTTTTTTTTTTTTTTTTTTTGGCATCTAATCCTGCAATGGTGCTCTGAGACAAATCCAATCGGTATTCCCATTTGACACATGAAGAACTGAGGCCCAGAGGGACTAAGACATTTGCCCAAAATTACACCGCTTCACAGTAGTTAAATCTACAAGCCTATGCCTCCCCGTGGTTCCCACTCTTAGTTATCCAATACACACACAGAAGCCCACAAATCGTTTTACCAAATGCGGTCCTGCAAACACTCCCAAAATCCACAGGCTAATCTCACTCCCCACCAAGTGGGAGCAGGAAGATTTTACCAGAAACTCATTTCTTTTACAACAGTTTTTCACGTAGATTATTTTCTAATCTTGATTAAAGGCACAAACATAAAATAAATGGCACACTGGATAGACCAAACATCACCACACACTACATGTGTATTCACTCAGAAAATACAATTTCACGCGTAAATTAATTTCAGAAAACGTAAAGCATAGCTGGTAACTCCAGCTTTGATCTGAATCACACGCCATTTCCCTTTCGTGTCCCGCTTCCCCTGAATTGACAATAGCAGCTGATGTTTATTGAGAAGTTTCTGTGTGCCAGATAGTACTTCGCGTTCTCTCTTCCTCACTTCAGCCCTCTGAAATCAGCGCTGTTATTAGGACCCCCTTGAATAAAGAGAAAACGGAAATTCAGTAAGCTGAAGAACTTCCCCTAGGTCACACAGCTAATGGGTTGAGAATCCGAGGTTTGAACCCAGAACCTCAGATCCAGCAGCCAGGCTTAGTCCCTTTATTAAGCAGCCTAATCACTCCATGGGGGCATGGCACCTCTTTCTGCAACATGCATTCATTCAACACCTGTTCCTCAATTTCCCATAAGAGCTGGGCATATTGCCAGGGGACACAGCGGTGGCCAGACCTCAAGGACTTAAGAGCAGGGGAAACAAACAATTTTAACTTGATCGCAACAGCGTGTGATGACATTTATCAGGGGAAACGTCAGTGCTGTAAGAACACATACAAGAGTCCTGAGGGACCTCCCTTAGGAAGAAACTCCAGCTGACAGCTAAAGTTCAGAGATGCGTGGGAGTCACATGGACGTCTGCATCTCAGGAAGGTCGTACTGGCTGCCTGGCAGAATTCCCGTCAGAGGGGAAAAGGGGGTGCGAGTACACAGGAGAGGCAGGTTGGGAGGTGTCTCAGTGACCTGGACACCTCGGGGAGGGGAGGAATAATGCCTTTCAAGGGATACTTGGGAGACAGGCTTGGCAAGAATTGGAGATTGAGCGAATAATGAGGACAGGATGAGAATTATTAGGCTTGGAAACATTTGAAGACTTGCACAAAGAAATACAAAACTACCAATTTCATTTCCAATAATGCTAAAGCTTAATTTCTGCCATCTTCAATTCCCAACTGGTCTTCCAATCCCAACATGTATCACAACCCAATCCCAAATCCTGGAATGACTCCCCCACTGACTCCCAAAGTCCTCTTTCCTTAAGACGCCCTTCAAGATCCTCCATATACTGCCCCTACTCTTGCTGTCGGTCTGACTGTCCATCCATCCATCCATCCATTCTTCCATCCATCCATCCATCCATCCATCTGACTCTGGCAGAAACAGATCAATCATTTAAACCAAAGCACAATTCCAACAGCAACAAGAGCTGAGAATGAAGGTCATCTGTGCCACAGCAGTGGGGTATAGAAGAGGCAGGTCTGACATGGCTAGAAAGGCTGTTACCATAGCTTTGCTTCTCATTCCCTGGACCCAGGGCAACTCAGCTCCATTCCCCAACAAGCCTGTGCCTTCGCTCCTCTGTGGTTTGCCCTGATGACAGGCCTTCCTGGAGCTGCCTTCTGTTCTCACTAGGTAATAGCTCTGTGTTCTTCAATCTGGAAACCCGCTAGGACTCTGAAATTATACAGCATCCCTATTACCATAGGGACATTGAAATCCAGACCTGAATCCTGTCCTCATGGAGCAGACAATCTAGATGAGAAAGAAAGACATGAATCTGAGATGCATGCAAACATAGTGACTGTGACAAGAGCTACCAAGGGGAGGGGTGTGGAGCCCTGAGGACAAGAACAGGACTCGAGGAAGTCAGGAGGGTCAGGGAGAGCTTCCTGGAGGAAAGTCAGAGATGTGTGTCCTTGAAATGGCATTCCCCTGAAACTTGGTTTCCTTGTCTATAAAATGGGGGGACATCATAGAAAATACCTCTCTGCATTGCTGTAATAGCAAGTGGAATAATAAATATCAACTGCTTGACCCAGAGTAAGTGTTCAAAAGATACTTGTTCTTATTGTTTATTACTCACCTGCCTCTATGTCAAGCATATTTGGAGCTGAATCCTTCAAAGGTGTGTTTCCTCTAAGGTTTCACATGCCTTAGCGGTAAATGCAATCAGAGATCTGGTCCACAACAGAGGCTGTAATAGGTGGGGACCAGGTTCCTGAGTTCTGGAAGAAGAGCCCAAGCAATTGTCCTGTCTGTAGGTGAGCAAACATCGGGGAGCATGGGTGCCAACTGGCACCTGCCACCTGGCACCTGGCTTCCTCAAGCTCTTCTAACACAGGCTCTCACTTACCAAAGTAAAATTAAACATATCCAATTTACGGAGGGAGAAGGGCTCAATTTTAACTATGTTTTCTTGTCTTCGGCTGGAGTTGTGACGTTTCACATAGTGACAGCCAGAACTCACGAGAACGTCTGTGGCCGTTGTTTCTTCTGAATTCTGTCCAACTTGTTGGCGTCATTGGATGCCAGCTTCCCCAGAACAGTGGGAGGAGTTGGCATGCCCATCTCATCAGCGCAGGACAAAGAGGAGCCTGCCATTCCCAGTGCTCCCGGAGAAGCTTGCTTTTCCCAAGGTGGTCTCCATCAGCTCTCAAATGTTTTAGGAGCTTGTGGCCAGAGAGGTGCTGGCCTGACTATTGGGCAAGGCTTGTGGAAAGGACATGAGGGACAGAAACTGAGCAAAAATAACAAAGGCCATTCCTGTGGCCTGTGGGAAGTGCTCAGAAGAAACTCTCTCCCAAGACCCTGCCACACCCTGCTGTGCCTACTTGGAGCGAGCGCATTCCTCCATGCTGTTAGTCACAACTCAGACTGACCCTGGCAAGAATTAATGTCCTTCACACCCATTAACGTCACAGATTAGCAGGGACACTTTGTAATCCATCCACAGCTCACCTCTTCCTTGTGTTCATGCACCCATGCATTTATTAAACAAGTAGTCATAGCTGCCTGTTACATCCTCAACTCTGCAAACAGATGCAGATAAAATGAGGAAGAAAAACAGACCCTAATCCTGCCCTCATGGAGCAGACAATCTAGATGAGAGAGAAAGACATGAATCTGAGATGCACAAAAACATAGTGACTGTGACAAGAGCTACCAAGTAGAGGGGTGTGGAGCCCTGAGGACAGGAACAGGGCTCGAGGAAGTTAGGGGGTCAGGGAGAGCTTCCTGGAGGAAGTGGCAATTGAGCTGAGATTTGAAAAATCAGTAGCCATGAACCAAATGAAGAAAAGAGGAGATAACATTCCCAGTGGAGGAAAGAGCTTACTCAAACTCCCCAGGAAAGAAGAAAAGGAGGGGCTGACAAAGGTGTGCCCAGGTGAGCTTCCTTTTGGAGCAATAGTCTTGGGAGCCACAAACACCTTCTTTTGACTCCTTTACTGCCTTCTCTTGGCTGAGCTCATCGTGTTGTGACTTCTCTCTTGGCCTCCAAATTGTTCTTACCTGTGGTCTTGCAATAAATGGCCTGTTCAGTTGGCAACCCTGCACGTCTGTGGGTTTGACTCCATGCATACAGTTCAGTCTGTTCTGTTGGCATGCATAGATTAGACAACCAGGACACCCAAAAATAAGACACAGATTGTGGTTCCAGAAAACCTGAAACGGTTGAGGCAGCTGACAGGGACTGTTTGGCACAAATGACATCAAGAATTCCAGAAAAGATAAACATTAGGCATCTCCTCCACTACTGATCATTGGACAAGGAATTTCTCTGACTTCTGTGAACCTGGGGTCACAGTGAAGTTCTCTGAAGATGAACATGAGACTTCACATTGCTACCAGAGCTTTAAGATAAGAAATCATATCTAGTTTCAAAAAACTACCCCACCTTGTAAAGGCCAGCTTTAGCTTCAGCTTTTTCAGGTTGTCCTGCTTTCTGGGGAGATAAGAAAATAGAAACTACAATTAATAGTTAGTTAATTAGTTATGATGAGCTAGCACTACACTATGTAATTGACACACGGTAACTTATATAACTCATAAAACAACCCCATGAGGTAGGAACTCTTATTATACCCACTTGTCAGACGAGAATACTGAGGGTCAGATAAGTGAAGTCACTTGCCCATACATGGGCCAGTTGGTGAGAAAGGGGTGGAACTTGAGTTTGAAGCTCAGCTCCCCAAGAACTCACTTTCTCTGAACTCTGCACCCCCGAGGTCGTTCCTACCATGGGGACCGTGCCCCAGGTTAACTCATTCATTCAGTTATTCTCTCATTTCTTTGGTGAATATTTATTGTGCTCCTAGTATGTTTTAGGCCCTGTTCCAAGTGTTTAAGGTAAAATAAACAAGCCTACTATGGTCTGAATGTTTATGTTCCCACAAAATTCCTATGTTGAAATACTAACCCCCCATGGGATGGTTTTCGGAGATGGGCACTTTGGGAGGTGATTAGGTCATGAGGGTGGAGCCTTGTAAATGAGACCCAAGAGAGTTCCCTCACTCCTTCCACCACGTGAGGACACAGCAAGAGAATGGTTGTCTATGAACCAGGAAGCAGCCCTCACCAGACACCATATTTGCCAGCACCATGATCTTGGCCTTCCCAGCCCCTTGAACTGTGAAAAAATGAACTAAGGTGAACCTGACACAAATTCCTATCCTTTTGGAACTCATAGTTTCATGGGAGTTGACAATAAGAAGCCAAATGAATAAGTAAAATACACAGTGCACAGGAATCCTATGTGTCCAAGCAGGACAGGGGGTAGGAAGTTTTGGGGTGGAGAGGGGAGGCCACCTCATGAAGGTGAGAGGGTATTGGATGTGTTTTCTCCCTACATGAGACAATTTCCAACAAGACTCACATTTGGAATAATGGAGAGGGTGGTATATTAAAAATGCTAAACATTCATTCGAATATTTCTTTAGTGTCTGCTTTGTACTGGGCGCTGATACATCACTGAACTAAACAAAGATGCCTGTGTCTTAGGCTTCTGATCCCATGTGGAGAGCCCAACAGTAGGCAGCAGACAAGATAAACCATCACTGACTCCACAGGACGAGGCAGGGCACAGAGTGTGATGAGTGCTGGGGGAGTGGGTTGAAATTGTTTTGTGGGGTGGGCGAGGCCTCTTTTGGAAGATGACAACTGAGCGAGGGGGAAGAAGGAGAGGGAGAGGATTGTGTGGACACTGCAGAAGGACGTTCAGGGCAGAGGACCAACTAGAAGAAGGTCTCAAGGTGGGGCTTGTTACAGGTGTGTGTGTGTGTGGAGTAATGAAGGAGCTGGTGAGGTGGGGGCAAAGTGAGGCTGATGGGTAGAGAAGAGAGGAGGTCTGAGCCCTATTTACTCAGCAAGCATGCCAAGCGCTAGACTGACCTGACCTGACTGCTAACTTTTCCAGAGTCCTTCATGCATACCAGGGGCTGTGTTTAAATCATCTTAAAGGTATGTTCATTTTATAGATGAGGATCAATTTTACAGATGAAGAAACTGAGGCTTAGGTTAAAAGCAAACTTTCCAAAGTCTCACAGAATGTAGCCAACGCCAGGCACAAATGGAATCCTCCCTGGCACTCAGTGGGGGTCCCGAATGCTTGGCGAGCCTGCATCCCCAGGCCTCCAGGAGACAGCAGGGAATGGAGAATGGGTGGCCCTTTCCATGGGCCCTGGAGCAGCTGGGGAGGCAGAGCTGAGAGGAACAGGGCCACAGGGAGTTTGTGCCCTGATGTGGGGGAGCTACCTAGCTGGGTTGAGACCCAGATGAAGGACACAGTGCAGACAGGCCGTAGGGCTTGCATTCTTCCTTCCCTTTGGGGAGCAGGCTGAGCTTGCCCTGAGAAGGCCTTCAAATCGGTACTCAGGCCCTCCCCTGGCAGGAGGCAGGGAGAGATGGTGGGCGACGATGCGCCTCCGACGAGGGGCCTGTCAGTCCACTGCTGCTGCTGGAGGGGCTTTATCTCTAAAATACAGTGTTCCTTTAGAAGGTGCACATTTTCACATCTATTAAATTGCTTTGCATGAAAGTGTACTTTCCTGGTACCATAGCAACTGTGCTTCCTAATCTGATTTAAATTTTTTGCCTTGTGCTGCAAAAGCTAATGCCACACTTTCTGAAGTCGGTGGCTGTGCCGTGCACAGGATGTCCATTTTTGAGAAAAGAAAAATAATCATCCTTGGCTAAAAATCACCAGCACCACCCCCGCCCTACAGGTGGCTGTTCTATGCGAATGGTTACAGATACAGGTGCCAGCATCTTCACCGCTTCCTAGCGGGTGATTGTCATCAGGTTATTGAACCCCTCGGAGCCTCAGTTTCTTCATCTAAAAATCAGAAATTAAAATATTTCTACCTCACAGGGCTGTCAGAAGGGATAAACGACATGAAGCAAAGGAGGAGCTTAGTTCTGCATCTGACATTTATTAAGTGCTAAGTAAACAGTAACTAGGGATCTTGTCTTCCTCAATCCCACTCCTTTATTAAGAGCAATAATTGACTACTGGCGATGTTGCCAGGCTGACTCTGAAATCCATTACTCTCGGTAGCGGCTGCAATGCGGCTTTCCATTTACTGCTTGTCTTCCTCACTGTAATATTCCAAGAAGGTGCTCAGCAGTGATTTGAGGAAGGGATGAAAGGCAAGGCTGCCTTTGCGTATCACGCTGTGCTGTTTCTATGTGTCAGGCAGGTCTTCCTCTCTCAAAATCCACCCCCACGGATCTATCCGACTTCCTTTCAACAATGCCAGACTCGATCTGGAGGCCTCAGGTAGGCACTCGTTGTGGTCCTCACTCCCAGGGGGCTGCAGCCCCGTCTCGTGCAACCTTGCTCACATGCTGGTGGCATGTAGGATGCTATTACTGGGAGGGTTGTGGACACATCATGTCCCTGTCACACAGCTGAGAGTTACATCCCTTAGACTCAGTGAGGATGGGCATCTCAGAGCCACTCAGCTATGCAGGGCTGGACTCCGCTTCAGCCTGGGAACACAGCGGGCTCCACCCACGGGGGAGCAGAGAGGAAGGGATTCTTGCATCCACACACACAGGGTTCTTTTTTTTTTTTTTTTTTTGAGATGGAGTCTCGCTCTGTCGCCCAGGCTGGAGTGCAGTGGTGCGATCTCCGCCACTGCAAGCTCCACCTCCCGGGTTCACGCCATTCTCCTGCCTCAGCCTCCTGAGTAGCTGGGACTACAGGCGTGTGCCACCATGCCCGGCTAATTTTGTGTATTTTTAGTAGAGACGGGGTTTCACGTTAGCCAGGATGGTCTCGATCTCCTGACCTTGTGATCCACCCGCCTCGGCCTCCCAAAGTGCTGGGATTACAGGCATGAGCCACCCACCGCACCCAGCCAGGGTTCTTAAACTGGATGGCACATCAGATTTACGGTGGGGCTGTTAAAATGCATATTCCAGGTATCATGACAGGAATCCTGATTCAGGGGGCTCAGCCTGGGTCCCTGGAGCCAGTATTTGCATCTCTCACCTGGTAGTTATTGTGTAGATATCCAGACAGGCGCTGTCGAACATCTATCTTAGTCCACTTGTGCAGCGCACCTGCTGAGTGCCTGGGCCCTCCAGAGCTGTGGCCCGAGTGCCGTTGGGTGCCTGCGCCCTCCAGAGCTGTGGCCGGAGACACATCTGGGTCTGGGCCACACAACATTCATGCTGAGCGTGAATAAGTGGAGCAGAAACCGGGGGGAGCTCTGACGATCAAGCCCTGAGGTCCCACAGGCACCCTGGGACTCCCCTTGAAACCATCCTGCCTTGAAGGCCCTGGCTCTCTCTCTGAGACTGTGATGGGCATGGCAACTCAAACACGTTTACGGTCATTTTTCCATTGTCTTGATAAATCGCATCTAGCTTTTCTCTCTCCATACTAATCTACCTACTAGAGAAATTAATATCAAGGGTGTCACTTGGCCACACTCAGTTTTCCCTCCCGAACCCACCTGTTCATTCTTAACATAGGCAGGCTGAGAATTTTCCCAAGTTTTAAGTGTTGCTCCGCTTTTGATTATAAATTCCATCATTAGTTTGTCTCTTCTTACATTTTACTGAGCCATCAAGAGAAGCCATGTGGCACTCTCAGCACTTGGCTTAGAGACTTCTTCCACCAAGCTTATTTCTTCCAACCAGTTTATTACTCATGAGTTCTGCTTTCCACAAAGTGCTACAACATAAACAAAATTCGAGCAAGCTCTTTGCCACTTTATTACAAGGACAGTCTTTCCCCCGAGGTTCCATATCTTGTTTCTCATTTTCATCTGGGACCTCATCAGACCTCATATTTCTACCAACATTCTGTCCGCGACCACCTAGATAATCTCTAAGAAGACTGAGTCTCTCTTTCCAGCTCTCTTCTTCTGGGCCCTCCCTAGAATCACCACTAACACTCTTTCATGGCAATACAGAATTTTTTTTTTTTTTTGGCTTCAAAACTCTTCTGGCCTCTACCCAATACTCAGTTCCAAAGCTGCTTCCACATTTTCAGGTATTTGTTATAGTGACATTCCGCTGCTTGGTACCAGTTTCTGTCTTAGTATGTTTCTGCTGCTATAACAAAATACCGGAGACTGCTGTAATGTATAAACAGCACGAATTCATTGCTCATGGTTCTGAAGCCTGGGAAGTCCAAGGTCAAGAGGCTTGCAGGCTCAGTATCTGATGAGGATCTGTTCTCTGCCTCTAAGATGATGCTGTGTCCTCACATGACAGCAGGGTGAAAAAGAGGCAGGCAGCTCTATGGAGCCTCATTTATATGGGCACCAATCTCATTCATTGAAAGGTGGGTTCCTTAGGGCCTCCTCACCTCCCAGAGGGCCCACCTTATAATAACAGCTCCTTGGTGATTGGGTTTCAACCTATGAATTTTGGAGGGACACAAACATTCAAGTTGTAGCAACATCTTAGAGTTTAGATGCTGTTGCATTACTTTAGAAAGTGTTCTTTATTGTTTACGTATTTAGAGACAAAATTTCATGATGTTTGTAATGAATATTAAATATATTACATACACCTTAATATACTCCCGAAGGCAGAAAAGACAAAGTAAGCACAGGCACATGTTAATGATCATTTGGGGAACTGTGTGTGGCAGTTCATTATTGTATTCTCCCTGTGTTCCTGTATTTTTGAAATTTTTCATAATAAAAAAGGTTTTTCTTAATGCTATGATAAGCTAAAGATCTAAGAAACTCAGAAATCCTTGTAGATCTTCCCAGCCTTCAACTCCAGCCAGAAAATCTGACGTATTTAAATATTGGTGCTCATCTTGTAGCTGAAGAAAATTCAGTTTCTAAAGCCTTACTTTTCAAACTTGAGCAGCTGTGGAATGATTTGTTTTTCCTTCTCCTTCTTTCTTCTCTGACTGACACAGCAGGTCGTGGCATCCCTGGGGGACTGCACCTCATAAGCAAACATGACTAGCGTGGCCTGACATCACGTGCCCTGATGCGATTCTGCAGCTGGAAATTCAGAGGGTTTTTTTTTTTCCTTCTTCTTCTTCCTTTCATTCTATATACTGTGGTTTCTGGCACCTTAGGAGAATTTGAAAGGAGAAAAGCTGTGTTCTCTAATTAGCATGAAAAATGCAAAATCCATGTCCCATACACCACACACAGCCACAGGGGGTGCTCTTGGCATAAGCCTCCATGAGGTTCCTTGTGGCTTTGGAGCCCAGAGTGCTCATGACCACAGAATCTGAGGTAGCAGAGGGACGTACCAGGGCCAGTCTTCCCAGGTCTCTCCTGTCTCATCTGCGGACCATTCGGAGGGTGCTTCGGCCTCTTTGTAAAGTTCTCCAAGGATGGAAAGAAAGCAAAATGAATCATGGGTCCAATTAGTTTCCATATCTGAATGCCTGGAGAGGTGAGGCACAGCTAAGGAGACACGAGAATGTGATGAGCAGGCTTTAAATGGTCCAGACCCCAAACCTGGCTCCACCACTTACCACCTGTGTGCCCTTTGTATCGTTAAACCTCAGTTTCCTCATTTGTAAAATTAGGGGGAAGTGAATTTTCGGAATACTTTTGGGAGGACTGAATGAGAAAATTCATGTGAAGCATTAGCCTAGCATATAATTACCATCCAATAAATGTAATAATAATTACTTTTGTATAGTCTTATGCACACACATACAGATTCATCATTATTGAAACACCTCCAGACCGCCCTCTCTCCTGTACACATCTTCGGGTAAGCCAATCCCCTCTGCACAAATCCAGGGAACCACTTAGCTCCACTCAGCACCGAATGAAAGAAAGAACGCGTCCATGGAGACAGAGAACATGGGGTTTTAGGGCTGAGAGGGACCTTCAGAACATGACATGCCTCCCCCCTTCCCCCACACACTCAGTTCTTATCAGCTTCCTGAGGCTTTACCCTGCACTTAGCATAAATGCAAGCCTCATGTGCAAGGCCCAGTAGAATCTGTCCCTCCCACCTCCTCTACCTCAGGGAATCTCAGTCCTGCTCCTTCACTGTGTTCCCACCACCCTGGTCTCCTCCCAGTTCCCCCCATAGAACCAGCAAGGGAGGGGCCATTGCACAAGCTGGCCCTGGCTGGGAACACTGCCTGCCTCCCTCCCCCATCCCACTGCCCAGATACCCAGGTGACAAGGCTTTCTCTCCACCCTGGGTCACCTCCTCTGCAAGCTCTTCCTGGAACACCCCTCTAGAAGCAAGTCCCTGCCCCGAGTTCATGTCACCCTTGTTGTCCCTTTCATATCTGTCCTTGTAGTTTCATCTGTTTGCCTCTGCTAAGTGGCTTGTTAGAGATGCTACCACGCATGAGCTCCACGGGACCCAGAAGAGAGGTGACTTTGCTCATGGTGTCTTCCCAGGCCTACTCGCCTCTCAGTACACAAGGAGGGAGGGAGGGGACACCTGACCACTGGACAGGAAGGGGAGCCACAGCCAGGGAACCCAGCTTCAGGGAAGAAGCTCAGCCCAACTCCGCCCAGAGCCCCTCAAACTCTGCCATTTGTAGGAAGGAGGTAAGTGAGACCTTGCCTCCACCTGGGAGACATCTAAAGAATGAAACAAGGGGCTCCTAGGGGGTTCCCCTGTGGCCAGTCGCTCGCTGCTGCATTGCTTTAGCAGAGCAGTGCAGAATGCCATCTTGGTCTAAATATCTCCTCTCCTGGCCTCTTGTGCTGTGGGGATTCTGCCATCAGACGTGTTCTCTGCATGAGTCAGGAGGCTCTCAGTGGCTGGTGACAGAGACCACACTCAAACCACTTAACAAAGGGAGATGGCCACCCAGAGCCTCGGAGAGTCCCGGCACCTGCAGCAGAATCTCTCAGGCACCCTGGGCTGCAGTGCTCCAAAGGCTCCTGCCCACTGGCTTCGTTTTCAGGCTCCTGGGTAAGTGGCTTTAGAAAAGAGTCACAGCAGGGGTGGCCCCCACAGCCTGGCACCCTCAGGAAGGCTGGCGGAAGCCTCACGGTGGTTTTAATCCGGCTGATAAGGGACACGTCTTCTGCCCAAGCACATCACTTGGTGCTCCTGCTGGCCAGATGCAGGTTTTGTGATCCGATCCTTACCAATGCAACTGCCATGACAAACGGGGCAGAGGGGTTTTCCATGGGGTAGCTGGGCACTGATTCCAAAGGACAGGAGAGGCGCCACCAGAGTGGTCAAACGACGGAGTCCCACCACCGAGGGTGTGCTCGCAAGAGACTTGTACACAGATTGGTACTTCCTGGGGGTTTGTGTCCTCACACACCTGGGGAACATTCTGTCCTATGAGCAGCAGTAATTTCTCACCGAGGAAAGAGGCGTTGTGGGTGAGGACGCTAAAACCAGCACAACTCCATGGTCGGGGCAGGGACTCTGTGTACCCTCTTCTCCCCGCCAATGACATTCCCCTTGAGGTCGACTCAGTCTCAATGTCCCTCCCTGTGTGCACAAGGAGTTGGGATTTCACTTACGTGGTTGCAAAGAAGGTGAAAAAAAACCTGTGTAGGAGAGGCTGGGTATAGTGGCTCACACCTGTAATCCCAGCACTTTGGGAGGCTGAGGCAGGCGGATCACTTGAGGTCAGGAATTCAAGAGCAGCCTGGCCAACATGGCAAAACCCAGTCTCTACTAAAAATACAAAAATTAGCCAGGCATCATGGTGTGTGCCTGTAGTCCCAGCTACTCGGGAGGCTGAAGCAGGAGAATCTCTTGAACCCAGGAGGTGGAGGTTGCAGTGAGCTGAGATAGCGCCACTGCACTCCAGCCTGGGTGACAGAGCCAGACTCTGTCTCAGAAAAAAAAGTGTATGCAAAACCACCCCCTGAAAATGACTGCAATAGTCCGTAACGCACAAGTGGCCCCTGTGCAGAGATTCATATGCAGGCATGGTTTCAGGAACCACTCACCAGGCTCAAGGAAGGAAAGAAGACAGCTGCCCACAAGCAGAGACTTGGGCATTCAAATCACCCAGTCTGCACAAGTCCAAATGCCTCGTGGAGAGGTCAGAATGGTCCTGCCATCTGCACCCTCTTTTCTGTTTGTTAGATTCTTTATCCTTAGAACCTTGATCCATGTACTTGTTATGAAAATTATTGCTCATATGACAAAGCCATGTTCACAGTCTCCCAGTACCAGTTACCTGTTGCCATAATAACACTGTGTTCAAAACCAGCCTGAAAACTCAGAGGCTTAAATAATAAGAAGGAACTTGGCCCCACATCAGCGGAGCATCAGCTGATAGAGGCTAGCTTCAGTTGACAACTGAGAGTCTGAGGTCCACCCTGGCTCCATCCGCAGCAGGCAGGAACGGGAGCCACAGCAAGCAAGCGCAGCCCTCCATGCGCTGCCTCAGCTTCAGCTTCTGTCATGTTCACTCGCACCCCATGAGCTTCAGCAGGTCACACCATCGGTGTTGGGTGCTGCAAAGTTACCTATCCCAGGTGGAACTCAGGATACTCAAGGAGTGAAGAATTAAAGGCCACCCGATCTTCCACCCTGACACACAGTGGGCACTCAATAAAAACTGTGTTGGCTTCAAGTTCAGATCTTTCATGATCACACCCACATATTCTGCAGACAATTTACCCACTGAATGGTACCCACCATTCCCTTCTTAAGAGCAACTCAATCCCACCTTCCCACCAAGGGCTAAATCCTGAGGGCAGGTAGCATGTACATCTCATTTATGTTCCTTTCTTCAGCAAGGAGAAAAGAGATCAATGAACATAAGCTGATTGACCAAAGAACAGCTGGCCTGACCTGTGTCTTCAGCATCTGCAATGCTCCAGGCCCTGTGCAAAAAACTGTATGTGGCATGTCATTTTTTAACATTTCATTGTGCAAATTTTAACAAATACTAAAGAAGACAGAATAGCATAAACCTCTATATACTGCCTTGACTTAATGATGAGTAATATTTTACCATGTTTCCTTCAAATGATTTTTGCTTGAATATTTTAAAAGTAAAATACTGACAATATGACATTTCATTTCTAGTTTAATACTTCAGTATATAGCTTTTAAAGAAAAAGACATTTACTTATAAACCACAATACCATTATCAGACTTAACAAAATAAATGGTCTTCCTTAATATCTACTAGCACGTCCATATTCAAATTTCCTCTGTTGCCCTACAAATGCCTTTTGATAATGGTTTTGTTCCAGACAAAGCCAGACAACCCACATAAGACAGATTTGGTTGTTCTGTCACTTAAATATCTTTTAATCTAGAAGAGCCGTGCCTTTTTATTTATGTCACTGACTAGTTGGGGGAATGTACTTTTAATCTACTTTTAATCTGCACATAGCCATGCAACGTAATTGTACTTACCCCCATTTTCCAATGAGAAAACTGACAAAGTCGGTGTCATCAAAAAGGAGATTTGCTTGCATTCTCAAAACCACACTCTTTCTGCCATTGCAGGTCCATATCAGGAGAGGAAAAAGAAAGGCACTAAAACTTTCAGTTTACATTGTAAAAAGCAACACTCACGTTTAAGGTGGGTTTCTAGCACATTTTGACACAGCTGGGCTATTTCTGCAAAAGAAAAGGAATTGGCAATGGAAAAATGTCAATTCTAGCCTGATGGAGGAGTAATGTTGCCTCCTCCCAGCCCACATCCCATTCTGTGCTGCGCAGAAACTATCTAGCAAATCAAGCACATGAAACTGAGGGTTTTGTCTCTACAAATATGGGAGTTGTCAGACAGCACAAACAACCAAAATCAAAGATCCGATTGTCTTTACGATTTTACACCCTGACCATCTATTAAGTCTGCATCTATTAGATTTGCAAAATCTAGACCATCTATTAGATTTGCAAAAAGGAAGATGCTTCCCATGGCCTCATCTTACATGAAAATGTGGGTTTCTGCTTCTCTCTGGTTGCTCCTTCGAAGAGACGTGTGCTGGAGAACTCCTTAATAATACTGGGGAAAAAAATATCATGGAAATATCCACCAGGCGAATTAAGGATTATAAGGCCTCTTCTTCCTTCAAGTTCTTTTAACCAAGGTTGCTTTGCAGAGAGAGATTTGTAGAACAGCTTCTCTAAAGGCAAACGCTGGCTGATAAAAGCTCAACAGCTCTGAGAATTGGGTTACAAGCTCTTTTCCTGTGCTCGCACCAAGAGTGCAATGGGCTTTCAAAATTCCATTTCTTCCATATTGCTGCAACTTAGGAATTCACTTTTGAAACCCTGGTGCCTGATGGATGAATTTTTAAAATTTATGTCCCTAGAATATCCTGTGGGTATTTAATAGTAGATATGAAAGTTTCCAAATATCTGAGCATTCTGTTTTAGATCTGGCAGCCTCTTATAATGAGCTCAGCTAGATCACCCAGAAAGGGCCTCTACAGATTTACCAACCAGAAAAGCAGGGAGGAGCAGGTGCGCCCCATGGAGGAGAAGTCCACTGTGGACACTGTGCAAACCAAAGTCCATGATGGGGAGCCCACAAATGGAAGGTGCCTGCTAACTGAGAAGCCAGGGGTCACACTCCAAAATCTCCCTGCTCAAAAGAAGTTTTTTTAATTCTTCAGTCCTCAGTTTAAATTTTTGAAACTCTTCCAATGAACAAGGTTTTCGCTTATAAACAGAAACTAGAAAATGGTATAAGACTTTGTTTAGTAAAGC
The DNA here is from genome assembly GCF_000001405.40 of Homo sapiens. Classification (NCBI taxonomy): domain Eukaryota; kingdom Metazoa; phylum Chordata; class Mammalia; order Primates; family Hominidae; genus Homo; species Homo sapiens. The sequence goes on from NC_000020.11 coordinate 60,999,307, forward strand.
TATAGGAGATAGAGAAGATGTTTTGGAAGCTGATGCAAGTCTGAGAAACAAGAATGGCTCAGTACCAGGGTTTGGTGAGCAAAGCAAGTGAGGGCTGCCAAGTTGATTTTTTTTTTTTTTTTCGTATAAAAAGGGTGGTTCCTTTTGACGGGTGATGTAATGATGCCTCTGCAAGTCGTAAGATGAGATGCAGCTTCAGCTTCTCAAGTCGCAGTTGGCAGATCTGTGCCAGTCTCCTCCAGTTTCACAGCACAACCCACTTCCAAAGAGAATCCCAAAACTAATATCCTCTGAAAAGAGTCTAAGAATTCCACTGAAAACATTTTTCAAGCCCAGAATCCTGAAAAAGCTAAGCCATCCGTTTAGATTCCCTGGGGCCATTCCAGTTTTTACCAATACTCAATCCACATGGTATGGAATGTTTACCTGTTGAAATTTTTTTTTACTAAAGGGACCTCAATTTGCAATGAGATAAGTTTAGACAAAATTAATCATGATTGTAAACAATATGGAAAAGTTTTTTATGGATACTGTCTTTCATCAGTGTCCATGACTTCCAAAATTGTGAATGACACATCTCAGCGTGACCTTCCTCTTAAATAGGACAAGACTTTTCCAGCATCCTCATGTAGCCCTTTTTCTCCTCCTTTGCACTGGAATATTGCACCAACAGGACTCATTCAGCACTGATAGTGAGTTTCCCAGCACAAAGAAGGAGTGAGCCCTTGAGTCTCTCAATATTGGCAAAGCTTTTCCTTTGCCCTGAGTTTCTGCTCTGAAGACCTATCACTGAAAATGCAGCCTCAAATTCATCCATGGGGAAATCAATAACAAATCAAGCAGCTATTCACTCAGATTTATTGGCATAACCAGGTGAGACAGCCAAAAATCTCCAAGAGTGGGTTGTTGATTATGAGTCAGGCAGTCGGAAACAAGCTACTGCTGGATTTCATGCTGCTGTGATAAATCCTGCTGCAGCCATGGATCAGACAAGTGGTAACTCAAATGGATGGTTCCTCAAGATGCAAAAGCATATTTCATTCCACTTACATCTTGATGCAGCTAATCAGTCTTAATCTCAGCATAACTCACGAATCCAGAAGAGTCTTCTGGAAGGCACAGGTATAAGGCTCTTGTTGAATAGCCTCATAATTTCTGTGCACTAAAATCCTGTGGGGAATTTTCTTTGTCATGATTTGAGGAGGAGTTCATTCCCAGGATATTTGTATGGAACCTCTTAATGATATCTAGTGATCGACAGCCAGGTTTCTGTCATTGACACTTTGAGTGCTTAGTGGAGCTGAACGATTGCACAGAATGAGATCTGGGGTTTAGACTCTCGGTAATTTTGAAATTGAGAAAAGGGGTTTGATGTGAGCTGACAACATGGCACCTTTACAAATGCTAACATTTATTTTGAAATCTAAGCCTGAATTTTTTTAAAAACATAGAAATAAAGACAATTAAATCCTTCTCATCTCTTGCCCTAAGACTCTGTGTTCTCTGGCCAGTGTCACAGGGGCACTTGCAGTTTTGCCATCTAGTTTAGAACAAATGGGGCCTGCTACATTGACATTCCCTTTAAATCCCCACTGTGTCACTGAGAAAAGAGCTATCTTACTACTCAGAGGTTTCACATCTCCCTAAGCACTTTTACAGCTGCATTTATTTATAAAAAATAATTGGAAATGACTGATGTGAGTCAAACTTAATGCTCATGAGACTCTGTGGACTTTCCTGTCAAATAACATGAATCAGAACATACAGGTGCACATTTCTGGTTAATGTCCAAATTCTGTCAACACAATGCACGTTTTAGAGAGCAATCTAAGGAACCTGAATTGTCCTTGATTCAGAGAAAAATAGGTTATAATTCCAAACATCTGCTTCTTCCAAATAACACCACTTAAATGAGAAGTACAGAGTTCACATTCTGAAGATGAAGTCTGATGTTTTTGCCTACAACAATTGCACCACGGTAAAATGGTTGTCAGTGGCATGATCTGTGCTTTGCACCTTTGGAAGGAGAACCAGCTGGGATCCTGAGAGAACAAAGGAGGGGTAGTGTGACCATGGCAGAGAAGGACATCCAGATGTAGCCTGTTTGCACCAATGGCTCCACATCATGCTGTAATGACACCCCTTCCAATGCGACTCGGCACCTCCTTCTATGAGGCGGTGGAATCTCTGTCCTCAGCCTTTGAATGTGGACTGGACTTGCAACTTGCTAGGGCCACAATGGTTTCAGTCTGAAGTCTCAAGAAGCCTTGAGACACATTATTTGTACTCTGGGAACCCTGCGTTCGCTGCAAGGGCAGGCTCAGGCTGGCATGCTGGAGGAGAAAAGACCATGTGGAGGAGGACTGAGGTTATGTGGCCAATACCAGCAAACCCCCAGAAACAGGGCTGCCTAAGCAATCACTGTGGACCACAGAGGAAAGAGAGAGCCCAGCTGAGACCACGTGAAATACCCAACGATGCTCAGCCCAAATTGCCAGGCCTCAGAACAAAGAATTAACAAGTTTTAAGCCTCTGAGGCAATTGGTTTATGCTATTAAGCTTCAGAGTAGTTCTTCATGGGGTCTAACTAGTTCAGACCCCATAATAGCATCTCTCTCACACACACACCTCTATGTCTCCCTTATCTCCCTCTCTCATTTCTGTCTTTCTATCTCTGTCTCCATCTGTCTCTTCCCATAGTCTCATAAATTCAGCCAAGGAGCCCCAGATCTGCTGTAGCACTTTCATGGGAGAAGAGTCTTATCTCGACATGAAGGTGGGGGACACAACTTAGGTTACGTTTGCCAAACCTTGTGGTCTCGGGACCATTTTCACTCTTTTAATTAGTAAGAGTAACCTCAAAGAGCTTCTGCTTATGTGGGTGATGTATATCAGTATGTATCATTTTAGAAAAGCTGAGAAAATGTTAAAAGTCAAGAAAATGCAAGTATGCATGCCGTTAACCATTGGAGCGATGACGTCATCCCAGTTCACATGACTGCTGTAAAACTCCACTAAACACTCATAAAAAAATTGAGAGTAAGAAATGAACATAACTTCTAGTGTTTCTATGGAGGTAATTTTGCCCTCGTGTATCCCTGAGAACTTCTGACTTGAGCTGAAATGAAAGAATCAGCTGGACCATTGTCTCAGATATTCCCAAGCTCTCACAGTGTTTCCCAACTCTGTCTGCTAGGTTTTGCTTAGGATGAAAATCATCAGAATGATAGCGTAGGCAGTTAGGCCTACATGAACAGGGGAGGAAAAGCACTCCCAATAACCCCAGGAATGTCCCCAACTATCAGGTGATGGTCAGGTGGTTGTTAAACTGTTTCTCTAAAATAATAATTGGTTGCAGCTGGTGCCAGGGAATGGCAGTCTCCCAATAGGCAGAAAATACCTGAAGCTGGTTCCAGGTAAGCTCTCAGGAGCCAGTTGGGCTGAAGCAGGAGCACTAAAAGGCAAAAATGGCAGAGTTTAACTGGTATATGGCCTTCCTCTAGGAACACTGGACTGGTAAGGGAAAAATGCCTCAAGTAAGCATGTGCACCACTTCAGGAAACACCCTGTGCGTGTGGCCCCTCCTAAGTGCTGGCCGGTCACTGCACATATGGACAGTCCACCCAAGGGAGGAATCAGAGGAGAAGAAACGCAGACCCCAGAAGCCGATGTATAAGACCCCAAGTCAAAAGTCAAACCATGCACTTGATCTTTTAAGTCACCTGCTTGGTCCTCTTCCAAGTGTACTTTACTTCCTTTCATTCCTGCCCTAAAGCTTTTTAATAAACTTTCACTCCTTCCAAAAACTTGCCTCAAACTCTAACTCTGCCTTATGCCCCTCAGTTGAATTATTTCCTTTGAGGAGGCAGGAACCAAGTTACTGCAGACCCATACAGTTCGCCGCTGTTAACAAGAATATCAACATTAAATGGCTTGCTCATTAGAATGCTTTGGAATTTACTACACAATGGTAAAATGCATATAGTTAGTAAGCATTTATGTAGGATAAATGCTCTAAAATTATTGTAATTATTGCATCTCCATGGTAATATTTATTTTTAATGAATTACATGCTTACCTTGGAATTCATTGAGCTAATTGGGGAACTAATTTTGGGAAGCCTATTCAGATCTTACATAAAGTAGCTTCTGCTCTTTCTTGGTGATAATGTTTTGAAGAATTTCTCTTCTTTCCTTAAGTTGTGGTGCAATACCTGGTCTCTCCCTCAGGAAGCCCCTTACACCTCCTTTCAGGCTCATCTTCAAGCATCTCTGCCATCAGTCAAACCCTCCTTCTGCCACTTCTCAATTCCAACTCACATCCATTGAATTCCTTCTCTGTTCCAAGTGCCTTTTCACAGGTCTCAACATTGATTCTTCACCACACTATGATTCACACATTATATCTCTGTTCTGTGGATGAGAAAACTGTCCATCAACTTATGGCACCTTGCTCAGAGTCCAACAATTAAAAAGAAAAAAAATAAAGAAGATGATCTTCACTCATTCTTTAACATATTCATTCACTGATCAAAAACATTTAGTTTACCTATCGGTCAGGTACTGAGCTGGGACTGAAGGATTAACTGATGATTTGTAAAGCCTGAAATAACCTGGTTTAGTCTGAGGGTGTGGTCAGACAGGCATGAGAAAGTGACCTGCAGAGATGATTGATTGGCACGTGGTGTGTGTATGCACAAATGAGAACTGGGACCCCTGAGATCCCTAAGAAGGTACAGTCACCTATCTATGGAGGTGGGTGAGGCTTCCTCGACCCGTATGGCAGAGGCTATTTTCCAAAGATGGCTGCAACAAGATCTGCCCTTGTTACAGGTGTATTTAAGGCTTCTCTCAGCAGTGGGTGGGCCTGCATTCCTCCTTTTGAATGTGGGCAGACAAGTGACAGAGGAGGAAATGGTCCATGTGATTCCAGAGGCCATAGAAGGCGATGCTGCTTCCACCCACTTCTCTTGAGAGGTCCCCTCATGGACGCAGCTGTCATGCTGGGAGGAAACCCACGTCACCCTGTGGGGACCCAGGCGTGAAGAACAAGCAGCAGCACTGCTTGCCTGGGATGTATGTGGACTGGTCTTGGAATTGCGTCCTTCAGCCCAGGCAAGCCTCCTCAGCTGATACTGTGAGAAGCAGAGATGAGGTGCCTGTCCTCTCCAAGTCCTTCCCTAACAGCAGATTATGAGCAGAATCAATGATAGGTGTTGTCTACGGCTGCTGAGACATGGAGTTGTTTGCTGCACAGCAATGGATAATGGGAAAATGAGGGGAGGCTTGAATCAAATCTTGGAGGCTGAAGGAGAGGGGCCAGGCATGGGCTAGGGTTGGAAGGCTATTCCGAGTATAAACAGCCTCATTCAGGACGACATGGAGACAGTGATCGTGGAGAATAGACTGGAGTACCACATTCCCCGCTAAAGCAAAGGGTAGCAAAATTGTGGCAGGCGGGGGCAAGAGGAGCAGGGTGATATAGTGAGGCCCAATCTCTATTAAAAATTGAAAAAAGAAAAAAAAAGGAACGTTTCTGTGTCCTGTGAGTTCATGAAAATCAAAGAGAGAAACGATACTAGTTATTATCACTGCAATAACTATGCCTACTATTACTACTAGTACCATTACTCTACTACTGCTACAGATAATAATAGTTGTCTGAACTATGTTAGAGTAGATTGGGAGGTGAAGACCTGGACCCAGTGTCTATAGACCACAGACCACACTTTGAAGATATTCAAATGAGGAGAAGAAAGGAGAGATGGCTGGAGGCTCAAACACACACGCCACACACTGAGTCTGTGAAACAGAAGGAGAGGGGGATGGGAGTGGATGGGTATAATATGGAGAGTTCCAGAGGTTGAATTACATTTCCCTGATGGCCTAAACTTTTCTCACCAAATCAGAAGAAATGCTGTCTACCAAAATTGTCCCCAAATCCCGTATCTTGTCTCAGTGCTCCGTAAATACTTGTTCCTAGATTCTGGTAGATAAATTGTACTAACTGTGGATGCCCTTTCTAATTAAACTCCTTCCTCCTCAATGAAAGCACCTGACAACATTGATGACCTGGGTCAAAAAAAGAAAATGTGCTGCTTTGCACTCCTTTTCTGAGCTGCCCTCCAGGTTCTCTTTGAATCCACACAAACTTCAGCCGCTGGGTGGGCCTGGCTCCCCTCCACCCAACCCTGGAGCCATTATGGATAACAGAGCTTGCTCCAGGTAAGCGTCCTGTTGAGGTCACTTGACTCTGCAGCATCATAGAGTAGAAGAAAAAGTGTCCAGAATCCTCTCCAGAAGACACAGGAGCCCAAGGAACCAGACTGAGATGCAGGATTTGGGAACCATCTTGGTAGAGAGCTTCCTCCTAAATTGGTGAGAAAACTTTCGGCCATCAGGGGCGATCTAAGTCAACTTCCTGAACTCCCCAAATTTTACCCAGTTACACCCATCTTCTCCTGGTGGGTGTGGCTCCCAGGATCCAGGCTTGGACAGGTGTCCACAGCAGGACAGAGACCAAAATCAGGGCAGGACAATGTTGATGACAGCATCTGGGGAGACAAAGAGACAAGGGCCAACAGGACGGAAGACTGGAGCTCCATTGGAGGGAGTGAGCAACTGCAGAGATCCCAGGAGACTGGGGAGAAGCAGAACCATTAGGGTTTAGCAAGGGTTAAAGAGAAAGGAGGCAGGGCCCAAGAACTTCCCCGAGGTGTAAGAGCATGTGTACCTTCAGATCTGTGTGCGGCGGAGGACAGAGAGTGTGTCAGAGGTACCCAACAGCCACAAAGTTTCCCAGAAATGAGGTCCCTGGGTTATTGGCAGAAAACCTCCACCAGTTATTTTTTTTTTTTTTTTGGCTTAGTTTTATCTGCTTTGTCCCTGGTGAATCCATGCACCTAGAACACAATATATACTGAGCATCTACTTTACGATCGGCATTGTTCTCCATGCCACAGTTTAAGCCAGGACCAAAGTAGACAGAGGTTCACACCCTCGCCAAGTTTCCAGACAAATGCATACATCCTGAGCTGGATACGTCTGAGGGCTACAAAGACGGGTGCAGTGAGCAGATGAAGAGGGACCAGCTGTGGGGGGAGGCAGAGCTGGGTAGATTTAAGGATGAGGGAGAAGGAACCCTTTGAGGAGATGATATTAAAGGAGAAACCTGAAGCAAGTGAAGGGGCCAGCCAGGAGGGAACATTGGACTGTGTATTCTGAGTGGAGGGAAGAGGAAACTCAAATGCCCACATGGGGGTCCTACCTGTGTGGATGCCAACCAGCAGCCAAGGGTGCCAGGAAGCAGGTAGGGCAGAAGCAGGAGACACAGCAAGGCTGAAGGCTCCAGGGCCTTGCTCTCAGCTGCCAGGATTCTAATCCTGACTCCACACGAGGAGGGAGCCACTGGGGGATTCTGAGTTCAAGGGTGACAAGACTTGACTTCCCCTTTAGGAGGAGTCCTCCGGCAGCCGTGGAACACAAGAGACAAGGGTGGATGTCAGGAGACCCATTAGAAGACTCAAGCGACACTCCAGAGGAAGAGGAGGCTGTTGCAGGAGCAGGGAACATGGAAAAAGTGGCCAGTTGGATACATAACCCAATATATTTCTGGATTGAATATCAGTGTGAGAGAAAGAAAAACCTCTAGCTTTTAATTTTTTGTGGAAGTTTTATGCAGATAAATGAACATACCTACCTCCAGATACAGGACATCATTTTAACATGAATTACAAATATGCTCAGTGGTCATATAATCTCAAATTAATTCATATGTGGATAACAGTAACAGAATAGAGGCAAATGCTGTCGTAATTAAGAACTAGGACTTGAGTGTTCCGTGACCCTCAGTTTGAAATGTGGGATTATCACTTACTAACCAGGGAATTGGGGGAATGGGTTAAGAACACTATGCCTCAGTTTCTTCCGTTGTAACACAGGCATAAAACTAGCTGCTCTGTAAGATTGTTTGATTTTATGAGTTTCCTTATGAAAAACACTTAGGGCATAGTAAAGAGTATGGTAGACAATCATAGCTCAGTAAAGAGTATTATAGACAATTATCATCATCATCACTGTCATCATTATCATCATTATTTAATTTTTCTCCAGGGAAAACATATTGCATGTTTAGATTTATCCACAGAGAAAATGATTGTCCTTGAAGTAACAGGACTGAAGGTCCCTTGATCCCTCCCAGTTCCCTGGCACTGCTGATATTAATGACTTTGCTGACATCACTAGGACAATAAATTTGGGCACTAATCCTTATGGGGAAGAGAATCCATTTCCATGGTGGCTGTACATCCAAGAGGAAAGGTTCATAGTTCCACATTTCCGTTAATTATAGCTCTGAATAATTTAGGTGTTAGAAATCCACTCATACCATTAGCTTTTATGGTGGATTTTTATTTTTCTTCTTCCTGGTCCCCATTTCAATTAAGAAATTTCAAGTTTTATAAGGGATCAATGGATGGGCACCACATCATTAATTTAATGAGAAAGTTTATATGAGTGTTCAATTCCTCGGTCAATTCTCTTTCCCTTAATTTGTAAAATTTTCAGGAAAAAACTAAAATTCCAATAGAGATAGAACATTTAAAGATATAAAGAATAAAACTGCATGAAATACACACACACTCACACACACAAACACACACAGACACGAGTGAATACAAATGAAACCTGAATCTGTGGCAATCTGAATAAGATTAGCGGGGTGTATCTATATTGATACCCTGGTTGTGATCTTGTGCTAGTTATGCAAGATGTTACCACTGGAGGAACCTCGGAGGAGGGTTCATAGGATATGTCTGCATTATTTTTTACAACTACATATGAATACATTTAATATATATCTTTTACATAAATATGTGTGTGTGTGTATATATGTACATGTATATACACACACACACATATATTTATGTAGAAGAGTGCACTTTTTGGCAAAACGTCAACTCCTCAATAAGATAGAACTAATAATAGCTCTAAAAATTTGTAGACAATGCAGGCATTCTTTTCTCAAGTTAAACTCAGTGACCACACATTCTACGAATTGTCCTTCCACTCTCCTCTGTAAGTATTTAGTTCTCCTGTTTTCCTTGCTAACCTGGTGCTTTATACACGTTTCTGCTCTCTGTGAAAGGCATCACTGTTCTTCCTACAAGCCAGAAACCCAAAACCCATCCCGATTCCCTCCCTCCCTCACTCGCCATTGCAAATCCAGAGTGAATCCATAATCACCTTGCCTCCCACGCCTGCCTATGTGCATCCACTTCTGCCTCTCTCTCCAGCAGCGTCCAGGCACCTGACCATCATCTCTCACGTGGGCAGCTGTGGGAACCCCCTTCACATCGATTGACTCTCCATCTTCTCTCCACCCTCCCAGTGCTGGTCTCCTCTCAGCAGCCAGGATGACCTTTAAAAAATACGAATCTGAGCACATCCCTCTATGGCTTCCCCTCTTCCCCTACTCTTCAGAACAGAATCTTCCCCCAAACCCTACCAGGTCAGTCAGCTAGGTTGCCGTCCTTTCACACCCCAAGCACTCCAGCGCTCCCCAGGACTTCATTTCCCTCTGCTGTTCCCACTGCCTGGATGTCCTCAGCCCCCAGCACCCCAGCCCACTTCCTTGAGTCAGTCTCTAATCTTCCCCCACATCTCCAAATGGACATCCTTTGCTAGGAACCGGGAGGAACTGATCCCTCTGCTGCAGGTGTCACAGAGCATATCCCTTCTCTTCACAACATGGCAAGTGCACACTCTTCTGGGTAACGACTGTTTTAATTGAGGGGTAATTTACATGCTTTAACGTGTGCAGATCTCAAGTATTCAGTTCAATACGTTTGACAACTGTCTACACTCATAAAGCCACCATCCCAAACAAGCCATAGACTACTCCCATCACCCAGGAACTTCCCTCATATCTTTTAGAGGGAAACCTCACCCTTAGAAGCAACTACTATTCTGATTTGTTTCACCACAGATCAGCTTCATCTATTCTTAAATTTCATAGTAACAGACTCACACAGCATCCATTCTCTTGTCTCCAGCTTCTTCCATGTTGCTGCATGCATCAGTAAGTAGATTTTTTTTTTTTGAGATGGAGTCTCACTCTGTCACCCAGGCTAGAGTGCAGTGGCACAATCCCGACTCACTGCAACCTCCGCCTCTCAGGTTCAAGCGATTCTCCCGCCTCAGCCTCCCGAGTAGCTGGGATTACAGGCACCCACCACCACACCCGGCTAATTTTTGTATTTTTAGTAGAGACAGGGTTTCTCCATGTTGGCCATGCTGATCTCGAACCCCTGACCTCAGGTGATCTGCCCACCTCCGCCTCCCAAAGTGCTAGGATTATAGGTGTGAGCCACCATGCCCTGCCATTAAGTAGATTCTTGATATTGTGAGTACTACACAGAATCCATGCCTTAATTCTCCAACTGAGGAGCATCCAGTCATTTCTAGCTCTTGTCTATTACAAATAAGGCAGCTATGGAAATTGTTGTAGAAGTCATTGTATGGGCATATGTTTTCATTCTTCTTGGATAAATACCTGAAAGTGGAATTGCTGGGTCATAAGGTAAATGTAACTTTAACTTGACAAGAAACTCTCCTGGGATTCTTTAAAAGGCTGTACGAGTTTGCACTTCCTTGTACCAGCCACGTATGAGACTTCCATTCACTCCACATCCACTCCAACAATTCGTCTTGTCGGTCTTTTTACATTAACCTATTGCCCAAAACCTGGTGGCTTAAAACAACCCTGCATTTCAGGAGGGGCTGACTGGGGTGGTTCATCTTTGATCCACAGAGTGTCAGTACAGACTTCCTCACTCCCACGCCTGGGGCTTGGGGGCTCCTTGGCACCCTTTCTCCTCTCTCTCTCTATAGCACCTCATCCTCTAATGTGAATGTGAAATGGTATCTCATTGTGTGTTTGGGTTTTTTTGAGACAGGGTCTTGCTCTGTAGCCCAGGCTCGTGTGTAGTGGTGTGATTAGAACTCACTGCAGCCTCAACCTCTTAGGCTCAAGTGATCCTCCCACCTCAGCCTCCTGAGTGGCTGGGACTACAGGCAAATGCCACCATGCTTGGTTAATTTTTTTATTATTATTATTTTTTATAGAGACAGGGTCTTACTATGTTGCGCAGACTAGTCTCAAACTCCTGAGCTTAAGTGATCTGCCAGCCTCAGCTTCCCAAAGTTCTGGGATTACAGGCATGAGCCACCGCTCCAAGGCCCTCATTGTGATTTTAATTTACATTTTCCTAATGACTAATGAGCACCTTTTTCTGTGCTTATTAACCATTTATTTAGCTTCTTCCATGAAGTGTCTGTTAAAGTGTTTTGCCTGTTTCTATGGGGTTGTTTTTCACTTCATTGTTGATTTGTAAGAGTCCTTTGTGTAGTCTGAACAGGAGTCCTTTGTGAGACATATGCACTGAATGTTTCCTCCCTGTTTGTGATTTGCCTATTTGTTCTCTTAACAGGACCACTTAATAAGCAATTTTTTTCATTTTATCAAATGAAAAAATTCAACTTTATCTTTTATGGCCAATGCTTTTTGTGTTCTATTTAAAAGACTCTTTGCCTACTCGATGGCCTAAAGATATTCTCCAATATTTTCTTTTAGGATGATGCTATCCAGCATGGTAGCCACTACCACATGTGACTGAGCCCTATTGCCCAAAACCTAGTGGCTTAAAACAACCCTCGCATTTCAGGAGGGGATGACTGGGGTGGTTCATCTTTGATCCACAGAGTGTCAGTACAGACTTCCTCACTCCCATGCCTGGGGTTTGGGGGCTCCTTGGCACCCCTTCTCCTCTCTCTCTCTATAGCACCTCGTCCTATAATGTCTTTCCATATGGCATGGGCTTCTCACAGTATGGTGGCCTTGGAGTACTTGGACGTTTCACATGGTGCCTGATCCCTAGAAAGAATGTGTCTCTTATGACCTAGATTTAGTAGTCCTAGGATGTCATTTCCACCTCATTTTATTGGTAAAGCAAATCACTACGACCAGCCCAGATTCAGGAGGTTAAGAGCAATAGACTTCATCTCTCAATCGGGTAATTCACAGACATATAGGGAGGAACGACACTGATAAAATGTTAGAACAGGCTACCACATTGACCTTGTATTCTGGGTTCTTGTTAAATTCATTTTTTATTTCTAGCAGTTGTTTTTGTAGACTCCATACTGTTTTTGATGTACACACCTGTGTCAGCTGCTAATAGCAACACTTGTACTCCTTTGTTTTCTCTCTGTGTGCCCAGTATGCCTCTTTCCTGCCTCATTGCACTGGTTGAGACATTTGGTACAATGTTGGATGAAAGTGGTAAGAAGGCACACTGGATTTGTCCCTGATCTTAGAGGGGAAGTGTCCAGTGTTTCATCATTTGTGTGACTGTCTGATTAGCAATTGACTCCAGTCAACTGAAAGCCAAGATTATAAGGAGGATGCCCATGGGCTCATCTTTATTTCGCCAGGGCTTGGCTCAATGCCAAGCACATATGAGGCACTCAAAACATATTTGTTGAATAAATAATCTTGACATGAATTTAGTCTAATCCAGAATGCAACTTGTGATGGTTAATTTCATGTGTTGACTTGACCAGGCCACGGGGTGCCCAGATAATTGATTGCACACTATTTTGGGGTATGTCTGTGAGTGTGTGCAGAGGAAGTTTGCATTTGAATCAGCAGAGTGAGTAAAGTAGATTACCCTCCTCAGTAAGGGTGAGCGTCCTGCAAGCTACTGAAGGTCTGAGTGGAACAAAGAAGCAGAAGAAGGGAGAATTCGCCCACTCTGCCTGGCTGCTTAGCCAGGACATTAGTCTTCTTCTCCTGCTCTTGGGCTGGGATTTCCAGCATTAGTGCTCCTGGTTCTCAGGTCTCTGGATTCCGACTAGAACTTACATCGCATTTCTCCAGGCCTCCAGTTCTTGGGATTTCCCAGCCTCCATAATCATGTGAGTCAATTCCTCATAATAAATCTCTTCATATTTATAAACAGTCCGCCACTTACCATGGTTCAACTTCAGATTTTTCAATTTTACAATGGTGTGAAAGTGACAGACATTCAGTAGAAACCATACTTTGAGTACCTATACAAACCTTCTGTTTTTTTACTTTCAGTATTCAATAAATTACATGAGATATTAGACACTTTATTATAAAGTAGGCTGTGTGTTAGATGGTTTTGCCAAGCTGTAGGCTAATCTAAATATTCCAAGCATGTTTAAGGTGGGCTAAGCCAAGTTATGATATTCGGTAGATTAGGTATATTAAATGCATTTTGGACTTACAATATTTCCAACTTAAATGAGTTTATTGGGATACAACTTCACTGTAAATCTAGGAGCTTATATTTATAAAACATATACATCTACATTTTTATATCTTCTATTGGCTCTGTTTCTCTTCAGAACCTTTACTAATACACTAGTCAAGTTAGTTATTTAACTCTCAGCTTAAGATTTTGGAGTTTTTAAAATCTGTAAACTAGGGATTTTGATAGCCTCTGCTCCCATATCACTAATATGAGAAAAGAAAAACACACATACTCCGAATGTTTTGGTTTTTTTTTTCCACTTGAAAAGAGACATCTAAGCATTTGTTTCAATGCTATGACCTACTGCTGAGGAGTACAAATGCTCAACCATTTCTACTATGTCTAAATATCAGCCACAAAGTGGTTTCTTCTACTGTGAAAATAAATGTCTCTGCACCTGCTGCTGAGCTGGAGACAGATGCTCATCTCCATAGGCAGGCATCACAGGAAACCAGAATTTTTCATCTGCCTAGGGCTCTCACCCAGTTCGCTTGAGCCCAGGAGCCAAACCAAATGAGATTTTGGAGGATGATGGAGTGTTGTCCCTTTCCCACCATGTTTTTTTTTTTTTTTTTTTTTTTTTTTTTTTTTTTTTTTTTTTTTTTTTGCTCTGATACACTGAAGATTGACTATGTAAAAATGAAAGCTAGGTTACGGCCCCTGAGAGCCCCGTCAAGTGGGCACAGGACACTTTTGGGCTCTTCTCGGTGGGCTCAGGGGGAGCACAGCTGTGGAATGTGAGATTAGGAGCCTGAATTCTTGCTTTGACACTTCACATTTGGGTGACCTTGGGAAAGCAAATTAACCTCTCTGAGCCTCAGTTTCCTCATCTTAAAATGAAGACATTAATTCTAACTTCCATGGATTTTTGTAGGGACTCAATGGCGTTACCTTTGTAAGAAGCAAAACAAGAACTTATCATGTATCACACATAGCAGGTACTTAATGGTGATTTTTGCTATTACTGTCATTATGATTAGTATTAGTATTATTAATTACTAAATAGATCCAGAATTTCACCTATTAGGGTTAAATTTTTGTCCTTCCCCCTCTGTATGTCTGTTCTCACACTGCTATAAAGAACTACCTGAGACTGGGTAATTTATGAAGAAAAGTGGTTTAATTGACTCACAGTTCCACCAGCTGTACAGGAAGCATGGCTGGAAGGCCTCAGGAAACTTACAATTATGGCAGAAGACAAAGGGAAAGCAAGTATGTCTTACCATGGTGGAGCAGGAAAGAGAGAGCAAATAATCGCTACATGCTTTCAACCAACTAGCTCTTTTGAGAACTCTATCACCAGAACAGTAAGGGGGAAGTCTGCTCCCATGATTCAATCACCTCCCACCAAGCCCCTCCCCAACACATGGAGATTACAATTTGACATGAGATTTGGGTGGGGACACAGAGCCAAACCATATCACCTTCCAACATCTCTTTGATTAGGAGATACTGACGGTCTCTGCTTTGAGATATGTTAGCACTGCTGCCCTTACTTTGCAGTTGGATACCTCTGTGAGTTGTTCGAGATGTTTCACATACGTTGTCTCATTTGCCTTTAACAGTTTCCATGCTCGGCAGGACAGGTGGCAAACTAATTCATTGAGAGAGAAGACGTTTTCAAATTTGCTGGGCTGAAGGGCCAGGAAGTGGTAGCCGAAGTCCAGAGCTTTTGGTTCCTCCTTCTCTCCTATTAGCCTAGCAGGAAAGTCTCATTAATGAACTTCCTTCCCATTTGCACCTGAGTTTCTTTCCTGCTGCTATTTAAATGAAAATTTTTGCCTTCTCCAGAGACACTGCCTTCCTATTGTAAAATATAGGATCAATGAATGAAGAATACACACAAAAACCCAAATGTATTTTAATTTACAAGCAGTCCGTGATCAAGGCAAAAGCTTTTCCTCTGAGAGCCAACTGGGACTGAACTAGAGGCTCAACAAAGCAGCAGAACATGTTCATGAGCCTCCTCTGCTCTCAGGGCTTTGTAACCGCTGCCCTAGGAGTACTTGGGGTGGGATGATTCTCTCTGTGGGCGTTGCAGGATGCTTAGCATTCTCTGCTGTCACCTGCCTCCAGCCTGGGCATAGCATTAGCATCTCTGAGCCGCCCTGGAGCCAATTCCAAATGCCTTTACATGGAGCAAGAACCACCCCCGGTAAGAACCACTGGACAATAATTCTCTTTGACAAATGATAGTCCTCATGTTGACAATACCATCTTTTTCCATCTTGGCTTTTGTTTTCTGAGGCAATGACTGACTCATTAGTATAGGTGTGCTCTGAAAACAGAGCCAGCCAGCTTTCAAATCACAGGCTGAAGCCATTTCCTTGCACTTAAAACACTCGGGCACCAGCTGCATTCTCCAGGAAGAACATTCTGTCTGACGTGCTTTCTCGCCAGCCTTTGAAAATCAAGCAAGTGCAAGTTCTATCAAGGGCTTAGCAGCCAGGGGTTAATCGTTTCCTTACAAATATTAGGTGGCAGTGTAGGTCTGGCAGCACCTCCCTAGAATGTGCCTATTCACACCAATGCCTCCCATGTGTGAACATGCGCTCACCAACTGGCGGAACCTTTAAAGCAGATCCCCAGAGGCCCCGTGAGCAGTGTTCTCTCTACTAGAAGTGTCCTTGCAAGGGAGAGAAGTGAAGTCTTCCAAAGAAGGGATTGCTCAGGAGACCGGCAACATGTAGCCACAGTAGAAAGCTAGCATCCAAAACTGGGTTTCTCTGCAGCCTCAGCCATCACTTCCCAGCTCTGTGCAGGCTGGCTGTCCTGCCCTCATGGTGGCTTCAAAATGCTAGATGTCCCAAAGCCTCTTCTGGGCCAGCCCAGCAGGAATGCAAAAATCCCCTGCTGGCAGAATCATTTTTATGAGAAATTAGTGATGTGTGTCTTCGAAGAGCTATGTTCCTTATCAGAGGGATAACCTTGAATGGCACCTGCCTTTTAAATACTTTACAATTCCAGCAGTCCCCTAGTCAGAACCCCACAGCCTTTATCACCAACCTCTCTGCCCACAGGTTGCAGGCAGACGCTGCCCCTCAAAGATGTGTTGTAAGAAAAATATCAGTGGAAGGAAATTGCTTATTGGCCACTCGACAGCTGCAAAGACAGCTCACTTGGTCTGATCGCATGTCAGCCCAAATTTCTTTTATGTCATAAGTTATTTATACCCCAGCCTGCGGTCTTGAGGGTGGTCACTTGTACTTTGTGAGAACATGAGGCTTTGGAGAAAGCAGAAAAGTCGCCTCCTGAATCTGGCATCTGCTTGGCAGGGTTCAATCAAACCACCTTGGAGCCAGGTTCGCCAGGCTAAGCAACTTAAAATGCCAGTGCCCAGTTAAGTCTGAGTTTCAGGAGAATGGCAAAGACTTCCCCAGTGATAATATGTCTCAGTTGCAACCCTACATGGCCCAAGGACCTCATGGCAAACTCACAGAGTCCTTCAAAACTATTCCTGGCTCACTAGCCCCCAGCTTTTCCACTGAAGAGGGAGGAGACTTATTCCCTCCTTGTGTTTAAGGTTATGTGTACTATATAGGCAACACCTAAACAGTAATCATCATAAGACACCCATGAGCACCCACCCATCATAAGGAAGTGAGCGTTGTTGGAAACTCCCTGTGTGCCCTTCCCTCTTCCAAGCCTCCTCCCAGAAGGAACCACTAGTCTAAAATGTATATTTTTTCGTTATCTTCTTTGACTTTTTCATTTTACTATGTCTAGATGGGCTCCTCAATGTTTATGGAGCATCATGTGTTATGAAATTTCTATTTCAAAAAACCATACTGTCCGTCTCTTCTATAACTGACTCATTGCATTCACCGGTCTCCTCCAATCAGGCGTCCGTGCTGCTGGGTGCAGCTGTGGTCCATTCATTTATACTGTGGACCCCACAGTGCATCCATTAATCTTGCTGCTGAATATTTGGGTCATCCCTGTATCTTGCTATTACAAGCAGTGTGGTTATCCACGTGGGTGCCTGTCTTCTGCTGCACACAAGCATGGTGTGCTCTAAGCATTCCCCTGGGAAGGGATCACTGAGTCACAGGTAGGTGCTTCTACTTTACCAAGCACTGCAAAGCTGTTTTCAAAGGGGTTGCTCCAGTTTCCATTCCCACCAGGATTGCTTGAGAGAACCACTTGCTGCAAAGCCTGGACAAAATAATCAGTCACTGATCACTGTCAGCTGGGGACAAGGGTGAGAAAGAGTATTTTACTGCAGTCTTGCTTTGCATTTTTTTAATTCAGTTTTCAGTAACGGATACTTTTCTAGGCATTTTTCCATGGTTTAGGATTTCAAGAAAGATAAAATTTACAAAAAAACCACTTTGTTCTATGAAAAGACCTTAAGATTGACAGAGAAAATATAATGATTAACAATATTAAAAATCAAACAGAAGAAAGAACTAGAAATATAAATTGATGGGTTAATAAGAAAATAGTACAATTACCCCACGCCAATACAGCTGAGCCCCAAAGGTACCTAATAGTGAATTTAGTGTTGGGACTCTCAGGGCTCCTCTTCCCCGGAACTTCCCTCCGTCCAGCGCCAAGACCAGGACGAGCAACTCCACGGCACCTCCTTTGGTGAAGTGAGTCAAATGAGTTTTGTTGTTGTTGTTTTGAGACAGTCTCACTCTGTCGCCCAGCCTGGAGTGCAGTGGTGCGCTCAATCTCAGGTCACTGCAGCCTCTGCCTCTCGTGTTCAAGCGATTCTCATGCCTCAGCCTCCCAAGTAGCTGGGATTACTGGGGCATGCCACCACGCCTGGCTAATTTTTGTATTTTTAGCAGAGATGGGGTTTCACCATGTTGGCAAGGCTGGTCTTGAACTTCTGGCCTCAAATGATCCGCCTGCCTCAGCCTCCCGAAGTACTGAGATTACAGGTGTGAGCCACCACACCTGGCCTGGTGACATGAGTCTTTATTCATCTAGTTTCCTCGCTGAGGATGCTGTCCGCCGGGGTCCTGACTTTAGGCCAGCATTTCCTCATTTATATCTCCGTTTTTCTGGGCCCAAGAGTAGCCCACGTTTCCTCCTTCAGGGACCCCTCCCATCCTGGCTCTAGAGAGTAGCGCTAGCTCACTTACCTCTTAGGATTAACTTACTCTCATAATTTCTGACGTCTAAGAATTTCCCTCATTTTCCCACCAATACCACTACATGCTGATGACTTTTTGGGGGGACATAGAAGTTTTCTTTGATTTTTGGTAACTCCTTTTTCATGCTAGCAAAAGCTTTTCATCATTCAAAAAACATGAAATGCAGAACCTAGAATAGCTAAAACAATCTCGAAAAAGAGGATTAAAATGGGAGGAATCGTGCTACCCAATGTTAAGACTTATTATAAAGCCATAGCAATTAAGACGGTGTGGTTCTGGAGGAGCGATAGACATAGATCAATGGAACAGAATAGAGAAGTTAGAAACAGATCCACCCAAATATGCCCGAGGGGTTTTGAAAAAGGTACAAAAATTATTCAATGGAGGAAGGACAGCCTTTTTAACAAATGGTGCTAGGGCGATTGATTCCGTATGCAAAAGTGAGCCTTAACCTAAACCTCATACCTTATACAAAAATCAACTCAAAATGGACCATTAACTTAAAAACATCAAACTCTAAGACTTTTAGAAAAGAAAAAAAAAGGAGAAAATCTTTAGGACCTATGCTCAGTGGAAAATTTTTAGACTTGACACCAAGAGCAACACTCAGAAAATGATAAATTGGACCTCAACAAAACGTAAAACTTTTGCTTTCAGGAAGACCCTGTTAAGAGGATGAAAAGACAAGCTATAGACTGGGAGGAAATGTTTGCAAACCATATATCTAACAAAGGACTCGAATCTAGAATATACAAATAACTCAAAGCTCAAGCATAAAACAAAAAATCTGTTAGAAAATAGCCAAAAGGCATAAAGGGACATTTCACTGAGGGGGATATTCAGATGGCCAGTGAGCATCGGAAACAACGTTCAGCATCATTAGCCATTCGGGAACCACAAAGGCAAACCACCAGGCATTACTACATATGTATCAGAAAGGCTAAGTTTTTTTAAATGTAATAACATCAAATGTTGTTGAGGATGTGGAAAAGCTGAATCACTTATACATAGCCGGTGGGAATGTCAAATAGCACAACCACTACAGAAAACAGTTTGTCATTTCCTACAACAGTAAACACTTACCCCAGGACACAACAGATTCACTCTCAGGCGTTTATCCCAGAGAAATGAAAACAACATTTACCCAAATATCCACCCACACATTTCCAAAGCAGCTTTAAAGTCATAATGGTCCCAAACTGAAAATAACCCAAATACCCTTTGATGCGTAAATGACTAAACAAACTGTGAGTACCTGGATGCAGGCTGTGGAATACTACACAGCAATGAAAAGGAGAATGTTTCAAATATGGGCAATGACTGGGAAAGAATTCAGCTGAGTGAAAAATGTCAATCCGAAAAGGTTCCATACTGTATGATTCTATACATATGTACAGCATTCTGGAAGTGACAAAATGAGAGATGCAGAACAGGTTAGTGGTTACTCAGGATTATGGAAGAGGGAGGGAGATGGATGTGGCCCTAAAAGAGCAGCAAAGAGATCCTTGTGGGACTGTCCTGTGTCTTGACCATGTGTGGTCAAAGGAACCTACACATATGATAAAACTCCATAGAAGTAACACATGCATGCACATACACATGCACACACATGCATACATACATGCACACATGCACACACATGCACACATGCATACATACTCATGCACACATAGATGCACACACGTGCACACATACCCACACATGTACACACGCACAATCACGTGCACACACACGCATACATGTACATGTACACACACGCACACACATGCACACACATGCATGCAAACGCACACAAGTACACACATGTGCAGGCACACCCACGCACCCACGCACACCCATGCACCCACGCACACACACATGCAAACAAGCACGTGCACACACATGCATGCACACACACGCACACACATGTATGCGTGCACGCACACGAGTGCATGAAAACCTGGCAACATCTGAATCCTGGTGTGATATTGTACTATAATTTTGCAAGATGTTACCTTTGAGGAAATTGGGTGTTGGGCACATGGGATCTCTCTGCAATATTTCCTAGAACTGCATGTGAATCTGTAATTACCTCAAAACTGAAAGTGAAAAGACAAGCATGAAATGTGACCCCGAAGATTATCATTATTAACATCTTGTGTGCTTCTCCTCGTCTCTCAGATAGATGAGTACTTTTAGTTAAGCAAAAGTGAGTTGCAAATACTATTTTGGAACCATGGAGTCAGGGTGCCCCTCACACACCCAATCCACTTTGTTGGACCCACAAGTTGTTTTCTCTTTATCTCCATTGTAAGCAGCACTGTGATGAAAACACTTGTAGATCCATCTCCCAACACAACAGTGATGCCTCCCTTCAGGCGAAGAGACTGGCTTATTTTCAACACTGTGTTTGTTCTTAATGAGGAGTGTCTTCTAGAGAAGCAAAGTTTAAAATTAAAAAGACAGCTGGGCACGGTGGTTCCTGCCTGTAATCCTAGCACTTTGGGAGGCCGAGGTAGGTGGATCACCTGAGGTCAGGAGTTCAAGACCTGCCTAGCCAACATGGTGAAACACGTCTCTATTAAAAATACAAAAATTAGTCGGGCATAGTGGTGGCCACCTGCAATCCTAGCTACTCGGAAGGCTGAGGCAGGAAAATCGCTTGAACCCGGTGGGTGGAGGTTGCCGTGAGCCGAGATTGCACCACTGCACTCCAGCCTGGGCGACAGACAAAGACTCTGTCTCAAAAAAAAATTAAATTAAAAAGACACATGGTGGCATGTGGAGGAATGGCTGGCTCTGTGCGGTGTCTAGGCAGCTCCTCTTTAGATGGAAGGCAGGTGCCTTTTTGTTGTGTGTGTTTTGCAAAGACTCACAGGCCAGTTTTATGGCTACGCTCCTTGACTTGAGTCTGCTCTGATGGACAGACCACAGATGGGTTCCCCCTTTGTCCAATTTCCAGTGTCTATTTGGAGGCTCCAGAGAACGATACACCGGGGAAAAACATGACATAAAATTAGCATGAGCTTATAGTTCCTCTAAAAACAAAATACAGATTCCTTCTCTGTACATCCAGGCACAAGGAGCAGGGAAGCCACCATGACGTCCCTTCTCATCCTAACTCAGGGGCACAATGGCCAACACTGCAATGCAAGACGATCATGCCCAGGCCACGCCGTCCTTCCCCAGGTTCCATGGAAAATCTTTGGTTTAAATGTCCAGGGGAGAAAGGAGAAAGAGAGGAAGGATGAGAGGAATGAAAGGAAGCTGCCCTTTCGAACCTCACAGTCATCTTACAATGGTTTTCAAAAATATACAATTTTTAATCATTTTAAACTGCTTTATTCATTTGTACAATCTTTTGTCAGACGATATCAAAGTCAACTCATTTTTTAATAAAACTAAAATTCAACATTTTTGCATGCAACTGATGACCCAATTCTCAGATCTGTCTGGGGCATGGTAGACAAGGAATCTGGGTCTAAATTATTAGAAACACACACACACCAGAAAATCCCTTCTGCTATCAGACTTAGACCCTAGATCCATGTATTACTCTTTAACCTTAGCTTGATTGGTCTCAATTCTCAAAACAATGCTCTGAGGCTCTATTAGCATCCCCATTTATAGACAGGGAAACAGGCAGACAAATAACTTGGACAAAAGGCCAGTCGGGGCAAAACAGTTTGCTCAGAGGAGCATGGACACCCAGCTTCTCTCCTTCTCAGAGACTGCTTTTGAGGAATCGCCTATGCAGCTCTGGGTCCCCTGGAGTTAGTCCAGGCAGTGGGAAGTCAGGAAGGAGATTTAAGGCAACAAGATCTGGGACTCTCCTAGCAGCATGGAAGAGTCTGTCTTTTAACAGAATGGTGGTTTGATGAATGCTTTTTTGATTCTCATATCAGACCAAATTTTAAGAGCCCGTGGCCAAAATCCACACAAAGATCCCACTTCGTGTGATTCCCTGAGACCAGCAAAGATGCCAGCTGAAAGCCCACGTGGCAGACCCAGGAATCCAGGGAATCTGCATTCCAGGGTCAGCAGTCAAGGCCCACAAGAGGGAAGGTTAAAACCCAGGGCTTTGAAAATTCATCGGACAGGTCCTCCTGTTGTTGCATATTGGGCCACAAGGTAGGTGGGTGATGAGCAGTGACGAAGGGCTGTGAAGACGACGTAACCGATGGCCACTGCCAAGCGGCAAGGCCCGATTTCTGTTTGGCACCGCTCTCTGCATTCCTTACCATTCCCCATGACCTAGGCACAGGCCCCAGTCTGCCTTCACCATGGGGACACCTCAGGACGTGCCAGGTTTCCATCTCTAAAGTGGGAAATTTCACAGGCACATTCCATAGAATTTCATGTCCTCTGCCCCTGTGATGTCAAATTCACCCATGTTTTACCTATATGTTGTTCCTGGCTTTGTTAAAAATTCAAAGAAAATATCCCATAATACAGGGACACCTGTTCTCAGAGGTTGCTGTGTTATTCACTGGTCAACACTACACCATTTCCCTTCTTTCTTTCTTTCTTTCTTTCTTTCTTTCTTTCTTTCTTTCTTTCTTTCTTTCCTTCTTTCTTTCTTTCATTCTTTTCTTTCTTTCTTTTTCTTTTCCTCTCCGTTTCTGTTTTTTAAAAAATTTAACTTTGTGCTATTCATACTCCTCTCATCTCCCCGCCAAATCTCATAACAAGGAATTTCAGAAGCATTTCACCCTTTTATCTGCACTTAAGGGCTTTTGATCTATTACCTTGGAGGGGTTATTTATCTGCCACTGTAGCCTCCTCGCAGGAAAAGTGGTCCAAGGAGGCTGACCTAGAACTGCTTGCAGCTTCTTCAAGGAGCCCCTGCTAGCACACCCCACCCCCAGATCAATTTGCAATTTATTTGCACTCTGAGGCTAAATGCTATTTCAAAGATATGTCAGCTTCCACCCCAGGGTGGTTCATCATCTTCTGGAAATCTGGGTGCCTCTCGTCCCTGGCTTTGATTTTGCCATTGCGTGAGGTGCAATCCTTTCCCTCATGGAGGCCAGGGTCACCCTCTGCCTCCAGAGGACAACAATGAGAATGACGCAGTGGCCTCAATGTTGCTGGGGACTGTGCTAAATACAGACATCTGGGCTCCGTCCCCAGTAAAGTCCCACAGCTCCAGCAAGTATGGGTGGGGCCTTGTCAACCAGCTCCCGGGTCTGATGGAGGTGGTCAGTTGGTCACTGAATCTCTGAGTAGCTCTGGTCTAAGCCACTCTGACAGGCACTCGTCTGGTCTATTTTATGTCACTAATAAAACTATTTTTCACCTGCCACTTACTGAATTGTCACTGGTAAACATTCACTGTGCACCTGTTGGGATCAAGCCCTGCAGCATGAAAAAGTTATCATCAAAGGCCACGGAGGCTGCTCCAGCCCTGGAGACAGTCGTGCAGACATCACACATATCAACAAACCTTTCCTTGTGTGGGGTCAGACCATGAGCTCAGTGGCCAGCCACACAGGTTTAAATCCTGATGCCTCCCCTTGCCAGCTGTGAAATACTTTGACAGGTGAGGTAGCCTCCCCGAGCCTCAGTTTGTCCATCTGTGGAATGTGCATTATGACACAGCACACGGGGTCACTGTAATGAAGATGAGACGGGAATTGCAGGGCACTTGGCAGAGCTGTTGGCATCAGTCAGTGTGATGTTGTCAAAGCTTTGCAGCATAGATGGGGCTACAAAATCAAGACTTTCAAAATCACAGGGCTCTTCCTGAGAGCCCGCTGAAGGCGTTACAGGCACTGGTACTGGTATTTACCCACGGAAGGAGCCCTTCACCAGCCAGAAGGCAGAGGCTTGGTGCCCCTAAACGCTGGGGCCCCTTGCAGGCTCCTAGTTCGAAGCTGTGATGTTTGAGGGGACTTTGCAGCCTAGAGCCAGCAGCAGCTTCTGACAAGGAAGGGGCACATTGAGCTTCCTCCGTGGAAAATCGCAGGAACCCCCACCCACGCAGCCACTCGCAGAAGCCCCCACCCACACGGCCACTCGCAGGAGCCCCCACCCTCACAACCACTTGCAGGGAGCCCCCCGCCCACACGGCCACTCGCAGGAGCCCCCCACCCACGCGGCCACTCGCAGGAGCCCCCACCCACGCAGCCACTCGCAGGAGCCCGCCTCCCACACGGCCACTGGCAGGAGCCTCCGCCCACGCGGCCACTCGCAGGGAGCCCCCCACCCACGCGGCCACTCGCAGGAGCCCCCACCCACGCGGCCACTCGCAGGAGCCCCCCACCCACGCGGCCACTCGCAGGAGCACGCGGCCACTCGCAGGAGCCCGCCTCCCACACGGCCACTGGCAGGAGCCCCCGCCCACGCGGCCACTCGCAGGGAGCCCCCCACCCACGTGGCCACTCGCAGGAGCCCCCGCCCACGCGGCCACTCGCAGGGAGCCCCCCACCCACACGGCCACTCGCAGGGAGCCCCCCACCCACACGGCCACTCGCAGGGAGCCCCCACCCACGCAGCCACAGCACCTTGTCGGAACTGATCGGAGCTGGGTGATAAGGTGTGGATCAGTGAAACATCTCTGGTGTTTTTCCCCATTTCAAATGATCTGATCTTCCCAATGAGTCAAATCTGAGGAGCAGCCTTTTAGAAAGAAGACTAGGAACTCAGAAATCACAGGAGGCAACAACGTCCTTTGAAGAGCAAAGATAAGCCACCCCTTTCCTGCCCCGACCCAGCTACAGGGACACGCAGACCCCACGGCGAGAGGGCCTAGAGGAGGCTGGCAGCCCAGGCTGCTCTGCAAAAGGAGAGTGTGGCAGCACAGAGACCTGCCCGCAGAGGCGACGGTGAGGACACAGGCTCATGAGAGGCCAGAGGACTCCTGACTGGACCCAGGAAGAGTCGGGGGGAGTCCCACCTAGACAGGAGGGAGTGCAGTTAGAGCCCAGGCTGGCACGAAGACAGTCACATCCTGCCCCATTATTTGCAAACCTGGTACCTTCCTGAGTCACTCCAGTAGTGACCACAAACCGGGCAGAGCTTAGAATAATGAAGTCCAAACTCAAGGTGCCAGCCAGGCCACCTCCCTCCGCCACAGGGACATGCAGGCCCTCGGGGAGGCTCCTCTTTGCCTCTCAGAGCCTCCGTTGGCTGCTGCCAGTCCCTGGCGTCCACAGCTTGTGTGGCTGCATCCGCCCAGGCTCTGCCTCCGTCTTCCCTTCTAAGGACACAGTCATTGGATTTGGGGTCCACATGGATCATCCCCGAAGATTTCACCTCGAGATCCCTAATTACATCTATAAAGACCTTTTTTCCAAATAAAGTCTGTTAAAATAAAAACGTCAGCCGAATTACATTTAAAGGAGTTTAATGGAGCAATGAACATTCGTGAATCAGGCAGCCCCCAGAATCTCAGCAGATTCAGGGAGACTCCAGGGGTGCCTCGTGGTCAGAACAAATTTATAGACAGAAAAGGGAAATGATGTACAGTAATCAGCACTGAGGTACAGAAACACTTGGACGGGTTACAGGTTGGTGTTTGCCTGGAACACAGTTCAACACTCAGCAGTCTATGAGAGGTTGAAGTATGGCTGCTGGGACTGGCCAAGATTCAGCCACTGTTACCGGTGCCTACTCCTAAGTTAGGGCTTCCAACTCCTCTACCCATTAAGTGAGGCTGCACTCAAATATAGAAGTACAGAGTCCTTCTCAGGCCATATTTAGTTTGCTTTAAAAATTCACTTCCACAGGCTCTGGATGAACTTACAATTTGGGGGGTGGGTGGTGGCCACCATTCAACCTACTGCAGGGGGCTCCTTTACCATGCTCAGCCTCGGTTTCTACATTTCAAAAGTAAGAGTAATAACAGTACCCTCCTCAAGGAGTCGAATGAGTTTCATGAGCAAGGCTATGTGTAAATAAAGCCCCAGAACATTCTGCCTTACCTGGGAGCTTGTTAGGAACGCAGCCCCTCAGCTGGCCCCAGACAATAGACTCAGAAGGTGCATTTTCATAAAATCTCGGATGATTTCTGTGCACACCCAGGTGTGAGGGTCCCTGCCTTCTAACAACACGCCAGGTACCTAGGCAACACTCAGGCACATCCGCAGCTACTGCCCACATGGCAGTTCCAGGAGGGATTCCAGAATCACAACCTCAAGCGTCTCGACTTCTCCGTGAAGCTCACAGGCATGGGTTTTTCACACTATGACTTCCATTTATTTTTGCGGTAACAAGCGCAGCTACTTTTTTTTTTTTTTTTTTTTTTTTTTTTTTTTTTTTTTGCACATAGCTTGTTTTTAGTTCTTAGGGCTGGATATTTGTATGTTGGGTTTTTTTTATTTTAATTTTTAAGTTCTGGAGTACATGTGCAGGACGTGCGGGTTTGTTACATAGGCAAACATGTGCCATGGCACTTTGCTACACCTATCAACCCATCCCCTAGGTATTATGCCTCACATGCATTAGCTATTTATCCTGATGCTCTCCCTCCCCGTTCCCCCACAACAGGCCTCAGTGTGCATTGTTCCACTCTCTGTGTCCATGTGTTCTCATTGTTCAGCTCCCACTTACGAGTGAGAACATATGGCGTTTGGTTTTCTGTTTCTCTGTTAGTTTTCTGAGGATAATGGTTTCCAGCTCCACTCATGTCCCTACAAAGGACATGATCTTGTTCCTTTTCATGGCTGTGTAGTATTCCATGGTGTCTATGTACCACATTTTCTTTATCTAGTCTATCATTGATGGGCATTTGCGTTGTTCCATATCTTTTCTATTGTGAATAGTGCTGCAATGAACACACTCGGTGTGGCGATTCCTCATAGATCTGGAACCAGAAATACCATCTGACCCAGCAATCCCATTACTGGGAATGATTTATATACCCAAAGGAATATAAATCATTCTATTACACAGATACATGTGCAACTACTTTTGAAAGTTCTCTTTTCAAAAGAGTTTCTTCTGGGTTACCACTTTTATGAGACTAAAAAAAGAAAAATTATACTTTTTTAAAATTAAATACTATCCAAACTAAAAATACATTGTTATTAATGGTGCCATTGCCTGGTGTTATGTTTCTTTCCCCAGGGGAATTATTTTCAGGGAAGAAAATCATAATTCCCTCAATGAGCCCTGGGTTTGGGTCTGTGCTGGGCAGGTGACACGCCCTGTGCCACACTGAAGCACACCCAAGGAGGGTTGCATCCAACGGCTCAGAGCAGACAGGCTCATAGACCTGTAGACTCAGCGCCAACCCTCTGTCCAGCCTGCTTCAATAAGTGCCTTAAAATCATCTCTTCAAGACATGTAACCCCTCCCGCCAACCACTTCCATCATTAAACATTATACTCAAACCTTATGCTCTTTAAGTATTTTAGCTCCTGTTGGAACGTTTTATACCTTCAATAATAAAAGGCTAAGGTTTTTCACTACCTACAATATGCGTCTCTTGATAAAAATTTCCAGCCTTTATCTCCTCCTCAAAGGAACATAATTTAAATATGAATAATGAAAAATACTTCCAGAAACGTAAACTCAATAATGCTTTCTGAGGTGCAAACTGCTTAATGTGAAACTTGGATGCAACACAAAAGAACTGAATGTTAGCAAATTATGCTTCCTGACTTGGCATGTAATAAAATTCTCAATGGGCCTGGCAGCTGGTGGCAGGAGGGACGATGGCAGTGAGGAGAGCATGACTTTTTAGGCTATTTGCGAGGGTGAGTGCAGGCAAGATGTTCTGGCAAGCCTTTGGAATTAAAATGGCAATTCTAAACACCTTTTCATCACATGCTTTAATATTATACACATTCTTACTCTTTTAAGGAGATGAATTTTCAGAGAGAATCAATGTGTTAAAAAGCCGAAGTGTAAATTTATTCCTTTGCTATTAAAAAGAACACATCTTGCATAAAAGTTATTTATGGGAAAGTAAGGAAATTCTAATTTAAGCCAGGCCTTTGAATGTCAGCTGGCCTCTCTCTCTCTGCTCTCTCTTTTCTTCTCTCTCTCTCTTTCCTGCCCCCACCCGCAAATAATAAGCATATGATTTAATTCTGCATAGAACTAAGTAGAATGTTCCTTTTGCCAGTGTCATGGAATATCTGTGATTGAAGCCTTTCCGGGTTTATGACACTTTGGGAGGCGTTGCCCACAGACAGACCTCAGGGGGCTCGTCCGACACCTCCCAGAGTCACCATGACATCCCCAGTCTCCTGTGTCCATTCTCATTTTCACACTAAAGGCAAAGGAAGCTTACATTTGACCCTAGTAAATGCACCTATCAAACTGTGTTTGTCATTGTGTTTTTCTGAGTTCAAGCGAAGAGAAGAAAACCCGCCTGCAGAATTTGAGAAGGACCATCTGCGGAGGAGGCTGAGCAGAAGCACCAAGTGTGCTGGATTCACCAAATCTTCAAGCTCCTTCCTGGGTTCCTCCCCAGCTCTTTCTATATCCCTTGCTCTATTTAATCACATTGTTTATGGTAACAGTTGCGAGAAAGAGGATTTGTTTAACACTAAGTGTTTCACACCTTGGGTAAAGGAGTTCATGCTCCAATTCTATTTCAGGCTTTATTTATGAATGTGCAGCTTTCCAAGGGTGCGGGGTGTGACAGCCAGCTGTGTGCCTCTTTTTAAAAAGGCAAGTCTCTCGTTGACAAGAAAGGTTTATTGACACACATTGAAGGACTGCTTTCCTTTTGTATTAAGAGTAGCACAACTAGCTGCGCTCCTAGCAACACAAACATTTTCTGCCCGTAGAAAATGTTTGCTGAGAAGATGGATCAACTATAAGACTTAATGACTGGGTCAAAACAGTTTCAACAAGTGGGGAAAGGAGTACAATCTTTCTCACTCTGCAAAAGAAAGCCACAATTTTTTTTTTTTTTTGAAAGATGGCAGCTTGGCCCACCAGTTCAATCACCTATTAAAGCCACTGTGCAGGGGACAGGTCCAGGGTGCAACGGCCTTGTGCAATTGCAAACCCAGGTGGGCATGAAATGTAATCAAGTTAAAGTTCAGCCATTGCAAGGCCTCTCTCCAACACCGAAGGTGTTACAAAGATGACAATAATCTTAGGAAAAGCAGAGACGTTGGAAAGACACCTTGTTCTTCAGTTTTTGCTGACATGACCTCAGTCTAAGCCAACAGGTATAATCACAATACTACTGCTCCTGCGGATGACCCATAGGCCCTTCCCCAGGGTTAGAAAAATATTCTCTCCCTCCTTCCCACTTTCCCTCCTTCTCTCTCTCTCTCTCCCTCTCTCCCCCTCTTTCTCTCTCTCTCTCCCCCTCCCTCTCTCTCCCCCTCCCTCTCTCTCCCCCTCTCTCTCTCTCCCCCTCCCTCTCTCTCCCCCTCCCTCTCTCTCCCCCTCCCTCTCTCTCCCCCTCCCTCTCTCTCCCCCTCCCTCTCTCTCTCTCCCTCCCTCTCTCTCCCCCTCCCTCTCTCTCCCTGTATTAATCCATTCTCACACTGCTATAAAGACATACCTGAGACTGGGTATTATAAAGAAAAGAGGTTTAATTGACTCACAGTTCCACATGTCTGGTGAGGCCTCAGGAAACTTACGGTCATGGTGGAAGGGGAAGAGGCATGTCCTACATGGTGGCAGGTAAGAGAGAGAGCAAGCAAGAACAGGAAAACTGCCTTATAAACCCATCAGACCTCATGAGAACTCACTCACTATCATAAGAACAGCATGGGAGAAACTGCCCCCATGATCCAGTCACCTCCCACCAGGTGCCTCCCTGGACACATTTGAGATGAGATTTAGGTGGGGACACAGAGCCAAACCATATCAGTCCCTCTCTGTCTCCTTTCCTTCTTCTCTCCCTCTCTCTCTCCTTCTCTGTCTCCTATCTTGCCTTTCTCTCCTCCTGTCTCCTACTCTTCCTCTCTTCCTCTCTCTCTCTTCCCCCCATTTCTTCCTCCCTGCTCAATAATGTCTCTCTAACCCTTTGGCTCCCTTGGTTTCTCTCTCCTTTCTTTCTCTTTCTCATATCTCCTTCTCCCTTCCTCTCCTCTGCCCCCTCCATACTCCTCTCACCTTCATAATCTCCTTCTCTCCCCCATCTCTGGCCACCACACAGCAGCCCATGAAACTGCCCACACTTGCAAACTGAATCAGAAGCAAACTTGTCATTGCACTATTTCTACCCCCAGCTTTGCACATGCCCCTGAGAAGGAGGCACAATGGCCCAGCTACCTTCTCGGGCCTGTTCATGCCAATGTTGGCAGGATGTTGATGTCCAACTGGACAAAGACCCCTGAACACACAGCAGGGAGCAAGTTGCTTCCTCCCTTGTTGCTGTAAGGGAAAACTCACACTATGGAGAACCAGGAGGGCCCCCAACACAGAATGACGAAGCACGTGGGGAAGGATGGGGGCCTAGCTGGGGCTTCAGGTCTAAGGAGGTGGATCTGCATTGGGTGCTGTCAGAAAAGGGACCAATTCTGTGACTGGGGGTCTCAATCAATCATATCTGGGGAGGGTGGGCCAGAGGGAGGATCCAGCTGTGTGATACAGCAGCAACTTCCACTGGTTCATGGGGTGTGGGTGGCACAGTGAGCTTGCTTGCCATGGACATTCTTCAATATTGTTTGTGTCATGTTGGATGGGGAGCAACAGAGCTCAGCTGTCAGCAGTGGACAGTTTGTCCTAGCATTGGGGTCAGACCAGTTCTGGGACAACAGCAGCTGCTATGTTTTCTTTCTAGAATGTAAGAAAGGAAAATTCCAAAAGCTAAACACCCACTGACATCCCACAAAGATTTCCTTCCACACCAACTCCATTAACTGGGTTGCATGTTGAAGACAAGTGACTGTGCCCTCACATCCCCACCGCACTTGTTATGTGGTGGAATTTTTTGAGAGCAGAAGAAAGTAGCCTGTTGGTGAATGTGAAAGGGCTCTGAATAACCTGGAGTGGAGAGCATGAGGGTCTGCCTGTGAGCATCCCAGTCAGCTATTCCCACTCAGTAGCCACGGGCAAGAAACTTAGGTCCCTGGTGCAGGTTGGTCCCCTTTGCAGTGGGCATGAGAAGTGGTCACTTCAGTCTCTCCACTCTGCCCCAGTGCACCCTGGGCCTTTGTGTGTTTAGGCAAAACTCTCCAGCCAGAGCCTTGGAGGCTGGCACTGAGCTCTAGGGTTCTCTCTAGCATCCTCGGGTCTCTGTTCTCTGCCTTTGCATCTGTGCCTTTAGCTTGCCAGAGGAGTTCCTCCCTTTTTTCACAGAGATGACTCCAGCCTGTCCATCCTAAAGGTATCACCTCCTGCAGGATGCTCTCTGTACTCCCTGGCCCCCACAGCCCCTGTGGTCAGGGGGCTGCGACGTGCCAGAGGTCATCCTGTCTCTTCCCCTCTGGCTGATCCTGGGAGAGTAAGCTGTGTCCCTCTCCCCTCAGCAGCAGGGCTTTCCAAGGGAGACACCACGTCCTTGGGCTTCAGGACCCTGGCCCTGGCCCTGGCCCTGGCCCTGAAGGATGCTGTCCCACCCATCTCTCCCCTCCCTTCCCATACCTTACATTTCAGGAACCCAAAGATAGGCTGTGGAAAAGCAGAGGCAGATGAGTGACAGATGAGCCCGGTAGGAGGCACGGGGAGGCGTTCTGGGCTGGCTGCACCATGGTGGAGGGGTAGCAGCCATATTCTGCCAGGACCACTGCACCTGGATTATAGCTCAGGTCTTCTCTTCCAGGCCCTCAACCCATCACCCCGTGTGTTTTTAACTCAGAAACCCCCCACAGAGGATCAGGGTCCTCTCTGATATTCTAACGGACTCCACCCTCCTCCTAGAAGTGTCCTCCTCTTCTCATGGGTCTGCCCATCACATGACCATCTGAACCCCACCCCGCCCCCCCAGCACGCACTACACATACTCACACGAGCCTGGGCATGGGTGAGCATGGGCCCCAGGCAGGACCCTGGCATAAGGCTGCCACCCCCAAGGGAGAAGGAGGCCTTGGTCTGAGACTGCAGGGACCAGGGACCACATAGCTTGGAGCTGCCCTCACAGAGGTGGGGGCCTGAGCACAAGGTAGGAGAGGCAGCAGCCAGAAGCCATGAGGTCAGCCCAGGCTGAGCCCTCTCACCAGACTGTTCTGTCGAAAATGCCAATGTGTGCCGTCTTTATGCTTCGTGTTTATTTTTACTTTGCATTGTGTTTCTATCACTTGAAACCAAAAGCCCCAGGCCTCACACCCTTGAGTGCAACCAGAGCATTTGGAAATCCAGGCACCATTGAGAATTCTGGTCAGAGCATGAGGAGAAGCTTCCTGCATGGCTTGGTCTCATCCAGGTAGTTCCAGCAACTGGATCACAGGTTTCCAAGAGAGGCAGAGACAGAGAGAGATTTCAGCCAGCTCCATGCAGTCTGAGTGGAGGAAACTTCCTC
The DNA here is from genome assembly GCF_000001405.40 of Homo sapiens. Taxonomy (NCBI): domain Eukaryota; kingdom Metazoa; phylum Chordata; class Mammalia; order Primates; family Hominidae; genus Homo; species Homo sapiens. The sequence continues at coordinate 61,032,104 of NC_000020.11, forward strand.
CAACTCCTAATCGATAAGTGCATATTGAAAGACAAGAGAGATCTATATTCAGTATGAATAGCATCCCAGTGGTTCTTTCCCAATAGGCCTGGACTAGCCGACTGCGTACAGATCGAGTCCAGGCATGGAGAGACCATGCACAGTGGCTCATGCCAGAGTCCACTGTTACTCACTTGGACCCAGAGGGCCATCCGTCCTGATTCAATAGCAAACACTGTCCTTTGTCTGAAAGTCAGGAAGGAGCCCAGGATTCCCTGAGTCTCTAAACAGCAGGCCTGGGAAATTCCAAACCAAGGCCTGTGCTTATATGTTTAATTCAATGCATGTTGTAACAATATATAACAATATAGAATTACTATGGTAGGAATTGAGTCAGTCAATTCGAGTTGATTTTTTTAATCCCCTGCTCACAGCGAGTACAGTGCCCAAGGCGTTTAATGAATATTTAATGCATTGAAGGTTCGGAATAACACTTTATAGAAAAAGTTTTAGGGTTTAGGATAATATATGGAAACTGCTATGTTACTCTGTTACTTTGTCCACGTGATAATTAAAACACAAACGTACCTGAGACCCATCATTTTACCTTAAAGTGATGAGTTTTGAGAATTTACTTATGGCTTTTATTTTCTATTTCACATCCATACACTTTGATTTTGATGCCTCTACAAAGATGACTTCTTTCTGCTTTGGGTTTTCATTTCCAGCTTTAAGTGCTTTTGTTCCTGACTCTACCCACTCCATGTTGTGTGCTTTTCAGACATGACTGGCTATGAGACTTGCTTGTTACTGGGTGAAAATGCACTTTCTCTGGTCCACCCCAGATGTATAATGTCAGGGTCTATAGAGATGGGATCCAGTAATGTGCCTGTCTACCAAATTCTTCATCCCCGCTCTGGGGTTCCAGCAAGTTCTGTTTGCACAAAGAGGCAATGATACGTAAAGTAAACTTTTTATCCATTGTAGATTCTTAAACCTATGGGAATATTACAAGGGGAGATTCTCAGTGGAATTTTCAAATATAGAATGAAATGTATTTGCATTTAAAGTCACATTCTTACATATTAGTTGAGTGACTATTCAAGTCCAGGCCCTGAATCAAGTACAGATTTTACATTTAGACCTGTGATATGTTAGGTTAATTTTGTGGAAGGTGGAATGTCTGTGTCTAGATTAGTTTTGAGCATGTGCAAGTTAATTTGTTCCAGCTTCATTTCCTGAAGAGACTCTCCTTCCTCCATTGTATGGTCTTGTCTTCTTTATTTGTTTGGGTTTATTTCTGGCCTCTATTGTGTTCTATTGATCTATTTGTCTATTCTATTTTCAACACCACGCTTTCTGGATGATGACTCTAGCTGTAGAGCAAGTCTTGAAGTCAAGCAATGTTGTCCTCTGACTTTGCTCTTCTTCAACATTGTGTTGGCTGTTCTGGGTCTTTTGCTTCTCCACATAAATTTTAGATTCAGTTTGTTGATTTCTACAAAAGAGCTTGCCAAGATTTTGATTGGGTTTGAATTGATTCTATGGATCAAAGTGGGAAGCATGGACACCTATACAATACTGAGTCTTCCAATCCAGGAAGACAGAATATCTCTCAATGTATTTCGATCTTCTTTAGTTTTATCACCGTTCTGTAGTTTTCCACAAATAGTGCCTGTTCATATTTTGTTATACCTAAGTATTTTATTATTTGGTGCTATTTTAAATAGTAATTTTTAAGTTTCAAATTCCAATTGTTCATTATTGGTATATAGGAAAGCAATTTACTTTTGTATATTAACATTATATCCTGCAACCTTGCTATACTAGTCTATCACATCCAAGAGATTTTTGTACATTCTTTGGCATTTTCTACATAGGCAACTGTGTCATCTACAAAGGTAGTTTTCTTTCTTCACAACCTGTATATTTTTATTCCCTTTTCTTGTCTTATTGCATTAGTTGGGATCAGTATGCTGTTGAGTACAAGTGGTGAGAGGCAACATGGTTGCCTTATTCCTTATTTGAACAGGAAAGAATTCAGTTTCCCACCAATGAGCATCATGTCAGTTGCAGTTTTTTTGTTGACATTCTTTATCAGGTAAAGGAAGTCCCTCTCCATTCCTGCTTTGCTGAGGATTTTTATCATGAATGGATGTTGCATTTTGTCAAGTACTTCTTCTGCATCTGTTGATGTAATTGCATGACTTCTATTCTTTAGCCTGTTAATGTGATGACTTGTATGAACTCATTTTCAAATGTGAAATGAGCCTTGCATATTTGGGATAAATCCCATTTGGTCATAGTGTGTAATTATGTTTATACATTATAGGATTCAATTTGCTAATATTTTCCTGAGGATTATTGCGTTTAAGTTCATAAGAGATGTTGGCCTGTAGTTTTTCTTTCTTACAATGTCTTCATCTGGTTTGGGCATTAGGATAATGCGGGCCATATAAAATGAGTTGGGAAGTGTTCTTTCTGCTTCTGGGAGAAATTATGGAGAATTGGTATGATTTTGTCATTAAATGTTTAGTAGAATTCATCAGTAAACCAATCTTGGACTAATGCTTACAGTTTTGGAAGGTTATTAATTATCTATTCAAATTATTTTATAAATGTAGGCCCATTTATATTATCAAATTATCCTTGTGTGAGTTTTGACAGTTTGTATCTTCCAAGGAATTGAATGGTCATTTCATCCAAGTTATCAAATTTCCAGGCATAGAGTTGTGGTGATATTTCTATAATCCTTTTAATGTCCATGAGATCAGTAATGATGCCTCTTCTCTCATTTCTGATGTAAGTGATTTGTGACTTCTCTATATTTATCTTGGTTAACCTGGCAAGATGACTATCCATTTTATTAATCTTTTCTAAGAAACAGCTTTGGGTTTTGATTTTCTCTATTAGTTTCCTGTTTTAAATGTTATTGATATATGCTTTAATGTTTATTATTTTTCTACTGCTTGCTGTAGGCTTAAGTTGTTCTTGTTTCTCTTTTTCTGAAGAAGCAGCTTATATTATTGATGTTTTGTTTATTTTCTAATATATGCATTTACTGCTACAAATTTCCCTCTAAGCACTGTCTTCTTTGTATGTCACAAATTGTGATGCTATATTTGTATACTTCTGTTTAAAATGTTTTTTTTAATTTAACTTGAGATGTATTCTTTGACCCACGTGTTATTTTAAAATGTATTATTTCATCTCCAAGTATTTGGGTGTTTTCTGACTGTCTTTCTGATATTGATTCGTAGTTTAATTCCGTTGTAGTCTAATGACACACTTTGTGTGATTTCTGACATTTTAAATTGGTTAGCGTTTGTTTTATGGCTCATAATGTGGTCTGTCTTGGTGAATGGTCCCCACTAGCTTGAGAAGAAGGTGTAGTCTACAGTTATTGGATGGAGAATTTCTTAAATATCAATTAGATCAAATTGATTGATGGTGCTATTCAGTTGAACTTCAGTTAATCCTTAATGATTTTCTGCCTGTTTAACCTATCAATTACCAATAAAGAGGTGTTGAAATCTCTAATTATAATAGTAGATTTGTCTATTTCTTCTTGCAGTTCTACCAGCTTCCTGCCCTACCTATTTTGAGGCTCTCTTGTTAAGTGTGTAGACCTTTAGGGTTGCTATGTCTTCTTGGAACATGGGTCTTTTTGTCATTACACAATACCACCCTTTATCCCTGATAATTTTCCTTTTTTCCTTCTTCTGATGTCTGCTTTGCCTGGAAGTAACACAGCTATGCCAGTTTTCCTTTGAGCTTTAGCATGTTATATCTTTCTTAATCCTTTACTTTTAACCTGTCTGAATCATTACATTTAAAGTAGGTTTCTTACAGAAAAAATATAGTTGGGCCTTCATATTTCTTAATCTATTCTGATAGTCTCTGTTCTTTAATTGGTGCATTTAGACAATTCATATTTAAAATGATTATTAATATATTTGAATTAATGTCTACCACATTTGCAACTCTTTTCTATTCTATACATTCATCCTTTATTCTCTCCCTATATTTTTTGGTCTTTGCTGGTTTTAACTGAGCATTTAATATGATCACATTACATCTCCTTTCTTAGTATGTAATTGTACTTCTTTATAATATTTTTAATGACTACCCTAGTATTTCAACTGACATACATTTTTAACTATCTAAGTCCACCTTAAAATAACAGTATACTAGGCCGGGCGCGGTGGTTCACGCCTGTAATCCCAGCACTTTGGGAGGCCAAGGTCAGCGGATCACAAGCTCAGGAGTTCAAGACCAGCCTGGCCAATATGGTGAAACCCCGTCTATACTAAAAATACAAAAAAAATTAGGTGGGTGTGGTGGCACTCACTTGTAGTCCCAGCTACTCGGAAGGCTGAGGCAGAAGAATTCCTTAAACCTGGGAGGCGAAGGTTGCAGTGAGCCAAGATCGTGCCACTGCACTCCAGCCAGGGTGACAGAGTGAGACTCTGTCTCAATAAATAAATAAATAAATAAATAAATAAATAAATAAATAACAGTATACCACCTCACAGTACAGGTGCCTTATAACCATGTATTCTCGATTTCTTCCTCCTATCTTCTCTAACATCACTGCCATTCCTCTCACTTATTCATATGCTGTAATCACCCAATACATTGCTACTATTATTTTATTTTAAACCAACAACTATTTTTGGATCAACTAAGAAAAAGAAAATTAAATTTTTTTTTACCTTCATTCATTACTGCTCTGATGCTCCTCATTTCTTTATGTAGATCCAAGTTTCTGACCTACAGCATTGTCCTTCTCTCTGAAGATTTTCTTATAACATTTCTTGCAGAGAAGATCTGCTGGCAAAAAAGCAAAACCCTACTTGTTTTGTTTGTCTGAGAAAGTCTTTATTTCTTCTTCACTTTGGATGGATAATTTCACTAGATACAAAATTCTAGATCGGTGTGGAATTTTTCCCCCCAACACTTTAAATACTTCACCCTACTCTCGTCTTCCTTGCATAGTTTCTGATGAAATATGTATTGTATTTCTTTTCCTTTTTCCTCTAGTGGTGTTATTATTTCCTCTGATTTTCTCAATATTTTCTTGTCTTTGGTTTTCTGCAGTTTGTGTGTAATATGCCTAGATATGTTTTTTAAAAAAATACTTAACATGCTCGGTGTTCTCTGAGCTTCCTGGAAGTATGCTTTGGTGCTTATCACTAATTTTGGTAAGTTTCCAGACATTATTACATCAAATGTTTCTCATGCTCCTTTTTCTTTTTACTCTTCTGGTTTTTCAACAAAATATATGTTATATCTTTTGGCATTTCCCCGTAGTTTTTGAATATCCTGTTCTATTTTAAAATTCTTTTCGCTTCTTGAATTTCAGTTTGGAGAGTTTCAAGCTCACTAATTTTTCTTCAGCTATTCCCAGCCTATTGTAAGCCCATCAAAGGCATTCTTTATTTTTGTTATTGTATTTTTTATTTCTAACATTTCCATTTAATTTTTCGTAGAGTTTCCATCTTTCTTCTGACATCACCCATCTGTTTTGCATGCTGCGTACTTTTTCCATCAGAGCCCTTAGCACATTAATCACAGGTGTGTTACATTCCGTGTCTGATCATTCTGAGTCATAGCTCAGTCTTGTTCTGGTGCTGTCTTAAGGCTTTGTTTGGTTTGGTTTTCTTGCTTTTTTGGCACATCTTGTATTTGTTGTTGATATTGTTGTTGTAAGGCAGTTATGTTGTAAGAGGAAATAAGGAAATAGGCATTTAGTGTGAGACAGTGTGTTAATCTAGGTAGAGTCTGACTGTGTTTTGTGCTTGCTGTAGCTGCAGGTGCCAGAGGCTTCAAACTTCTCTACTGTTCTTGCTTTTTGTCTCTCCTCTTTTCCTTAGGTCTCCCTAAGTCTTCCTACTCAGAGAATGTCTGCACCTTGCAACTCTTTCACTGTTTTCTGCAGGAACCTGTCAGTGGGGTGGGGAAGGAGAGTGTTTCACAATATTCTGATTAAATCTGTCTTGTAATGGGCCTGTGTCTCAGGGCTGTGACAGTCACAAGCTTTTCTCCAGTAGTATAACTACTTTTTTCCGTAGGTGAGTAATGAGTATAGTGGGCTTGACATGGGAGGAATGCCATTTCAGCATTAGGACAATGTCTAATAAAATAAAATGAAGACAATGTTTTTTCTCTTCAGAGTAGGCCTTAATTATGAGGCACTCTCTGGGGGTCCTTCACAAGCATTACATTCCCACCATGGCCATGAGATCATTTTTGGATCTTCACCATGAGAACATGGTGGGGTTCCTGAAAGTAAAACTGAAGAAAATTTGGGCTCCCCAGTAAGACCATGCCCCCAGAAGTTTCTCAATTTCATGTTAATTCACACTGAGTCCCACAAGGTCATCAGAATCTCCATAGAAGTTCTCCTGTCACATTATGGCTCCAGTAACTTCTGCTCAGAGTAGTTGATCTTGGCTGATTCTCTGTGCTCACCTCCCAATTTTAGGGTGGCAGTTTTCCCTATAACTTCAGTTCCTTGACAAATCCAAAAAAGTCATGTATTTCTGTTTGTTTTGCTCTTTCTTATTGTAAGGATGGGAGGGATGACTTCCACTCTTTACATGCAGTCTCTGAAACTGGAAGTCCCTTAACTATGAATCAATGTATAACTATACTGACATGTAACTGACAGGAACACATTTATTTGCTCTTCAAGATACAGAAACTGCAGATCAGAGGGGTTATATGACTTACCTGATACCACAGAGGTGGTAAGTGGTAGCCCAGGGCCTTGACTTCAGACCACAACACTGCATTGCAGGAACAACTATGAAATTTGAAGCTCTTGATGCAAAATGAAAATGTGAGGTCCTTGTTCAAATTATTAAGAATTCCAATACTGTGATTAAGCATTAAGCCCATCGGGGGGGCACTTTCTGAATGTGGAGGCCTGTGAGGCTGCATGGGTCACTCTCCCATGAAGCTGGTTCTCCTTTACCCTGTCCCAGGCACCCGTTTCCCCAGGAAACCCCGCGTTGAGGCTGCCATGTCAGTGTTGAAGGGGCTTTTTCTCTTCTTTTCATCACAGGAGTTAACCAAGATTTATTGAGTCATATCTAAGAACAAGCTCTGATCATTGTACCTGCCCCTTCATAATCTAGAAAAATCCTTGCCTATAAATGCATTCTATATATTTTTAGTCCACTGAGTTACATTTCAGAGTTTTTTGGTATAGAAAATATTATACATTTTAAGTTAAGGTAGGAACAGCTTAATTGACCTCCTGGAAAAAGTGTATTGAGAACTCAAATATGATGTTCCTTTTTTTTTTCTTTTTTTGAGACGAAGTCTCACTCTTGTCCCCCAGGCTGAAATGCAATGGCACGATCTCAGCTCACTGCAACCTCCGCCTACCGGGTTCAAGCGATTTTCCTGCCTCAGCCTCCCAAGTAGCTGGGATTACAGGTGCCCACCACCATACCCAGCTAATTTTTGTATTTTTAGTAGAGACGGGGTTTCACCATGTTGGCCAGGCTAGTCTCAAACTCTTGACCTCAGGTGATCTGCCCGCCTTGGCCTCCCAAAGTGCTGGGATTATAGGTGTGAGCCACCGCGCCTGGCCTATGATGCTCTTTAAAACCATATTTCTAGGTGAGGCAGGATTTATTTTGCAGATTCACCCAAGTACATTTTCTTATATGCAAACAAATTTTAACTTTGATGCAACTATCCAGAGCATCAGGTCTCCTTTGTGTTTCCATAGGCCCTTAGCTATGGGTGTGTTCCCATACACCCTAAACCAGGGCACAGCAGGAAGCTCAGTGCTCAACTGATGGCCACTCTGACTTGGGTGGTCGTGGGTGGTGCTGGGGCCACAGAGTTTTCCTGAAGTCCCCAGATGATATTAATGTTAGTGCAGCCTGAGAACCATTCACCTCCTATGTCCTAGGCCAGGGAGATCCCAACACTCATGGCCGTTTCATAGGACATCTTACACAGGGCAGCTTGCTACACCTGCCGGGCCCACACGGGCACGCACGCACATGCATAGGCAACACACCAACATACATGCACACGTGTGTCTAAAGCGTCACTTTAAGCCCTTATGGTAGTAAGCACCAACAACAGTATTGCTATTTTGTTTTAGGGCATCGATCATTCTTGTTTTCCTCTTTCTCAGGAAAGTAAATCACCTTTTAAAAATGTCCCATGACTGTTTCTCAGCGCTGACAGTCTCACCACGGTGCTAACGATGGCTCAGCGCACACGTCTTGCTTCCTGAGCAGCGTTTTACCATCAGCCCATCTCTATTAGAGGGACTCCAGGGCACAGAGAGGGCCAGCAACCTTTCCAGGGTCACAGAGCTTGTAAATGACAGAGCAGAGGTCCAATCCTAGGCTCAAGGGCATACTCTGTCACACTTAACGCTCTGTGTGACACACAGGCTGCTGGTATGCAAGGCCACTTGTAGCTCCATGCTGCCCGATGAAGAGCCATCAGTTTTCTGAGAACCCAGAGCCCTCAGTGAATCCAGCCCCCTTGCCTCCACCTGCAGCTCCAGCACACAGACGTAAACCATGATGCCTCCATGTCTGCAAGGCTCATGCCGGCCTCCCCAGGCAGAGACAGGAGCGGACTCTCTGCTTGGCCTGCATACGCTTTTCAGGTGACGTGCATGCTTTCTCTTAGAAAAGGTGAAAGGGAAGGGTCAGGAGATGCAGGTCGGGCCAGGGTCCCTGTGTCCCCCACTCCCTCCATGCCCAGGACCCTGTGATGGCTACAGTGAAATTTCCAGATGTTTTCAGACTCTACCTTTGACTTTCGAGGCCTCACAGGGCAAACCCCCCTCTACCCAGTGTTTCTCACCAGCATCCCCAACTCCGTGCAGCCCCCTCCCCTCTGCAGAAGATACCCCCATTCCCCTGAGAGGTTCTGAGCCCACTGCCTTTCCAGGTTGTGACAGCATCGTCTCAGGGACCTGTGCCTCTGCAGCACAGGATGGACGGCACGACGCCCAGGTGAGCCACATCCACAGGCTTTGGTTTGGAGCCATCTGTTAAAAACACTGGGATTGAACTGTGAGGTTGTTTGTTTAAACCCATTCAGGAAAGAGGCCAAATCAGAGTTGATTTATACTCCAACAATAAGAGATTGCATTGGGCCAGGGCATTTCTAGGTACATAATCCTCCCTGCTCAGCCAGCTCCAGGTCAAGAAAGCAAACCTGGTGTCTGAAAAGAGAAAATGTGCATGCGGACCCACAGATGGAGGAGGCCATAGCAACTTCACGAACAGACAGAGAAGGCCACAGCAACTTCGCGTACAAATGGAGGAGTCCACAGCAACTTCACATACAGATACAGGAGGTCACAGCCTTTGCCTCTGCTAGGCTTCATCCAATTATTATCCCATCCCCAGAAGAACAAGTCAGTCTCCATAACTCTGCACTCAGACGTCCCTCAAAGCCTACCTCAATACCAGGTGGGGATGCAGCTTCTACACCTTCTGAAAAGAATCCCATCCGTTCTCACCATTGCCAAGCCAGGCTGCTCCTCCAACAGCAGTGGCAAATGGGTGGGACCTGCAGGAGCCGAAACACCTGGGAGGCAGCCAGTTGGCAGCCAGAACCCAGGGAAGGGCAGCTGCCCTCCAGAGTGGCACAGCCTCCTGCTGGCATGGTGAGTGTCCTGTCCTGAAGGTCAGGATGCGGGGATGCAGAGAGGTGAGCAGAGTGGAAATGGTCTGTGGCTGGGCAAGTGGGCTGGTCCATTTGACACTCATTTATTGCACATCTAGTGTCATTGAGCACTGTGTGGGGGGGTTGGAGCCTCTCTCTGACACTATTCTGTATGTGACCAAGGACAGGAACCCCCTACACACACACACTCACACACACACACAAACACATATGCATCTTACATCAATTGCCTGTAGCCAGGCCTCTCTCCACATGTTGATGGTAGAACATGACCATGATTCATATAGAGCACAGTGATGAGCTGAATTGTATTTCCCCAAATTCATATGTTGAAGTCCTAATCCCCAGTCCCTCAGAATGTGAATGTATTTGAACATAGGTCCTTTAAAGAGGTAATTAAGGCAAAATGAAGTCTTTGGGGTAGGCCCTAATCCAATGTCTGGTGTCCTTATAAGAAGAGAAAATTAGGACACAGACACACACAGAGGGAAGACAATTCCAAGACAGGGAGAAGATGCCGTCTACAAGCCAAGGAGAGAGGTCTCCAAAGAAACCAACCCTGATGACACCTAGATCTTGAACGTTCAGCCTCCAAAACTGAGAAAATAAATGTCTGTTGTTGAAGGCCCCCGATCTGTTGTTCTAGGTTGTGGCAGCCCAAGAAAATGAACGCAGGCTCTCAGCAAAGGATCTGGTCCGGAATATTCATTCTGCACATCATGGCGGTTAGTATGGCTTCATAATCACTGAGTAACCACTCTGGTCAATGATCAATCCTCTACCGTGATTGATTCATTCGTTTTAGTCATTCCATAAATATTTACCGAGAACCCAGCAAGTCCCAAGCAGTGTTCTAGGCACCAGAATACTCGCCGCCTTGTCTATAACTGTCAAACCTCTGACGGCACGGACAGAGCCCCTGGACTCACTCTGTCCAGCTTCATGGTGCTGAAACGGTTTCTTCTTGACCTGTCACGGACGCCCGGCTCTCCAGTACCGCACTAATCCTGCACAAACAGAAGCAGCCCTTCTTGTTTGAGTTTAGTTTCCAGGAATAGGTAGTCTCCACAAATGCTTTCTCGTGTCTGAAAACAAAAACGATGTGTACTGTAGCTGCCAGGAAACTTGGGGCACATTTGTTCCCTAAACACTGTCATCTGTTCAGTTCAGGTGCCGCCTGCATCCGCTCCTTCTGTCTCCCTCCCACGGCTTCTGTTCCCTTGTAGTTTTCCTTGCATTGGGCCCTCCATTATTCTCTCAAGTCCTTTTAGAAGTGCATGGGAAGTGTAAATCGTACATGAATTGCACCCTAGGTCACTGGGGCTGTTTCAGGGGTGGAGGTGAATGCCCATCTCATAAAGCAATGAAAACACAGAGGTTTTCACCAATCACCCCGGCATGAGCTGGGAGAAGATGTTAACCGCCGGTATGATTCGTGCCTGACTCACATAAACTCACTGCATCCATCAGTGCATTTATTCACTGTACTTGTGTGAATTCAGTCCCTTTAACCTACCAGACTTTAACGTAGATTCAAGAAATGCATCAGAAACGCCCACTGCCCTCAGGGAGCGGGCTGTGAACTGAGGAAGAAGCCAATTACAGTTGGATGTGGGGAGTGCTGTGCCTGGGAAGACTGGGGGCTGCAGGGCCAGGAGCCGCCTGCATTGCTGGGATCAAAAACACCTGCAGGAGACCCTGCCATACCCCCTGAGACTGGAGACACGGAGAGCAGGGGACTGTGAAGGGTCTTGAACTGGATTGTGAAGCCGTGCGAGAGGCTGGATAACAGAGCCGCACATGGGAATTTTTGCTCCGCAAGTCAACCTCAACCCTAAAACAAAAATTACATTTTTGTTTTACATCTGGCAACAAAGTAGATGTTTGTTGGGAGATTGAATACCAGATCACCCCATGATGAGAACATGACATTTTTCTTCCTTGTGGGGTTTCATTGCTGGGTCAGCCTCAAGACTGACAGAGATGAGATGCGGTCTTTCTCCCTGGCCGAGGATCCAGAGATGGTGCCAAAAGCGAATTTCCTGCTGGGTCCCTGATATCAGTGACGAGGTCCAGGGGCCCCGTGGGGCTGCTCTTGGTTTCTGTGTGAGGCTCCCACACTGATCTGATCAAAAGTGAGCTCCTAAAAGGCCCATGGAGTGGGATGGGTTGGGAGGGCGGTGAGAGCCCAGAGCCACCGAAGGCCCCAGGTAGCCAGTGGAAGGACAACAGGGCCCAGGAACATGCCCTGGGGCAGGTGGAGGCCGTCTCCTGCAACCTCACAGGTGCTGTCGTCTGCCCTGAAGTCCCACTGTGCTCACTTATATATGACATGGCATCAGGGCACCCCTCCTCTGGTCGGAGTGGTCCCTGGGCTCAGTCTTGGATTCTGGAGGTGTCCAGAAGAAGTGGGAGGCAGCCCTGCCCGAGCAGAGGTGGTCACGGCAGGTGGAAGCTGACATTGAACATGGAAGGCATGCCCGGGAGCCTTGTGCCAGTCTGCATGGCAGCATCAGTGGTTAAAAACCCACTGTCCACTCCCTTCAGCCCTTCAGCCCTGCTTCAGCTTCTGGGCCTCCCTGGCCCTCTCCAAGTTCCAGTAGTCAAAATTTAGTCCCTGGAGGGGCTCCTCCAGCTCCCGCCCCTGCCCTAGTGCCTGCAGCTATTGACTGGCCATGCTCAACCCACTAGTAGACAATTTTAACGTTACCCCTGCCGTGGCTCCCTCCAGGATTCTTTCTGCCATGCTGTTGAGCAGAAGACATGTCTTTCTCTGACTTCTTCTGCCACCAGCCAAAGAAAACTCTCTGCTCTTAAAAATCTTGCCTGACTAGGTCAGGTCCAGAGAAGACCAGCTCCCTTGGGACATAGGATGTAACCTGATCTCAGAGTGATGTCTCCTCATCGTTACAGGTTCTGCCCACACTCAATGGACTTCACAACGAGGATGTGTCCACCAGGGGGCAGAGATGTTGGGGTCAACTCAGCATCTTGCCTACCTTAGGAGGCTGGCTATCTTAGGGAGGAGGGTTGAGAGAGGGGAGAAGTAATTCTAGGGCAGAGCCCTGTGTTTAGCGGGCTGAGCAGAAGAGCGACCAAGCAAGCACACCAACAGGCTACTCAGTTCCTTGGTTAGGATCCCAGTGCTCCTCAGTGAGAGCCTGGGACTACAGCCACACACTCCGATGCCCAGGCCAGCAGTCCCTGTATAACTCTATCTATCCATCCATATATTCATCCCTCCACTCATCATCTGTTTACCTTTCATCCACTATCCATTGACCATCCATCCATCCATCCACCATCCATCCTCCATCCAACCACTCACCATCCATCCACTATCCATCCACCTTTCATCCATCCATCCAACCATCCATCCTCCATCCATCCATCAATCCATCATCCATCCACCATTCATCCACCCATCCACCCATCCACCATCCATCTGCCATCCATCCTCCGTCTATTCATCCATCATCCATTCCTCCACTCATCTGTCTACCATTCATCCACTATCCATCAACCATCTATCCATCCATCCACCATCCATCCATCCATCCTTTCACCATCCATCCATGCATTCATCCATTTATCCATCTATCCATATATTCACCCATCCATACACACATCTACCCATCCATTCACCATGCTTCTATCCATTCACCTAACCATTCACACATCTTTCCATTCCTCCATCCATCCACACATCCATCCATCCATTCATCTCTCCACCCATCAATCCATTCATTAATCCATCTATCCATCCATCCATCTGCCCTTCCATTCATCAAGTAGCTGTGAACAATGGCCGTGTGCCAGGCACTGTGATAGTGAATGAGACATGAAATAGGCCTTTCCCTTTCTGGGTTCACAGTCTAGAGCAGGTGTAAGACCTTCCCATGGGCCACTGCATCAAACTTTTTTAACCTAGACACTGTTAACATCTGTAGCTGGATAGTTCTCTGTTGGGGGGTGCTGTCCTGTGCATTGTAGGATGTTTGGCAGCACCCCAGTTTTTATTCACTGGATACCAGTAGCACCTCCCAGTTTTGACAGCCAAAAATGTCTCCTGATATGTCCAGACCCTTGGGATCAAAATCACCTCCAGTGAAAACTACTGCACTTTGTAACTGTGGTTGGGATGCCTTTTCTAGTGAGGGAAACAACGGTTCTTAGGAGCACCTGGGGAAACATGCACATCTGCAGGTGTCCACCTCCTGGATCTGCTGCACTGGGGTCCCCAGGTATGTCTCCACAGGTGAACACACCTGTCATCTGCAGGTGTCCACCTCCTGGATCTGCTGCACTGGGGTCCCCAGGTGTGTCTCCACAGGGGAACACACCTGTCATCTGTAGGTGTCCACCTCCTGGATCTGCTGCACTGGGGTCCCCAGGTGTGTCTCCACAGGGGAACACACCTGTCATCTGCAGGTGTCCACCTCCTGGATCTGCTGCACTGGGGTCTCCAGGTATGTCTCCACAGGTGAACACACCTGTGTGACAATGCTTTAGGAGGTGAAGGTGGGAAGAGGAGCAGTTTGGTGGCTCCTCTGCATGGGTGGCACCCATGCATCCATGGGTGGGGCTTTGTAGAGGGCACAGAAATGGGGCCAGCCTAGAGCAAGGTGAACACCTGAGAACAAGCACAGTGACCCAGGCAGGGGCTGGGATCAGGAAGAAGCCTGTTTGGTGGAGGGCTTTCTCTGGATTTAACATGGATTAGAGACTCACCACTCCAGCTCCACACACACACAAAACAAAACGTATTTAAGATTCTTCCACGTCACTTCCACCCATGGCAACTTCTGCCATGTTTGAATTTTCTCAGAAATATTTGCTCAAATCATCCATGTTAAAGGGCCCAAGTTCTAAACCACCACAGTCAACTACTGGCTGCGCCAGAGCTTTGGCTTTTCTCCATCTACCAGCTCTGTCTAGCTGGTCTATTATCCTTTATCCTAGCATGAGACTAAAGGACCACAAGATGTGGCAATGCAGGTTCTTCAAGATGTTCTATACGTGTCGTGCTTCTCATTTCCTCTACTCCAGACCAGCGTCCCCTCAACTAGCCTCCTCCACTTTTACTTGTGCCCATTGACACTGAACTGGCTCACAGCTGCTGCCAAAGCAAGGAGATATGTGTGCCTCACTGTATCCACATGGTCTCTTCAGCACCAACTGACCACTCCAATGCCACAGGAGTGGCACATCAGGTGAAAGGCCGAAGGCACTCTTGTCAAGGCATCTCAAAATCACCTGGTCCTAGTTCTGCTTCCTTGATTGGCCTGGGCAAGGGTGATGTGTGACAACATGGAGCCAAACATACAGGATGCCCTTAGGTTGAATCAAGGGCTCCAGCTACCCCAGCTGCCCCAGCTCCCAGGCCAGCAGTAGGACAGGTGACCACACATTCACACATTTTGAGCTGACACTGGGCTCGGAGACCTCCTACAAGGCGCTTCAGTCTGCCGCGTCTCAGGCTTCTCGTGGTCAAGGGGATAATACTCTGCCTTCAACCCAGAGAAACAGCATGAGGATTCAGTGAGATAGTCCAGGAAAGGGGCTGAGAAGCCCCAGAAACTCATAGTTGACCGTGGTGGTCTACTCACCCACTGTAGGGGATGGTTACTCCTCAATAACCCAGCCTCTGTTTCCCTTCAATCTGGTAGCAACACCCCAATTGTTTCAATAAGAAACTACCCCTTATCTTCTCTCAGTCTTTGTGGTTAGGACAGGGCAGACTCCAAGCATCCTGTGGCAGGGATGGGACCTTGAGCCAGGTCCCAAGTAAAAGAGTTTTCCCTCCCTAGACCACAGCAAATGGTGAAGAAATGAGCTTGTGATCAAGGCAGGTCTAAGGAGAGGTGGTTCCAGGGCCACTGGTCTGAGGAGCCGCCAGCCACCTCACCTGCAAGGAGAAGAGAGCCTGCTCAAGAACCCAGCCACACTGGGAACAGCCCAGATGATGGGCCCAGAGCAGGAGCCTGACTCACGGGGGCAACATGGGGTCCCTGCACCCTGCAGCCCACTGTGCCTGAACCTGGAGTTCCAGTCATGTGAGCAACACTTTCCGTTCCGTCTTTGACACAAGCACTTCTGAGTTAGTTTTTAATTTCCAATTTAAGAACCCATTTTTGTATTTAAAACTCTTCTAGAACTCCCCTGGGCAGGTCTATAGTTTTCAGCAACCTTAAGGGGAGAAAGGAATCACTGCCACCTAAATTTAGTAGCTTTGCAGCATAATTAGAAACCAAAATCCCGGCCAGTAATTCTGCATCTCCTATTTGGTGGTGGTGGAGGAAGCCATGTTTTAGAAAGCATAAGTGGTGGACTTTACAAGTTGCTTTTATTTTCTGAGATAGAAATAAACCCAGGAGTAGTGACTCACCTCCCTCTAGCCTGGCTACAATTTTCCACATCCAATTCAAATATTGTCTTTAATTTTTAATTTGGATCTGACTGATGCAAACTAAGTGCATCATCTCTGCCACCAGCTGGGCAAAGCATCCTGTTCCCTGTGGTACAACCATCCTGTTCCCTGCAGAATGTACTGCAGGAAAAGCCTCAAAGATGGATGTAGGGAACAGTGAGGGCGGGCATTGCATCTGCTTTTGACAAATGAGTATTAAATAGAAGAATAAATGGCACTATTGATGCATCCTCTTTTATTTATGGAGAGCTTTCTCAACTTGGCCTCCTGCTTACCAGTCTTGCAGCCCCGCATGGGCCCTGGATCTGAGAGTCTGTCTGGGAGATAGAGGTTTGCTTGACAAAGGCCTTTCACACACCTGTGGCCACACTTCTCCCTACAGCCTGGAGAATAGAGATCCACAGAGACCCTAGAATCTGCCTCCCTGGCATTCTCACTTACACTGTGATCATTAAAAAGTGTATTGGAATCTACTCCAGGAGGGCAGGAACATGTCTGTATCTCCAGCCCTGGAACCATGGCTGCCACGAAGTACATCTCCAGGAAACAGCTGGTGAGCAAATGAATAAAGGAATAAACATGTCTCAGAATGTTGTGAACTACGGATTTTTCATTCAAAGTTGCTGGAACTGAAACCAGAGAAAGGTTTCCATCTTTCTGATTGGCCGTCTTAACACATGACTTACCTCATAGTCTAAGATGGCTGCTGGAGCACCAGCCATCATATCCTGTTTTCAGACTGGAAGAAAGAGGAAAGGAAGAAGGACAGCATCCTAGAAGCTGCCTTCCTGGCTGTCATGCACATTTCATTAGGCAGAACTTAGTCACTTGGTACATTTCACTTCATGGGAGTTTGAGGAGGGTGTTCTTTTATGACAGGGGACAATTTGTTACACCAAAGAAAGAACAGAATTTTTTGGCTGGGTAAGTTGGCTCATGTCTGTAATCCCAGCACACTGGGAGGCTGAGGCTGGTGGATTACATGAGATCAGGAGTTCAAGACCAGCCTGGCCAACATTGTAAATCCCCATTTCTACTAAAATTACAAAAAAAAAAAAAAAATCAGCCAGGTGTAGTGTGGCACATGCCTGTAGTCTCAGCTACTCAGGAGGCCGAGGCAGGAGAATTGCTTGAACCCGAGAGGTGGAGGCTGCAGTGAGGTGCGATCATACCACTACACTCCAGCCTGGGCGACAGAGCAAAACTCCATCTCAGAAAAAAAAAAAAAAAAATCAGAACTTTAATATTAGAGAGGAAGGGAGCATGGACTTTGGGCTGAGCAGGCAGCAATGTACTACAACATGCAAAACACCCAGAATCTGCCTTCCAAAATATCAGCTAGTTTTCTAGCCCTGGTAAATTTAGCTTTCTTTCATGATTATATGATCAATCACCTTCTTACTGGGAGGACTGGCATCTCCATGAGGAAATAACCTGAGAGGCCTTTACTGAGTACTAAGTCCCAGCTCCCAGCATCATGCTTGTCCCGGGGCAGAGGGAACTCAATAACGGTTCTGCCTCATGCAGAACCCTGGATTTCACCATGGGTGTGTGGACATGCCCAGGACAGCTTCGCTGGTGAGGCAGGGAACACAGGCAGTGCCGCTGTGCAGAAGACGAGTTGGTCTTTACCGTGTGGTGGCATCAGGAGGCCTGTGGAGCACTGAGGCCTGTGGAACACTGAAGTTGCAACTGTCTGGGATAGTCTCCAAGAAACTGCAATTCAGCAGCTGGAGGTGGGGCTCGGTGCCTGCATTCATCTTGATATCCCCTGCATTACCACAGCTGCAATCAGTGAAGTCTCAGCTGGAAAATGAAGCTGCTCGAGGGGTCTGAGGGTCTACATGTTGCCCGAAGGGGCCCCCCCAGCCCTGTGCTGCTCTCCGCCACCTGTCTGGGTGGACGCTGATGGAATGATCATGAAAACTGTGGATGATACAAGTATGAGAGGGACAGCAACCCACCAACCGCAGCAGCAAGGAGAGGCTTCACCCCGCAGGCTGACGTTGAACAGAAATAGACGTGAGGTTCTGAGTTGAAGCCTGAAAAGCACAGCCAATATGTGCATAAAAGAAACGTGTAGGATCAGTTGTTTGAGTACCATCTTCAAGGCTTTCTTCAAGTCACCCTCATAATGCAGCTGTCAGGAAAGTATTTAATGGATACTGGGATGCATTAACAGGGGCATAAGCTTAGGAAAGCTGGAGGTGATAGGCCCATTGGAGGTGGTCCTTGCAACTCCCCCTTGGAAAACTCCGCAGATGTCTATGCAAACCATTCTCCCGTGATGGGACAAGCCAGCCAGTGTCCTGAGGGGCATGGCCAGGGTGGTAATGAGATGTGCTCATGTAATATGAGGGAGCATAGAAGGAGCAGGATATGTCCACTCGAACAGGGAAGTCTCTGCAAAGGACAGTTCTTCACTGGCCCAGGAGGCAGGGGGAGGCTGGGTTCAAGATGCTTCAGGCAAACATCTTGATGCTGACATATGGATCACAGAGCTTCAGAAGCTATCAGGCCCCACGTGGTATAGGCAAATAGTGTGTTCCCCGCCACCAGAATTGCTCACCCAAAGATGGGAATCACCAGACAGGAATGCCACAGAGGAGCATCTACCCTCACACTGTTCTCAATAGACCCCAGTTACAGAGGGCGTTTCCAGACAAGCGTGAGAAAAGTGGGAATGACGTCTGTTGGGAAACATAACATCCTCTGTCCTCCTTGGAAGACTGAGGTTGAACTTATGGGCTTGAGAAAGGCCCTGAAAAGCCTTGCAGTAAACACACTTGGCCACGTTGGTGACACTCCCAAACATATTGGACCCACGACCTTTTTTAAGATAGAAGTTCTCTCCATGTCTCACAGCACTGGTGATTGGTGTATTTCGAGGACGCCGTCTTTACAGGGACTTAAGGACAGCCTTAGGGCTAGGAGGTGGGTATTTAGGGTGCCCTTCTCAACACAGAGAGGCATGGATTCAGGGGCGAGCCACCCTTCCAGTCAATCAAGCCCAGCTATGCCAAGGCCTCTGTCAGATCTGCTCAGAAGGAACTGTGTCTCTCTCCTGCCCCATCAAGCTCCATGAGGTTAGTGAGCACAGTTAAATCTCCAGCTCCAAGCAGAGCAGGGGGGTCATAGTTGATATTTTTTTAAATATTTGTTTAAGAAAGAATGGGGAGGGGCATCGTGCTGCGCGAGGTCTCCAGTTCCAGCGATACCTATTATCACCAGTTCCAGCGAGACCTATTTTCACCAGTTCCAGCAAGACCTATTGTCACCAGTTCCAGCGAGACCTATTATCACCAGCTCCAGCAATATCTATTATCACCAGCTCCAGCGATATCTATTATCACCAGTTCCAGTGATATCTATTATCACCAGTTCCAGCGAGACCTATTATCACCAGTTCCAGTGATATCTATTATCACCAGTTCCAGCGATATCTATTATCACCAGTTCCAGCGATATCTATTATCACCAGTTCCAGCGATATCTATTATCACCAGCTCCAGCGATATCTATTATCACCAGTTCCAGCGAGACCTATTATCACCAGTTCCAGTGATATCTATTATCACCAGTTCCAGCGAGACCTATTATCATCAGTTCCAGCGAGACCTATTATCACCAGTTCCAGTGATATCTATTATCAACAGTTCCAGCGAGACCTATTATCACCAGTTCCAGCGATACCTATTATCACCAGTTCCAGCTATACCTATTATAAGCGAGATCGGTGGGAATTCCATCCAGAAGATTCCCAAGGCCTTTTTCCATACAGGAGAATAACCCAGAAGAGGCTTCCTCAGGGGACGGGGCTGGCTATATGTGATTGTTTTTCAACAGAGCTCTGGCATGTGGCTTTCTGTCCCAGGAGAGCCTTGGCAATTTAAAGAGGCAATTGCTTCTTGGGCTCACCCTTCAAAAATGGAACTAATGGAGCCACAGATTCCATCACAGGAGCTCTGGGGAACTGGATAAAACCCAAGAACGACTGATTCTAGACAACATCAATATTTGTCCCATTAAAACGTGCAGTATAAAAATCAGTTACATTGTTGACCATGCTGCTCGGGTCCTCATGGGCTAATCCCTCCTTATGAAACCTGATCTCTCTCACTCCCTCATGCTGAGAGGCAAAGAGCTTTGCAAAGGGGCCAGTGCATCTGGCCCCATCACCCCTCGGAGCTCCATCGGTGACGATGTCTCTGGCTGACCCCATTTCGTCGGTTCTTTCCTTCCCATATAGCTAAGTCTTCCGGCACAGTCGCCAATGCAAATCACCCACTTATGTTCTCACACAAAATTCAATTGCCAATTTGTCTTTTTATTTCTTACACTTAAAGTGATTTGCCTTCAAATAATCTACGATGAATTGTTCATTTTACTACCGCAGGAAGCAATTGGTTCATCCAGGGAGCCACTAAGTTTACAATCATTGTCGGGGAACTCGTACTTCTCCAGCTTCCCTGTGCAGCAGCTGGGGAAGCCCCTCGGGGGGCTGCTGAACAGGGGGTACAGTGCTTTCCCCCGGTTCCTGTGTCCCCCCCACCCACGGAGTCAAGAACCAGCCACTTCTTCCCCTGCCTTTGGGTGGGGCTGGGGGACAGGAGTCAGTGCTGGTTTAGCTGGTGCCCTGGGATGCAGGTTCCTCTCTGGGAAGTCATTAATTAGCTTCATTTGCCTCACTGGCACTGGCGTTTGGCCATAATGGAGATGGATTTGATGGTATAATCCCTCGTGGGAAATGTGAATGAATTCCAGAGGAAGGGGAATTGGCCCGGGAAAACAGGCGGCCTGCTCTGGCTTAGTGCTCCTCCTCACCCACACGCACACCAGGCCATCGCCCCAGCCTGGGCTTGGCCCCCGCCCTCTGGGAAGGGACATGCCCTTGCTCCTCATTTGCAGATATGAAGGCAGGTGGACCACCTCTGAGACCACTGTCTCAGGCATCACAAGCCTCTGTCTCTCCCTTCACAATAGACTCAGACGAGGTTTGCCAGGTCTGGGCCATCTGAGAAACCTAAAGCCTTGGAAACAGAAAGAACCTGGCCGCATCTGCCCCTGGGCTGGTCTGGCTTAGTCAGGAGGGCAGCCCTTGGCCCAGGGCACAGACACATGCCTGGGAAGGAAAGCGAACGTGTGGCACACACTGCTCTCGTCTTTCCATTCATCCTTTATCTTTTCAGCAAACCTGTGCGACATAGGACTTGCTCTCCCAACACCTGTAACTCCTGCTTTGTAGAGGGATGTCAGGAAGGAGGACGGAAGGAATTTTGAGGTAGAAATAGTGTGAGGCGTTCTGGTCAAGGCATGGGCTACTTATCCACCTGCTGACAGAGATCCTCAAGCTGCGAGAAGGTGTAATATCAAAAGCACACTGTGGAATTTAATTGGCAATTAGAGATGGTGGCTTCCAGCTGGCCCTCTAATGTCCTCTTTCAGAAAGAGAAAGTGGACTGTAGCTCTGGAAGTAGGTGACCCAGGGGAATGGGACGTGCCAAGAACTGGGAGGCCAAGAGCCAGCACAGATCTCACATGGACACAGGAATGCTCCAGAAAGCACAATGCATTATTGATTGTCATGAAAGGAGAGACTGAAGTTTTATCTTAAATGTATGTCTGCATAAAAGAACCTGACAGGGCAAATCAATAAACAAGAGGATTGCTTGTCGGGAATGGCCAGTTTTATTGTTTTTGTTTTTTTTAATCCAAAAAATGCTCAAAGAAAGAAGGATGACTTCCTAGTCAGGTAGGTCAGAGAAGGTGGCAGAAAGTGTGGTGGGAGGCCTGGGAAGCAGGGCTGGCTTGCTGAATTACAAAACAAAAAAGAAACGCTTTCCCCCTCCCTCCACCCACAAGGAGGAAGCAGACACGGGGCCTTCCCAGGTGGCCACGGTGGAAGCTGCCCCGCTGTCTGGGAGGTTTTCGTGGGCCTGTGGACGTGCCGCCCAGCAGGGACTTCCACCCCCAGAGGTGTGCAGATACACAAACAGAAAATGCACACACACTCTGGTAAGCAACTACCTTGGATGCTGTCCTTGGCTGGACTCCCAGAATTTTCACATCATCAAGATTTCATTGAACCTTCATAGAAATTCTGGGAGATGAGCGTATGCCCCCCATTTGCCAAATAGGACATCTGAGACCACCTGCTCAACCAAGAAAGCCCTCTCCACCTCTCGCCTTATGGACACCAGAGGGAGACACTGTGAGAGGGAGCCCTTCTTCATCCCGGGACATCACGGGACGTGGCACTTGATGAAGAAAGCTGGGCTAGCCCTGAGGTCCACTCCAAGCACAGCCTCAGAGTCAGGCAGCCGTGCTAGGGACCATGCTTCCCCCAGTGACTGACGGGGTCCTATGACCTCCTCAGCCTCAGAGGCCCACTGCAGAGAGTAGAGACAGCCACAGGCCAGCAGAGTGTGACATGAAATGAGGGATGTGGGTTCAAAACCCCTGGGCGGTGCCAGGCACCCAATCACTGCCAAATCAATCACGGCTGCTGCCATTGGTCTCACTGGCTCCTCGGGTGTTCTCTGGATTCCTCTCCTTCAGCCTGGTCTGAAGTCCACCTTGCAGGGAGACTTCCACTAACCACCAGAGTGGAGCGTCCAGGCCCCAGGTGTAACCCAGCCCCACTGCTCCCTCTTCGGTCACAAATGTGCTTATTTTCCCCTTGCTCATTTTCTGTCACCCCCACTCTATTGCAACTTTTATAATGAAGGAAGCTGGCAGATGAATAGCAGTTGTGTTCCATATCATTTGTCGGATGGATGGATGGATGGATGGATGGATGGATGGATGGATGGATACCTGCTTTTTGTCAGATCTCAGACTGGAGTTACAGCTGGAAGGAAAACTGTCAAACCTATAAACGACAAAAGCACATTTCAAGGCATGGTCAGAGTACAGGGATTGGGGGGCAGGACTAACCCAATCTGAGGGACTCAGAATGTGGGGCAGAGCTTTGGAGATGCAGAAGAAAAGGGTGAGGAGGATGGCCTCATGCTGCACTAGACCCACAGGTCCTCTGCCTGTGCGCTGTCAACTCTCTGCTCTGTAGAGAGTCCTGTTAACATATTTAAACAAGTAGACTTGATTTCAGACTACACAGATCACCTCTCCCACAGTGTCACTCCAGCTCATGGCCACCGAGGACTGAAGCACAGCCAGGCACATCCAGAACCCACAGCGGGAGCGGGTTCCGTGGAGCAGTGCCAGGCATTTTGACTGCTCAGCAGCATCTTCAGCCTGAAGAGGCACCAGCCCGAAAGCCTCAGTGGTCTGTCACTAATGATCGTTTAATACTGTTTGGTATCAGTTTTGTGTACACACTTCCAAACAGAGTAAATTGCATGTGGGTGTTTACATTTAAGGAGAGCTTCTATGTTAGAATTGATAGAACTTTAATTTCCATGTGGCTTCCACAGTAAACATGCAAATGGCTCTTTTCAGTATTACCAAGCCTTAGTTATTTTTAGGGAAGCAAAATGTTTTACTTTAGCCCCCAGACTGCATGGAATTAAAAGCAAATCCAGATGGGACCAGATTGGAGAAACAGTGACGTGGACAGAACCAGCTTGCATCTCCCGCCTCCTTCCTTGGCTCCCCTGGGTCCCAGGGGCCCTGACCCATGGCCTGAGCCGGATGGGGGATCCTCTGCTGTGGATGTTTTGCAACCTGGCAGGAGTGAAGCATCTTGTGTGGAGTAACAGTGAGCATGGACCACTCCTGCGTTAGACGAGATCTATCTCCTGCAATAGGGATCTAAGGCATCTATCCCCGGGGAGAAGAAATGGGACAGAAGAGGGAGCGGAAGTCTTTCCCAACTCTTCTGAATCTGCCCTGATGAGAGGCACACGGTGGAGAAACAGCCACTTCTGCACTTCAGCCCATGCTGCTGGGACTCAGGGACCCTGAGCTCTTTGCGATTTAGTTACCCGTGCTCCAATCCAATTCCATAAATCGGAGACAGAGGTGGAAGCTCTGAGCACAAATGTGGATGGTCGCAGGAGTGAAAGCAGATGATGGCCGGGACTGTCCACACTAGGACTTCTCCTCTAGGGGCAGTTCTACCTCCCAGGGGACAAGGAACAATACCTGGAGACCTTTGGGTTGTCACAGCTGGGTAGGCGCTACCAGCATTTACAGATGCATCCCCAGCTTCGGAGGAGGCCGGGGCTGCTGTGAGCACCCTACAATACCTAGGTGGGACGGCCCTGATGACAAAGAACTCTCTGCTCCCAAATGTCAGTACTGCCGAGATGGGGAAACCCTGTCCTAGAGAGGGCAGCACCATGCCCTGCAGAGCCTGGAAATGGGCCACGAGTGGGCTACACTTGCCTGTGCCCCTGCTGGGTGCTCAAGGCAGCCTGGTGGGTGGGGCCAGTCGGAGCCCCCAGGCTGTCTCAGAGGCTTCCAGCAGCCTCATCCTCCCAACTCCATGAGCCAGACAAAGTTCATCATGGTCTGTGTGTCCTTGGAGGTAGAGAAGTTTGGGGGGCCTGGTTAGAACTCGAGAAGCAGCTGGCTGTTCTCATGTACCACGTGAATGTGATGATTAGGGCGGGGTGAGCGGCAATGGCTGCCCTTGCTGTGTGTGGCCTGAGGCCTCTGCACTGCACCTTGGGCATGCGTGACCCTATCTTAGACTCTCTGCAGCCCTTCGAGGTGAGGTCAGCAACCATTCCCACCCATGGGGCAGGAATCTGATGCCAAGAAGGCCCCTTTGTCCAGGATAACACAGGTACGCAGGGCCCAGTGATCAGGATTTGAAGTTTCACGCCCAGCAGCAGCCCAGCCTCACCCAGCAGCAGCCCAGCCTCACCCAGCAGCAGCCCAGCCTCTCAGCCACACTGCAGAGCTGCCTGTAACCAACAGCCACCCGTGATCCACCACAAGGTGCAAGAAAACACCTTCCGTGTCTTTCAGATGAAGAAACAAGTGCCCCAGGGCCTCCTCCCCACCTGTGGTTTACACTCTCAGAGGCCAGGGGAAGAGATGGCTAAAGGCCTCATTAAGTGGCTGGAGCCTTGTGGGCTTAGCCGTGCCTCTTGCTTTGACAGCTGTGCAGAGCTGAGTGTTTTCAGAGCTAGGGAAGGCGAGAGGGGCTGCCCTCTCTCAGGGCTCCTTTCCAGCCAACTCACCTCTGGGCCGAAGCCCATCTGCGAGAACAGACCCTGGCCCCGCAGGAACAAAGAGAGAAACTGCGCTCCTCAGGGCACTCAGTGGACCTGCCTGACAGCCACCTTGCCGGAGCAACAGGGGTTCCTAGAGGGACAAGAAGCTTCACGGCTCAGCACACGGATTACTCCTCAAGGGCCCACACCAAGCCGCTTCTCCAGTGAGAGAGGGCTCACAGCAGAATCGCAGCTTCCACTGCAGGGGAACATGGAGATGACAGGTCCAGGATTTCACTCTGCAGGGGAGGACAGCAAGCCCTGAGGGACCATGTTGGACATAAAGACCCCAGTGGCAGCAAGCTGGTGCCGTATCGATGGGGGGCCGAACATGACCTGGAGTTGAACGACACTCCAGGAAGCTCAGCGGGCTGGGAGCCAGGACCTCGCACACTGGAAGGGGGGTTCCCAGTGCCCAGAGCTGTCTGCCCCTCCATCAGCCCCTGAGCTGACTGTCTTTGCTTTCCTGGGGAGTCGATCTCATTCTCCACCTGCCGGGAGGACAGCCCCCTACAGCCCAAGTCTGCATTCTTTTCTGACCATGAGAGGTGGTGTGTGGCCACCCTTACACCACTGATTCAAAAACCCGGCAGGTGCCTCTCAATGATGCCAATTGCAGCCAGCGGCAACACCAGGGCTGAGTGTTCTGGAAGGGCCTCAGGCAGCGGCTCGGTGTTTCTCACAGGCTAAAATATGCTGGCCGCAGAGAGAGAATGACGGGAAGGTAGTGGCCAGCCCTAAGCGCTGGCTCCCCCAAGTCCACTCTGGGATACACAGAGGTGACTAAAGAGAGCTGGGGAAAGGTCTGGGCCGCAGAAACCCCTGAAGAGTTCGTGGGGAACTGAGGAGCCTGCCTTCTCTTGCCATCTTGAAAAAGAAAGAAAATGAAGCAAGGATGAAGACAAGTTCGGGAGACACACAGAGAGCTCCTGTCATTTACCCACAGGCGCTTTGGAAGGAGAGGTGATGAGGCACGGCTCCTACCCCAGGGGGCTTAGAATTAGTTGAGAATGCAAAAAAATAATAATAAAAAAATAAACTGGGCTCATCAATGAGGCCGTCTTAAATATCACATTTTTAAAAATCAGAAGAGATTAGGCTTGGGGTCAGAAAGACCCAAATTTGGCCTCCTGCAGACTCTGAGAGCTTCAGATGAACGGTTTTATCTCATAAGCCTTCATGTTCTTATCTGTACAATGGGATTAATGATACTAATAGAATTGCCTGGTGGGACACATACCCATCTTTCCCACCGGAGAGAAAGTTTAAGAAGCTAAGGGGGGTTATTGATCATGGGGTAAGGGGATGCATAGGCAGATGGGGTTGGGGTGTCATCTGTTTCCCCCAAAGTCCCTGCCTTGGGGGACAGAGTACTCCAGGATACATGTCCTGAGAAATAACTGAATTCCCACCCCACTCCCATCAGGAAAGGCTTCTCAGGGTTGCAGGAAGGAGGAGAGGCAGAGGGAGGTGATGCATGCAAGCCACCAGTGTGACCAGACATTTTCTAGTAGCCATACTAAAACAGGGGAAATAAATAGGCAAAATAAATTTTAGTAGTGTATTGTACTTAATTCACTATATGCAAAATACTATCACTTTGATTACAACATGTAATCAATATAAAAATATAAATGAGAAGTTGAACATACTTTTGTTATACCAAGTCTTCAAAATCTGACATATGTTTCACACTTACAACACACCTCAATTTAGACAAGACAAATGTCAAGTGTTCAAAGCTCCCAAGTGGCCAGTGGCCATCGTACTGGATGGCTCAAGTGTGCTGGGGAGGTGTGTCTTACACGGGAGCCTTCACCTCCTGAGCATCCACCTCATGGAACCCACAGTGTTGGGAACTGAGGCTGTTTCCTCTGTGATTTCAGCTTGGGGTGATGTGGGAAGTCCCCAGTGCCCTTGTTCTACACAGCAAAAGTCATCTAAAGTGGTTTAAAACTTTCTGTAAAACATTTAAAGTTTTTAACATATCTGCAGTGAACTTTAATGGGATTCCATAAAAATTGAACAGACATCAGAATGAGCTGAAAGAGTCAGTGGATGACCTTGATGGTTTTAATTAAATTCAAAGTGAAGAGTCAAGAATTTGAGAGCTCTATATGGCCAGCAACTCAAAAAGGGTCAAGAGCATTCGAGACAGGACCAGGTGAACACATGGACCCCTTCCTGCCCAGCTGATTCTAGGATTGATTTGAACCAGCTCACCCAGGTGTGCGGTCAAAGAAGTAACATTTCAGGTGTGATTCCCTAATAAAGTTCCTTCCAGAAGGGCAGAACATACTTCTACACAAACCCTACTCCTTCTGTTTCTCACCTTAGAGGACCTACCTGGTTGTGATGGCAGAGCTCACACAAGTCATGATAATGATTCTTTTTTTTTTTTTTTTGAGACAGAGTCTCACTCTGTCACCAGGCTGGAGTGCTGTGGCGCGATCTCGGCTCACTGCAACCTCCAACTCCCAGGTTCAAGCGATTCTCCCGCCTCAGCCTCCTAAGTAGCTGGGACTACAGGCACACGCCACCACGCCCAGCTAATCTTTGTATTTTTAGTAGAGACGGGGTTTCATCGTGTTGGCCAGGATGGTCTCAATCTCTTGACCTTGTGATCTGCCCGCCTCAGCCTCCCAAAATGCAGAGATTACAGGCGTGAGCCACCCGCGCCCAGCTGATAATCATTCTTTAAAGCACCTGTGTTTCTTGTGGGATGGTAGTTCAGAGAAGCTGGAGGTATGTGTGCATTTGTGGGGTGGGAACAGAAGGACGCCTAACGTGGGGACTGGCTAGTGAAGTTGTCAGTCAAGTTTGTGAATGACTTAAATTATAGATCCCAGCCTGAGTTCTAAAAGGCTGCAAACTGCTTCACCTACTGCTTCTGGTCAGTCATCAGCATCAGTCAGAACAGTAAGGTCTAAGCCAAAGGCAGCTCCCAGTTCCAGCCACCCAGACGCCTCCTTGGCCCAGGCAGGGATGCTCCCTGAGTTCTCTGAATCTCCTTGTCGCTACTTCTTCCCAGGCCTCTTGGCCACTTATCCTGAGCACTGTGCGTTATAGTTATGTGTGTTCTTGTATTATCTCCCCTGCTAGATTAGAAGATGTTTAAACAGGGGGTTTGGCTCATCACTGTTCTATCTCCCAGAAGTTCCCATGGACGAGCAAAAGAGTAAGTCAAAAGCATGTGTTGAGAGACAATCAAGGCATTTGACTTCCTCTGGCTCCTGTCATTGCTTGGTAGCCTCAAAAATCTCTGCAGTCTGGGCCAGGCCGTCTTCCTCTTTCTCCCTCCTTTTCTCTACTTTTTTGGCTTTGCAAGTGCCACAATGGGAAGTCTCAATTAACTGCTAGGCTCGGAGAAGATGACCTAGTTAACTAAATGAATGAATGATTAAAGCTAACTAAAGAGTAATCAGCAATCATTTTTCTGATGCCTATGAAAATCCTCATTGTTGAACATATTTTTAAACGCAGAAGTACCCATCTGTCTAAGCGACATTAATGCAATGAGTATTTGACTTCTCCTCGATGACTAAGGACCATTGTGTGGTCATGATTTCTCATTATGGGTGCTTCTCCAGGCTGTCCACTCTACCTTCAGCCATCGGTGCTCACCTCCTGCAAACTTCTTCTCATAAAGGATTGCATGGCTTCCAGGTACATCCAATCCTAAGTGCAAATCAACAGCTCCCTTGCCCATTGTAATCCAAAACTCTATGAGAATATGCACTAGAAAGTGCCAAATTGTAAGCCGAAAAAGTTCTGTGGAACGTATTTTGTAAAAGCCACAAAAGAGGCTGGCACATACTGTCAACCCAAACCTGTCCCCACCCCTTCCTCTTCACTTAGAGAACACACATGTATTTTATCCATGCATCAAGTGGCCATGTGATTTAGAGGAGCTGGGGACAAGCAGCCCTGATTAGATAAACCGGTCCGCTCAGCAGCGATCAGCATAGTCCTAAAATGATTGGCATTGACAACACAAACTGGAACATGAAAAGCAGTCCCCAGGGACTCCTGGAGATTTTCCCTACCTTAAAGGGAGGCACAACACTGTTCTCTCTTTCTGCCTTGGGGCAAAGTTGTCTACGGATAAGATGCTCCGTGCAATAGCAGCCACTTTGTCACCATGAGGGTGAGATCTGAGAAGCATAGCCAGCAGGATGACAGAGAAGAAAGGGGAGAGATCTTTGTTCTCACTCATATAACCGATCACTAGATCTGCCAGCCTGGAATCTCCAGAATTTTCCATTTTGATTTAGGTTGTTAAGTGAGGCTTTCTGGGACTTACAGCTGAAATAGTAATGGATGCACAGAACTCTTACCTCCCTCTGCCCTACAAGTAGATGGCAGTGGAAAATAAAGAGAAAAACACAGTCCAGTTAATTTTGTATTCTGAGTGGTCTGGTTCTAATTAATCATAATTTTATTTATATCTTTAACTTTTTGTTGTTGTTTTCTAGGGGCATTTTGCAGCCATGGCTTCCAAGCTGTAAGAAGTCGGCCACGTAGACTTGGGAGTCTCTGCCTGGCTGCACCTCTGCCTTAATCTGTTTTCCTCACCCTAGAAGCTCCACACCAAAGGCTTCCTCTTAACCCTCACACCTGGATCCTGTATAAGCATGTCTGTCTGCTCTGACTTTAGCCCAGATGGTAACTCCTCGGCAGCTGTAAACATCCGAACACTCTCATAGTCAACAAAACAACAGAGCAGGAAGGCTACAGCCCAGCACACCAGGAGGCTCATGCCAAGGCACGGAGGTCTGTACTGGTCACTCTGCTTCCAGGAGGCTCGTGCCAAGGCACAGAGGTCTGTACTGGTCACTCCGCTTCCAGGAAGCTTGTGCCAAGGCACGGAGGTCTGTACTTGTCACTCTGCTTAAATGCAATAGGTTGAAGTACAACCAGTCATAAGAAACATTCTTTCCCTTTGTCCTCTAATTTTTAATTTTTGAAAATTCACATGCACTATAATTCACTTCTTTGGTTTACAATTCAGTGAGTTTTTCCACATGCACAGCTTCTTGTGTCCACCCCCACAGTCCGCGGGCAGAAGCATTCCAACTCTCCTGTGCTCTCCCCACCTCAATCTGTAGCAGCCATGGATTTATTCTGTGTTCCTACAGTTGTGCTTCTCCAAGAATGTCACATCAACGGGCTGATATAGTAGGCAGCCCTTTGTGGCTGCATTCTCTCACATACCGTAATGTACTCAGAATTCAATTCGTGGGGGTGTATGTACCAACACACAATCCTCTCTCTTGCTGAGTAGTATTCCATCCTGTGGATGTGCCACGGTCTGCTTATCCAGTCACTCACTGAAGGATAACTGGGCGTTTGTGATTATGAAGAGTACTGTGTTCTGCAGCGGGCAGGCCTATGCAAACAGACCTCCAAGTCAGAGGAAGCTGAGAGGCCAAGAGGCTGACAAATCCAGTTTCTCAGAAAGAAACATTTACTAGGGGCTTATGAACACAAGTCACATCTGTGTTTCAGGTGGCGTTGAGAAGAGATGGTGGATCCCTGTGCTGCGCCTTCCCAGACACAGGGCTCATAGACCATAGGAAAGGAATGCAGTGGATACTTGGAGTTGACTCCTTGGGGAAAGGCAAGAATGTCATGTGAATCTGCCTGAGGGCAGGATTAATGGTCAAGATTGTTTTGACCTAAGGGCAGGATTTAAGGTAAGTGCAATGCTCTTCCACAAGGAACAGTTGATGAAATAGAAATCTTAAAGGCATTCCCGGGACTGGGGTGAATCACAAGCCAACATGCAGATCAACATCCGAGTGGGAGCTGCGCCAGCCTCCGGGTACTGCTTTAAACACTCATGGACAATTCTATGTGAACATCGATTTTATTTCTTTAGGGTAATACCAAGGAGTCAGAGTGCTGGGGGATAAAGTAACTGTATGTATAATGTTTTACAAAACTGCTAAATGGCTTTCCAGAGAGGCCAGACTCTTTTGCATTCTCAGCTGCAATAAATGAGCATCCTTGTTGCCACATCCTCACCAACACTTGGTATTGTTGATCTATCTATCCATATATACACATATATATATATATATTTTTTATTGTTGTTGTTGTTGTTTCAGATGGAGTCTCACTCTGTCACCCAGGCTGGAGTGCAATGGCACAATCTTGGCTCACTGCAACCTCTGCCTCCCAGATTCCAGCCATTCTCCTGCCTCAGCCTCCCAAGTAGCTGGACTACAGGTGCCCGCCAACACGCCTGGTTCAATTTTTTGTATTTTTAGTAGAGACGGGGTTTCACTGTGTCAGCCAGAATGGTCTTGATCTCCTGACCTCATGATCCACCCACCTCAGCCCCTCAAAGTGCTGGGATTACAGGCATGAGCACCGCACCCAGCCGATATTTTTAATTTTGTCCATTCTATTAGATGTTAATGGCCTCTCCTCATGGTTTTGCTTTTTTTATTTAAACAGTTTTTAGGTACAGGTGGTTTTTGGTTACATGAATAAGTTCTTCAATGGTGACTTCTGAGATTTTGGTGCACCTGTCACCTAAGCAGTGTACAGTGGACCCAATATGTAGTCTTTCATCCCTCACTCCCCTCCCAACCTTCCCCACTAGTTCCCAGGGTCCATTATTTCATTCTTATGCCTTTGCATCCTCATTGCTTAGCTCCCATTTATGAGTGAGAACATACAATATTTGGTTTCCCACTCCTGAGTTACTTCACTCAGAATAATGGCCCCCAGCTCCATCCAAGTTGCTGCAAAGGCCATTATTACCTTCTGTTTTATGGCTGAGTAGTATCCATGGTGTATATATTGGTGTGCATATACTACATTTTCTTTATCCA
Organism: Homo sapiens; assembly: GCF_000001405.40. Classification (NCBI taxonomy): domain Eukaryota; kingdom Metazoa; phylum Chordata; class Mammalia; order Primates; family Hominidae; genus Homo; species Homo sapiens. Next base: position 61,064,215 of record NC_000020.11, read on the forward strand.
CTTATTGATTGATGGACACTTAGGTTGGTTCCTTATGTTTGCAATTGTGAATTGTGCTGCTATAAACATGCATGTGCAGGTGTCTTTTTCACAGAATGACTTCTTTTCCTGTGGGTAGATACCCAGTAGTGGGATTGCTGGATCAAATGGTGGATCTACATTTAGTTCTTTAAGGAATCTCCTCACTGTTTTCCATCGTGGTTGTACTAGTTTGCATTCCCACCAGCAGATTGCCATTCCCCTACTGCTCATGATATTGGGTGTCCCGTTGCTTGATTTTTGTAGATCTTCTGTAGCTCTTCTCCAGTAAAGCATCTGTTCAGATGTCCTCCTGAGACACTGACCTTCTTATTCTCTAGCACTCTTCCTTACTCCACCTGCAATTAAAATCCCTGGTGATCTGGACTCCCTTACCCTAGAGTTTAGCCAAGCCCCTATGCAGGATTTCTATAACTTTACCGTTCATGTTTTCTATGGCTGGGCACTGGAGATGACACGTAGATCCCAATGGTAAAATCCAGTTCAGTAAAAAGGATCCCTTGAATGTATCTGGAAGTTTCTCCAGTGCCAGGGTGAGTGCTGCAACTGGAAGGACACCCCGGGACCACTAGGAGAGGACAAGGTCACCGATGAGACCGATAAGACTGCCAGCAGCAAACATTCCCAAACTGGGGGCAAAGGTTTCATGGGCAGGCTCACTCCCTGACCACATGCCCAGTGCTGGTCATGCAGTTGGGACTGAGATTGTCATAGCGATGGGAAGACTACCCTGGGCGATCATTATGAAAAGCCTTCTGTGGGAGGAGGCTGTGGTTTTTGTTTTCTTAACCTGCATATGCATGCGCCAAATTGCTTTGGCTTTAGGAAAGCTCACTGCCTGTGTGATGGGGGTAGGGGAAGCAATTTTTAAAAAATACTAAAACTGATTACATCTGTTTATTCCTTTTCAGAAAGTGGATGAATTAATTTCAGCTGTGGATTTTTTCAATTTAGGAAAAATTGTAAATGGACCTTTTAGCTATGAAAGGTAAAGGCCCATTGACATTTTCCATGGGAGAGGTTAAGACAGAGTGAAATTGCTCTGCCTAAAAAGTAATGCAAAAGTTCAGGTACCAGTGGCCTCCTGAAAGAAATGGGCAGGCATCCTGGGGCTCCAGCAGAGAAGACTGGAGGCAGGGCTTGCTGGAGAGACTGAAGACCAGTCCCCCAGCAAGGCAGTGGAGGGGTCTGGAGGAAGGGGGCAGGGCCAGGGAAGCATCCCGGGGCGGAGGCAGATGTCCAAGAGACGGGGCTGACAGCGACGCCTGGTGCTCCACGCCCCAGGCTGCAGTCACCCAGTGTTACCCACAAACCACCATTCCATGGCCTGTGCTCCCACTTGCACAAAAGTCACAGGTTCCAGGGATCAGGATGTGGACATCTTTGGGAGCCATTATTCTGCCCCCTACACCTAATAACACGAATGTCTTAGAAAATGGCAAATACACAATGTGCCTAACTGACAGCGGGGTTCCTGGGGAAGGATGGTAATATTTTGTCAAAAGGCTCATTCCAGACCAATAATCCTACAGCCCACGGAGAAAACGATGCATTTCCCTGGATCCAGCCAGATCCCGAGCCCATGAGACTGCAGTCTCTTTATAGGACTCCCAGGGCCCGGCGCCCTCAAGGCCTCGTGGGGCAATGGCGGGATTGTGCTGAGCAGAAGAGTCCCCAGAGATAGGGCAGCCGCTGCAGGACAGAAGATGAGAGGGGGACCCAGGAGCGAGCAGAGATGGAGACCAGACGTGACTGCTGGCCAGCCAGGAATTCTCAGCATTCTCAGAATTCTGAGGATTTAGGAATTCTCAGAAATGCTGGCCAGCCCCACACCTGTGTGACACAGGCCTGAGCTACAGTTTCCCGGGCACTAAAGAAAGGGAAGCTGTAGAGGGCAGGCAGACAAGCCCATCACCATGGACATGGGCACCATAATGACCAAATCGCCTAAGAGCCTTGAACTAGCCCCGGCTTTGCCTCTCCACACCTTGGGGTCCCTCTGGGATATGCTAGCTTTGTCCAAATTGGCTGTATTTTGTTAGTGGAGCAGCACTCTTCATACTTACACACACACACCCAGCCAATTCCAGGAAGAGCCTCCTGCTGACCAGCAGCAGGGCCTTTGCGCCAATCACTAAATACTTTCCTGAAAGGCGTTTCCAGGATCATGCATGCCTTCGGGAGCCCGTGGTACCCTGGGCAGCTTGTTCCACTGCCTTACACACCCAGAGGCAGCAGTGCCAGGAGGCTGGCCCAAGAGGCCTGGCTCCTACCATGGTTCTTCTCATCCCACCAGGCTGACCGTGGCTGGGACAGCAGAGGGGGGCTCTGAATTCCCTGTGGACGCCATGCTTCCAGACAAGTGGAAGGAGACCGTGTCCATCTGCAGCCATCATCGCCCGGCAGATGCCCTACGTGATTGATGGCACGTGCCAGCACAATCTCAGTGTGCATCGCTGTAGGAAACTTAATTGATGAGAGAATTGTCAGGAAGGATTCTGGGCGTGTTGCGGGGGTGTATGTTAAAGGCAAATCGAAAGCGAGAGAAGCATTGCTTTGAAATAAAATGCTCTCCCATTATAATTTGTAATATTTCCCCGAGAAATAATCTTCCTAATTTTTTTAACTGAGACTTTAGAAATCAATCTCAGTCAGGTAACAAGGCAGTTCTCAGCAAATAAGATGCATAAAGAGTACACATGTCTAATATCCAAAGACAAGAATGCAATTTGAAATCTCCTGGGAGGGCAGGCCCCGAGCCACAGTGCATTCCAGTTTTGGGAAAGCAGGCGTGCTTGCAAGGGACTCAAACATGCACTGACGGGTTGATAGGATGAAAGGTGCTGGGGGCTGGGTGGGTGGGGAGGAGCAGGGTGCTGGGAGCTGGGGGCTGGGGGTGGGAAGGAGCAGGGAGCAGGTGGCAGCAGAGCCACCCTGGCAGCTGAGACCCGGAGGCAAAGACACTGTCCCTGAGCAGCCATGGCCTCAGATCCACTGTCCGGTTATTTCACAAGCCAGGCTGCAAGACTCAGCCCAACGCTGCTGGGGTGACAGCTATTGGCAATTGTTCTTTGTCACCTTCAATAGGATTGACTAGAGCCTGGTCATGTGTCCAGAGCACAGGGAGGTGGCAGTGAGGCTCACGAGGAAGTGAGAGGGGCCGTGGTTCAGGTGGCCCTTCTGCCTGAAAGAGGAACCATGCACCTCAGCTCAACACATGGAATGGGCGTGGTAGGAGCTCCCTGCACCCACACCCCTGAGCCGCACCAAGGTCTCCACGATCTGACGCAAAGTCCAACCCTGGGGAGACTCTTCAAGTCTGGTTTCTTCAGGTTTCGTGCTGACCACTGCAGGGTGGGCCCCTGAGAACCCCGCAAAGTCTGCTGCAGCTCCCACATGTGCTGCACAGGCCACCCTGGTCTCCTGGAGTCTGCTCAGGTGTGTGCAGGGTGGACCGCCCAGTTGCCCCCAGTTCTACTGCTGCTCACACCTGCACTGTTCCTAGACGTCTGGAGATGACACGTAGATCCCAATGGTAAAATCCAGTTCAGTAAAAAGGATCCCTTGAATGTATCTGGAAATTTCTCCAGTGCCAGGGTGAGTGCACTGGAGGCCCCGCTGCTGGTCAGCAGGAGGCTCTCCCTGGAATTGGCCGGGTGTGTGTGTGTAATTACGAAGAGTGCTGCTCCACTAACAAAAGACAGCCAGTTTGGACAAAGCTAATGTATCCCAGAGGGAACTTGAGGTGAGAGGCAAAGCTGGGGCTGGTTCAAGGCTCTTAAGTGATTTGGTTATTATGGTGCCCGTGTCCATGGTGATGGCCTCGTCTGCCTGCCCTCTACAGCCTCCCTTTCTTTAATGCCCAGGAAACTGTAGCTCAGGCCTGTGTCACACAGATGTGGGGCTGACCAGCATTTCTGAGGGTGAGGGCACCCAGGCACCCTGAGGCATGGACACTCTTCTGAGGCCTGGGTCCTGGGACCTGCGTCCGTTCCCCTCACATGCCCTGAGGCTCACTCCTGCCCCGTCCCTGTCCCTCTAGAGGGGGCTTCTGGTGACCCCTTTCCAAGGACACATGGCCTCCCTCCCTGAGACCCTTACCGAATGGAGAGCCTGCACCGCTGGTGTCAGAGGCGGAAACACTGTGTGGCGTGCACTGTCAGGATCCAGTTTTACCCACGAGGAGTGGAGAATCAGTAAGTCCTTGTGCAGCAGAGCCAGGAGCAGAGGCTTCATGGCCCCTCCGGACCCCACACCTTAATGCCCTCTGGCTCCTGACGTCCAGGCAGCCTGCATTGGCTGTGACAAATGACCACACACAGCACAACTGATTCTCTTACGGCTCTGAGATTAGGACTCCCACATGGGTCTCCCAGGGCTGGAGTCAGGCCTTCCGCAGGGCTGGCTCCTTCATGGGGCTGTAGGGGAGCGTCCATCGTCCTGCACTCCTGCCTAGAGGCTGCTGCATTCCATGGCCCCTTCTTCCATCCTCAAAGCCAGTAAGGGCAAGTGGAGTCCCTCAAATAGAATCACCGTAAAGACCCCTGTGATTACAGTAGACCCACCCTAACAACCTAGCACAGTCTCCACATTTCAAGATCCTTAACTTAACCCCCAAATGCACAGCCCCTTTTGCCAGGGACGGTGGCACATTCACAGGCTCCAGGGATCAGGATGCGGACATCTTTGGGAGCCATTGTTCTGCCGACACACCTATTACATGAATGTCTTAGAAAATGGCAGAAACACAATGTGCCTAACTGACAGCGGTGTTCCTGGGGAAGGATGGTAATATTTTATCAAAAGGTTCATTCCAGACAAATAATCCTACAGCCCTGGGAGAAAACGATGCGTTTCCCTGGATCCAGCCAGACCCACAGCCCATGAGGCTGCAGTCTCTTCACAGGACTCCCAGGATCCCGCGCCCTCAAGGCCTCCTGGGGCAATCGCAGGATTGTGCTGAGCCGGGCCCTGACAATAGTCTCCACTGCATCTCGGAACCCTAGGCCTTCCCTGAAATATCACTGCCAACTCTCCATCATCACACAGGAAAATCCTGTCCCGAGGTGACCATGGACAGCCTCCTAAGTCTTTCCTGCTCAGCTCAGAGCTTGGGAGTCTGGCTGGGCCGGGAATCATTTATCTGCCCGTGAAAAGATCACCTAACACCAGCTGGCTGAAGTTTTTAAAAAGTGTGCAGGTGGGGACTGTGGGCTGTCACTGGGGAGTTCCAAGGACAAACCTGGGCATCTCAGTTACGTCTTGATCTCTGGGCTCAAAAGATATACCCATGCTTTGTTTCTACCTCCTCACAAGTGGGCTTCATTCTCAGGCCTACCTGGTGACCTGGACCAGGCTCATATGCCCCAGGTAAACCCCAGTTAAGAAAACAAAACACCAACACATGTGACTCTCTTTCCCCTATGCAAGCAAAACTCTATAATCATGTTTCATTGGCTCAGATGTGGTCACATGATCACTGCTGACCAATTACAGCATCTGGGGCCGGATGCCCTGATCACCTGTCCCCACTCACCTGCTCATTCCTGGGATAATACCCTGGCATCAGCTCCATAAAAAGCACATGGGCTGAGCTAGAGATGGTAGCTCTCCAAGGAAACCTATTCCTACAAGAAGATTGGAGGTAAAGGGAGACAAAACCCCAGAATACTTCCTCCCCCTAATTTCTAGTCTCTAGTTAAATAGTCTACAGCCAGCTGCCGGGTGTGGTGGCTCACACCTGTAATCCTAGCACTTTGGGAGGCCAAGGCAGGCAGATCATCTGAGGTCAGGAATTTGAGACTAGCCTGACCAACATGGTGAAACCCCGTCTCTACTAAAAAATACAAAAATTAGCCAGGCATGGTGGTGGGCGCCTGTAATCCCAGCTACTCGAGAGACTGAGGCAGACGAATTGCTTGAACCCAGGAGACGGAGGTTGCAGTGAGCCGACACAGTGCCACTGCACTCCAGCCTGAGCAATGGAGTGAGACTCTGTCTCAAAAAAAAAAAAAAAAAAAAAAACACAGTCTGCAGCCCGCCGCCCGAATGCAAAGTGTGGCGGTCGGGCATGAGTGAAACGTGATGGCGCTGCCCCAAGGCATCCCTGAAGCCTTTTTCAGCCCTGGGTTGGGGTCAGGGTCAGCACAGAGTGACTTCATCTCACAGGAGACACAGTGTCAGGGCGTCAACCAGGGCCCAACTTCTCCAGTGGGGTTTGCTCGGGGTGAGGAAAGGCAAGGTCTGTGCATGACACGTGCTGGTCTTTGTCTCCCACCAGCAATCCTGTCTGCACCGAAATACTCCTTCCTGATCTAGTGGCTGATCTGGAGAAGCAAATGTGTGGATCTTGGTAAAGGGCTGATTTCACAGGCACATAGTAATGGGGTATTTTGAGAGTGTATCTAATCCACGAATATTAAGAATAAAATATGTTTGATCAATGAAGTATTTGTTTGCAGCAGAATAGTCCTGGGTTCAGCCCAACCAACTCTCATGGCTTAATTACTGTCATCAGACTGGTTTCCAGAAGAATAAGGGTATTCTGACACGCATCAATCTGGCATCATGGTCACAGGCATTCAGAGATGAGTAGCCGCCTGTCGCCTTTCTAGTCTGTATCGGCAACACGTCAGAACCATCGATGGGAAACCACCTCATATTGATAAGCTGGTGAGCTAAAAATGCTCGTGATGGCATGATTGATCATTGCATATTAACTAAGGTTATTAGAACAGGGAAATGTGAGGCTTTCACTGCCTCCTCACAGCACTCAATTTAACAATCCGTCTTCATTTCCCTTGTGTTTCTTCTTCTGCGCCTGTTTTTTTTTTCTTATCCTCAATTAATTACAGTCAGTTAGATGATGAACACAATGAGTTTCATGGTGTACCTGAAGAGACCTGCTCTTGGGGAGACTGTCTCAGTGCAAAAATGTAGCAGGTTAGTTCCAGAAGATTTAGTTTCTGCTGGCAGGAACCTGGGAGCTTGGAAGAAGGAGCCAAGAGCCATCACAAGCATGTCCCCGAGGCATTCAAACTGGAGACAAAGAGCCCTACCCTGGCTCACTCTACGATGCTGGTTTCTGAGCACAGGTGTCCTTCGCATCCTGGGACTGGACAACAGGGAAGGGAGCGGGGCTGGGTACCACTTGGTTTTAGCAAGGAAGGTCATATAGTAGGTTGCCTGTTTCTACACATTTCTCTCAGTTTGTGGGATGGAGTTTTCTTGGCCCTGGAGGAAGGACAAGAAGTCAAACTCAAAACTGCTGAGTAAGTGGAGGGTGAGAGGGGCCTGAGTTCTATGACATCAGTGGCCCCAAATTATTTTGAGTTGGTCTGTGTTTCCTTGGTTATGTTTACTCTAATGTAGCGCCATCCTATATTCTAGGAATATTCCCTTGAAACAAAATAAGGAAACTCCGCTGAAGCCTCACTTCAGATTCATTGTTTCTTTCAGTACACTTTTATTGGGCCCCTACTGTCTGCACAGAGCTGCAGGAGCGGCTGTGGACATGGGGAGGGACCCCATGGACCTGTTCCCCAGACAGAGCAGCGGATATGGGAACAGGCCCTGGAAGAAGACTCTCTGACCTTGAAACTGAGTTGGTCATTTCACAGCTCAGATATGGTTTGGCTGTGTCCCCACCCAGATCTCATCTTGAATTGTATGCATAAGCAACATGTGTCATCGGAGGCACCAGGTCGGAGGTAATGAAATCATGGGGGTGGGTTTTTCTCATGATGTTCTCATGATAGTGGATAAGTCTCATGAGATCTGATGGTTTTATAAATGGGAGTTCCCCTCCACACGCTCTCTCTTGCCTGCCGCCACGTAAGACATGCCTTTGCCCCTCCTTTGCCTTTTGCCGTGATTATGAGGCCTCCCCAGCCACGTTGAACTGTGGGTCCATTAAACCTCTTTTTCTTTACAAATGACCCAGTCTCGGGTATTTCTTCATAGCAATGTGAAAATGGACTGATACAGTCCCTGAGCCTCAGTTTCCTTCTCTGTAAAGTGGAGGTAAGGATAGTGCATGTTATCATGGTTGTGCAGATTTAATGAGATCATCTGGCATATGAATAGCCCAGTATAGCACTTTACCCCCGGTGGCTGCTCAATAAAGATCGTCTGTGAACGTTAATTAGGGAAGACAAGCCCCATCCCAGTGACAACGGTGCAAAGAGGAAGGGGTTAGAGCCACAGACAGAGCACTGGTAATGGATCTGCAGTTCCCAAAGTGTGACCAGCAAAAGCTGCGTCACAAGCGAATGTGTTAGAAATGCAAATTCACAGGCCCCACTGGACTTGCTGACTCAGAAGCTCTGGTTGGGGGTAGTGGGGGCAGCTCTGTGTTCACTGCCCTGCAGGATATTCTGATACTGGCTCAAGCCTGGCAGCCGCTGTGATCACCTCCTACAGCTGGAGACTGGAAGGAGAGAGTGCCCGCTGCTGGGGGACCCTGCAAGGTTCGCTGAAGGAGGTTGCAAGGGGACAGAGTGAGAGGGGGCTTGGCAGTTCACAGAGAGAGAAATAAATATGTAACCATTAGGTTTGTCGCTGAGTTTCCAACGTTTTTGCATCGAAGTTGCTGGGTGTCAGGACTTTCCCTGAGCCCTTCTCATCCCACCAGGCTGTCTAATGGTCCTGAGCACTGTGAGGTCCTCTGGGGCAGCCACACTTGTCTGTCTTTCCTGTAGTGCTGGGAACTCATGGGGGCCACGGTCAGAGACTGTAGCAGCTCTGTGACAAATTTGCTGGATTTAGCAGGCAGGGCAACACAAATATATTATCTTACAGTTCTGTAAGTCAGAAGTCAGACATGGGTCTCCCTGGGCCCAAATCAGTGTGTCTTCAGGGCAGCCTTCTTTCTGGAAGCTCAAGGAGAGAACCCATTTCCTCGCCTTCTGCAGCTTCCAGAGCCCCCTTCCTCCACCTTCAAAGCCAGCACTGCACCTCTCAGTGCTGTTCCCACAGTTCCATCCCCCTGGCCCCCTCTGACCCTGCCTCTCTTCTGCCTTCTGCCTATGAGAACCATGGAGATCACGGTGGACCCACCTGGGTAACCGAGTATAACCTCAATTTCCAGGTCAGCTGCTTAGCAAACTTAATTCCATCTGCCGCCTGAATTCTCCTTTGTCACGTGAGGCAGCACACTCAATCCACAAGTTCCAGTGATTAGGACATGGACATCTTTGAGGTGCAACATTCTGTCCACACAGGGCCCATGTTCCTCTCCATCTGTTAGCCTGGTGCCCCAACAGTGTAGGGTGGTGACTAAGAGTGAGCATTTGTGAGTCAGATCCATCCGAGTTCAGTTTGCAGTCCCCTGCTTTTCCTTATGTGGCCTTAGGCAAGTTTCTACACTTCTCGGAGACTCTGTGGTCTCATCCGCAAACCAGCGATGACAGTAGAACCTACAGCACAGGGACATTATGCCAAACTCTTGCAATGCCCTTGTCACTGTGTTATTGTGACCATTGGAAGGAAAATTAGAGCTCGCCTGCTCTGACCCCACCTCCTATACCCACCATCTCTCTGTCACCTCTGGCAGATGGTGCAGTGGGGCAGACTGTCTCCTGGTCAGCAGTTTCTCCCTACCCTCTGGCCACACTGCCAATGCTGCTTGAGAAGACATCCTGGTGCCATGCTAAGCCACATGGAGTGGCTGTAACTGACCACACACTGAGTCCCAGGATGGGCCATGATGGACTGGAGCCAATCAGTGGATCCCAGGCCTCTAACCAAAAACATGTGTCCAGGATGGGATCCTGTCCACCCAGGTCTGGAGCCCACACACCACATCTCCAGAGCCTGAGTTGGCCACAGGTACAATGGAGAAGCTTCGGGTGAAGCTGATGTTGAAAAAGGTGGGGGAGAGAGTCAACAGGAGCTCAACAATGTCTTCAAAGACTGTTGTTCAAGCCTCTAGATCCAGCCTTGCCTGAAGGCAGCCCTACTTGGGGACATTTATGTAGACGACCCAGTGACCATGGATTCTCTTTCACTTGCTGCACAAGGAGTCTGGTCTTTCAGTTCTATTCAATCTTCTCCCAAAATAGCACATCTTCTTTGGACAAGATTGAAGGGGATGCCTTCTAGTCAAGGAAGGCTGTATCCATGTGGCTGCAACTCATTTCCTAAAACTTCGTTCTTCCAAAGCAAAACAAAACAAAACAAAAATCCAGCTCATTTGTTTCACAGGAACTTACTAAGTGCCCTCCTCTTTTGTTCTGAAGCCTTCAAATATTTTTAAACCATTGTCCTTTCCCTTGGCCTCCTCTCTTCTGTCTTCATATGACCAGTTTCTTTACTCAGACCCTACATAACTTGGCTTGTAGATCTCCCATCACCACAGTTAGACTCCTCCTCCAAATGCCACTTTTCCAATCTCCTTTTAAAACTGTGAAGTCCCCAGTAACATTGGCTGTCACATAAACCCACTCTGGATGTGGCCAGATACAGCTGATTCTAGTGACATATTGTGTCTGTTAATGTCTGGCTACATCTTAATGTGAAGCGATGGTTCACACTGACGGGATGTCCGAGTGGGAAGGCACCCTGGTCAAGAGGGCTCTGCATTTGTGATTTTACATGACATACATATGCTACTGATGGCTCTTGATGCCATTAGGAACCACCAGCAGGAACAGACATGCAGTTATGCAAACCACATCCTTTTTGTCCAGTGGTCCTGGCCAGCCTCAGACAGTGACCCAGCCCTGAGTTGTCAGAGTGGATGGTCAGCAAGGTGTCAGCTTGGATTTCTCAAAGCAAGGCTGATATGGTTAGGCTTTGTGTCCCCACCCAAATTCCATCTTGAATTATAATCCCCACAATCCTCACCTGTCAAGGACCCAATGGGAGGTGATTGGATCATGGGGGAAGCTTCCTCCATGCTGTCCTCATGACAGTGAGTGAGTTTTCAAGAGATCTGATGGTTTTATAAGGGGATCTTTCCCCTTCACTCATACACACTTCTCTTGCCTGCTGCCTTGTAAGACATGCCTCTTCCCCTTCCGACAAGATCGTAAGTTTCCTGAGGCAAACCCAATGCTGTGGAACTGTTAGTCTTTTCTTTATAAATGACCCAGTCTTGGGTATGTCTTTATAGCAGTGTGAAAATGGACTGATACAAAGGCCATCTCACCACCCCTTGCTTGCATGGGCCATTGATTTTGACTTACCATCAGGGCCCAGCGACCCTGGCCAGGCATCCTTTGGACCACTCCTCACACTGCCCAGACTGGACAGGACACAACCCTGGAAAGGCCTGGCTCCCTCTCCACACAGCTGCTAGGCTTATGAGCTCTGAAAGGTACAGGCCTCCAAGAGCCTCCATTCGGCCTTCAATAATGAGAGGGGGAGAAGAGCCATCTCTCAGCCACAGCTGGAAGGAAGTGGGCTTCATATTCATTTGCACAGCTCCTCTCAACCTGGCCCCTTCTTTTTTCAAGTAGCAAGAAAAAAAGCTGAGAGAGCCAGGAGATGGAGGCTCTTAGTAGATCTTTAAAAGGGGCAATTTTGTTTCATTTATCTGAAAAGTCACACCGCACATGGTGAAGGGGGAAGAAGGAGAAGGGGAGGAGAAGGAGAACTCGTGGAGGATGGCTGGCACCCGGGAAAGCAGACCCCCTCATCCTCTGGCTCCGTGAGTGGGTTCCAGGACATCGTGCAGGAGGTGACTCTCCCTGACTCAAGCTGAGCCTGCTCATCACAGTGTCTGGTGTGCATGATGTTTCTCTTATTTGCTAGGTTCAAAGCTTTGTGCCCACAGCTTCTTTGCTGGTTCTTTCACACGTCTGCCCAGGGCCCAGCACCTGCCATATCTGGAGTGCTTTCTGACCCCGACATTCCTGTCACCTCATTCAGTTCTCTGCTCACTCATCACCTCCCCATTGAGCCCTTTCCCCAGCCCCCCTGCCTAGCCCCATCCAGCCTTCCTCACCCATAGCGAGCTCTGCCTGCTCTGGCTCCTTGTATAGACTGGCTGCTCTCCTGGGTGGCCGGAGCAGTCTGGTTCAAGGTATAAGACCCTCCTCTACTCTGTAACTGCTGTGATTGAGGGGCCTAACTCGAACCCCAGGTACAAACTGGAGTCACAACCAGGACATTCAGCCACACACATGAGGCTATGCCCTGCACAGCAACCCGTGTGTAGAAGTCTCATGGAGCTTCCGTAACAAATGACCACAATGGGGAGGTATATTCCCTCCGCATTCTGGAGGCTAGAAGTCTGAAATCAAGGTATCAGCAGGGCCATCCTCCCCACAGAGGCTCTGCAGGAGGACCCTTCCTGGCCTCTTCTACCACCGATGGCTCTTGGTGTTCCTTGGCTTGGACACATCACTCCAATCTCTGCCTCCACTTCACATGGTTTTTTCCTCTTCTTTCCCTGTCTCTGCTCTGTGTGTCTACTTTTATTTTTTTATTTTTTTGAGACACAGTTCTGCTCTGTCACCCAGGCTGGAGTGCAGTCCAGCTCATTGCAGCCTCAAACTCCCAGATGCAGTCATGGCTTACTGCAGCCTCAAACTCCCAGGCTCAGGTGATCCTCCTACCTCAGCCTCCCAAGCAGCTGGGACTACAGACGCATGCCACCATGCCCAGCTAATTTTTTTTCTTTTAAAGATGGGGTCTCGCTATATTGCCCCAGCTAACCTCAAGCTCTGGGGCTTAAGAAATCTTCCTGCCTTAGCCTTCCAACATGCTGGGATTAAAGGTGTGAGCCACCGTGCCCTGTCTATTTAAGGATACTTGTCATTGGATTTAGGGTCCACCTGGAGGATACAGGATGATCTCATATCAAGATCCTTAACTTAATCACCTCTGCAAAACCTCTTTTTCCAAATAAGGTCACATTTACAAGTTCTTGGTATTAGCACACATATCTTTCTGGGGATCACCATATACTTATAAATAATAAAATTGTGGACATTGTATAAACACTGATGGCATGCCAGTCAAGGTGTTACATACTTCACTTTTGTTTGCTTATTTGATCTGATAGTCCCTATGCCATATCTCCCCCCGCTCCCAACAGGGAGTTGCACTGGACTTCCAACAAGGAAGAGAGGTGGCCTTATCCCCATTTCACGATAAGGAAACTGAACATCGAGGAATGTACAACCAGCAGGTGGCAAATACCAGAACTCAGATGCGTGTCTTCCAGGCTTCCAAGGCTGTGCTCCCACATACCCCACAGCAACTGCCTTGCAGATGAAGGTGCTGGGGCTCAGAGGCTTGCCCAATGTCCCGTGGCTGAGAAGTGATGAACAGAGTTGAAATTCCACTGCTTCCCATTCCAGGCTCTTGCTGCTGTAAGATGCCTCCTCCTCAGGGTCCAAAGTGGATGGAGCAGCCTCTGGTCAGATGGCACCATGTGCTGGGTTACAATACAGAAAATCTTCCCTCCCTTCTTCCCCGGGCCACTTCCCTCATCCCACTGAAGTCTTGCCTCATCTCACTGAAGTAGGGCTTGGATAAGTAGCTTGTTCAGGCCAATGGAACATAAGCATAGACAACATGCCAATCCTGAGCCAAGCCTAGGTGGCATCTGGTGCTTCCTCATGGCCTGTTGTGTTCCTACTGTTACCACAAAAAACCATGCCCTGGGTAGCCACTAATTCAAGGATGATGGGAGGCTCAAGGAGCAGAACTCAACCCAATTCACAACCTGGAGCCTGGAACCTAGAGCCAGGAGCTGGGAGTCCAGAGCCCAACCTAGCCCAGCCGTGGTGCCATGCAACTCTCTTACTGGCTCATAAGTGAGAAATGTCTGTTGTTTTCAGCCTCTGGGTTATGGAAAGATTTGTTACTCAGCATTATTACAGCACTGCTAACTGATACAGATGGGTCTAAACTTGGATGGTTAACAAATATGGAATATATCTTTAGAATAACAGATTATTCTCTGATTCAGAAAGAATGTACAACATAAAATCCAAAATAGATGGCCCCATGCTAACTGAAACCAGTATTCAAGCTAGCTCTTTACAATTTAAAAGGAAATTGGAATTTGAGATGGGACAGGCGTTTTTCATTGGAGATGTTTTGAATGGAAGCATCAAGATCTCCAAAAACGTACTTCTCACTTTTTAAAGGCTTTTGTTTATACCTAACACTAAACTGATGCTAGATTGAAACATCAATTGACAACCTGGTCTGTCAATGAAGAATGTTCAACTTACATGTAAATACATGTACAAACATGGGCCTTCTATTCAGTCAGTCTCAATTGAAAACTTTCTTCTCAAAATTCACTCTAATATGGGGATTGTGTTTATTTATGGGTGACAGCTAATTTGCTTTCTTCCTGTAATAAAATAATTAAAATACTTTGCTCTACGAGTTGTATTTTTTCAGGGTGATCCTTTCATTAAAAGTCATTTAATATCCTTCTGTTCTGTTATCTGCTACATTTCAACTTTTGTGTTTTCTCTGCTCTCCTTGTCTTCTGTCATATTTCTCATTAAATTTCCCCTTTTTGTCCTTTTGTTATGATGGCTTATTTTCTGCCCTAAAACAAGCTTTGAACTTAAAAACCTGAAAAGCATTTTATTTGGAATAAAAGAATCCACAGTGTCACACATTTGTCAGCTAATGTGTTCCTGCCTATGCTTTGTTTTAATTTTTCAGAGTGATTGTTTATGAACGAGGCCTTTGGTTTCTTGGAGGCTGGTTTGGTCTTTCTACCCATTCTTCACAGAAAACGGTAATCCTCTGATAACATAATCATCACTGTAGCAACCGGAGGCGATGTCACAAACAGGATTATGACTTAAGAGCCCAGATTTGCATCTCACACCCACTACTTACGCGCCAGGCGCCTCTTTGGACGCCACTCCACAGCCTCGTGTGTTAAGAGGCACACAAGAGCTGCCTGATTGGCCCCCAAGCTGAGAACCGGGAGCCGGAGGAAATCATAGCGAAATCTCAACCTGATGTAGCCCCATCAGCATCACACACACACTCAGAGCAAAATGGCCTGCTCTTCAATGTAGCTTAGTTTAGTTCAATTGTCCTGCCCACCCCCTCCTGACCCTCCTGCCGCTGAGGGGTGGTATTTGAAAGAACAGGTGAGTGCTTCATAGGTGCCGGGTTCGTGATCTAATTCTGGGTTCCTCAATCTATTAACAGCTTGGGAAGAACAGATCAGAGGACTGATGCTCACCTGGGTTTGGATTCCTCCTTTAGCCTTTGACAAGTTACTTAACTGAGTAAATCCTCAATTTTCACCATGATAAAGGAAAGATGGTGTGTGACTATTATGTTTTTATTCCGGATTGAAATACTCAGTGTATTCATAAGGCCAGTGAAGGCAGCACAGGGAAGTTAGTGTGGGCTGGTGCTGTGCTCATCAAGTCCACAGACACCTTAGGGGTTGTCAGGGTATTATCTGGGTCTTCTGGGTATCCCAGTGGTTTGGTTGGCGATTGTTCACCCATTTCACAGATGGCAAAACTGAGGCTTATGGAGTTTCCTGTGATGCTCCAGTTCACAGAGCTAAAAGGAGTAGAGTGATGGCTCAGACGCGGGCCTCCCAGCTCAAGTTCTGTGCTCTGGATGGAAAGTCAGGGTGACCCTGAAGGACGGGGCAGCTGTGCAGGGACAGGATAGGCCCATCCTGGAAGGCTCATTGGCTGAGGGAAAGAGGGTACAGGGGAAATAATTCCCTTTCATCCATCCATCCCCATTATTGCTCCTAAACTTCCCTTCCACCTCCAGCTTCTTTCCTCTCTTCTCCTTGGGACAGCAACAGCACAGAGAGTGGGCCGCCATCTCTTACTGCCCACTCAACCGTTGCTGGGGACTGATTCTTTCAGCTCTACATAGAATTCAAGAACTATATTTGGATCTGCTTCAGAGCAGTAATCCCCACAGCCTTAAAACATGCAAAATAAAAATAAATTAATCATCCATCAGCATTTTATGGTACATTTATAATTTTATTTAAATGTTTAATATCATAAAACAAGCTTGGCTCATGGAGAAAACTGTTGATTTCATGAGAAGAAATTGCTCTCTTTTAAACGAAAGTAAATACTCTTTAGGGCATCCCCAGATAGGAAATGAAGATGAAGGAAGCTGTTCCCAAGTTGGCCAAATCTGGCAATTATTCTCTCAAAGACAGCAATGTGTCACAGCAAAATGCGACAATTCCCTCAAGTGACCAGTGGGACTGATTTATGAGCAAAAGCAAAGACATTGTTCCCCCAAACGACTTTTGAGTTACTAACTCCCTGAGAGGGAAGATCATGGAAGGAGGGGGACCCAGGAGGCTCAGGGGTCCAGACCAGCTCTGAGAAGGACCTGTCTTTCACCTTTCCTCAAGGTTCTGTTATTTTGAATGGCAGATCACCATCACTTTCAAGGCCTGGCCTTGTTCTCTGATTGGTCATTCTTAGAGAGAGATAGGTTGCCCATTAAGACCCATTGTTCTGACTCTGAAATGAAAGAAAATGAAGCAATTAACATCTTGGCAGTGGGCAGAATTAATCATGCTTGACCATTTTTATTTAAGTTCTCCCCCAAAATGCAGCACCGAAGGGCACTTATTAGTTCACACAAAGAGGCATCTCTGAACAGCAAACACTCAATTATTTCGATGTTTACTGTTGAGAAAACTGCAAAAGAAAATATGCATTCAACAGACACATTCTGAAAGGTCTTTAAAAATGAGGCTATTTTCACAGTTTCTAAGGCATATCCTATAATTTTGTTTTTTAATCATTGCAACCTACTGGATTCAATATTAGATTCTTATTTCTACCTCTCCAAACCCTCATCATAGTCTTCTGGCCATTCAGCAAAATACATTACTTTGCAAAGCTGAATGTAAGCATAGACATCTTACATTCAGCTTTGCAATGTCTTACCTCCACTGTCACAAAATTAGGTAGCACCTCAGATCAGGTGAAGGAAAAATGACACATCGGATTTGTAGACTGTCTTCCTCTCTCCCATGACCACAGTGGTCAAGTGGTTGCATTGATTACCTGATTAATGGCCTCCTTGTATTCCTGTCCCACTGGACTCTTGGCTCGCTCAGCCAGGGGGCTTTCTTTGGCCAATGGATGTTAGCAAATGTGACCCAAGCCAAGTTCTGAAAAGATATTCACTCTCTTTGACCTCTGCCACCACCGAGAGAACATACTCAGGGTTGCTTGACAGAAAAATAATCTAAAAGATATCTAGAGGAGAACGGACTGGCCTCCAGAGCCACCCTGGACCAGCAGCCCCCAACCAGCATGCAGCTGATTGCAGCACAGCGAGCCACCCCAGTAGAGGCAGCTGAGCCTGGCTCAGATCAGCAGAACTGCCCAGCCAATCCAAAACTCAAAGAAAAATAGTGAATGGTAGTTCTTTCAAGCCATTCAGTGTTGGGGTAATTTGTTATGTGGCACTATAGAGGCAATAGGTAGCTGATACAAACCTAACCCCAGCTGCCATTCATTAAGCACATGTTATGTGTCAGGGATGGCGCCTTGTAAAGTTGACACTTTACAGACTCAACTCTGATCTGCCCAGTGATGCCACCAGTCAGGTGTCATTATTCTCATTTATATAGATAAGGACACATGCCTTACACAGTAGAGTTTAGTAAGCATGTGAGAAGCTATGTTTGGACCCACAGCAGTCCCCTCTTCCCTCAAGTTACCTGCCTCCACCATGACAGTTTGCCCTGAATCCCTGGCTCTGGTGCCCCACCCTGAGCATAAACAGGTCATCATGTGAATACCAACAAACTCATGTTGACCAGGAAGGACTAAGCCATGCCTCTGAACTGCTGACACGTCATGTGACCTGTTCTGGAAATGCTATATGGGCATGAGCAAAGCCCACCTTGAATGTCTAAAAATAAACATGAGCCAGGAGTTCCTATCTGCAGCCACTCATCAGCATTTTATCCTCCCAGCTCACCCACTCATCACACTGTAAAATGGGATTGCTCCGAACAAACCCATACAAGGCAGATGTCCAGCCCACCACTCATGCCCAATGATGGGGGAAGCGACGGTCACTCTCCCACAGCAGGCCTCTCCCTGAGATCACCCTGTTCTGGCATAAATAGAGTGTACCTGTGATGGACCAAATTCATCCAGCTCTCGTTCTGGATGTCCTCCTAGCAGAAGCTGGCTACTCTTAGCTGAATTCTGCTTTGTTCCCTAATAGGCACTGGCCTGGATGCCATGAAAGGGCCAGGAGCTTGCCAGTCCTCCTCACTGTATCTGCAGCTTTAAGCATGATAAGAAATACAACAAGTGTTTGTAGACAATGAATGGTCTAAATGTACATATGGGGAGTTCTACGAGCAATGCATCACAATTCCAGCACACACTTATTTGCATCTATTAATGTTTCTTGACTTTGGTTGCACACTAGAATCATCTGAGCTGTTCTGAAAAGCACAAACACACAGCCCCCATCCTGGAGCAACAAAACATCCTGGGCTATTTGAAGGATTCCTGAGTAGAGCTATTGCTTGAATTCTCTCTGGGTCAATCTGATGTGCAGCGAGGGTTGACGGCTACCCTTCTCTCCTATTTCAATTTAAACACAGAATTTTAGCCAACTCCTTTCTAACCCTCATGATGTGATGTCATCTCTCCAGGGAGATCTTGCATAGTGTTCCCAGGAGAAGGCCCAGCAAAACTTGCGGCAAGAGGAAGTAAAAATCCTGCCCCCACCCCTTCTATACATGCCTGCAGGTGGCTTCACAAACTTGTTTTCCCTGCAGCTGCTTGCACATGTAACAGCTTCCAGGATAACCAATGAGCTGGAACCAGTAAGATGTGGCTGGGGAAGGGGGCTTCTCATCTGTCAGCTGGGGAGCCTCATGGGGCCTTACATGGACTCAGCTTCTTACCAGTTCCAGAAGAGCACCCAAACGGCCCTGGGATTTTCAACTCTGAAGCATAAGGTGGGAACCCGGCAGCAGGCTGGACCCTCTGGCCCCCCTCCCTGTTGTCCTCCATGAGCTCCCAGTCCCGTTCATATCAGAGCAAAACCACAGCTGGTGGGACTTAGCGGATTTTGACAGCATGTTGATTATGAATATTGTCCCTTTCAGGCAAGTTAATGAAGCACCCAATTCACACCAGCTTTTATCTGTCAGAGAAACACCAGCAAGCAAGGTAGAGACAACAAGCCAAACCCTGATGTGCAAGTATGAACTTCATGTTAATTAGGAATCGGAAGAATGTGTGGGTTTCTCTAATGCACTCATCATACGAAGCCAGCTGATTCAAATGCTCTCAACCTGAGCTTCGGGTCATTTGTGTTAGCTGTAAGGCCATCTGAGGCAGATGCATTGAACCTGACCTTGAGAGTATCCTTGACCACTGGACCAAGAGGCCAGAGACTCTACAAGTGTGCTCAGGCCAGATGGCTAACTCAACTAGTGCCTGGCAGGAAGACTCAAGATGCCAGCTTCTCCCCTAAACCATGTGAACATTCAACCATTTTAAACTATAAAAACAGCAATTTCAACCAAAACACTGGACCTTTGCCTATTTTACTGGAAGTTTCTCTCTTAGAGTATGATGAAAAGAGGATTGGTTGTAAGAGACCTGGCTGCAAGGCTCACCTCCACTAAGTAGCCATAGACATTTTGGCCACTAATGTGCTGTGAGTCACCTTATTCCTCTGGTCCACAGCTTCTTCATCTGGGAAAGGAAGACATTGGATTGTAAAGTAAGAATAGCCCACATTTTTTAGCATTTGCAATATGCTAGGCAATGTGCTAATTGCTTGATTATTAAAGAGACAATTAACATTGAAAAGTAGTTATTAACGCTTCAACACCCCAGCAGGTGGAGATCGTCATTAATCCCATTTATCAGATTGGGTCATTGAGCTCAGGATGGTGCATGTGCTGCGTCTGAAAGGCTGGGGTCTGGTGCTCGCTTCTGGGCTGTTGATGACTGGGTTCAGATGCATCATTGTGCATGCCTTTCTTAGCAGAGGATTTCTTCCCGCTCTGCTATGGACAATTTACTGCTTTACAGTCTTTTCACCAGAGACCACTCACTGGCAGTGGCATTTGTAGAAAGTAGCCTCTAAGCTGCAAAGCCCTGCCTGTCACCAGACCTACGTAGAGGGATTCCCACTTGCTTTATGATGTCCAGAGTGCTCCTCGTGTTGCCCTGTGGGTTTTATTTTCCTGTTTTCCACTGGATATGGTCAACTGGCATTTACCATGAATTCCCAGCTCCTCCACAAGTTCTTCTTGTACTGCTAAGACTGAAAACTTAAACAATACATTTTCTACAATCTCTTATGTGGTGAGCAGATAGAAACGTGGTCCCCAGTGATCCCCACCCCCTGGTATTCATGCCCCTGTGGAATCCTGCACCCCTGTCAGTGTGAGGTGAGCTAGTGACATGTTCTAGCCAATAGGATGATGGGATGACATGTGTAATTAAGGGGATAAGATGTCACTTCCTTGATTAGCTTACAAGAGATTGTAACCTCCATCTTGCCAGCAGACTCTCTGGCCATCTCAGCTTCCAGGATGTAAGCCCTCACATTGCAGAGGTCCCTGTGGTAAGGAACTGGAGTGGAGGGTGGCTCTGCACAACAGCCAGCAAGGAACTGAGGCTTCTGTCACCCCTGGAGCAACTGAGCTCACCAACAACCCGAGTGAGCTTGGAAGCAGAGTTTTCCCCAGTTGGGCTTTCAGATGAGACCCCAGCCCCAACTAAGGCACCATGATGGTAGCCACAGGAGACATGGGACACAGCCAAGCCCACCTGGATCCCTGATCCACAGAAATTGTAAGACGATAAATGTGTACCAAGTTTGCTGTAATCTGTTAGGCAGTAACAGGTCACAAACACACCTTCACCCACAGATGAGATTGAGTTCTGTCAAGCAGAAAGACACTTCCCAGGGGGATATGGAAGAAATGAGGCCATCTCCTGGCTTCCCATGGCTGATTCTGCCAGCACCAGCACCTGTGTCAGGCCACCAGCTGAGCAGGTGTGGAGATGACATTACAGCCTCCATAGCTGCATGATGCTGTCTGGGTGTCCTCATAGTTACAATGGTGGCAGCAGATTCCTGAGCCCCATTGCCCAACCAAGAGACGTCCGTTTTCATGTATTGTTGGGATCGATAGTTCCATGGCAGTCTCCTGATTCCTCACTTTCCTGATGGTGGAAGAGATGGCAGCTGCCTGGCAGGTCATTCTGCAGTGCACACTCACTCTGCAAGGTGGCACATCTCTGCATCTCCAGAGTCCACTTCTCCTTCATCTGGTAATTTCATGAGCACCTGATTCCCTGTATTCAGCCACTTTCACCTCAAGTAGTTTCTGTTTCCTGCACAGAGCCCTGATGGATCCACCTGGTATCTTGATTGTTTCCTAGAAAGTGAAGAAAGTCCTTCAATTTTCTCACCACATACCTGAGTGCTTTTTCTCAGTGAGAATTCAAGAGACTTTGAATCTTGGCCAAACACAAATTAGACAACATAATCCTACCTCAAATACATATGGGGCTCTATCATTTACCAAGCTGCAGAACTCCTTTCTTTTACACCCCACACAACTTTCTGAAGTAGGTGTGCTTCCTACCCTCCCCATTTTATAGATGAGAAAACTGTGGCTCAGAAGCAGAACATGTGCTGACCAGCTGGGAATGACATAGCCAGGACTTCACCCAGATTTTACACTAGCTTTAATGCTTTCTTCCTGCCGTATGATGGCAGTTCCTGTGATTTATTATTCTTGTGACTTCACCAGTGATGCCATGCTTAAACCCTCCAGCTTCTACAAACATGAACCACAAGGTGGAAATGGCCACTCAGTTTGACTTTTTGGACATTATTTTCTCAATCCCATTCCCAGGATGCTTGCTTGACTGCTGTGTGAGAACCAGCTCATCCATCTGTGTTTGTTTTGTTTTGTTTTTGAGGCAGGGTCTCACTCTGTTGCCCAGGCTGGAGGGCAGTGGTGCAATCATGGCTCGCTGCAGCCAAAACCTCTTGGGCTCAAGCAATTCTCCCACTTCAGCCTCCTGAGTAGCTGGAACTACAGAAGCATGCCACCACCCATGGTTAATTTTTGTATTTTTTTGTAGAGGTGGAGTTTCACCATGTTGCCCAGGCTGGTTGTGACCTCCTAGGCTCAAGCAATCTGCCCACCTCAGCCTTGCAAAGTGCTGAGATTAAAGGCGTGAGCCACCATGCCTGGCCCCATCCTCTTATTAATTTACAAATACACAAGTGGGTGCTAGCAACAAGATCAGGGTACTGTCCAAATCCTTCTCTCACCAGGGTGAACAGATTTGGAGGCACCTGCACTGCCCAGCTCATCTTCTCCCTTTGCACACAGATGGCATCCTCTAACGTAGCCCCATGTCCATGGAGCTGTGCTCATTCAGATGAAGTTCCTTTCCTGAATTTGTGTGTCCCAACTGCTGCTTTTCTCTAATTTTCCCAGTGTATTTGTCTGTTCTCACTCTGCTAATAAAGACATACCTGAGACTGGGTCATTTATAAAGGAAAGAGGTTTAATTGACACAGTTCCACATGGCTGAAGAGGCCTCACAATCAGACCTGAAGGCGAATGAGGAGCAAAGTCACATCATACATGGTGGCAGGCAAGGGAGCTGGTGCAGAGGGACTCCCCTTTATCAAATCATGAGATCTCATGAGACTCACTCAGCATCATAAGAACAGCATGAGAAAGACCCACCCCCATGATTCTGTTACTTCCCACCAGGTCCCTCCCATGACACGTGGGAATTATGGGAGCTACAATTCAAAATGAGATTTGGGTGGGGACACAGCCAAACCATATCACCCAGTCTCCTGTCAGCTACGGGCAGCCCCATCCAAGCTGAAGATACAGCTGTAAACAGAACATTTTGGAGCTCCTCAAGTAATCTGACCAGCACCAAGAAGGCTTCCTAATGTCCTTGAGATCCGTTTCAACACTTCAAACATTCTCACTTCAGTAAAGAGTTCCTTCCTAGTCCGTGTGTTCAAGAGACCAGAATTAAGAGCAATGGGCAGGCTGAGCATGGTGGCTCACATCTGCAATCCTAGTACTTTGCAGGGCTGATGTAGGAAGATCACTTGAGCCCAAGAGTTTGAGATCCAGTCTCAACAAAAAAATTTAAAAATTAGCTGAGCAGGGTGGTGCATGCCTGAAATCCTAGCTACTTGGGAAGCTGAGGCAGCAGGATTGCTTGAGTCTGAAAGGTCAAGGTTACAATGAATTATGATTGTGCCACTGGACTCCAGCCTCGACAACAGGGTGAAATCTTATCTCAAAAAATAAAAATGAGCAATGAGTGGAAATGTCTGGGAGACAGATATGGGGGTGGGGGAAATGCCCGATTATTCAAGCTCGCTGGAGAGCTCCTTCTCTAAAATTAATAGGGCCCGATCTCCAGGGAAGACCAGGCAGAGCCTGGACACCATGGAACAATTCAGAAGGAAATAGCATTGTCTTTGCAGGAAGCAGCATCTTAGCCAGTGACGTTCCAGGAATCCCGATAAGTCTCTCCTTCTCAACACGTAGGATCACCTTTCAGCACGTTCACATGACCACTGGGTGGGGAATATTCTCTAAAGTAATTGTCTTTGTCTCTGACCTCATTCCATGGTTGAGATAGACAGGCCAAGTGCCTGAAGCCATGGTCCCTGGACCATTTTACCTTTCAGCCGATCTGCGACAGGAGGCAGGTGGACCAGGAGACATCTGTTTCTTGTGTTTCTTGCAACCAGGCAAACAGTAAATTGCAAAGACGGGAAAGAGGTTCATCTTTAAAGTAAAAGGCAATATGCTTCCTTGACTATATTGTGAACATTTCGTATGCTAGTGGGATGTAATTGGGTTTCCTAAACACCTTACCATCTGATTCAGACTCGGGAGGACTTTAAATAGACTTGAAATAAAAATTTCCAATTGTCTCTTGGAGCCCAAGCCCAGAAGCCTAATTACCTGCTGAAACTAATTGATCCCATCTGAGCCTCCTGCTGGAACTCCCCACAAAGGGCATGAAAATGAGATGGGTCAGGAAAGTTGCAGGCCAGAACCAGGAGCCGGGAAAAGCAAGACGTGCTCACAGAAGCCATGCACGGGAAAGAGCTTATTAAGTAACTTCTCTTTGAGCTGCTCCTCACTGAGCCAGCCAGAGAGACAGAAGCCTGCTTCCTCTGAAGGTGCCTGGAATGACTCGCAAATTTCATTGAAAGTGGCAGGAGGGAAGCAGGCTCTGGATAAAATGATGAATGCACACAAACTTTAATCTCAATCAAGGCGCTCTACAAGGGGACCATGGTGACAACACTCAGAGAAGCTGACACCAAGGAGAACAACGCCCAACTTTAGAATGGGAGCCCACCTCACCTCCTCCCCTGGGCTGCTGCAGAGAAGTTTTGTCAGAAGGCCCACATCTGCACCTGAGTGTTGGCAGCATCCGAGGGTCACAGTCTGTATCCCCAGGGAACATGTTGAATTGTAGCAGTTTTTCTTAGCACCTGCGCCAGCTCACCACTCCACTTCCCTGCTTCTCTTTTGGGCTCCAGTCTCCTGGAAACCCCTCTCTGTGTGTGAAGGAGCTGCAGAAGAAGAAATGGGTCCTCCTGCAGAATGAGCTCCCAAACACAGCACCGAGGCTTTTCATTCTTCACACCCCATTTCCAATGGTCAGCAGATGTGGTCAGCACTACCAGATCAAGACTCTGAACCCTTCTCCCATTCCACTTTCCCACCCGGAGGCAGGCCACCATCATACTCGACCAAGGCAATGGCTACCAGGGATGCTGTGATACTCCCATAATCCTGACGAGTCAACCACTATGGCCTTAATGGCTCTGTCTTCCATTGGCTCCATCTATCTGTCATCTGTTTGTCTATCTAAATATTTTATATGTATGCAGAATGACAACAGTCCTTAAGATATTTTACATACACACATATGAACACACATATATGCATATTTGTATGTAGATAGAAATAGATATAGATATAGATATAGATATATATGTGCCTATATACATTTTTTAACAGTTGTGTTGGTAAAAAGACAAACACAATCCAGGCAGGATTGTATTCCTTTGCTTCTTCTTTGTTTTTTTTTTTTTTTTTTTTGAGACAGGATCTTGATCTGTTGCCCAGGCTGGAGTACAACGTTGTGATCATGGTTCACTGCAGCTTCATCCTCCTGGGCTCAAGCAGTCCTTTGACCTCAGCCTCCTGAGTAGCTGGGACTACAGGTATGCACCACCACACCTAGCTATTTATTTTTTATTATTTTTTGAGGAGATGGGATCTTGCTATGTTGTCCAGGCTGGTCTCAAACTCCTGAGCTTAAGCAATCCTCCTGCCTTGGCCTCCCAAAGTATTGGGCATAAGCCAACTCTCCCAGCCCTTTTGCTTTTTCTGATTTTAAAGGAAATTAAAATGGCCCCTGAAATCCAGTGGGGTCTGGACACTGAGCCTAATAGAAAATGTGCTCAAACCACAGAGGCCGCCCCCCAAGCCTCCTGCCTCCACCATGAAGCCCCACACTGCTGGTTCTCTGTTCAAAGCCTGTGTGGTCCTTTGGGAGGACAAGTCCTTGTCTCAAGCATGTTATTCCTCTGCTCTAAGTAAGCCTGACCGTGGCTTCCATGGTGCTCAGAATTGAATCCCGGTGCCTGACCTGACCCAGGCCATGCTGGCTCTCATGTTCCGGTAGCTGGATCCAATTGGGCCACACGTGCCTCTTTGCTGCTTCCCAAGCACATTGTCCATTCTCTCGCTCCAGGGCCTTTGCACTTGCTGCTCTCTCCAATTTGCAGGGAGGCTCCCTCATCCCCCTGTAGTCAGGCATCTGCTCAGAAACCACCACATCAGAGGAACTTCTCCTGAGCACTGACCTGGTAGCATACTGCTCACCACCACCCAACCCTTACTCCGCTGCATCTCTTCAGGACACTTTTTACCACTTTGTTCATTGAGTGTCTATTTCCTCTGACCTGAGTTCAAGTAAAGATTCGATCTCTGTACCCAGGTGCCTAGAATCCTGCCTGGTACATCAAGGCAATCTCCAATACTACTAGTTGGCTCCATGGTTAAGTAAATGACTGCACACCCCTAGTGCTACGTGAGATGAATTTAGGTGATAAAATGGATAAATGTTTTCATTACACGAATTAATTTTAATTTGTACAAGGAAAAAATATATACTTATATATAACTCTTTGATAAGGCAATGACCAGGATCAAGTTCCCCTTTGAAGGCCTGGGTGCTGAAACAACAAGTAATGATTTTACATTTCTGTGGAAGGGGAATTAACAAATAGAGCACGCCCACCTGCACCAGGCTCACAAAAAGGGATGCCACAGGGCAACACAGAGCTGAGCAAGGAGCTTCTGCAAACCTCCACAAGAGGGTCCGGCTCCATCTAAACTGCAGCCCCAGGTGGCTTGCTGCATCCTGCAGTGTTGCTTTAACTCGAGGGGTTCACTGATGATTGGACCTTTCATCATCTCATTTCTCCTCAGGGAAGACAATAAAACGGGCAACACACGTTCCTCCCTTTGTAGCAGCCCCGGAGAGGCCTCATAAACTTTCTGGGCCTATTCTCCCTTTTAAAAGGCACCCAAACCACTCCAGCAATTGACAAAAGAATTTTCCTGGGCAGGAGTGGAAGTCAGCATGGGGAACCAGCTGCGTCCTCATGGTTCAGCGTTATCTGGGGGCAGTGAGCCACGACCAGGACATTAGAGCCAGCCCCCACTGGCCCCCTCTCTACAGAGCCTGCAAGTTCTGCTGTGTGTTTCCCTTAAAAGAAACAGATAGGGCCTAGAGAAGAGAGACTTCTGACTTTGACAACGGCCTACATCAATTATGAATTTTCTATTTGCGGGCAAATTATATTGGTCCTCCATTTTTTAAAAATTGAGGAGTACCTTATGTGAGAATAAAGTGCATAAATCTTAGGAGATGAATGAGGCCCTCATTACACACCCATGTAACCACCTCCCACGGAGACACAGAAGGCTCCCACCTGCACCTGCAGTCACGGCCCTGGGAGGAAGCCACTGTTTTGACTTCTGTCAGCATGGACTGTGCTCCTCGCTCTTGGGCTTCATGGAAATGGAACCGCACAGCACCCACCTTTACACAGCTGGCTTCTGTTGCTGGAGGTCCCGTCTGCTAGGCATTTCCATGTGGCCGTAGGCTTCAAAATGCATTCTTTTTTATTCTTGTGTAGCTTTCTTTCTTTCTTTTTTTAATTATACTTTAAGTTCTGGGGTACATGTGCACAACGTGGAGGTTTGTTACATAGGTATACATGTGCCATGTTGGTTTGCTGCACCCATGAACTCATCATTTACATTAGGTATTTCTCCTAATGCTATCTCTCCCCAAGCCCCCAACCACCCATAGCTTTCTTAACTAGTTCACATTGATATGTATGAGTTTGGGGAAAGTCAATTGATGTTGTTGTTGTTGTTGTTTACATGGAGTTGGCAGTGGCTTATGGGCCCAAGACAAGTAACTCAAGTCCAAGGAAAAATTTGCTCCAGAAGAAGGTAGCTAATGGCTAAGAATCAAACCCATAAAGTCCCTAGATCAGGGCAGAATTTCCAACCTAAAGGAATTATGACTGTGAAAATCATATAAAGCAGTCCACAGAGGCCTAGAACGAAGGCAGGTACTGAAAAGGAGGTAGGTCTCACTTACCAAGACCTCAAAGGGAGGAGATGGTCAAGTTAGAGCCCGGGGCAGAGATAAAGATAAGGAGGTGCTGATGAGAATCTTACCAATCTACATTCCTTGCACCATAAAGGCGATTTTGCTGAGTTCAAGCCCCTCTTATGGTCAATGCATTATTGGGTGTGGACTGGATTTTGGGACCCGCCATCTTGAAATGCCACCGTAGAGTCCCACAGCAGGATTCCTCTTGCTTCTGGTGGCCAAGACTGAAGTGAACACAACTTTCCAGATAAAGAGAAGACACCTTTGTGTGCAGTCCCTTTGCAGCAAAATAAAGTCAGATCCACTACGTGCTGTTCTCTGGCATGAGAGGACGTACCTGTTTATTTATTTATTTTCAGCTTTGTGATCTTCCCTGAACCGAACATCACCTCCTGGCCCTCGCAGGCCAGAGCAGCTGACATCACACCATTTTCGGGGCTGGCATAACGGCGGCTTCCTCTGGATGAAAAGTCTCCATGTCAGTCACTCTTGAATGCTTACCTCTCAAGACCCGCTTGTTGCTTGGTAACAATTTTCACGGCTGCATTAAAAGGACAGTTCTGAAAAGAGGATGCTTAAAACCTGACAGCAATTACAGAGAAGGCAGACCACTTCTTTCATTTCAGAAACCAATACACAAGTGGATCTTCCCATTCAGTTAGTATTTTATTATTATTTAAATGAGCTTCCCACTCTACATGAAGCCCAGCTTTTTGTCAGCACTAGTTTCACACCCCTCGTCTCTGAGCCTCTTCAGAGAAGGAATTGCAGCCATTTCTGGGGAGAGAAGCTTCTTCCAGGTGACTTTTGAGTTCCTTTTGGCTTCAGAGTTTGTGGTGAACAGGGGAGGTGGTAATTCTACAACCAGAGCACAGCCTGAGAGGAAGAGCTCTCCCATGCCCACCTCCTTCCTGCAAGAGGCCACCCCCAACAGCCATCTCTCCTTTACCATTGTGGCTAAAAACAGGCAAACACTAAACTGCCCATTAACTGAGTCATGCATGAATGTTCTGGGCTAAACTGTGAGTTCCTTAAGGGCAACAACAATATATGGATTATTTGTTTCTCCAGAGAATCCAGTAAAGTCCGAGCCCATAGAGAGTTTTCAGTACACCATTTGCCTATTTCATGGCCAGCAAGCTCTTCTACATAATGGTAGTTCATATAACTTGGTTAATTTCAACCCATAAAATAGGATGTTTTGACCACATACTCAAGCTTGCAGAAAGATCAGAGCATGCCCAGTTTGATATGAAAGAATTGCCCACCCTCTCTCCAGTCTCATTTCTTACTCAATTAAACTGAGCTCAATAAGACTATGGCAGAATCCTGTGAAAGCCAACTACATGCCCGCTAAAAGCATCCAGAAGTACCGAGCTTACTCAGGAGGCTCTCTCCCCAGTTTCTCAACCTCAGCATTTGTAACACTTTGGATCAGATGATTCCCTGTTGTGGGGTCTCTCCTGTGTATTACAAGGTGTTCAGCAGCATTCCTGGCCTCTACCCCACTAGATGCCAGTAGCACCCACTCAGCTGTGATAACCAAGGATGTCTCCAGATACTGTCACATGCCCTGGAGGAGAGGGAACAACAACATCACCTGTAGCTGAGAACCATCAATCTAGCTCAAATGTTAACCTATACAGGGGTTTTAAGCAACTGTCACTCAGAAATGTCCATCTCCATCAGTCTGTCCATCACTCAGTTTTGTTTTCTCCATAGGCTTTATCACAGTCTGAACTATTTTAATTTATTTTGCACTTATCACCGATCTCCCACTAGAATAGGCTCTTACAACAACAAGGACCTCATCTGTCTTAATCATCACCATACCCACAGCACCAAAAGCAGCTCCTGGTACATAATAGGTGCTTGGTAAATATTTGTTAAGTAATAAGTATATTTTCAATGCAGTGCTCCTTGATCTAAGAGGTGATGTTTTATCTAACCAGTAACTGACTGTAAGGTGCTTCTACATGGCCTAGTGGTACACAGTAAGCATCAATAGTATTACACATGATTGTAATGATAGTCGGAGTCAGACTTGAGAACAGTCCAGCTTCTTCTAGGAATTAGTTAGGCTCAACTTCCAGGCCTGGCCACATCAGAGTGACAGGTATTGGGCTTACCCTCCATCCAGCTTCACCTGTTTTCAGGCTTTAAATAATCCTGAGAGAAGAGAAACAAACAAAGTGAGGTCCACATGGACCCAGGCACTCCCTCCAAGAGGACTTTCCAAAATGTCACACAAGGAGTTAGAGCTGAGTGGAGAGCAATGGTCTCACTGTGGGGAGGAAACAGAAATCAGAACCGGGACTGCCGAGTTGACTGGAATTTGTGTGTACACAAATGGGAGAAAGAGATAGCTGTGCAGAGAAGCAGCTTCAGATATCTACATAGATCCCATTGACTACATGGCTGAATATTAAGCTGCAAGTGCCCACAGAAAGATTCTGCAAGGATGGGCAGAGAACAGATCCTGGAAGCTGTGGGCTGAACAGATATTAGCGATTTCAGAGGATGCTTGGGACTAGGGGAACTTGCAGTCCTGAACAGTCAGTGCAGAGACACTGACTGGGCATCCCTGACAGTCATTTGATACCCGGACTGGCAAGGTCTTAAGAAGAGAAGTACTCTATTCCTAGACCCATCCTAACAAAGCCTAAAAGCACGGTCCAACAGCATAGAACTCATCTGCCAGTAAGTTAACTGCTTGCCAGAGAAAGGCTCACCACTCTTAAAAGGAAGACCACATAATCTAGATTCACTGTGATAGATCATTCATACTGTCCAGCATACAATAAAAATCACTAGACACATAAAGAACAGAAAAAAATGTGGCCCACTAAAAGATGATGCAATGTTTTAATTAACAGAAGAGGGTTTTAAGGCAGACATTATAAATATGTTTAAGTATTTAAACTAAAAGATGGACATAATGAGCATGCAGATGGGGAATCTCAGGGGAGAAATGGAAACTAAAAAGAAAAATTTGGTAATTTTATAATGGAAAAATAAAATATCTGAAATGAAAATTTTACTGGATGTACTTAGCAGCAGAACAAGAACTAGAGAAGGAAAATAATCAGTGATTTTTAAGCCTGAGAAATTAAAACTATGCAAAATAAAGCAGGGAGTGGAAAGAGAGAGAGAAAAGATTGAAAACAAATGGAAATTAATGACTTGTGGGACAATACCAAATGATCTAACATGGATGTAATTGGAATACCAAAAAGGAGATGAGGGAATTTGATCAGGAAAAAAATACATAAAGAAAAGATGGGCATTTCCAAACTTGTGGAAAAGTAACAGGCTGTAAAACCAAGAATATTCATGAACCCTAAGCAGAATAAACACATACACAACACCCACCTAGACATACCAGACCTATCAGAGTCAGACTGTTGAAAATCAAAGATAAAGAGGCAGTGTTGGAAGTGGCCAGAAAAAATAAAAACAAAAAGATGCCTCCCAACCTTTTTGGCTCCAGGAACTGGTTTTGCAGAAGACAATTTTTCCATGAACTGGGTGGTGGGGAGGATGGTTTGGGGATGATTCAAGCACATCATATTTATTGTGCACTTTATTTCTATTGTTATTACATTGTAACATATAATGAAATAATTATACACCGCACCATCATGTGGAGTCAGTGGGAGCCCTGAGCTTGTTTTCCTGCAACTAGACAGTCCCATCTGGGGGTGATGGGAGACAGTGACACCCAAAGTGTGTTGCTTATGTCCAGTCTATTCTGTAATCTCATTTTGGTGGCTGTCACTGCAGAAAACTGCTTCACAAAGATAGGATGTTGGAAATGGAAACAGGCTTTTCAGTGATTTTGTGGCAATCTCAGGATATTCTGCCTTGACTTTAATCCAGAATGTATGGTGATGTGAAGTTGTCTCAAACATACTTTTAGGCTCACCAGATGCAGCTGTACAACTGAAGTATATCAGCTCACTTGCCACGATAGAGCGTGCCACCAGACACAGCTTAATGTTCACCTGCCACTCACTGATAGGGTTCTGATATGAGTCTGCAAGCAGTTGATTTACTATGGTCTCTGCAGTCAAACCTCCCGGCTAATGTTAATCTGTATTTGCAGCCACTCCCCACCACTAGCATCACTGCCTCAGCTCAGCCTCAGATAATCATGCATTAGATTCTCATAAAGAGCACACAACCCAGATCCCTCAAATGTGCAGCTCACAATAGGGTTTGCACTCCTATAAGAATCTAATGCCACCACTGATCTGAGAGGAGGCACAGCTCAGGTGGTAATGCTCACTCACCCTCTATGCCTGCTCATTCCTAACAGCAAAGCAAGGGGGTGTCAGACTGGACTGAAAAGCAAACCCAACCCTGCTGTATATCAGAGAAGCACTTTAAAGACACAGATAGGTTAAAACTAAAAAGACAAAAAAAGACATACCATGCAAACACTAACCATAGGAAAATAATATTTAATTCTCTAAGTTTCTCTGTTATGTTGTTTTGCTGCTGCATTTTTGTTTTATCATTAAAGTAAATCTCTATATTAATTTCAAATTTGAAAAATGACCTGTATAGTATATATCACCCTACATGAAACTCTATAGATACATCCAAAACCCTACGAAGTTGTTCTGTAAGTTTCTGATAAATGAAGCCGCAATGAAATTGACTGAAAGGATCTTTGTGTGATGTCCAGCCTCCCCCACATCTTTGCCATCACTTGGTAATGTCAGACTTTCTTTTTTCTTTTTTTTTTTTTTTTTGCAGGTCTGATTATGGAAATTATGTTTCATGTTGTTTACTTTAAAGTTCCCTAAATATCAGTGTTTTTCTATTTGTTTACTGATCTTTGAAAGTTCATCAGATGATTCTGGCATCTCTCTGTCCTTCATCCCCACCCCCTACCTCACTAGAAAAGATCCATTTGACACCTGGGGCCAATCTGTCTAGCTATGGCTTTGGTTCTTATCTCCAGTGACAGCATAGTTGAAGATGGTAAGATAATCTTCACTGATGTATGTTTTACATATTAATGCTTGTGTTTGGTGCCAGGGTAATTTACAAAGATGCAAGTCTGGAAATTGAGCAAGTCCATTACCACCAGCTGCTTTACTTAATGGTCTAGCCTCTGTGTTAGGCCATCTTTTGCATTAATATAAATAAATATCTGAAGCTGGTAATTTATAAAGAAAAGAGGTTTGATTCGCTCATGAATCTGCAGGCTGAACAAGCATGACACCAACATTTGCTGGACTTCTGGAGAGGCTTCAGGAAGCTTACAATCATGGCAGAAGGCAAAGCAGGAGCTGGAGTATTACATGGCAAGAGTGGAAACAAGGGGGCAGTCTCAAGCTTTTGAACAACCAGATCTTACAAGACCTGAGTGAGAACTCACTCATCACCAAGAGGATGCTGCTAAGCCATTCATGAGGGATCCACCCCCATGATCCAAACACCTCCCATCAGGCCCCACTTCCAACACAGGGGACTCCACTTCAACAGGAGATTTGGAGGGGACAAACGTCCAACCATATCATCTGTTCTTTTACCCAGCAAAAAGCAAAATAACAACCCAACCAAGCGAAGTTTTTTAAAATAAAAAAAGAGGAAAAGAAGAGAGATGAAAGAAAGAAGAAAGAAAGAAAGAAAGAAAGAAAGAAAGAAAGAAAGAAAGAAAGAAAGAAAGGAAGGAAGGAGGGAGGGAGGGAAGGAAGGAAGGAAGGAAGAAAGAAAGAAAGAAAGAAAGAAAGAAAGAAAGAAAGAAAGAAAGAAAGAAAGAGAAAGAA
Organism: Homo sapiens; assembly: GCF_000001405.40. NCBI lineage: Eukaryota > Metazoa > Chordata > Mammalia > Primates > Hominidae > Homo > Homo sapiens. Next base: position 61,097,738 of record NC_000020.11, read on the forward strand.
AGAAGAAGAAGAAAGAGAGAGAAAGAAAGAGAGGAAGGAAGGAAGGAGGGAGAGAAAGGAAAGAAAGGATGGGAAAGGCAAGAGGTAAATCTCTCTCTCCTTGGGGAGGTCCCACAGTGCTTGTCCAACACTTAGCAAGGCTGACTTCCCTCTCACATCCTGAAATGCCTTCACCCTGGAGAAACAGAGGGACATCCCCATTTATGTACACTTTGTTGAACATGGAAAGAAGGTTAAACCTTTCTTCTTTCTTTCCTTTTTTTTCCATTCCCTCCATCTCCTGCAGGCTCCAAACAATTCTCTTCCCCCCTCACCCCCAGCACTATTAAGGTATAATTGCTAAATGAAGATTATATATATTTACAGTATACTACATTGCATAATGTTTTAACACATGTATACATTGTAAAACAATTACATCAAGCTAATTAACATAGCCACTTACCATTTTTTTTGTGGTGAGAACATTTAAGATCAACTGTCTTGCAATTTCCAGGTATAGGATTCATTATGATTGACTACAGTCACCGCGCTTACAATAGCTCTCCAGAACATATCCACCCTGTCCAACAATTTTTTTTCATTGCTATAAGGAAATATCTGAAGCTAGGTAATTTATAAAGAAAAGAGATTTGATTGGCTCATGATTCTGCAGGATGAACAAGCATGACACCAACATCTGCTGGACTTCTGGAGAGGCTTCAGGATGCTTCTCTATGCAGCTGAAGGTGCTACCTCAGATGTGCAGCTTGTCTGGCTTCCTGGTCTTCCCCTCCCTGGGGGACCAACTGACCCCAAACTTAGCCAGCAACCAAGTCATCAGGAGGGCTTCCTGACACACAGGCGCTGGCCTCATCCTACAGTTTCTAATTTACCAGGTCTGAGAATTTGCATTTCTAAGAAATTTCCTGGCAATGCTGGACCCTGAAGCACATCAGATGCTGGCTCCACTTCTGGGGAGACCATGTTTAAACCAAGGTAAAGGAGGCAGCAAGAAAGGCTGAGCAGTGTCTCTATCGGTAGCTTTACCCTCCCAGGTCTGGCTACACTGGGCTCTCCCCTGTCTGACAGCTCCCACGTGTGTATAATGCTGGAAAATAATTACTAATAGCAGCAATATATAATGTTGATTAAGGGTTCATGCCTACGAAGGACTAAAATGCATGGGTGATAATAGTCATAGTAATAGCACAAATAATAATAATGACTCAAACCATGATTTTGGCACTGTGGTGGGGCCAGCACCATACTCAGCATGCCCCTGTGAGCATCCCTGGTTCATCCGTGTCTTGCCCCTGGGTGGCAGCCTCCCATTTATCAGAGCTTAATGCCTACCACCCCCTCTTGAAAATATGCTTCTTTTTGTTCATTATCAATATCCTCATACCTACCCAGTGTCTGGCACAAATTTTGTATTCAATAAATATTTGTTAAAAGATAAAAAGGAGGCTCAGAGAGTCGAAATAACTCGCCAAAAAGACCATGCTGCTGATAACACTCAGAGATGAAATTCAGCTCCAGGGTTATCTGACCACAGAGTCCGAGCACTCCAGCCAGGGGCTGGAGGAAGGAGAATCCCACGTGAGGATGGGGAGCCTCTGATGCAACCCCTGGTCCCAGGCTGGGTGCCCTGACGTGAGATCCCAGCCTGGAGGGGTGGATATCAGCCTCCCTGCCTTACGTTTGGCTGCACTGGGGTTAAATCACCACCCAGGTCAAGCCCTTTGCAAGAGGAATAGGCATGACTCTGTGGTTCCCAGGTTAGTCTTCTCAGCCACTGCCTCCTGGTCCTCAGGTATAAGAGCCCTTGGTGGGCACCTTTGCATTTAACCTTATCAAGGGTCTGTGAATTTTGCAGTTAAATCCATTTTCACAGACTCAGAGGAAGAAACTGCCTGCCTGGAGTCACACAGCTAGTGCCTGGAGGCAGGCCTTTTGAACCCAAGGCCTCGCTTGGTGCCAGAGCCTCTCCCACCAACTCAGCACTGCCTCGGGGTGCTGCGTTCAGAGGTAGCAGCTTCATCAGAAGCAGGCAGCACAGTCGCGGCGGGCACCCAGGCAAAAGCAAGCCCAGCCTCCCCTCATCCCACCTCGTTGCCCTCTTGTGTCTTACGCCCCACAAAATTTCACTTATTCCACTAAGTATCCAGAATTTTCAGCCAGCAAAGAAAAGGAAGAAGAAACAGGCTGCACAGAGCAGCGAAGGCGTGTCTGGAGCGCTGCCCAAACTGACTCCTTCCATCACTCCCGGCACAAAGGAGCCGGCACGTCTGGCCTTCACGGACGCCTCCCTGTCCTTGCTCGCTCCAATTTCTTGGCTGACTGAAAGAAAAGGAGACCCCTGATCTAATGAAATGTTCCAGCAAGAGGATAAATTAACTTCCTCTCCGAGTTGTCCAAGCTATTTACTGTAAACCATGCAGTCAAATGAAACTGACTTCAGCAGCTCAGCAGGGTCTTACAGCCTCCAGTATCTGGAAGGAAGTCCTGGAAGGACGGATGGCCCCAAAACGCTTCTCCCTGGTGCTTTCCACTCTTCTTCTTTTCGGATTTTGAAAGGAAAACGTCTCTTTTGGAAATCAGTAATACTAATCAAAATATAAGGATTCCTGTTTTTAACATTTAAATTGCTCCAAACTTCCTTGTCCAAACTGCTAAAGCAGCATCCAGTTATTGAACAGTGCTTTCTAGAACTACTGAAAAACAGGGGTGAGCACAGGTTATCTTGAGAAAGCCGCATAGAGACAGGGCTGGGCTGCAGGGGAGCAGGAGAGGCCTTCACTCAGGGGTCCAGCAGGTGCTGGTGGGCCTGGCACAGCGGCACCCCCTTCCCTGCACCCGTGGAAAGGTTCCGCAGGAGGAGCTGTGGAGTGATCGGGGTGATGAACTCAGCATGAGGCTGTGGGTTGGTGGCCATGAGGGTGATTCACAGGTGCAGAGCAGGTTCTCAGACGTTGGTACATGTACAGATTGTGCAAGACAATAGGACACCAGACAGATCCCCGGGCTCCACAGCAGAAGTCTGGTTACTGGGCAGGCAGGCCCCAAACACTGTATTTAAAACAAAACCCCACTGACAAGTCCTGTGACTGGAGAGACCCCGAGTGAAGGCAGACCTCCATGTCCTCTACATCCTGTGCCACATCTGGAGAGACCCCTGTGAGGGCAGAGAGCTACCTCCTCTTCTTCCTGTGTCACACCTGGAGAGACCCCGAGTGAGGGCGGATGGCCACGTCTTCTACTTCCTGTGTCACACCTGGAGAGACCCCGAGTGAGGGCAGATGGCCACATCCTCTACTTCCTGTGTCACACCTGGGGAGACCCTGAGTGAGGGCAGACAGCCATGTCCTCTACGTCCTGTGCCACATCCGGAGAGACCCCAAGAGAGGGCAGACAGCCACCTCCTCTACTTCCTGTGTCACACCTGGAGAGACCCCGAGTGAGGGCGGATGGCCACGTCTTCTACTTCCTGTGTCACACCTGGAGAGACCCCGAGTGAGGGCAGATGGCCACATCCTCTACTTCCTGTGTCACACCTGGGGAGACCCTGAGTGAGGGCAGACAGCCATGTCCTCTACGTCCTGTGCCACATCCGGAGAGACCCCAAGAGAGGGCAGACAGCCACCTCCTCTACTTCCTGTGTCACACCTGGAGAGACTCCAAGTGAGGAGAGACGGCCACATCTTCTACTTCCTGTGTCACACCTGGAGAGACCTCGAGTGAGGGCAGATGGCCACATCCTCTAATTCCTGTGTCACACCTGGAGAGACCCCAAGTGAGGGCAGACTGCCACCTCCTCTACTTCCTGTGTCACACCTAGAGAGACCCCGAGTGAGGACAGCCAGCCATGTCCTCTACTTCCTGTGCCACATCCGGAGAGATCCCGAGTGAGGGCAGACAGCCATGTCCTCTACTTCCTGTGTCACACCTGGAGAGACCCCGAGTGAGGGCAGACGGCCACATCCTCTAATTCCTGTGTCACACCTGGAGAGACCCCGAGTGAGGGCAGACGGCCACCTCCTCTACTTCCTGTGTCACACCTGGAGAGACCCCGAGTGAGGGCAGACGGCCACATCCTCTAATTCCTGTGTCATGCCTGGAGAGACCCCGAGTGAGGGCATATGGCCACATCCTCTAATTCCTATGTCACACCTGGAGAGACCCCGAGTGAGGGTGGATGGCCACATCCTCTAATTCCTGTGTCATACCTGGAGAGACCCCGAGTGAGGGCAGATGGCCACCTCCTCTACTTCCTGTGTCACACCTGGAGAGACCCCGAGTGAGGGCAGATGGCCACCTCCTCTACTTCCTGTGTCACACCTGGAGAGACCCCAAGTGAGGGCAGACAGCCATGTCCTCTACGTCCTGTGCCACATCCGGAGAGACCCCGATGAGGGCAGACAGCTACCCCCTCTACTTCCTGTGTCACACCTGCAGAGACCCCAAGTGAGGGCAGATGGCCACCTCTTCTACTTCCTGTGTCACACCTGGAGAGGCCCCGAGTGAGGGCAGACGGCCACCTCCTCTACTTCCTGTGTCACACCTGGAGAGACCCCGAGTGAGGGCAGACGGCCACATCCTCTATTTCCTGTGTCACACCTGGAGAGACCCCGAGTGAGGGCAGACGGCCACATCCTCTAATTCCTGTGTCACACATGGAGAGACCCCGAGTGAGGGCAGAAGGCCACATCCTCTACTTCCTGTGTCACACCTAGAGAGACCCCGAGTGAGGGCGGATGGCCACATCCTCTAATTCCTGTGTCACACCTGGGGAGACCCCGAGTGAGGGCAGATGGCCACATCCTCTAATTCCTGTGTCACACCTGGAGACACACAGAGTAAAGGTGGACAGCCACCTCCTCTACGTCCTGTGCCACACCTGGAGACACCCTGAGTTAAGGCAGATGGCCACCTCCTCTAATTATTTTTAAGAACTTTTTTGGGGTATAATTTACATGCCAGAAAGTTCACCCATTTCAAGCATATGATTCAATATTAAAGCTTAAAAATGTTATCAATTTAATAACATTGATGGTTACAGAGCTGTGTAATCATCAACCTAATCCAATATTAGAGCATTTTCATCACCTCCAGAAAGATTTCTGGTGCCTGATGCAGTCATTTTCTTTTAGACTCCCAGCTCCAGGCCTCTCCTCACAAATCCTCGCAGCCAACACGTTAGTATCCATGTGTCCATTGTTGGTATAAGAGAGAATTACACCTGTTTTTTTATGCTCAGCAAAGAATTGCTGCCATTTTAAAAACAAGGAAGAATAGTGCACCTGCTTTTCTCCCGTGTTTATCTTACCCATACGCAAGAAGAAGCCACATGCCTTGGTGTGGTTTAAGGCAAGGGCCTCCCTGCCGTTTCCTTTCCCGTTCTTTCCAATGCCATTCACCATCCCAAGGCAGGTGGAGGTTTTGTGAACCTGGTAGAGATGAACTTTGAGGCCTCTCACCTGCATGGGCTTCCTCCAGGCCCTAGGAAGAACCCTAGCAATATGTTCATATGGTCAAACACTTTTGTAAAAATTGCAAAAATAAGCTATTTTGAGTGGTGTTGGTTAAGAGTGTTCTGCATTTGCACTGAGACTCAGCTTCCAGTTCAGTGAGGACAGCCGGGCTAGTGTAGATGCGGCTTCCAGGAGTGTTTCTGCTCCCCTTCCCCACATCAATCACTCAACATTTACACAATATGGCAAAAGCTGAAGTTCTGGTGTGATATAAATGACTACTCTGGTGCTAGACTCCAGAAGAATATGGAGAGTGGAGGGGAGACACGGCAGCAGGAGCCAGTCTGTGGAAAATCCTTCCAAATCATTTCATTTGTATGAAGAAAACTTGAAAAAAGATCTCCCAAATTTGAAAAGTATTCAAAGTTTGCCTATGACATTAGTAAAAACACTTTGTGATATAAAAGGAAACCTTTTAATTGTTAATAGAAAATCAAACTTTGATCAATGATGATGGATTAAAGACTGAATCACCCTTCAGCAAATCATTCTGCTTCTTCAGCCTCTAAAACGATTCCCTTCCCTGATAATTGTGACTCAAACGGTGCATGGACCACGAAAGTGCTTTGTAAACTGCACAGCGCTATGGCAATGGTGTCATTATGATCTTCATCGCTACTATCGACAACCTGGAATAAAACTCTTTAACTTCCAGTTGCTGCAACACTTAATCACCCAGTTGACCATGGAAATTACTCAGCTCGGCATGAGGTGCAGATATAGCTGCAAGTGGAAGCTGTTTTTAAATAAAATCTTATTAATTAAGGAAGTTCTGGTTGTTGTTTATTTGCATTTTTTTAAGCATCTAGGAAGTCCCCTTCCTGGTTATGGTCTGCTAAACCTGTTTCTCCCTGAAATTGTGTTCGTTATCTAACATTCTTCAGGTTCCATCTGATCACAGTCTTCAGCCGTAGATGTCTCTTTCCTCCATTCCCCCAGCTGAGTTTCCAAGCACAGAAAGGAGGAGCAAATACACCTGAGTTTGGGGCCCTCTTCCCTCAGTTCTGTATCCATTTTCCCTGAGCTGGACAGACTTCAAATACCATCTTTCTGCCGCAGTTTTATCTGTCAAGCCATCGTTCTACGTGGTATTACTCTTTTCTATTTCAGAGAATTAATTCTCTGAAATTGCCAGAAATAACCTCACACCTCACAGCAGTTACCCCTACCCATTAGCGGGAAATGGCTGTGGTCTCTCTCTTTGGAATTATTGTACTGCGAGGTCAAGGATGGCAAGTGCAGTGGAAGCCATCTGCTTTAGCACCATTAGTGCACTTTGTAGATAATTATGTAATTTTTCAAGCATTCCTGGGGATTCACTTCAGCTGCCCAGTCTTATGAGTGAATTTTGACAATAGAAAATTGTGGTTGATTTCAGTTTGTTTGGGTACCGTTCCCATAGTAATAAGAATAATTATTAATAAATGGAGAAAGTTGTGCTAAGGGTTTCAGTCAATAAATAACCTTAATTTTTTTTCTTTAAAAAAATGCTTGCAACAAAGATCTAAAGCAGAAAGAAGCAGGGACATCTCATAGTCTCTTTTCTTTTTGGGCTTATCTTGGAGGTGAGATACTATTCTCAATTTAATTAAAGTCATGAGGAATAACCGGCTGCAGGACTATATTTCTAGCAGGGATCCCAAATGTCAGGGAGCTTGTGAATTTCTCTAACAAGAGAAGGATAAAGGTCACCTACGTGTTTTAAAGACAAGTACTCACCTTTCCCCCACCCACCCTCATCAGCTTGTAAGTCGTGAAAGGCTTAGCACATCATACGTAGTTGGAAAAAAAAAGAAAAGAGTACAAACAGCACATTTGCATGATTGGCCACTGTTTCTCCAGTATTCAAACCATCAGGCACTCGTGGGCCCCCAGAAGCCAGCAAGTGTCCTTGTATTTTCTGGGTGGCTGCATAGTGAACTGGCATCATGCCCTCTGCCTCCACACATGTTCGTGGAAACCTGGCCCTGTGCTGGGCAGCAGGCTACAGATTGGGGATATAGCATCCTACACAGCCAACAATGCCCATCTGGGGCCTCATGGAGCTTGCCCTGCCAGTGAGGTTTGGAGTGGGAACTTCAACAGCATGGTAAAGGTCCCTGGATTAATTCCAGCTCCCCCAGAAGCAGAATTCAAGGCTTCAAGTTGTTAATTTGGGAGGGAATCCCAGGAAACTGCAGCAGTGGAGTGCAGGGGTGAGATAGGGAAGGAAAGATAGACAATGGAGCGTATGTTATTCAGCCAGCTACACCTGTGGGGTACTAGAGTGAGCCCCTGGGGCAACTCCCGGAGCCACTGCAGACATGCATGCAGAGCTGGTGTGCCTGAGGGGAGAGAGAGCTGGGGTATTTAAACACCCACTCCCAAGAGTGATTGATGGACAGCTGCTCCTGGTCACCATTAATCCTCTGGTGTTTCTGACCCTCTGGGCACGGAGCAGGGTGGGGGCTGTGCAGAGGGCTGTGTAGCCAGAGAAAACCCTGGGCAGAGAGATGCAGAAGCCCCGACAGAGGGAAGTCTGCAGGCACAGCCCCCACACCCATGGCGGGCACCAGGGTGAAGGAGGAGCTAAGGGAGCCACAGGCACCCCAGGAAGGCTTCTTAGTGAAGGGAAGGGAAATGAGATAGCCACATGGAGCCTGGAAAGATGGGAAGAGTTCTTCCCCCAGGAGGATCTAGGGAGGAATGCTCCATTTGCAGGGCCCCAGAGGGAATTTAAGGAAGAGTGATTTCAGGGCCCTGACAGGAGTTTAATCTCACTGGGGCAAAGGTGAGAGGGGGTGGGAAGATGTTGCTGAAGGGGTGAAACCAGGCCAGAAAATGGGAAGGTCCTATAACTCGCTATAGCCCTAGGGAGGAGTGTAAAACAAAGGCATGAGGAGATCTCCTTCTGCCCACTGCAGGAGGGGCCATTTCCCCAGTTTCCAAGAGGGAATGCATGCCTGAGCTGGCAGAAAGGCTGGAGAGAGGTGGGTGGTTGGAAGGGAAGATCAGTCAGAGTCGGGGCAGTGCCATTTACAGGGTTGGGAGACCCAGCTTAGAACTTTAAACAATGGAGTCTCGGTGCAATTTGCAGATGAGGGATAAGACCAGCCAACCAAGGCCACTGATTTGGCCACAGAGCCTGGAACCTCCTCTGGGAGAATCACATGTGTCTGCCTTCTCCCCTTCTCCCTATAGTCCTGCTCTGCTCTGTAAGAGGAGAAGACACTCAAAGGTACGAGAGGAGGCTGAGGTCCCCCCTTCCACCCTTCCCTGAGCAGAGCCATCTGACACTGGAGCCGAGCTGCTCCCCCTCTTCCTGCACATCCTCAGCTCTCAGGGGCAGCTGCCAGCTTGGTCTCAGACACATTCACTTCCCAGACCCCAATCTCATTTGTAAAATGACAGCTGGAGCGCATCTGGCCTGGCAACTTCATTCAGAACATCATGTGGCTTCGTTTCTCTGTAACTCCACCCTTCACTGCAGAAGTTCAAACCACCAGTGGGTCTGTGAATCAAGTCGAACCAGACCTTGCTATGTTCCTTCCTTTCTGATGCATCTACCAGAGAATGATTCCAACATGCTCCCTTGAATGGCTGGGCCAGGAATTGGCACTTATTTCCACGTTTCATAGTGATACCCTGAACTGGTCTGTAGGAGACAAAAGGGGCCCTTTGCCCATCAGCAACCCTGTGAGATGCCATCAGCACATTTATCCCAAAAGCCACACTGCGATGTTCGTTTTTTACTGGGAGACATAGTAAAAAGGCGGTGACGTGGTGTAGGGCCGCCAGAGCGTATGGGTCTGTAATGGCCGTCTTCACTATTGCCTCCTGCTCCTGATGATGCTAATGTAATAGTCACCCACGGCTGTGAACAAGCCGAGTGAGCGCCATTAGAATGTGCTTAGCATGAGAGCAAGACCTCTGTGATGCTGGCCCATGTGGTGGACGGGATCCCCTGCTTGTAATGCCAACCACAGACACCCACAGATAGAGAAGGAGGGAAAGAGTTTGGTTGGAGGTACCAGGGTATCTCAGAGAGCTGAAGAGGAAAGCTGAACAACTGGGTCCCGAGGACAGAAACCTGTGCCCAGCTGGGGATCTCTGCTGCTGGACGCAACGGTGGCCCCTGGTTTCTTCACTGCTCTGTGTGGGGAGACTCCGTACTCAGACGTGGTGAGAGTCAACCCACTGCACCTCGGCCTCAACCATCTCAGCCTGGGCTTAGGTATTCATCCTCAGTGCCTTGCACACGCTGAGCGTTCAGTAGGTATTTGTGGAATGAATGCTTTAAGAGGTTCCAATTGGCCAGGCGTGGTGGCTCACACCTGTAATCACAGCACTTTGGGAGGCTGAGGTGGGCAGATCACTTGAGGTCAGGAGTTTGAGACTAGCCTGGCCAACATGGTGAAACCCCATCTCTACTGAAAGTACAAAAATTAGCCATTTGTGTGGCATGCACCTGTAATCCCAGCTACTTGGGAGACTGAGACAGGAGAATCGCTTAAACCTAGGAGGCAGAGGTTGCAGTAAGCCAAAATGGCGCCACCGCACTACAGCCTGGGCAACAGAGCTAGACTCCTTCTAAAACAAAAGAAAACAAACAAAAAAAAAGAGGTCCCAATAGATTGTATAAATTTGAGGAGATTCCTCTTTCTCCATCACGGATTTGGTTATTTGGTGGGAGGGGGAAGAAGTTTCAGGAGAAAATTGTTTAAAGGTCCCTTGTTTTCATTCAAAATGAACAAAATGGAAACTTCATTAAGCTCCATAGAGGAAACATATACTTTTAAATGTTGGTTACCTATGTTATTGTCTAAAGCCGGATTTGCAATCTAGGGCCTGCTGGGAAAATTCAGCCACCCTGTGCTTTTATAAATAAAGTTTTGTGGGAACACAGCACACCATCTCTTTATATCTCCTTTCACACTGCACTAACACGGTTGAATTGTTGCAACAAAGACTGCATGGCCCTCAAAATGGGAAATATTTACTATCTGACCCTTTACCAAAAAAGGTCTCTGACCCTTGGTCTAGAAGAACATCAATAAGACCAGGCTGCTGCATTCTAGTCTCTGAATTATGGGACATTCTGGGCACAACTGTGAGCAGGGTGGGGAGAAAGGGCACACCCATCCTCTTGGAACCCCCTGAGGCCGAGGCTCCAGGAAGATGTCCCAGTGCGGATCAATATCAATCCCAGCCCCAAGCGCCCCGCCGGAGCTGGTGCAAGCAGCCCCACAACCGTGTTGTTTTCTCCCCCTACTCTCTTGGAAGAAATGCCCACGATTGAGACCCCAGACCTGGGTTTAAACCCTGATTCCTCCCTGGCTACAATGAGAACAACTCACTAAAGACCCTCTAAACCTCGAGCTTCCTCATCCGAAAAGCTGGGTCGATGGTTAACATGAGTCTCTCGGACAGAAGCTAATGTTGGGATTAAAGGTAACAATTTGTGTGAAGCAAGCATGGTGCCTACCTGCAGAAGGTGCCCAGAGACCCTCGTTTCAAACCCCACTGTATCCCTAACATCCATGATGTACTGGTAAACGTTTAACAAGCAGATTTCAGTTTGGGATGGGGGAAGCCCTGACTTATAGCATCTGCCAATTGTCATGCTATAAATGGCCCTACCCTACCGTGGCTAATTTCAAGCTGTCTACGTGACATTACTGAACCAAGGCAGGGAAGAGATGCAAACCATCAGGTCTCATGCGTGATGTGGACCAGTCCCAACACATCATGGTGAAAGTTAAGATTTTATCAGGTTTCCTAGACATTAAAAAATTGCCCTGGTGTTTGGTTAATCCCCACATTCGCTGGGGTCCCTGATGTTAGCTGCAACATTCTTTCCTCGATACAAGGCTCCGCCACGAGGGCAGGGGGCAAGCTCCATGCATCTTTCTCCCACTGACACAGACAGGGCTCTTCACCACCACAGCCCATGACCTCCTGGACTCAACTGCCATTGGAAGTAGAAGTTCAAGATCTCTACCCGGGGAGGCCAATACATTAGCTGGTTGCTGGCCTCCTTTTCTTGGGTTGAGGCAATATTTTATTTTAAAAGTTGGGGTATCAAAGTACACTTAGAATGATCTCAAGACATGCAACATCCTCTTGTCTCTTTGATGGGCACGCGGTGGCGGAGCCGGCACCATGCGTTTAGCCATCTGAGGGGTAGAGTCACAGCCATGACCATCGTGGGCAGCTTGACAGGGATTCTCTCCACCCCTCATTAGAACCCCTGTTAAGGGCACGCCTGAGCCGAAGAACCAGCTCCTTCCTGGACGCTGTGGCTTCAATGTTAAAATCCCAATCCGGAGAAGGATTCCTTCCCTGCTTTTCCTGGACACTTTTCATGGCTGAGCGTTCCCGCCCAGGGTGAGCACTGCTGCTCCGGCCTTGCTGCCCCATCGCTGTAGAGACTTCATCGTCTCCATTTCTGGGCCTGACTTGGCTTATTTTCTGCAGACTTAGAAAAAGAGGGCATTAAGAAGTCATTTATTCCGTAAGTATTTTACATTAGTCTAGCTCTGGGTCAGGGCAAGTTCTTGTCTTTGGGCCTTTTGTCCCTTGTTTCACAAGTCAGCCTTGCCGGACACCAGCTTCCCCATGGCCACTCCCAGGGGTATCAGGTCCCGTTTCATGGGGTTGTGGCAGCAGTGTTTTCAGGGAAGCTGAGTGTGAGCAACTCCATGTAACTCATTCCGCAAGCGAACAGGCTACCTCTGTGAATCAGGAACAGATAATGGAAGAGTTGGTTTTCGTTTTTTTAAGGAATAATAATACCTGGTAGGATATGAATTACACAGTTCTCTTTTTTTTCTCTCTACAATCTGCATTATAGCATTTTTCATCAATTCAAAGCATTCAAATAAAGATCACCTAGCATACCTGGATAATTATGTCTATCAAGGAACACATGCCACCGCACAGAGCCAGGAATGCAATGCTATTTGTTTTGAAGTGCCACCAAGGAAAAAAGTATCTATAGAAACAGTGTGCAGGCATTCCATTGCCACTGTGTTTCCTGATAATGGGCCTATTAATGAAATAGCAGTTTGATTTTCAATCACAGTTAATGATGCCTTTTGTGTAACCATCATCCATATATACTGACGTGTTCGAACGGCCTTTACCAGAGAAGGAGGCACCAGACCCACAGAAGGGGGCAAAAGGCACTGGGGAGGGACGGTATCTGCAGGCACAATTCAAAGAACAGCAGCAACATCTCTCCCAGAGCAAAAACTGAAAAGGTCCTTGACTGCTGCTGACACATCAGATAAATTGTACGTGTTTTGAGAAACTAGGGATGTTTACTGCCTGTCCTCGCCACTCTTGCAGTCATGTTTAAAGGGGGTAACGTATGCACAAGTAGCGAGCCAAGTCCAAGCCTCCTGCACTGCCCCTGTGCCTGTGCCCCCTAGACCATTAGAGTCTAAATGTCTGCAGAGACCAAGGAGGAGCAGAAAGAGCCAGCCTGGGCCCTACCTCCTTCTCGGAAAACCCATCTGTCCTGCCCCAAGTGGAGGTTGGCTTATCTGTGGCCCTGGTCACAAGGAAAAAAGCACAGATGGTCACCCTACTCAGGCTGAGCCAATCGGTGTGTCCCTCGGTAGAACATGTGATTGAGCCATAAGAGTCAACTCCTGCCAATCGCTCAATATGATGGCAGGGAAAGAAGAGAATTTCGAGGCAGCCACTTTGGTCCCATACACACAGAAAGTGGGAGAGAGAGAGGGGGCCCAGGGTTTCTGCTGGAGTACCTGTTTTAGCTGCATCCCCTCATGGGACACCCGAGTCTTCCTCCTCTTCTTGGGTTGCATAGTATTGCCTTGGGTCCTCTTCATAAAGTTGCCCTTTTTCTTGAGTCACCTGCAAACAAAGGACCCCAAACTGAGGGACACACCTTTGTGTGGTCAGGTGCTTCCTGCCAGGCAGCCGCTCCTCAGGGAGTGCTGGTTTCATCGGTGATAAGTCCTGAGCAACACAACCTCGGGAAATCGAGCAACACTTCTGCCCTTGAGCTTTGGGGTCAAAAGAGTCGGGCTCAACTGTTTATTTTATCCCACCCTAAATGGTTGGTTTTCCTTGGGCAGGACTGGCAGCCCAGGACACCTCCACCCATCCCCTGCCTGGTGCTGGAGTCAGAGCCTGGGGCCCTTGGAGCATCCTGTGCATAATGGATGGTCAGGGATTCTACTGTGGCTTTCCTGGTCCTCTGTCCTGAAATCTCTCTGTCTAATCAGCAGGGCACACCAGGAAGCTGGAGGAGAAAACACTAATATTTTGAATGATGTAGGTTTTATTTTGGATCACTTTTTTCCTTTCACTTAGAAACTGATGGTGCCATTCCTAAAAAGTTTCCCCAAATTTTTACATCTCTGAAGAAGCCACTATTGATTTGGAAACCAGCAACACACTCACTCTGTTGAGATTGTCTGAAACCAGAGCCAGCCTTGAGCCCTTCAGAAATCCTTTCTCTCTGCATCCTCATTTATAGGCTAAGCCACAGCCCCAGCCCTTTAGCCAGGACCGAGACCCTGCTTATAAGGTCAGTATCATCTGCCTAGCACAGAGTTCAGGCCATGCTTTCCAGCACCCAGTCCCTGAGGCCAGAGGGCAGTCAGTGTTGCTCATCTGAAGCATCACTGGATTTACCCAACAAATATGGCCAGAGACTTACATAAAAGGATATTGTGATATTGTAAAGTATATCTTTCGTCTTCCTCCTGTTTCCCAGCATTCAACTCCTGAAATCCTTGGGTTCTCCAAAGAGATAAGTGTTTTTTTGTGTGCTGATGAGATGATGGGTGGCTGGGGGCCCCTAGGTAGGGGCTTCTGGTGTGGGGCTGGTCACAGGAAAGACCCTGGCAGGATTAGAGTGTTGGGACTTGCAACGCTGACCTCCTATCCCCCACCTCTGGGGCGGAGGGGGCTAAAAATTAAGCTGATCACCAATGACTAGTGATGTAATCAGTCATGCCTAAGTAATGCAGCCTCCATAAAAGCCCCAAAGGACAGAGTTAAGATGAGCTTGCAGAAAGCTGAACGCACCACTTGGAAGTTCCTGGAGGGCCATGTACCGAAGAGGAAATGGAAGCCCCTCACCCCTTCACCACACCTTGCGCTATTCATCTCTTCATCGGTTCTTTGGTAGTCATGTGTTATCCCTTTTAATAAACCAGTAAACATTAAGTAAGTGTTTCTCTGAGTTCTGTGAGTCACTCTAGCAAACTAATGGAACCCAAGGGGGCAGTTGTGGGAACCTTGACTTACAGCTGTGGTCCAAAGCACAGGCAAAATGATGGGGGGCTTGTGATGGCATCACAAGTGGGGAATAAGGGCTGCAATCTTGGAGACTGAGCCCTCAACCTGTGGGGCCTGAGGCCATCTCCAGGTGGAGAATGTCAGAATTGAATTGCTTTAGAAGACACCCAGCTGGTGGTTACGGCAGAACGGGTGGCTTTCTTGGCATGAAGGAAACCACAACCACCCCCGTGACACACACACACACATTTGGTCGCAGAAGTCTTCTGTGTTGTTTGTCAAGTGAGAGTATAGGAGAAACTGGTTTTTTTTCCTTATAAACTCAGAGATATGCACTATATGACATGGTTAGTCACCATGAAAAATTTCTAACAGCCAGAATGCTCTACAATCAGAGACCAGCTGGAAAAATTATGCCACAGACACATGACGGGACATGAAGCAATTAACAAATTCACTCTCGAAAAATATTTTGAGACTATGGGAAATTCTCATGAATCAAAAATAAAAAAACACAAGATAGAGAAACGTGTGAATAAAAGGTTGTCTTGACTTTGTGTTATGCACACACACAGGCTTCTGAGTGACCCAAAAGTGGGAGGGGGCACCACAAGGAGGCACACAGGGGTGCTGGGATTGCAGGAGATGTTAATTTTCTTCTGAATAATTTCCTGTATTTTCCAAAATTTCTATAAAAATACAAAGTTATTTGGTAATTAGAACAAACATCATATTTTTAAAAATATAAGAAATACTGGAAATATACTTCCAAAGGCTGTGCTTTCCAGAGATTTGGAATGTGCTTTTAGAGGCACCATGAAGAGCTCAGACAAAACGCCTTCTTTGGCCCAAAGGCACCAAAATCACTTTTAAAAATCCATGTGCATGAATAACAAATTTCAAAATCATGTGAAACCTGTGCTCAGTGGTCATTCTCCAAACACACGTCTTCCCTCCCTGCTATAGGTGGTTACCAACCCCAGGGGTCTCCTCCCCCAGGATGGTGCAGGGGTTGAGATCCAGGTGTCAACTCTGCAGCTCCCTGGGGAAGGTCTGTGCTGCCTCGTTCTTCCCGCCTGTCTTGTCAAGGGAAGAGGAAGATCACAGCGCAGGGACACACTCGCCATCACTGTGCACCCATAGAGTGTCCTCTTCCCAAAGGGCCCACCATAGGAGCCAGGGTCACCCCCCTTCTGCCCCCTCATCCTACTGCAATCCAGCTCGACCTTCAGGTTCAACCCAGGCCCTGGGGAACCATGTCTAGGTAGAGCACCTGGGAGGGATGCAAGGACATCAGGTGCATGCATCGTAGGCAGGTGGTGCACAGGGAGCTGGGGTAGGAGTGCCCCCATGTCTGAACACCCTCCAAAGGGCCATCTGAAGAGAAGAGTGCTGCAGGGGCACCGAGAGCTCACAGAGTGACGGACGGCACCATCGGCCCCCCATCAGCGGTGGGCACAGCTTCCAGCAGGCCAGGTGCATCCTAGGGCTACCCAGCATGGGATCTGGACACATCCCTGTTGAGGCTGCAGGGCGACCTTGGGGAATGGTCAGGTGTGTCACTTCATTCCCCCACTGCAGACAGCATTCGAGACTCAAAACAAAGGGAGCCACTTCTAAAATCTCTTGGTCTCAGAAGTTTAATTCCAGCCTGCCTTGACCTATCGTTTCATCGCACGTCCTCTAATTGAAATGTCCTTTCTGGAGCTCACATGTAGCTTTTTGTTCCTCGTCTTTGCTGGGTGGGGAGACGAGAACAGGGATCAGAGAGATCCCAAGCGCTCAACCACAGATAAGGGCTGCTTCTGCCATTTTCCTCCAACATGCAGTATTTCCTTGTTAGAGCAAACTGATGAAATATATGAGAAACCCAAGAAGGGAGTGGGCTTGGGGAAAACATTGTTAAAATGTAATATCGCCACAATTTAAAATGTTTCTATGAGTCTGATTTTCAAGACACATTTATTTCTTTTTTATTACAAGTTCTGGTACTTCTTAATGGAGCCACGGCCTCACACAAAATCGGGTTCTCCTTGGACTAATATCTTTGAAAATTAAGTTGATTTATAACCAATTTTCTCCTCATTTAAACAGCGACCCGCAAGGGTTCCTCTGGGGAACCCACAGGATCCGAGAACTGATGTGTTGCCGAGATTACCCAGTGATGCGGAATCTTTGCAAACATGTGCATATGGCGGTGGGTGCTTAAGGGAGCAAAATAATGTATTTCCTTGTTCTACATCCCTGCCTTAATTTTGGAGTTAGACATGCGCATTGCTGGGAATGAAGAAACGCTAATTGGATAATTACAAAAACTCCCATCTGATTTCCCACTTTCAAATCGGCTTATCTGCCTTGTCCTTAGCACACACACTCCACTGTGGGCAGTGGGCAGTGGGCAGAGGGCAGGGGTCAGGGGCCCTGGAACATGTGGCAAATCCACTTCCACCTCTGGCAAGCCTGAGACACAAGTCCACCCCTGCCCCCCCCGGCAAAGCTCGGGAATGACGGACGGCAGTCCCTTCTCTACAGTCGATGTTGAAGGTGGGGTGTGTTTAGAATGGTCCACCAGATGCTACCACAGATGTAAGGGAAACAGGATGGATCGGCCGGCACACCCATCTCTTCTGTTGAGAAAATGTTGTATTTCATTACTGCAGGCTTGCTGGTGGGGGGCTTTTCCTTAAACTGAATAATAATTGACCATACCAGCTTCCTAGGGTTGCATTTTTGTGCCAGCCACCAAGCCACCAGTTAGTCCTTGTCACTCCCAAAACCCTCACTGCGGCTCCACGAGGTCATTACTTCATTGCCCCCATGTTTATGGATGAGGACATTGAGGCTTGAGAGACCCACAGCCTGCTCTAAGCATCACCAGCTAAGTGGCACCCAGGGCTGCTTTTCAGCTTTCCTTTCCATGGCAGCATTTTTTTTAATGCTACATCCGACATAATCTGTATTTTATTATTTACTCTGTTCATTGTTTGTAAGTTCTGCTAGGGCAGGTGGATTTCTCTTGCTGTTCACTGGGTATCACAGTCCCTGGCAAAGAGCAGTGCTCAATAAATATTTGCTTGATGAATGCACGCAGACATGCTCTTAGCCATTCTATGCTACCTAATATGGATTATTCCAGGCTCCCTGAACTCTTCCCAAATCAAGAAACCACTTTCCAGAAGTATTTTAACACGAGCTGCCAAGCCTTGACTGTTGAAATGTTTTTGACAGTCAGCCTTGCCATCCTTAGATGTCCTGCTCTTTTCAGACCTTCCCAGACCTGTCATCGCCAGCGCCTTTCCTGAAGAGCCATCCTACACTGGGTCCCGGAACTGCAGCTCTGCAAACAATAGCACAGGCTCATGATCTCCCTCTGTCTCCATGGGGAAGTATCCCTCCCTGTACCAGAGCAGCCCTGGCCAAGTGGGGCTCAGCCCAAGAGCAGGCTGGAGCCAGACAGCTCGGCCCACAGATATTGATGAACAGTTTAAAAGGACAAGCCCATCAGCACTAATTCCTCCAGGGTCCTCTCCCCGGCTCCAGGTTGGTAATCAAAGGGAAAGTGCACTTTGGAAATAATTTTGTTTCTGTGCAGTTCAAATTCCGGAGACCTTGTTTTAAAGCTCATTTGAATAATAACAAGAGCAATTAAAAATTAATATGAATTGCTATTATTTATGGAGTGTGGGTTACCTGCCAAGGGCTTTTCCAAATGCTTCCCTTGCACTATTGCACTGTAGCCTAACAACCTTGTGAATTGGCTCCTGTTTATATTCTCCTTTTAAAGGGAAGAAAACTAGCACTTTGAGAGTTTAAGAAACTTGCATTTTTCTCCCCAAGAAGTGTGGTTAAGAAATGGCCAGTCCTGACCAGGCGCGGTGGCTAACGCCTGTAATCCCAGCTACTTGGGAGGCTGAGGCAGGAGAATCACTTGAACCCTGGAGGTAGAGGTTGCAGTGAGCTGAGATCGTGCCACTGCACTCCAGCCTGGGCAACAAGAGTGAGACTCTGTCTCAAAAAAAGAAAAAAAAAAGAGAAAAGAAAGAAGTGGCCAGTCCTGGATTCTCATAGTTCCCAAGTGCTGTGCTTCCCAGCAGAAACTTGGCACCCAGGCAGCCCTCAAGGGCATGTTTCTGCTTACACGGCTGTAGCTCAGTGATGCTGAGTCCTCTGGTCCAAACCTTGACCATAATTAGAATGCATGCTCTGATTAAAGGCCCAATATTTTTAAAAACAGAAGAGCAGCTAAGGAAAAGACCCAAAAGCTCAGGCTGAACCAAAGTTCTTCTTGGTGTGGCCAGAAGGCCCACACTCTACCCCCTGCAGGGCTGTCTGGATTCCGGGCCCCACCAGCTCACCTGCTCAGCACCTTGGGTCTAATCTTCTGATGCGTCCCTGCCCTTGGAGCCCCACAGGGAAATGACACAATCCCCTGTTTACTACGAGGCTGGGCTTCCTCATGGGCCCTGCCTCCAACTTCGAGACCCAGTTCCACCCCAGGTAGCTTTGGACAAATGATGGAGCCTCTCGGAGCCTCCAGTTTCCCTCTAACATCTCATGGATGATGATGTCAGCCCACAGGGCTGACGGGAGGATGGTCAGACAAAGCCTGGATTCGCCCTGCATGGTTCCTGGCACGAGGGCAAGCTTGAATGGAGGTAAAAATAAGATGGTCCCTTCCAGTCCCACCCACACTCACCAGGGCCAGTGTTCCTCCCCAGTGCTCTGTGAGCTGAGTGGTCTCTGCCTTCCTGGGCCCCCACCTGGATGTCCAGAGGCCATGGCTATGATGGTTAATACTGAGTGTCAACTTGATTAGACTGAAGGATGCAAAGTATTGTTCCTGGGTGTATGTCTGAGGGTGCTGCCAAAAGAGATTAACATTTGAGCCAGTGGGCTAAGAAAGCCAAACTCAACCTCAATCTGGGTGGGCACCATCTAATCAGCTGCCAGCAAGGCTAGGAAAAAGCAGGCAGAAGAACCTGGAAGGACTAGAGTGGCTGAGCCTTCTAGCCTCCATCTTTCTCCTGTGCTGGATGCTTCCTGCCCTCGAACATCAGACTCCAAGTCCTTCAGCTTTGGGACTCTTGGATCTTCCACCGCAGACTGAAGGCTGCCCTGTCGGCTTCCCTAGTTTTGAGGTTTTGGGACTCGGAATGGCTTTCTTGCTCCTCAGCTTGCAGATGGCCTAATGTGGGACCTCACCTTGTGATCGTGTGAGTTGATACTCCTTCATAAACTCCCCTTCATATATACATCTGTCCTGTGATTTCTGTCCCTCTAGAGAACTCTGACTAATACAGTGGGTATCACCCCTGTCTGGAAGAATAGCACGGCCCAGGCCCCTGCAGGTTCCACCCAGGCCCCTGCATGACTCAGCAAGCTGGTCTGGGGAGCTCCCTCCTTTGGGGCTGCCCCCCATGCCAGGGTCCACAGTAACATGCCTAAGTTCTCCCAGGGCTGGAAACAACCTCCGTGAGTCACGCCAGTGTTTGCAATCCTCAGCATGCTTGCTAGCAAATGTTTAACAACCAGCTCTCAAAAAAGCAAAAAAAAAAAAGTTTTTAAAAAGCCCCGATTTTTAGCATTTGCCAGTTTTCATAGTGTAAATCTTCCTGCCGTGGTCAACTTCAAGCCATCTATGTGACTTTACTGAATGTAACATTGGGAAGAGAGGTACAGCAGCAGACAGTGATGTAGTGTTTTACCATCCCCAGTAAAATCAATTCATAATCTTCACCACATAGATAGTAGCAAAATGTAGTCAAGTAATTAAAAAGTTATACATTTTTGAGTATTTATGACCTTTCTTTTTAATACGATTTGTTTACTTGTAATTTTATATCATTTAATGTTTACAATGTCTGTGTTCAACAACCAGTGAGCACAACCCCTGCAAATTTACCATTTGGCTCTCCTGAGCTTGGAGGAGAGGCTGCCGCACACCCTTGGCTCTGGCCGCCCAGGCTTTTCTTAGCTGAGCTTCCACACCCTGACTGTGGTCCAGTCCTCTCGCTTCCAGCCCATGCCTGCTTTCAGATGCAGTCTGTTCCCAGCTGCCCAGTGTTTGGACCTCCAGAGGCTCCATCCCAGGGCCTCCCTCCAGCTCCAACATCCTGACTCCTCAGCGCCCACGTCACCTCGCTCATCACCAGAACCACTTCATCTGTCTCATATCCTGTGAGGCAGACACAAAACAATGACACAGCGAAGAACCTGGGCTGGAAAGTCTGGCAGAGTCGGGGTGAATCCCAGCTCTGCCCTTTCCCGCAAGTGACCCACTTCCCCAGCATCTGCCTACACACCTGCAACAAGGGAGAGAGAAGAGTATCACCGAGGGCTGTTAAACAAACCAATTCACGCAAAGGGGCTTGGCCCAGTTCTCATCACCTAATAAGTGCCCCATAGAAGATGCCATTAATACTCACCTCCTGCCAGATTCCAGCCAATGCTGGGGACAAAGGCAAACTCCAGCACAAAACCCTTATTTCCTGCGGGCGGTACCTAACAGCCCCTGTGTTTCCATGAAGTTAGCAGCTGCAGCCCTTCTTCACCACAGGCTCCTTCTCCTCCAGCACCGCTGCCTCTCTCCTCAGAGCCACCAAGCCTCAGAACAAGGCTCTGACAACCTGCAGAGAAGGACTTTTCTTGGTTTGCATTGTCTTTGAGCTTTGACTTTTTAACAGAATGGGGGTCATTTTGAGTCAATGTTTTGACATTCCTCTGGAGTTTATTTCCTAGCTCTAATGGTCATATTTGGTAGAGGAAGAACTCTTAAAACTCAATGGTAAGAAAATAATCCAATTTTTAAAATGGGCCAAAGATCTTAAGAGACACATCACCAAAGAGGACAAACATGTGGATGTCAAACGGCACATGAAAAGATGCTCCACATCCTACGTCATCAGGGAAATGCCAATTACAACAACGAGATGCCACCACACAGCTGCTAGAATGGCCAAAGTCCAGAACACGGATGACACCAAATGCTGGCAAGGATGTGGAGCAACAGAACCCTCACTCATCGCTGCTGAGAACGCAACATGCGACAGCCACTTGGAAGACAGTATGTTGGTATTTTGTAAAACTAAACATACTCTTACCATACGATCCAGCAATCGCCCTCCTTGGCATTTACCCAAGTGAAGTTTGAAAACGTATGTCCACATAAAAACCTGCACACAGATGCTTATAGCGGCTTTATGCATAGTTGCAAAAACTTGGGAGCAACTAAGATGTCCTTCAGCAGGTGAGTGGATAAACAAGCAATGGAATATCCAGACAATAGAATACTACTCAGGGCTAAAAATAAACGAGCTGTCAAACCAGGAAAAGACATGAAGGAAACCTACATGCACATTCCGACGTGAAGGAAGCCACGCTGAAAAGGCTATACACCCTAGAGTTCCAACTACATGACATTCCGCGAAAGACAAATCTACACAGACGATCTAAAGATCAGTGGTTGCCAGAGGTCAGCAGGAGGGAGGCATGAATCGGCAGAATACAGAGGGCTTTTAGGGTAGTGAAACTGCTCTTTATGATACTATAATGGGAGATACATGTCATTATACATTTGTCCAAACCCGTGGAACTTACAACACTAAGTGAGCCCTAATATAAACTGCAGACTTTGGGTGATTACAGTGTGTCTGCATAGGTTCATTGCTTGTTAACAAGTATACCATCTGGTGGGGGATGTTGATAACAGGGGAGGCTGTGCGTATGTGGGGGCTGGGACTATGTAGGAAATCTTTGCACCTTCTGCTCAATGTTGCTGGAAACCTAAAACAACTCTAAAAAAATTAATTCTTCAAGATGACTAGGAGCAAATTCCAAATGCCTCACCACAAAGAATGGTAAGTAAGTGAGGAGACGAATATGTTAATTAGCTTGACTTAACCCGTCCACATTGTATACATCCATCAAAACATCACTTTGTACCCCATAAATGTTCATTAAAAATAACATTAATAAAAAATAAAGTCTTAAGCAAACAAATTATCTCTATGCACACAAGAAACCAGGACCTCAGCACCCAACACTCCACCTGTTTCAGTTTTGCTTAGTTTTGTAATTCACTGTACTTAGTCTTTATTTTGATTTCACCTATTTGCTGTCTGATATGGTTTGGCTGTGACCCCAGCCAAATCTCCTCTTGAATTGTCATGCCCATAATCCCCACATGTCTAGGGAGGGGCCCAGTGGGAGGTGACTGGATCATGGGGGCGGTTCCCCCATGCAGTTCTCATGATAGTGAGTGAGTCTCAAGAGATCTGATGGTTTCGTAAGTGTCTGGCGTGTCCCCTGCTCGCACTTCTCTCTCCTGCCACCTTGTGGAGAAGGTCCTTGCTTCCCCTTCACCTTCCACCCTGATCGTCAGTTTCCTGAGGCTTCCTCAGCCCTGTGGAACTGTGAGTCAATTAAACCTCTTTCTTTATGAATGACCCAGCCTCAGGGGTTCCTTTATAGAATGAGCCCTTCTGCAACCACCCAGCAGGAGGCATTAGACGGCCCCAGAAATGAGCAGTAACACACTTTCCCACCATTTCCCCAATCGCTTGACAGCAAGATTCAGACCATCACCCGGGAGAACTTAGAACAGCCACCCCCACAGCAAAAGCTACACCTTCCAGAGGAAGAGCATGAAGTGGCTTCTGTTGAGAAAGGCCATGGCTCCCTGACCTGGCCACCTTCCCCGAGTTACAGCACAGGCTCACGGTCTCACCCTGAGTGACAGCCCTGGGTGATTCCAAACAGGCCTGACGCTCTCCAGGACCCTGACACGGATCTGAACTACACAGAGCTATGGTGATCCGGCCGGCTCAGGGGCTAACCAAAGTGATTCCAGGCAGAGCAGCCGGCACTTGCTACCTGGGGTGATAATGCGCACCTTGGAGAATGTCCTTAATGAAAATGTTTAGAAATCAGATCCAGCCAGAGGACCCCCCAGAAAGCACTTTCCTCCAGGACAGCATGACCCCTGTCCTGGGCTGCGGAAGGAAAAGCAGGGGGTTGAAAGGGCTCAGGCGGGAAGCCTGGCTTCACCTGAGGAGGGGCCACATCCTGCCAAGGACAAACTTTGCCTTGTGTACCTTATTTAATTTTGATCCGGATACAATCAGAATGATACAACACGGCCAAAAGTCTGGTTCTCCTTGGAGATGTTGATCTCATTAGCAGGACACCATCACTCACTCAGCAAATATTTACTGAGCAGCTACTATGTGCCCAGCAGATGCTCACTGAAGAGGCAGCCGTGCCACAAGCAGAGTGAACCTCTGGCTTTATTGCACATCCATGCCCTAGGAAAGAGACAACCCAAGCAAAGCTGCACAGCCTGTCGCACGGGGAAATGTGCAACAAGGAATAATAAAGCCAGGCTGGGGATAAAGTGTGATGCTCTGAGACTCACGTGGTCACTTTTTGTGTGGCTTAGCTTCCAGTGCCCGGCCCTGTTGCCCACAGCTGGACCTCCGCCCCGCAGTGAGTAGTTTTGCTTTGTGTTTGGAAGAGGGAGCAGAGGGCAGGGTTGAAGAGCACTGTGGGCGCTCCATCAAGCGAGAGCAGGTCCGTGCCTGTGCTCTACACGCTGACCATTTGAGTCTCCGGCCACTGCTGTCACAAGCCACCACAAAGGGAGTGACTTACAACAATGCAAATTTATTCTCTTACATGCTCTGGATGTCACATGTCCAAAATCAAGGTGTGGGCAGAGCTGTGTTACATCGGAGGCTCTGCAGGAGAATCCGTTTCCTGCCTTTTCCAGAGTCTAGCGGCCGCCTGCACTCCTTGGTTCCTGGCCTCTTCCTCCATCTTCAAAGTCAGCATCTTCCAATCTCTCCCTGACTCTGACCTTCCTGCCCCATCTCATAAGAACCCTATGAGGACACTGGGACCACCTAAATGATCCAGGATGATGTCCCATCTCAAGATCCTTAATCCCACCTGCAGAGTTCCTGTTGCCAAGTAAGGTGACATCGTCATGGGTTTCAGGGATGAGGATGTGAACATCCTTGGGAGATATTTTTTCAGCTGACTACACTGACGCTGACCCCAGAGAACCCTCTGTCTAATTAATTGAAATTCCACATCTGGAAATATCATCATGTGTACACACTTATGCTCCCTTTGTGGCAGGGACAAACACATTATTATTTAGGGAATTTATTGTTTTCCTTGCCAAAAGGTGTTTTGTTTTGTTTTTTAAGTAATCATTTAGGAGTTGTACATTTTAGCAACAAGGAGAATGAAAATGGTTGAAACGGTTAAACTTGCTCGTTTTTTTTTTTAGTTGTTGGAGAATTCTTTGGGGTTTTGAACTTTCTAGAGTTTTCTCTCGGGAAGATTTCTGAAATAGAAACTCCTGTTCGTAAAATTACTTGGACCGAGGGCCACCTTGGTGGATCTGGGGGAGGATGGACTTGAGCTTGTCTTTGTGTGTCTCACTGTAAAGCGGCTTGATCTTAGAGTACACCGTCCCAGTGAGAGCCTCAGTAATCAGAGAGGGAACACTGTGAAACCCACCTTGTTTACACCGTCACCATGATGACGGCCTACATGATGGCTGCTTTGACTCTGGGGAGATGCGAAACATCTTCACAAAGCATCATTAACCTCCGCGCAATTGGGTGAGCTGCCAGGAGGGAGAAGCCAGCAGGCAGGAGTTAGAGGGATGAGGAGTAGGAAAAAAGGCATGCAGGGGAGGGGACGACGTGCTTGGGCACAAATGGAGTCAGTACCTGATCCCTGGAAAGGGGACAGGAGAGGAACAGAGCAGCCACCCTGCACGTCCCTCCAGCCCAGGAGTCCCAAGTGACAAGTGGTGAAGGAAAAACACACAGAAGCATCAGGGACTGGAGTCCTGCCCTCTCGTGCCAGCCCTGACTGAGGCGGGAGTGGCAGCACTGGCCAGGGTGGGCCCTGCCCTCCCGCCTGGATGCAGAGTGGAGCCTCCAGACCACACTTGACAAGGACCTCAGGATGGCCTCGGGGCAGGGCGGCAGGGCTGGAGGAGACAGTGGATCACATCAAGGCCACAGGCAGGGGGAAGCTGAGGCTCAGCCCTCCCTGGCTCCAGGGCAGAGGGTAGAGAACCTGCTGGACTCTGGGCCTTGTTTCTCCCACCAGCCAGTCCCGCAGAGGCTGCCCTGACCTCACCAACAGAAAACACCAGGCCAGGACCTTGCATTCTCATCTGCTCTGTGCCTTGCTTCACTTGTGAGGGGGGCGCAGCTCCAGATGGGGGTTCCATGGGCACAGTGTGGAGAAGGGCACTCAGGGCCTGCTGAGCCTCCAGAAATGCACTGAGCTCAACTGGGGGCCCTCGTGGCCCAGGAGCCTCTGGCCTTCTAGGCTCCAGCCACCCATGCTGTGCCGGGCTCCACGGAAGGCATCTCCCAGGCAGGAGAGTGGCGGTTCGCAGCAGGAGCTTAGAGGCAGGGCTGGCTCGGCCACGGAGGTTCTGAATGTAAGGCAGCCCAAGGAGACCGCCCAAAGGAAGGGGACACTGGGGGAGGCAGTGACAATACCTGCCAAGATCCTTGGCCACACACCCATCCCTGCAGAGCACTTTACATGGACGCTTTCCTCTCCGGGACTGCTGCAACAAAGGCCCACAGACTGGAGCATAAACAGCAGGGCTGCATCGTCTCACAGTTCTGGGGACCAGGGGTCTGAAGCCAAGGTGTCTGCAGGGCCGGTTCCTCCTGCGCTGTGAGGGAGGCTCCGCTCCAGGCCTCTCTCCAGCTTCCAGTAGTTGCTGGCAATCTTTGCTCTTCCTTGGCTTGAGGAAGCCTCACCCTGATCCCCACCTTCATCTTCACATGGCGTTTTCCTGTGTGTGTTCCCCTTAATACAAGCGAGTTTCCCCTTGTATTAAGGACACTGGTCATATTGGATTGGGGCCCACCCTAGTGACCTCGTTTTAACTTGGTAAAGGCCCTGTCTCCAAATAAGGTCACATTCTGAGATGCTGGAGGTTAGGACTTCAACATACAAATTTTAGGAGAGCACAATTCAACTCCTAACAATAGAACCCCTCCTGTAATTTTCAAAACAGAAAATATTATTTTCCCCAATTTATAGATATGGAAATTGAGGATTTAAAAAGATTCAATAATGTGCTCAGGGCTATGTACCCAGTTAATAGTGGAGCCAGGACTGAGATCCCAGTGAGGCCCAAGCCTAACTCTGCTAAAATATGCCCTAAACTGTAGCTTAACATCAAAACACCCTGAGTTATAATCAACCTACATTTCCAAAAAATAGCTGGCGATCCCCATCTTTGGCAAGATGGCACCTCATCCGCCAGGAAGGGCTCTGGTGGGGAGTCCCAGAGGTCTGCCAGGTAATGAGAAATAGAAGGGGATTAACCTGGATTTCTGAGAACCCCGAATGGAAGCGGCACAGAGGCTGCAAGTCCAGGTTTTAAGACTCAGAGGATGTTTGAAAACGAAGACTCTGCATATCGAGGTCCCTGGGGAAAAGGGGGGGAGATGCAAATGTGTCTCTGAGTGTACTCCAGCAACAGAAAGGGATTAATTGGGATATTTTTGGTTGCAAGAAATAGAAGACAACTTGAGCTAGTGTAAGCCAGGAGAAGGAGGGTTCATACAAAGGACCCCGCATCTCATGAGGCCCAGGTCAGAGGCGCAGGCCCAGGAAAGGGGTGGCGGGCAGAAAGAGGCAACACCACCAGCCTCTCTTAGCTTCCAAGCCACGCTTGGCCCCTCTGTGGCTGTCTCTGCTGCCCATTCCAATGGCGGTACGCACCATGGCCCCTGGTCCCTCAGTCGGCGTCCTGTTGTGCTGGAGAGACACTTATACAAGAATCCCTCAGAGCCAGGTCCAAATTCCCAGGACACAGAATCTGTCCCAACTTGGATCGTGTGTTCACACCATGGTCCAACCAGCTGTGGCCAGGTGTGAGATCAGGTGGTGGGAATATGGCAAATGGGCCCCACCAGGGGGAGGGGAAGGAGAAGGGTGACCAGGTATGCTGAGCCAAGACCCCAAGAAGCCCCTTCCCCGAGGGTTAAGACAGGAAAATCTAGGCTTGGTTTTCATATTCAAGGAGGCTGAGTACAGAACAAGGGAACCATGACAAGAAATTGGAGACCCACTCTTTGTTTAAAAACAAATTGGGGGGTTGGGGAGAAGGAGCTTTGTTCTCCACAAATCAAACATTTCAAACCCTGCAGGATCCGGCACTGCTAGAATCTTCTCCAAGCCGGGCCGCCTGCTTCTCTACCGGTCTCTTAGCAACTAAATACCTGACTAATACTCAACTTTTCCCAGGGCTTTAAGAGCTGCAAGATATTAATTCCAAGCAAGACATCTAAATTGTTACTCTGGAAACTTGCTCATGCCCCCTTCATGGGTCAGACACTGAAAGGCCACGTTCCAAGTATCCTTACCATCTCACCCTCGCCGTCCCTAGAAGCAGGATTGAAGTCCCGTCTCCACACGGCCACGGCAGGAGGGGCGGCCTGGGCTCAGATGAGTGGCTCCAGATTGGACACACACAGAGCTTGCTTTGCCATGGGTATGTTTACGTGTCAGTTCCCACCCATGCACTCAGGAAAAGCGGGCCCCTCTTTCCAACCCTGAGGGAAATCATAGAAAGAAATAATAAAATAGGAAAACAAAATTGCTGATCGATGAAAACCACAAGATGTTTTTGTTTCTTAAAGACAAATCAACACAACATAGCAGGTATGACCAAGGGAAAAAAAAAATAAGCATTGAGAACAAAAAGTAGGACATATGAAAATAAAAGGACTCAATTTACAAGCTGGAGGCCGAGCGCAGTGGCTCAGGTCTACGTCATCCCAGCACTTTGAGAGGCCGAGTAGAGTGGACCACTTGAGGTCAGGAGTTTGAGGCCAGCCCGGCCAACATGGTGAAACCCCATCTCTACTAAAAATAAATAAATAAATTAATTAATTAATTAATTAATTAATAAAATAAAGAACGAACGAACTCAGGGCCTTGGCTGTGAAACCCCGGCAGCAGGTGAACAAATTATCCCAGGGCTTTTGGGCAGCAATTTGCCTCTTAGTGTCCAGGGAGTGTCAGGGATGAGCCACCACCCTATGCAGGGTGTGTCCCATGAGCACGAAGCTGCCAGGGGAGGCCCAAGGATCCCAGATGTTGGTCAACACTGACTGCTGTCCCTTCGCTCTCTCTGTGTTGATTTTACCTGCAATGTCTGTGCTCTGGGCAGGACCTGGAGGGTGGGGGGCTCCTAAGGATGAATGCGCTTCTAGCTTGGGAGAAGCTTCAGGGAGCGTTGGGGACACAGAGCCTCCCCAAGTCTACCCGTGGTGGGTAAGAGCCTGACGCCCACCTGTGGAGCACTCTGGGCAAGAGACTTCCTCATCTGAAACGGCACTGTTCTACAATGGGGGTAAAAAGAGCGCCTATTTCTGATGGCTCCTGGGAAGGGCAGCACACCTTAGCTGTTCTGTTCTGTTATCCTGGCAACCTGCGCTTGCTGAGGCTGTCACTGTGTCACCTACAGATGAGGCCATCGAGGCCAGGCCAGGTGAGTGTTGGCCCACAGTTGCAGGAGCAGAGCACGTGCCAGCCCTCACGGGAAGCCACACCTGGATCCGTGGTCTGTGCCGTCTCCCTAAAAGCACGTGGAGCGATGCACCTTTCAAAGTGGCCCCGTGCTGAGTACAATAAAGCCGCTTAATTTGCCATTCTATCAACTGGAAATCCTTATTAACTAGCGATCATACCATACAGTGATAATTGATATTCATAAGGAACTTAATTGAAATTAAGTTTTAAAATAGCTTTAGTGTTAAGTGCATTTTATTCTAATTCCTGGAAAATTGGTCATCCATGTATAGTAGATGAGGTAACAAGGAAACATGCTGAATAAAACCACTCAGCCCCGACTTTCCCAGATGTCTGGGTTTCCTATGAAAGAAGAGGGGCTTAGCGGAGTCCAGTGGGTGCTCACCATACTGATGCCAAAGACCACCCCGAGGTGCCCATGAGGCTGCGTCTTCTCTCCCCACCTGGCCCTGCGTATGGATGCCCCTGAGTGTCATCACCCCAGCACCACCCCCACCCAGTCTAGGAATCTCTACTGGGTTGAACAGTGGCCTCCCAAAAGATATGTTCAAGTTCCAGCCCCAGAACTTGTGCATGGGTCCTTATTTGGAAATCAGCCTTTGCAGATGTGATGAAGTCAAGAGTCTCAAGATGAGATCATCCTGGATTTAGGGTGTGTCCTGAATCCAGTAACTTGTCAGGAATGAGATGAGAGGCTGTGAGAAACACACAGAGCAGGGGCTATGTGGCCACGCGGACAGAGGCTGCAGTGATGCTGCCAGGAGCCCAGGAGCTGCCCAAGCTGCCGGAAGAAGGGGGAGGCAGGAAGGACCCGCCCTAGAGCCTACGGAGGGAGCGGGCCCTGCCCACACCTTGACCTCAGGTGTCTGGCCTCCAGAACTGGGAGAGATTCCATTTCTGTTTTTGTTTGTTTGTTTTGTTTTGTTTTGTTTTGTTTTGTTTTTTCGAGACGGAGTCTCGCTCTGTCACCCAGGCTGGAGTGCAGTGGCACGATCTCGGCTCATTGCAAGCTGCGCCTCCCAGGTTCACGCCATTCTCCTGCCTCAGCCTCCTGAGTAGCTGGGACTATAGGCACCCACCACCACACCCGGCTAATTTTTTGTATTTTTAGCAGAGACAGGGTTTCACTGTGTTAGCCAGGATGGTCTCAATCTCCTGACCTCGTGATCCGCCCATCTCAGCCTCCCAAAGTGCTGGGATTACAGGCGTGAGCCGCTGTGCCCAGCCCATTTATGTTGTTTTAAGCCACCCAGACTGTCCTATGATTAAGGCAGCCACAGAAAAATAACACAGGTCCTAATTCCTAATCTTCCTTGTTTGATTCTGCATATTGAAGGTGGGCAACGTGAAGCTTTACATAAATATCTATAGTGCAATGGTTATTGCCATCAAGCCAATTAGTATCTACACCACTTTCCATAGTTACCATGCGTGTGTGTGTGTGTGTGTGTGTGTGTGTGTGTGTGTGTGTGTGTAGTAAGGGCCCCTAAAATCTACTCTCAGCAAAATTTCCATATACAATGTAATATTATTAGACCTCATGCTATACATTACACCTCCAGGATTTATTCATCTTCTTTAACTGCACTGGGCCTAGGTCTGGGCACATGGAGTAGGTGAGGCAGGGTGAATGAGACCCCAAGGGTCTGTCCTGGAGCTTGTGATGGGGATGGGCCATAAACAGCCCCGAGTGCAGGAGGATGGGGGGGGACGTGTGTGAGTCCTCTCGGTCATAGCAGCTGGTCTCGTTGGCAGTGCCCAGCTCTGTACGCCTTGCTTCTAAAGGTGACTGCCTGCAGGTGCTGTGGCTGCAATGAGGCAGACGGCAGAGGGCCAGGGTGTTTGATGGCAGAGATGGAAGAGGGAGAGTGTGGGGCAGAGCTCATTCCATCTTCAAACATGCTGTGGGGGTTGAACTCAGCCTGCACTTCCCTACACATGAGCACAGCCAGGGATCACAGATGCCCAGCGACCCACGGGCGTCCCACTGCCTGGACCTCACAGAGCCAGTGCCCACCACAATCCCGCTCTGCAGGCGGGAATCCACATCTGATTCTGCCCTTTCTTCAGACCCTGATAATGCCATGAGAATGGAGGAATTAAGATGTGGCTGTCAGTGACGAGCTGTGAGTTCTAAAAAGTCCTCATGAAAACGAGGCCAAGTTTTATCCATCGCAAAATCCCCACCCAAGAACTCAGCCCACAAGAACAATCGTCCACAGCCTTCCAAGTTAACAGAAAAGAGCGGCAGAGGTCCTTAGACATGTGCAAAGGGAAAGCAGCCCCAGATACGCGCCCCCCACCACACTTCCGTCTCTCAGCCGCAAGTCCCCTGCACCCAGCAGCCCAGCCCTGCCAGATAAACACTGCCTCATCGAGGACGGTACAGGCAGATCCCAAACCCAGTCATTCTAATTATCTCTGAAGCACATGCTGAAGACTGATTTGCATATTGAAAATATGGCAGGGCAGGAAGGGAGCGAGCTGGCATTTCTCAACTCTGCCAGTGTTGTCTTCCGACGGCGTCATAAGACACTCTTCTAATGAAGTAATAAAAACAGTGTGAAATTTCAAACCACCCCAGGACATCTTTAAATGACAGCATCTCCTTTCCTGCGGTGATGAGAAAAGGAATGGCTTAGAAGTTACAGACCACACAGTGCTTCCCGGGGACCCCTGCCACAGCCGAAATAAGCTATCTAAATACCTGCATGGACTTCTCACTGTTCATCACTCAGTCTCCACCCCTGAAGCACCCACCCTCCTATGGTAGTTTCCCATGCTAACTACCTACCTGGCTAGCTCCCACTCATCCTCATTTCCCAGGCAAACACGCAGGTGACTGGTATAAAGTCTGCTGTGTGTGCTCATTCCATCTTCAAAAAAAGTGTTTAATTTGTTAGCACTTAAAGTATGCATAACTGTAAAGACAGCCAGGTGCTCCAGGGAAACTTTGCTTTAAACAAAGACGCATCTTACAGTGAATGTTCTGTGGACCGTATCTACGTGTGTATCAAACACACCACATGGCACTTTGTAGGAAGCTACTGCATCTCTGCGGAACAGTGTGGGAAATCAGCTCACAAGACCTTTGGAACCCAATGCTGTCACCCGTAGAAGAAGAGAAAGGTTCCTAGAATTGGCCTTGGGCAGGAGCTTTTCCCAACTCAGTGTCCTGATGCCTCTCCCAGGAAGCCTGTGTTGGCCCTGAGCTGCCAGCCCCTGAGCCCCAGAATCCTCACCCGCTCCCCGCGCACCTACCCTCAGCTCCAGCCTCTCGGAGGAACAGACAAGGAACAGATGGGCCAGCATGCAGTTAGCAGCTGAGAAACCAGTTCATGCTGGGGAGGTACAGGCTTTGGGATGGTCCCTCCCTAGTCTTGTCTTAAGATAAAATGTCAATACTTTGTTTGTCCTGACCTTCCTACCTAGTCTCGCCCCCGTCTGGTTTATAACCTCCTTCATACACTCCCCTCCTTGCCCACAGTGGATTCTTCAGCCCCGGTACCCTACAGAACTGTTCCTGCATTTTGCAGGGCCCCAGAGACCCACTGAGCTCTCGGCACTCACAGCTGCCCTCCTGGGAGTCACCCTGTATTTCTTGACCCTACTTTATTCCTTATTTCTTTGTTTTTCACAGCACCTGTCTGACAAGACCTCATTTTTGGCTAACATGTGAATTGCCCCTCCAGTCCACTCAGCAACCACTACCATGGTGGTCCACGCAGGGAGTGGCCATGACCGCCATGAGAGCCCCCAACCCTCCACCTTGCACAGTGCTGAATGTGCAGAGAAGCTCCCCAAATCTATGCTGGGTGAACAAATGAACGTCTTGACCCTGTGGAAACCCAGAGTGGGAGAAAGAGGTGGTGCCCTTGGGAAGCGTCCACGACTTAGACCTTCTTAGGTACATGGCAGCAGGCAGAGGCCACTCTCAATGTCATGCATGAGAACGGCCCCCTGGCCTCACAGAAGGATGATAGACTCCGAGCAAAAGGCACTTTATATCCCATCAAGACACAGATGGCATTCGGGTGGACTTGGGCTCTCTTAAACTGAGGCAGACAGAGCACCTGTCTGTTGGGAATGGTGATTGAGTCAAGGGACAAAAGCATTGTCAGAGACCCAGAAACAATCGAGAATTAAAGCAGGAGGCTGGGTCTAAAATGCAATTCAGTGTCACAACACAGGCTGGGCTGAACACTGCCTCTGTTCTGGGCACTGGTTTATCACCTCCTTCATACTCACCCCTCCTTGCCCACAAGTGGATTCCTCAGCCCTCGCACCCCGCAGAACTATTCCAGCATTTTTCAGGGCCAGGATCTTCTCAACTGTGCCAAGGTAAAGAAGTCGCTGCCCTGCCCTGCAGTTCACCTTCTGACCATGAAGGCAGATGTGTGCCCCCAAAGCTGAGGCCTTCTTGCACTGAGGCATTGAGCCACGTTCAGGCTGTGGGCTGCCCGCTGCTGTAGACAAGAAGGCTGAGCCACCTCTGACCTCATGGAGCTCCAACATTCATCAGCTGATGCCCCAAATAATAAATAATGTCTAATTACAACTTGTGATAAGCACTGTGAAAGAAACATGAAGGGTGGCTTGAGAGCTTGGCCTACGTATGGGCCTGGCGATCTAACAGGAAGAGCCAACCCATCTAGAATGTGACGCTTGAGCTGGGAAGGGGTGGCCAAGTGTTTGGCAATGAGGAGGAGTCAGAGACAGGAAAGGCTACATCCCATGAAGGGGGCGTGGCAGGTCTGCAGAATGGCAGGTGGGACTGGAATGCTGAGTACCAGGGCATGTTGGGGGAGACGCACACGGCTGGGATGGGGGCTAGCAGATGCCATGCCACCTGGACTTTCTGACAGTGTTAAGGCTGCTGGTCTTTATCTCCAGGGTGGCGGGAATATCCGCACATCTAACCCTACACCTTCTTTATCAGTTTTGGCTCTAATGTCCCCTTCTCTGTGATGTCTTTTTTTAAATACAAGGGCTTGCTCTGTCACCCAGGCTGGAGTGCAGTGACGTTATCAGACGTCACTGCAGCCTCAACCTTCTGGACTCAATCGATCCTCCCACTTCAGCCTCCCGAGTAGCAGTGACTACAGGTGTAAGCCACAACCCGCAGCTAGTGCCGCCTTTTTGATGAACATTCCTTAAAATTAAGACCCAGCCCGGCCCTCCCTGCCTCCCTTCTCACACTTTATTGTTTTCCACAGCACTCTGCCATTTACATACAATGTAATTTACCTCTTTTTATAATTGTTTTATCTCAACAGTTTTTGGGGTACAGGTGGATTTTTGGTTACTTGGATAAGTTCTTTAGTGGTGATTTCTAAGATTTTAGTGCACCTGTCACCTGAGCAGTGTACACTGTACCCAATGTCTAGTCTTTTATCCCTCAGCCCCCTCCCTCCCTTTCCCTGAGTCCCCAAAGTCCATTGTGTCGTTCTTATGCCTCTGCATCCTCATAGCTTTAGCTCCCACTTATAAGTGAGAATATGTGATATTTGGTTTTCCATTCCTGAGTTACTTAGAATAATGGTCTCCAGCTCCATCCGAGTTGCTGCAAAAGACACTATTTCATTCCTTTTTATGGCTAAGTAGTATTCCCTGGTGTATATAGGCCACAATTTGCCTCTTCGTTTACTCCCTGTCTCCTTCCACTAGAACATACGCTGCAGGAGGACAGGACATGGTCTTTTCTTGGCTGGATTTCTTCCCTACTGTCTCTTCAGTGCCCTTGAGGGTGTTGCCTCTGGTGGCTCCTAGTTTTCTCCTCCACATTGAAAAGGCACACGAATTGCAGAAAATCAAGAGGGTTTGAAGGTCACTGGGGCAAAGGGGAAAGGTCGGTCCCTGCAGGAATCTTAGAAACACTACCAGACATTGTTGAGGGCCCAGTGTGCTGGGAAGCCAGGAATTTCTAGTGACACTGATCCGCACGAGGGGCGGGGGGTTCTTCAGAAATTCTCAGCAGTGTGGCTGTGGAGAATGCCCACAGCTCAGCTGGCCCACGCAAGTTCCACACTGACACAGGGCAAGGGAGGAAGCCAACCAGGGAGGCCGTGCCGAGGAAGAAAAGCACAAAAGTATTGCTAAAAATGTACAGGAGAAAAGAGAGGATGAGAAGGATCAGGATGTGAGGCAGAATATGCTTAGCTGCCAACAGCGCATGGCAGTATCCCCTGGTGAGCTGGAGAAGATGGGACTCAGTCCTCCTGCTAGGCAGCTGAGACCTGCATGGACCACCTTTTCTGAGACCCAGCATCCGTGTGGTCTGGTCCATTGCTCCGGGAGCAAGACTGCAGGCTCCCCAGCCCTCCCATAGGTGTGCACTGACCTTGGAAGCCAAGGTGATCAGAAAGCTGCTCTATTCTCCAGACCATACAACAGCCCTGCGGTACACCCAGAGCCTTCCTTATTTTAAAGACAGGGTGTCGTGATTTCTCCATTGATGGATGGCGGGCTTGGGATGCCCTATGAAAGGCACATGTGTGGCATGGAAAATTCACAGCAATCTTGGTAGTGAAGCAGGAAGGCCTCAGATGGAATTGCTGAGAGCCCAGCCGAGGGAAGGAATGCATGGACATTGGTTGAGTTCTCATTATGTGCTGGCCTTTTTACACTCTCCCATTTGATTTTTAGGATAATCTAGTGAAATATGCATGTGCTTCCAATTGTGTAACATTTACGAGGAAAAACACATTGGGGGGGGGGACGTTTACATGCATAATAGGCACCACGCCTGAAACTCAAAGTACGCAAGATGTTTTTATTCTTTCAAGACACTTGGGAATATCCTCAGAGGCTGTTAAAACCAGTCCCTGCACCTGAAATTGCTAGGCACTTTATTAAGTTAACCGAAACACATTTTAGAACATAGGTAATTCACCCAACTGATAAACTTGCAAATTGATTTCAGTGAATTGAATTATGTTCGATTTCAGGGATTTGGTCCTGTAGCAAAGCGTTTATTTTGTGAACTGATTGACCACAGATTAGTTTTGCCAACCCATCTGTTTGGATCCAAAGTTTATCTCCCTACTCAGCCACAGCCCTCCCGGACCAGCACCCTGCTCCAAGTAGCTCCTACTTTCTGCTGACTTGTTTACATTACACATTTGGAACCTCAATTCATTCATTTGAATGTATCAATCCACAAGCTGGCCACATGCACAACTCTGCTAAATACTGTTTCCAACACCCCAGGGTGTAGAAAGACTTAGTTACGAAGTCCATTCTTCCTCCTTTCCTGCTGCAGCACAAGGAGATGTGGAATGGACTGGCTCAGCCCCATCTCACCTCCTGTCACAAGGAGATTCGCCATTGGATGCTGTTTAAACTTGGGTCGGTATTTGGTGGGTGACAGATGTTTCTCTGCAAGAGTTCACAGTCCGCCCGTCCCCTGCCCCACACAGATGTGATTTAGGGCATCATGAATCAATCGTCACTTCTGGAATCTCAGTGAGCAGATGTCCTCTTTAGAGATTCTAATCCAAATTGTTAACCTCCAGATTCCTCTGGCTTTTTTTTTTTTTTTTAGAAGTGCCAGTTGTCTGTGAAGATGTCAAAGGGCATAAATGTTAATTGGATATGGGACTTACCGATAGGTCTTTCTTGAATGAAATAAATGCATCTTATGGGACAAACACACCCAGGGGAGTCCAGGCAGAACTACCACCCCAGACATCAGCTTGAGCCCGGGGATGTCATCAGCAGCAAACAGATGCACTGCAGGGCATCCGAAATTAATCACTGCTGCTGACATTTTAATAAACAGCTGCTTTTGAAATTGCTTTGGAATGAGCACAGATTCTGACCCAATCTTTTTGAAAGAAGATCAGGGCATTATAAAGCTGTCTATTTTGAAAGCAAGGAGAAAACAAACTTGAAAGTAATTCTTAAACAGACTCCTTTAGGAATCAGCCCATGTGGAGTGACCCTAAGTAACTTTCATGAGCTCAGGCCCACACCGAAGCACAGGGCAGTGACATGCATCCAGGGACCTAACGCCAGGGGTGCCTGGATTAACCGTGTGATCTTTATGGGGTATCTCCCCTTGCCGGGACTCAGGTTCCTCACAGAGAATGGGGATAGCGCAACTCTCCCTCTTCTGGGGGCTTTCGCAAGTAACTGAGGAGAGAGCAGACACTGGACATGACCGCCCTCCGAGTGGATACAGTCGCCCCCAATGCAAGACAGCCTCTGTCACCCACTTTATCCTCCTAAGTGGAACCGAGGAGCGGCTCTACTGGAGGAATCAAAAGAATTCCAAATCAAGTCAGATCCATAGTTCTGCAACAGGTGACCTGGGATGACGCTCAGCCTTTTTGACCAAACATCCAGGGTGATAAACAGAAGGTTGGAAAGGATTCACCGCAGCAAAGGGATCCAATGATTTGCTTCTGGTGCTCCCTCTGTGTTGCGAGGGCGTGTGAATGTGTGGACAGCCGCGCATGGTGGGGCAGGAATCCAGGCCCACATCCTCTCCCTGATGCTTCTCTCCGTGGGCCGCACTTTCCACTTTAAATAGCTCCAGGACATTCTTTTGTTTCAGTTTTTGTGTTTCTTGAGAAGGTTACAGTTCTTTTACAGCCATGTTGTAAAAGAAGTTAAAAGTCTAATTGAATAAAAGTAAAACAAACATCCACAGTGCTAAATAAAGCTGAGGCTAGCGCACTGCCAGCCTCCGATATCAGAAGCAGCCAGAGGCATCGAAGAGTTGAATTTCTGTGGGTCAACTGGGGCCAAAATCACTGCATAAGTGGCAGAGTGCCGCAGAGTTCCCCATCAACAGTACAGAAAAAGAAAGAATTCACCCAGAATGAAACACGACCACCAGATAATCCCCTCCTAGTTCCAAGCAAGAGGAGCTGCCCCAGAGCAACTTTGAATGTGGATATTATGGCCCTGTGCACCGCGGGTGAGGGGAGTCAGGCCGGGACATCAAACGGAGACCCCCCAGGGACCGCTCTCTACGCTACACACAGGTCAGAGATTAGCCCTGGGCTCCGCGTTGCTAAGGAGCTTAGCAGTAGTAGGCTTGACATGGAAGTAAATCCAGGGCACACACCTCGCATGGCTTAGTGAGGAGAGAGAGAAACGCTGCAAGACCGAGGCTCTGTTGACAATCTGCACACTGCAGCTGCCTCTGCGAGCTCTTGGTGTCTCGCCCCTCCTCACAGGGTCTAGATCAAGCTCGCACCATCCCTCACTCTGAGGCTGGGGCAGCTTCGGTCTGAGCAACTTGGTTCATTCACAGAGGCAGGGAGGCTCCTGCGTTCACTGCCCCTAGCAGGGAAAACATGTCAGGTCATCGGCCCCCACCAAACCCCTGCCTGACTTCCTCCACAATGTGTCCCACATTGACACACCTCGACCCCCGAACCCGTGTCAGGAGACGTAAGACAGAAGTGGAGACAGCTGCACCGCCTGGGCGGAGAAGCTGTTGCCATTTTCAGGAGGAAACGGCTAACTCAAGGGAGACTCTGTCTAAATGTACTAATGCTTCAGACGACATTTGCTTTCCGTACATCACCATTTTACTCCACAGAGAAGCTAATCAGATTGCCGAAGGAGAAAATAAACCAGGGCCTATTAATTAGCTTAAATATAAGTTTTGAACTATAATATTTAGCAAGTTGAATTCTAAAGTGGAGAGGCCAAATAGAAAATAATATCTGCTATTTCTCAGAGGCTAAAATGTTGTTGTTTCTCAAAGTCAAAACACAATAGGATTTTTGAGATCTGCTTTAAAAGAACCGAGGGAAGGCAGCATAGCAAAGAAGAGGAGATGAGAAGACTGGCCCTGTGTGGATCATTTTTGGATCTGGGGGATGAAGGCAGGGGCCTTAAAGCTTTCCCGTGAGCCAATGTGTCACACTTTGCTGGTTTCCTTTCCTCCTGCTCCCAACAGGCTGAGAAGCTCAATATCTTATGACATGAATAGGATAGACCCCAAGTCTTAAGGAATGGCCACAACTGTCCCAAAACCATCAGCCTCAAGTCATCTGCCTGCCATATGTTTGGTGCAGAGTTGAGACATACAACCTGGAGACGTGGCAAGTGAGAAGGGCTCAATGACTAATTAATCAGGACAATCGGGATTGTTCCAGGGAGACCAGGCCATGACCTGGTCATGGTGTGGGGACCCCCCCCATGACCTGAGCTGACGGAAGCAAGGACCCCACCCATGACCTGAGCTGACGGAAGCAAGGACCCCACCCATGACCTGAGCTGACTGAAGCAAGGACCCCATCCATGACCTGAGCTGACTGAAGCAAGGAGTATCTCAGGCCCTTGATTCAAGAGGCTCGCTCATGCCCTTTCCTCTCTGTCAATGAGAAAGCGCCTGGGTTGCCAGCAGCAGCCATCAGAATCCAGCATGGGAAGGAGCCCAGAGAAACTGACCAGAGTTCTAACTAAGCTGCGGCGGAAGCCCGCCCCGCTGCTGAATCTTCCAGGCATGTGGGCCAATACCTCCCTCCACTTTTTAAGCATTTGTGAGATGCATTTCCGGCTCCTTCCCCAACAGGACCTGCGAGTTGGCTCTCATATACCCCAGAGGAGCAGGTGTCATTTCAGAGCCTCCTCGAGGTCATTCTTTCTCAGGTTAAGCATTTTTCCTCTGAATGGGACACCTTAGCAATCACCCATAAACTTTGTTGTGATGTTCCTACAAATTTGTTCCATACGTGTTGTTTTGTTCTTCAAGTGCCTGGTGGATGATAAGGTCAGTGGCTACCCCTTCTAATTCTTCTCCTTGTCCTCAGGGCTTCCCAGTGCACTCTGGGCAGCCACTGACTAATTAAATCATCCCACAAAGGTATCCTGCATGACACACAATGCTGACCCTAAATGCGAACTCCTGGGTAGGCATTCAAGAGAGGGACCAGGTCTGACATTTCTCAGCATCAGGACTCGGCACCTATTCTAAAGCTTTTTTTCCCAAAGGTGTGCTGTACTAATTCAGAGGCTTTGCTCATATGTTTCTAAGCAAACATGGAAGGAACCTGGTCAGCTTGCAAATGGACAAGGCCCTCCCCAGTCCTGATGTGGTGATGCAGCCTGGCTACACCCTCCAGGCTCATCAGGAATGACAGCTTTGCCCTGTGGGAGTTCTGCGGGTGCTTAAGGACCAGGACACAAAGCTGCAAGTGCCCAGCGACAGTCATCTTCGCCTATGCATGGTATCTATTTTTGTCTTCTAGTTTCTTAATTTCAATTCTTTGGGCCTATTCCCTCTCTCTCTCTCCTCCCTCTCCCTCTCTCTCTCTCTCTCTCTCTCTCTGTCTCTCTCTCTCTCTCTCCCCTCATCCGCCCCCCACTTCCCACCCTCTCTCTCTAACTTCAGTTGGGTTTTGAACTTGGTAACTATCCTGTAGCCCCTCTTGGAGTACACAGTTGAGTAAGGCTGAATACACACAGTTTGGACAATCACATATGTTAATTCAGGGATTCCTTAACCTACCAATTGTCACCAATCCAGCAATGGCTGACCTAACTGCTGACACTTGAAGCTTGCTTGTTCACCACAAAGGCCACGATTAAACCTAAAGTGAGCTGTGGGGGTTTATTCAAATTCTCTCTTCAATGCTGCACCCCCTTCCCAGTGAAATTAAAAAATAGGCATAGCTTACTGCTTCAGCAGCATTATGTAGCACGCCAGGGACAGCTGGGCTCAGAAAAATGCCAACAAGCTTGTAAGATGGTTTCCAATTTGCCAGCAAGGAGGTCCCTGAGGGGACCCACGCACGACTCTTTCCTCTCCTAGATCTTTGCCATTCCTGAGAGCCCTGCCTGGGCACCTTCAAGGTTTCCTTACCCACCTTATGAAAGAACCAACGGCTTCTTTTGTTACTAGTTAGACATTCATACCCAATAATAGAGCTCTCTGCAAAGTGCACAGTGATGGTGCTCCCACTGAATTCTGTTATTAACGCAGCCGTGCAATGTCATCAAAGGTGTAATTCAGGGCTGCCTTGGATGAAAAGGAATTTCAAAGGCAGCTTTCTCTGGCTGACTTCTTTGAATCTACTTGTAAAAAATCAGAACTTGATTCCAAGCTTGTTGCGGGGATGGCAAATTAATGAACTGTCCTCATGTCACTAAAGACTTAGCTCAGAACTCAGGTTACAGGAGGATTGGGTTTTTATTAGCTGCTTTCCTGGGAGCTCTTGCAATTCCAGCCTTTTATTGTTGCCTGGGAGGGTGTTGTATGAAGCTGATGAGTGTTTGCTGCAAAAAGCTTAAGTATAATCAGAGATTAAGTCGTTTCTCCCTCTTCCACTCTTCCTTTTCCACAGTCAAAGGAATCAGGAAGGCAGAATTCAAGTGAAAACCTAGCAGTGCATAATTCTTAAATGCAATAGTTAAAAGCCCATAATAAGTACAGCAGCTATTAGATGGGTGCTTTTCACAAAAGGTTCTGATGCTTGTCTCTCCTTTGAAAGGATCTGCTCCTTCAAATCTGACTTAGGGGATATTCAATCAGCATGAATACCTCCAAGGTACTTTCACCATAAGGATAGTTGTCAACTCTTTCCCACAAAGCAAGACGTTTACAATATATTTACGCGGGAGTCCACATGGAGGGGGCTTGAATATGTTCTTGAATATGTTCATTGTGCTTCCTTCAAAGTGGCGTGATGAGGAATCAGAGGACGTTTTATAAGACGGGAAGAAGGCAATTTGGCTTCATGTGACACCTTTCATGCTCAAAGAATCCCAACAGCGAAATACTCATGAAGAATAAAATGCTTACACTTTGTAAGTGAGAGAGTGGAGTTGCGGCAATGAGGCTGGAAATGGAAAAGAGCTCAAACCAAGCACGAGTTGGAACCAAACTTTAGCTAGGTCTCCAGGCAATTGAGATCCCAGCATGCGGCGGCAATTGAGACGAGGAGGATCTTTTCAGATGTCTTAAGTGGCCGAAGTGAAGCCCCTCCAGAGCTGCTGTGGTTGACGATCACCCTGCCGCCAGCTGCTTCCTTCAGGTGCAGTGGCCCAATCTGTCCCTTGTTTTTATTTACTCGAAGTGGTCATTTTTCCTGCCTTGGCCTGCTTTCAAATTTATAATTCAAAGAAAATCATGACAATAAGAACATGTTCTGTTTGTCTAGTCACTGATAATTTCACCATGACTATCACTTTTGGGTTTTCTGTTGGTCCTAGTTTCTAAGGATGAATAATTTTACAGAGTCACCCTCCTGGCTTGGACAGGATTCTGTGTTCTGTTTTCTCACTTGTCTTTGGTCACCTCCGTCTCTTGCCTCCATTTGCCTACATTTTAAGGGTGCAAACTATCAAGGGGCCAGGTCGCCGTTTTGTCCCATATTCTGCTACTGTTGAAACTTTAGGTTCATTCATTTATTCATTCACTTAAAAAATGCTTATTGAGCACCTACTCTGAATTAAAGAGATAAAGATGCTGAGATATAAAGGTTTTCATTGGGCATGAGGATTAAAAAATGAATAGTGAGTGAACTTTATTCTATGTCCCAAGGTGAGAGGTTACTGGAAAAGTCAACAACAGCAGTGGAGGAGGAAGGTAGGTGTGTGGAGGTGGAGAGGGGAGTCTGCGGCTTCAAAGTGTGCAGCGTGGTGGGCCTCCTGGAGAAGGTGATGTGGGCCAAGACAAGGAGGTGAGCGAGGAAGCCACACTTAGGGGAGGAAGGCTCCAGGTGGTGTGGACATGGAATATAGTCTCTGGGTGGCCAGGCTGGTCTAGGGGAGGGTCGGCAGGGGGGCCAGCTTGGGGGTGGCTCCTAATCATTGCTAGTCAGGCAGCTTCTTCTTTGGGATGGATTCCTGGGAGCCAAATCATTGTGTCTAAGGTTGTTTATATTTTTATGGTTATTTTTATGTGTAGTCAAATTATTCCTGCAAGGGCCTGTACCAATGTATACTGCTACCAGCAATTTATGATTATAGCACAGGATAACCCCAATAGCATTAACTATTACAGTTTTTAAAATATGTTAATGTAATAGATTTTAATAGTTTCTCATTGTTATTTTACTCTATTTTAAAAGGGTGAACCTTTTGTCACTATTACCAACATCACGGCAGCACAGAAATGGTCCCTTCGTAATTCTCAGCCATTTCCTTGAATTGTCATTGACTCGTTTATTTAAAGTAGAGTTGCCAGATTTAGCAAATAAAAATACCAGGCATTGGGTTAAATTGGAATCTCAGGTAAACAACAAAGAACTTTTGTATAAGTACGTCCTGGCCTGGTGCGGTGGCTCACTCCTGTAATCCCAGCACTTTGGGAGGCTGAGGTGGGTGGATCATCTGAGGTCAGGAGTTTGAAACCAGCCTGGCCAACATGGTGAAACCCCATCTCTACTAAAAATACAAAAATTAGCTGGGCATGGTGGCAGGCACTTATAATTCCAGCTACTCGGGAGGCTGAGGCAAGAGAGTCGCTTGAACCTGGGAGGCGGAGGCTGCAGTGAGCCGAGATTGCGCCATTGCACTCCAGCCTGGGCAAAAAGAGTGAAACTCCGTCTCAAAAAAAAAAAAAAAAAAAAAAAGTCC
This sequence comes from Homo sapiens, assembly GCF_000001405.40. Taxonomy (NCBI): domain Eukaryota; kingdom Metazoa; phylum Chordata; class Mammalia; order Primates; family Hominidae; genus Homo; species Homo sapiens. The sequence goes on from NC_000020.11 coordinate 61,141,633, forward strand.
TGTGCAATATACTAAAATATTATCTTATTCCTTTTTGAAATTCAAATTTAACTAGGCTTCCTGTATTTCATTTGGAAACCCTACTTTAAAAGAATATTTATTAAAGATCTACCATGCACTAGTGTCCCAGGGTGTTGAAGCCTTGATGTTGGTCTCAGTCATTTGTTAAGTAGATAGATATTAATTTACTACCATGATGTTAGTCTGAGTAGTTTGTTAAGCAAGTAGATACTAACTTATTGCCTTTTACATGAATTCCAAATGTTCTCCAGTATGTTTATCTTCTATTTCAGTTATTATTTCTAATTTTAGAAATTTTAATTTGTGGATAATTGACCTTTTTTTTTCTTTTTAGTTTATCTTCTATTTCAAAATGAGGAAGACAGGGCACATCTGACGATAAGACTCTCGGATCTCCTGCTGATGGGTTTTAGTGATACTTGGAAAGACGCTTACTGCTATGCTCAAGTCTCCAGGAAAATGATTCCCAATTCTGAGAGGTACAGATTGCTGAATGGACTTGGATGCATTCTTAGGTTCAGTAAGAATGTTTCTTCCAAAAACCCACATATATACACCCTCACAGTCCAATTTCACATGAAGCAGTTCCAAAAGAAACTGCTGCTGCTGCTGCTGTGGTTGTTCAGTGATAACCTGCTTCACCAAACAAAAATGTTCTTCCTGTTCTCCATCCTCCATTAACACCATGTTAATAGAAAATTTGACCATTGTAACTTTCCCTCTTTTAAATTAAAGGATGCGTGTACACATGAGAAACGAGGTTGAGGTTGACTTTCATGACAGTGCAAAAGGGTTATCAATACTAATAAAATGTGTGAACAGGAGGAAGTCCAAACTGAGATACCACTTTTGGTGACACAGTGTCTTAGGTGAGTTGGAAATTAGGTCAGGTCATTTTATTTCAAGTCTTCTGCCCATATTTCGCAGGAGTGCTTCAGGACCCAGATGTCACAGAAGGGGCCACGCTGGGCAGGGTTTACCCTGTACACCCTCCCCAACTGCACAGGCTTCTCTGTGCAACTTGAGGCAGGGATATGGGGGACAGTGTGAGGGGTCTCTGTGGAACAATCAGGGATGGTGGGGTGCTGGCTCACTGCCCTGGGTATCAAAATGTGACACTGCTGTGGAGGGGTACGCTAGCAGGCTTTCGAGTCACCCTCTGGTGGCTGGTTTTCATGGGGCCCCATCTCTGGGGTCCTGGACTGCCAAATTTACTCTCTGGCAAGAGGCCCATGCCATGCCCATGCTGGTGTGAATGACACACATGCTTCCTTGACTCTGCCCACTGTGTCTAAAAATTCACAGGTTGTGGAGTCTCTGCCACTCTGCCTCCAATTGGCCAGTCTTCAGCTGCCCTGGGGAGGTTTTCAGTCCAGGATGGGATGGGAAATGATGTCTCTACAAATATTATTAAATTGATACATAATAATTGTATATATTCGTGGGGTACATGTAATATTTTGATACCTGCATGCAATGTGTGATGATCAAATCAGGGTAATTATGATATCCATCACCTCAAGTATCTGTCATTTATTTGTGTTGAGAATATTTCAGATCTTCTCTTCTAGCTGTTTTGAAATCTATAATAAATTATTTTTGTAACTATAGTCACCCTACTGTGCTATCAAAAACTAGAACTTAATTATTTCATCTAACTGTATTTTTGTACCCATTAACCATGCTCTCTTTATCTCCTTCTGCCCCCTTCCAGCCTCTGGTAACCATCATTCTACTCTCTACCTCTATGAGATCAGTGTTTTTAGTTCCCACATATGAGTGAGAACATGCGACATTAGCCCTTCTGTGCCTGGTTTGTTTCACTTGACATAACCTCAAGTCCCAACCATGTTGCTGCATATGACAGGATTTTATTACTTTACATGGCTGAATAGTATTCCATTGTGTATATGTACTACACTTTCTTTATTCATTTGTCTGTTGATGGACACTTAGATTGATTCCATTTTTTGGTTATTGTAAATAGTGCTACAATGAATGGGAATGCGGCTATCTCTTTAATATACTGATTTCCTTTCTTTTGGATATCTATTCAATAGTGGGATTACTAGAGCATACGGTAGATCTATTTTTAGTTTTTTGAGGAACCTCCATCCTGTTTACTGTGGTGGCTGTACTAATTTACACACCCACCAGCAGTGTTCGAGTGTACTAGCATTCCTCTTTCTCTGCATCCTCACCAACATCTGTTATTTTTGGTCTTTTGGTAGTAGGCATTTTAATTGGGATGAGATGATATCTCATCATGCTTTCAACTTGCATTTCCCTGATTAGTGATGCTGAACATTTTTTGTATATCTGTTAGCCATTTGTATGTCTTCTTTTGAGAAATATCTATTCAGATCATTTGCCCATTTTTAAATCATTTGCCCATTTTTAATCAAACTATTTGTGGGCTTTTTGTTTGTTTGTTTGTTTTGCTATTTAGTTGTTTGAGTTCCTTATATATTCTGGATAATAATCCCCTGTCAGATGACAGTTTGCAAATATTTTCTCCTATTTGGTAGGTTGCGTTGTCACTCCATTGCTTGTTTCTTTTGCTGGGCAGAAGCCTTTTAGTTTGATGTAATCTCATTTGTCTATTTTTGCTTTTGTTGCCTGTGCTTTTGATTTCCCACCCAGGAAATCTTCGCCATGACCAATGTCCTAGAGTGTTTCTCCAGTGTTTTCTTCTAGTAATCTTATAGTTTCAGGTCTTTCACTTAAGTCTTTAACCCATTTTGATTTGATTTTTGTATATGGTTTAAAGCATCTTAAGATGGAGAGCTCTCATGTGCATATGAATATCCAGTTTCTCCAGCATTACTTCTTAAAAATATTGTGCTTTCCTCACTGAATGTTCTTCATTGAAAATACATGATGGGCTGTAAATACATGAAAATACACAGTAGGCTGTAAATACATGGATTTATTTCTGGGTTCTCTATTCTGTTCCATTGATCTATGTGTCTGTTTTTAATGCCAATATGATGTTGTTTTGGTTACTATAGCTTTGTTGTATATGTTGGCCTTGGATAGTGTAATGCCTCAAGGTTTTGCTGTTTTTGCTCAGGATTGTCCCATTCAGGGTCTTCTGTGGTTCCATATGAATTTTAGGATTGCTTTTTCAGTTTTTGTGAAAAAAAAGTCCTTGGTTATTTGATAGGGATTGCATTGAATCTGTAGATCAGTTTTGGTAGCATGGTGATTTCCACAGCATTAATTCTTTCAATCCATGAACATGGGATGTCTTTTCATTTTTCTTGTGAGCACTTTAATTTATTTCAGCAGTGTTATATAGTTTTTCTTGTGGAGATCTTTTACCTCCTTGGCTAAATTAATTTATAGGGTTTTTCTTTGTAGCTATTGTAATTATGTTGCTTTCTTGATTCCTTTTTCTGCTATTTAACTGCTAGTATATAGAAATACTACTGATTTTTGTATGTTAATTTTGTATCCCGCAACTTTACTGAAATCTGATATCAATATGTTCCACAGGGAAAATGCGTATGGCCAGGAAATAACAAACTGATGCTATGATCCCATTGCCTTTCTGTATCTAAATATTTACAAAACAAGGCTCAAGAGATCACTTTCTCTGAGCCATGTGAAGACACAGCAAGAAGGTGGCAAGCCAGGATGCACTCACCAGGAACCAAATGTGTTGGCACCTTGATGTTAGATTTCCAGTCCCAAGACTTGTGAGAAATAAATGTCTACTGTTTCAGCCACTCAGTCTGTTTTGTTACAGCAGCCCAAGAAGACTAATACATTCCCTTTTAAGCACAACTTTTGTTTAATCAAGAATACGTTATTGAGTTATTAGATGAAGATATTCAGCAAAAGAACATATAACCAAAGATTCTAACCTTTGGGAGGTTGAGGCAGGAGAATTGACTGAAGCCAGGGGTTCCAGACCAACCTAGGCAGCATTGCAAGACCCTGTCAGAAAAAATAAAAATAAAAAGTTAGACAGGCATAGTGGCATGCATCTCTGGTCCCAGCTACTTGGGAGGCTGAGGAGGGCAGATAGTTTGAGCCCAGGAGTTCAAGGATGCAGTGGCTGTGATCAGACCATTGCACTCCAGCCTGGGTGACAGAGTGAGCCCCTGTCTCAAAACAACAAAAAGATTCCCACCACAGCTGTAACCTCAGCCCCTGCCTATCCCAGTGCTTGGCTCATCAAAAGCACTCAACAAATGTCTGTTGACTGCATTAATGATTAAATGATACCATAGAGTATTCACGCATCAAAGAAAACCTTTTTAATAATGTGACCTGCAACGTGTGTTCTCTCTTCTCTTTTCCCTGCAGAGCATATCTGTGACAGAAAGTTAAGTATATTTTACAACATGGTCTGTTTGACAAGTTCAATTTCATTTTATAAGCCAACTGATTTGTTGTGGAAAGTTGTGAGGCAAATGGTTCTCCCAGGAAAGGGAGGTTGCCAAGCGCTGTGCTTGCCTCCACTGCATGGCACATTTGTCAACCCCCTCTCATTCTCAGCAAGTCAAAAGGCATCCCAGGCCCTCAGCCTGACCCCAGCATTCAGCTGGACAGAGGCTGGGTTCCTGCCAGCTCTCCATGAACTCACACATGGCAGACAGGCCTGGTGGTCAAAGGGAGAGGCCAATGTGCAATCGAGACGGGGAATCCTGGGGATGCTGAGAACTGTCTCATCCTCACTCCTGTGGACACAGCTCTGTGTATTCAACGAGCCTCCTTGGAAATGTGTGACTTGCTTGTCTTCTCAGTGAGCACACTTCCTGCAAAAGGAAGCATCAGTCAGAGGCATGCAGGACTTGGTGTTCTTTCTGACAACACAAGCACAAGTGCAGCTTGCCCTTAGTTCTGTGAAGCAAAATCAGCATGAAATAATGATTTTAGGGGACCATACCACAATATTTTTAATATCTAGCTCCTTTTGTTGGGTCTCAAATCTGAAAGAAAGATCTGAATTCTGGGTCTTCCTTGTTGAGAGAGAGAGAGAGTGTTGAGGGGTGGGTGTGACTTTTAGCATATATTTTAAAGAATCACCTTACTTGCCAGAATAAATAAAAGCATGATTATGGTGAACCAGCTCAGCCTTTCCAGGATACCTTTATTTATTTATATATTTATTTACTTATGGAGAGACAGGTCCTTGCTCCGTCACCCAGGCTGGAGTGCAGCGGCCTGATCATAGCTCATTGCAGCCTCAAACTCCTGAGCTCAAGCAATTCTCACACCTCAGTCTCCCGCATAGCTGAGACCACAGGCACGTACCACCACACCCAGCTAATTTTTTATTTTTTTATAGTGTTGGAGTCTTGCTTTGTTATACAGGTAGGTCTGGAACTCCTGGCCTCAAGCAATCCTCCTGCCTCAGCCTTCCAAAGTGTTGGGATTAAAGGCGCGAACCACCAAGCCAGGCTTGGACACCAAAGCCCTGAGCCACAGGGTCAGCTCCTAGGTGAGGGGAACCTGGGATGGCCAAGAACCCCTGGATTCTTTTATATATATGTGTGTGTATGTATATATATATATATATATATATATATATATATATATACACTTTAAGTTCTAGGGTACATGTGCACAGTGTGCAGGTTTGTTACGTATGTATACATGTGCCGTGTTGGTGTGCTGCACCCATTAACTCATCATTTACATTAGGTATATCTCCTAATGCTATCCCTCCCCCCTCCCCCAACCCCATGACAGGCCCCGGTGTGTGATGTTCCCCATCCTGTGTCCAAGTGTTCTCATTAAGAACCCCTGCATTCTGTTAGCAAGATTATGTCTCCAGCTCCACTGGTGCTGTCCTTAGAGATTCCAAGGCATGAGTCTAGACTCTTCCAGACTTCGAGCCCTCAGCACCACCCTGGAAAAGACCACAGAGCCACAGATTCCAAGGCTGGGAAAGTTCTTAGTCTCTGGCCCCTCTGCCCCACCAGGAACATTCCAGAGTAGAGTTCATTCCACAGATATATACCCAGTCCCCGCCACATGCCAGGCACTGGGCTTGGCTAGGGTCAAGGTGGATGATAGAGACGCCAACATTTCCTGGGTACTCACCCAATGCCAGGTAACACAGCTGCACCTGAAAGTTTAGTGCAGCAGAAGCTATGAGAAGAGAGTTTGGGCAGACACATTCTTTGAACAGATGACTGTGTGTGAGTGGATAGAGAAGGAAGGGGGTATGTGGACAGATCGATGGAAGCTGTCGCAAATATCCAGGTGAGAAACAGCATGGAAAATGATGTTGGGGATGGGAAGAACACTCCAAGGAGAGAAGAGGCCAGTGGATCAAGGATCAGGGTCCTCAGCATGAGTCAGTGAACCCCGAAGAGTGCACTATGACCAGAGAACCTGGAGAGAGGCACCTGTCTACACAGCATATATGGCTGGAGAAATATAGGCCTTTGGTCATAGTGTCCATTCCATTTTGCTCAGGTTAAAGCTCTTGGACTTCATCTCGAAGGTGATGGGAACCCACTCTCAGATCTTAAAGAAGACAGTTGACATGATCAGATTTAACACTCAGAAATTCACCCTCTAGGCTGCAGGAGGGGTGCTGGGAATTGAGAGAAGAGGGTTTCTGGAGGCTTCTATAAGAATGAATGTCAAATCAGCTTCTTCATTTTTAAAATGATGTTAAAAAATAACTCATTTTGGGTTTTGGAGAGTCTATAAAATAACAATCATAATAACTATCATTCATCGTGCACTTAGGCATCATGCCAAAGGCCTCACATACAAAATCTCATTTAATGTAAACTTCAAAACAACCTACAAGATAGATTTGATTGCCTGACTTACACCGATGAGAATATTAAGTATCAGAGAGTTTGAAATTTTGCCTGAGCTCATCCAGCTATTAGGGCAGAGCTGGATTGTAAAACCACAACCATTTAACTGGGGACATCCAACTCTTAAACTTCTCATGTCCTGAAATATATAGAGTAGGACAGGATTCATTTACATTTCACAGATGAGGAACTGAGGCTCAGAGAAATTAACAATTTTCCCAACCCCAGAAGAAGAGGTCTCCTCAGTCTTATACCATGTTGGTTTTATCAATCAGAAGGTAACACTCAGATGATTTTTATGGCATTATCACCTACTAACATCCCAGGTCAGATATTTTCATTCAAATGCATGCTTTCTTATGAGCAAGACCTTTAATGATTTGGAGAAGAACAGGAAAAAAAAAAAATATATATATATATATACATATATATATATATGTATTTGGAGATGGAGTCTCACTCTGTTGCCCAGGCTGGAGTGCCGTGGCACCGTCTCAGCTCACTGCAACCCCCGCCTCCTGGGTTCAAGCAATTCTCCTGCCTCAGCCTCCCGAGTAGCTGGGACTACAGGCACACAACACCATGCCCGGCTAATTTTTTGTATTTTAGTAGAGATGGAGTTTCACTGTGTTGCCCAGGCTGGTCTTGAACTCCTGAGCTCAGACAATCCACTCACCTCGGCCTCCCAAAGTGCTGGGATTACAGGCGTGAGCCACGGCGCCCGGCAAATATTTTTAATGCAGTGAAAAAGGGAGACGGTGTGGCAGACTCCATCAGAGAGGCCAGGCACAAAGTCAGGGTGAAAAGAGAGGGCAGCTCTAGGAGAGCTTGGGAGCAACAGAGGACATGGCAGTACTGAGTGACCAGGAAGGGGCTCCAAGGGAATGCAGGATGGGCAGGCAGCTGCCGGAGCTGAACAGATCGTCCTCTCCCATGAAGGCCTGTGTGAATCACCTGTGGTCCCATGGAAGGCTTTTGCCGGCAGGGAGTGATGCTGGAGGCTGCCACACCCTCCTGCCTCTTCCCAGGGCAAGGAGACAAACAAAAAGGAGACTGATGGTGCTTAAAAGTAAGCTTTTCCAGATAGTTTTCCTTTTGACAACCTCCTTGTTCTTGTGATTAAGCTATTTCATGCAATTGCTGCTAACATCTGTATTTCCAGAAAAGCCAAAGCAATTTATTTGGAAGATGAATTCAAGCCCTTGAACAAACCACACAGAACATTGTGACTGAGGCGAAAATTCAAGAAGAAATGAAATCACTAATGGAGTTCCATAAGTCTGGGGCTATTTGTGATTTCTGCAGACAAAGTGACTGAGCCCCAACCTCTGGCATCAAATCCCTGTGCAGCTCATCCATGCGACACTGTCTTTTACAGAGCGGATCATGGGAATTCCTGGTCTCGCCTGAAACAGTGAAATTCCTGGGGTTATTTAATCCCTCATTTCACTTTAAGCACCTACTTGGATGATTACAAATGGCAGCACATGTACACCAGACTCACCGGCCTAAAGTCATTATGAAAATGCTTTTCAGCTATTCTGTTAAATCACTGAGGTTTAAAAAAGTGTTTCCATAAATCCTCAACTCTTTAACACCACTAATTGCAAAACACACATTTTAAATTCAAAACAACTTTCTCAGGGGGAGGAGGGAGAACACACTACATTTATTGTAGCTTTTATTTTTATACTACAGCCCAATTTCAGGAACAGAAAAATATGAAAAAAGAAAAATGTGAATCTTTAAATGGAACCGAAAGGAATTTGCCTAAAAAAGCAATGCTTCAACATTTTTAATAACATCTTGGAGAAATCTCCTTTAAATAACCTCAAAGCCTTTTCTTGTCTTACCTTAATTTAGCTTCAGAAATTTGGGGTAGGTAGGAGGGAAAGATGGCATCACCTCTGTTTCACACGTGGTCAAGAGGAGGGGAGCATCCTGCTGAAAGGTGCTATCTTAGTCCACCCGTGCTGCTACAACAAAACACTTGGGACTGGGTAATTCATAACAAACAGGAATTTTTTTTTTTTTTTTAGTTTTGGAGGCTGGGAGTTCAAGACCAAGCCTCTGCAGACTCGGTGTCTGGTGAGGGCTGCTCTCTGCTTTCCAAACGGGGCTCTTTGAGTGCTGCTTTCTCTGGAGGGAATGAATGTTATGTCTTCACACAGCATGGCGCAAGAGCTCAAGAGAAAGCACCACTTTCTCAAGCCCTCTTATAAGATCCCTAATCCCCTCCATGAGGGCTCTACCCTCATGATTTAATCACTTCCTAAAGGCCCCCACCCCACTTAATACCATCACATTGGCAATTAAGTTTCAACACATGAATTTTGGGTGACCCACACAGACTATAGAATTCTGCCTCAGACCCCAAAATTCATGTCCTTCTCACATGCAAAATACAGTCCTCCCATCGAGTAACCCCCAAAATCTTAATACATTCCAGCACCATCTCGAAAATCTAAAGTCCAGAGTCTCATCTCAATCATATATGGGTGAGACTCAGGTTAAGATTCAACATCAGAAAAAGTCCTCTCCAGCTGCAAGCCTGGAATCAGAGTTTATGTGCTTCCAAAACACAGCAGTGGGACAGGAACAGGACAGACATTTCTAGTCAAAAGGAAGCAATAGACAAGAGGAAAGGAGGAGTAGGTCTCAGGTTTCCAAGTAAGTCCAAATCCAACAAGGCAAACCTTAAAGTTCAGCTATGGCTTCATGTCCCACCCTCTAGGGGTTCAGCCCCCAAAGCCTCGGGTCCCCAACCCTACAGCAGCTCTTCCATTTGGTGTCATATGTCTGTGACTCTCTTTGGCTGGCATTGCACACTCGTTACTCAACAGTTATGGGGTCTCAGGGGTGGCCCTACTCTCACCACTCTTCTAGACCTTGCCCTAACGGGGGCTCACTTTAGCTACTACCACTCATGGCTCCACTGGGCATTGCTCTAGTGTGGGCTGTCTTCAGCACCCCCACCCTTGTGGTAGTGCTATGTCTGGGCCCCAAGTTTGTCTGAGGCATCCTTTGAAATCTGGGTGGAGGCAGCCATGCCCCCATAGCTCTTGCACTCTGAAAGCCTGCAGAATTAGCACCACGTGGATGCCACTACGTGTTTATTGCTTGCAGTAATGGTGGCTGGAACGGTGGCTGGAGCTGCACCTGGGGTAGCCAAGGAGTGCTATGTCACAATATAGTGGGCAGACACTTGAGGTGGCCTAGAGCAGTGAGCTCAGAGGTCCCACACAAGTGTCCTGGGCATTCCCTTGAAATCATCTTTCCCTTAAGGCCATTGCTCTGTGGGCCTATGATGGATATGGCAGCCTTGAAGATATCTGAAATATTGGTCATTCTTCCCCTGTCTAGATCAATAGCATATGGCTTCTTTCTATCCATACTAATCTCCCCTTAAATGTTCACTTGGACACACACTTGATATTCTCTCCTGAACATGCTTTTACAAAATGGCCAGGCTAAGAGTTTTCCAAATCTTTAAGTTCTAGCTCTCTTTTAATTATAAATTCTATCTTTAATTTTTTTCTCTTTTCTCACATTTTACTATAAGCTGTCAAGAGAGGCCATACACCACCTTCAACACTTTGCTTAGAGATTTCTTCCACCAAATATCCTAGTTCATTATTCACAAGTTCTGCCTTTGCCAAAGCACTAGGACAGAGACACATTTCAGGCCAACTCTTTGCCATTTTATAACAAGGATTGCCTTTCCTCTAGTAGCCCTCATTTCTGTCTCAGACCTCATCAGAATTGCCTTTACCATCCATATTCCTATCAACATTCTGGTCACAACCACCTGAGTAATCTCTAAGAGGATTCAGGCTTTCCCTACAGCTGTCCTCTTCCAAGCCCTCACCATATCTCCCTTGATAGTCCATTTACAGCAATGCAGGCTTTTTCTGGCATAAATCTCAAAACTGTTCCAGCCTCTATGCATTATCCAGTTCCAAAGCCACTTCCACATTTTCAGGTGTTTGTTGTAACAACTTTTCTGTCCTGGTCTGTTTGTGCTACTTTAATAACAAAATACTTGACACTGAGTAATTTATAAAGAACATAAATTCATTTTCTCACAGTTCTGGAGGCTGGGAAGTCCAAGATCAAGGTGCTGGTAAGACCAGCATCTAATGATAGCTGCTCTCTGCTTTGAAGATGGTGCCTTGTTGCTATATCCTCTGGAGGGCAGGAATGCTGTGCCTTCACATGGCAGAGACAGAAGAGCAAATGGGGATGGATTATGTATTCTCACTTGCCAGAAGACAGGAAAAGAAAGAACATACTCACTCAAGCCCTTTTATAAGAGCCCTAATCTCATTCATAAAGGCTTCACCCTCATGACTTAAGCACAGGCTAAAGGTCCCACCTCTTAATGCTATCCTATTGGTGATGAAGTCTCAACATATGAGCTGTAGGGACATATTCAGGCCATAGAAGCTACTCGGCTTGCAGATTGTAGAAGCAGAGCTAGAGTCCAAGGCTCCAGAATCCTCATGAGTGACAGTCCAAGGCTCCAGAATCCTCATGAGTGACTTTTTTCTCTGCATTCTTCACTCACGGGTTCCCTTTCGCAGCCATCACATTCAAAAAGATAAGGACACCCACCAAAGGCAACAGTCTAGGCAGACTTCCAGGAAAAGAGCATGTTGTGAGTTCAAGGCACATCATTTCCTGTTGCTGCTATAACAAACCATCGCCAGCTCAGTGGCCCCAAAACAACAAGACTTACTCTCTTATAGTTTTGGAGGCCACGAACTTGAAACCAGTTTCACTGGACTAAAGTCAAGGGCTGGTTTCTGCTGGGGACTCTGGAAGAGACTTCATTTTCTTACCCTTTCCAGCTTCAAGGGCTCCCTGTATTCTGTGGCTCGCAGCTCCTTCCTCATTTAATTACAACCTTCTGTTTCCATGATCACAGGACTTATGATTGACTAGGCCCCTGGGACATTCCAGCAAGAAGCAGGAGATGAAGAGTCCCACTGGAGTGACCAGCCAGAGAGGACATCCAGTCTAGCACAGGTCGGGGTGGGTTGCAGTCACCTTGGGAAGGACCACAGTACTTCACCCAAGGACCTCGTGGTGACAACACAGATTCCAGGCTCTCAGCTTTCCTTTGTAGTAAGTGAGGCTGCAACCCCAGGAGCAAGGAGGAGGAAAAGGAACAGATTCTGAAGGTCATACTCCGAGCCAGGTTAGAGGGTGATGCCCTGATAAGGTTTGGGGTAGGCGGGGATTGCAGGAATTTGTGTTTTGTTTAATTTTGAAAGTGTGGAAGCCGGGCGCTGTGGCTCATGCCTGTAATCCCAGCACTTTGGGAGGCCAAGGCGGGTGGATCACAAGGTCAGGAGATTGAGACCATCCTGGCTAACACGGTGAGACCCCGTCTCTACTAAAAAATACAAAAAATTAGCCAGGCGTGGTGGCAGGCACCTGTAGTCCCAGCTACTCCGGAGGCTGAGGCAGGAAAATGTCGTGAACCTGGGAGGCGGAGCTTGCAGTGAGCCGAGAGATCGCGCCACTGCCCTCCAGCCTGGGCAACAGAGCGAGACTCCATCTCAAAAAAAAAAAAAAAAGAAAGTGTGTAAAATGTAAAAGTGAATTTGAATTACTAAATAGCAAAATAACTTGGTCCATTTCCATAAGTTTAATAAATTACACAGTAATGGGAACCAAGTGGCAATGACTGCTCTCCCCACACACTGAAACCCCCTAGAGAATTTAAATCCCAACTAAATGGATGCCTCATTACCCCCATGGGCTCAGCCACACAGGGTTTTCTCAAGCAGTTCAGAGTTGTCCTTCCCAGTTTTAACCTACAGCTGAGTCTAGTCTTCAGGGTATTGAATATGGCAGGTCTGATGGGCAGAGGGACTGATATCATCCACATCAGCACAAGAGGATGTCCTTGTCTCTGCCAGAGTCTGGTCCTGGCTACAGGCAGGACCAGGGACAAGGACAACCTGTTGCTCACCCAGCTGAGCATGGGCCTGCCTCCTCTTACTGTCAGCCTTGACTGACCGTGTGTCCACCTGGTCCTCACCACTGGGCTCTGGCCCTATCTCAGTTACATGTATACTTCTGATGGTTGTGGGGTAGGGTCCTCCATACACTCTGTGCCTTTCTCCCCTGCTCTGGAGCTGAAGGGGGTTCAGGGGACTGCCCGACACATCGTCTCTGCCTTGGCACACCTGTGGCTGAGAGCAGCTTGATGGGGGTTTTCTACATCCCAGGGCCCCAGCTGGGGAGCTGGACACCACCCTCGACTCTCAATCTCCTAACTGCCATGCCTTCCCTCAGGGTTCAACACAGGGTGGAAGGTTCAGGGCCGCCTCGTGGGAAACTGCAGCAACCACATTGCTTTGCTCTCAGATTCTTTCCCATCCCCAAGCATTCGAAGCTTTTGTCTGGTCTGGGCAAATGGGGAATACTAGTTTTAACAACTGATTATGCATTTTTCTTTCCCTATTTGTCACTCCAGAGCTTCTATTCTTCGATTCAAGAGACTTTTCTGGCCCAGCCTGTGAACTGTACCTTGGTTTCCAAGGTCTGTTTGAACCTAAAAAGTTAGGTATAGACGCCTTCTTGTTCTCTCCATTTCTGCTGTAAGAAGCTTACCCTGGGGCCCTGCCTCCCGGGATGGGGGCAGCCAGGTACAGTGTGTGATGGGAAGACTCTCCAGTGACAATGGCACTGTTAAGGGTCCCCAGCAGCACACCCAGACACAGGTGCTGTTTTTATGCCTGTCCTATAGCACTTGGCAGATGTGGCTTCCACTGGATGGGTGCCCCGGTAGCAAATAGATGCATTATTTCTAAAGACTAGAGAGTCAGTTTCCAAATTCCCAAGATGGATAACAGGATGTCTGCAGCAGACTCACCTTGCAAATGTCTCTAAAACATAATGTCCAGGCCTTTACCCCCGAGTCAATGGGGCTGGAGGAGCCTGGGATGCTCCATCTCTGTCATTGTTCAGCCAGAAGGTTCTGGTGGGCAACTGGGTTGAGAATCCCTGTTACAGAAAGCTTGTTTCCCAAAAAAGAACCCTCTTAGCTCTTAGAGAGAATCATAATTTCTGGTGTTTTTGCCAATAACTCAGGGACATTACCAGTGTAAGAAAAATTATCTTTACAAGATTGTGGACAGGAAGATCTTTCTGACTTTTGGTAATGCACTAAGCATAAAGTTCAAGACCATCTTCCAAAGATGAATGTCATATTCATAGTCAAATTGGTTGGTTTCCTTTAGAAAACTAACAGTTTATTCCTATATTTGCACTTACATTGTGATTGATAAGATTTTTTAACTTACAATACAAAAATACAAACTGCAAAAAGTAACACAAAAGTAGAAAATGTGGAAAACAGAGGTAAACAAACCAGGGAAAATTGCCACTCATAATCTCCCCACTATGAAATAACCATATTAGGCTGGGCGCGGTGGCTCACGCCTGTAATCCCAGCACTTTGGGAGGCCAAGGCGGGTGGATCACAAGGTCAAGAGATCGAGACCATGCCCAACATGGTGAAACCTCGTCTTTACTAAAAATACAAAATTAGCTGGGTGTGGTGGCAGGCACCTGTAGTCCCAGCTACTTGGAAGGCTAAGGCAGGAGAATTGCTTGAACCCGGGAGGTGGAGGTTGCAGTGAGACGAGATCACACCACTGTACTCCAGCCTGCATAACAGAGCGAGACTCCATCTCAAAAAGAAAGAAAGAAAGAAAGAAAGAAAGAAAGAAAGAAAGAAAGAAAGAAAGAAAGAAAGAAAGAAAGAAGGAAAGAAAGAACCACATTACCATGCTGGCATGCATACTTTCCATCCTTTTCCCCATGTTAATGTGTAGAAGGTACACAGACATACATAGACAGCATTCATGCCCCTCCCCCAGCTCCAACAAAGGGCACCTCTTCATGCACAGAAGCCTGCTGTCTTCAGGATACTTGGTTCCAAAAAACAAACACAACCTCTGGTTAACTTAAGTAGAAGAGTGATTGTGGGAGAAAAACAATTGCTTCCTAAAGCTGAAGCTGTCCATATCCTAATCCTCAGCACTGGTGACTCTGTCACTTCACCTGGTAAAAGGGATTCCACAGGTGTGATTCAGTTAACGGTGTTGCAATGGGAGATAATCCTGGATAATCACAGGCCTGGATGTAATCAGAAGGGGACTGATAAGAGGGAGGCAGGGGTCAGAGTTAGAAAACGGAAGCAGAGGTAGGAGTGACATGGAACAATGAGCCAGCTCTCAAAATTAGAAATCACCAGGGAAGGGATTATCTTCCAGCCTCCAGAAGAAACCAGGTTCGCAGATACCTTGATGTTAGCCCCTAAAATCCAGTCTGGACTTCTGACCTCCAGAACTGTAAGATAATCCACTTATGTGTGTGTGTGTGTGTGTCTGTGTGTGTGTGTGTCTGTGTGTGTGTGTGTGTGTGTCTGTGTGTGTGTCCGTGTGTGTGTGTGTGTGTGTGTGTGTGTGTGTGTGTGTGTGTGTGTGTGTTTTGAGATAGAGTCTCACTCTGTTGCCCAGGCTGGAGTAGTACAGTGCTGCCATCTCAGCTCCCTGCAACCTGCCTCCCAGGTTCAAGTGATTCTTGTGCCTCAGCCTCCTGAGTAGCTGGGATTATAGGCGTGCACCACCACACCCAGCTAATTTTTGTATTTTTAATAGAGATGGGGTTTCACCATGTTGGCCAGGCTAGTCTCAAACTCCTGGCCTCAAGTGATCCACCTGCCTTAGTCTCCCAAAGTGCTGGGATTACAGGCTTGAGCCACGGTGCCAGGCCTACTTATGTTGTTTTAAGGCACTAAGTTGTGATCATTTGTTACAGCAGCCAAAGAGAATTAATATAGGTGCCTTATCTGAAAGGCATCTCTTAGCTCACAGAATCCACTGGATGCTGGGAAGCCAGACTGGCACAGACAAGCCAAGGAAGCAAGGTGCAGCCAAAGCTTGCTCACAGCATGACCGGCGTGACGCCCAGACGTTTGTCTCTGGATTCGCTCCCAGAGCTTCCCCTACAGGGACTTCCGTCCCCTGCCACCGGACAACTGCCCTTTGACAATGGGCTTCCACCTTCCCTGCAGTTGCCCCACTGACTCTGCCTGACCCCGTGCCTTCATTCACTCCACAGGAAATCACATCCTTAGATGCCCCTTGTGGCTTTCCTCCAGGGTGGCCCCAGCTCTGTCCACCAGGCAAGGAGTTGGCTTGTGATGTGGTTTGGCTGTGTCCCCACCCAAATCTCATCTTGAGTTGTAGCTCCCGTAGTTCCCACATGTCATGGGAGGGACCTTGTGGGAGATCATTGAATCATGGGCGTGGTTTCCTCTATTTTGTTCTCGTGGTAGTGAATAAGTCTCATGAGATCTGACGGTTTTATGAGAGGTTTCCCCTTTTGCTTGGTTCTCATTCTGTCTCTTGCCTGCTGCCATGTAAGATGTGCCTTTTGCCTTCTGCCATGATTGTGAGGCCTGCCCAGCAATGTGGAACTGTGAGTCTATTCAACCTTTTTTAAATAAATTATCCAGTGTTGGGTATGTCTTTACCAGCAGCATGAAAATGGACTAATACAGCTTGCCTTCCCCTGTGGCCTCACCTTCCTCTGCAGAGCTCAGACCCCCACCTGCTGTCTATTTGGGATTCCAAAAACAGTAAGGCATCCAGGTGCTTTGGAATCAAGCAGCCACTCCACCAGGTGGTCTCACTTCACTCTGTCCTCGTGTCATCAATGTCATTCGTTTTCTACAATCTAATCTTTTAAAGGCTTCTGTGTACAGTTGAAGCATGTAGGTTGTTTCTAATATATTCTATTTTAAACAACACTGCAGTGAACATCTGTCTAGTTAAATCTTTGGGCACATCCATGATTATTTTCTTAAGATAAACTTCTCAAAGTTGAACTCCAGCACGGATGGTGTGACAGCACATCAAGGCTCTTGTTGGACAAGACTCAGGGCAAACCCCCGTGTCAGTGACATGACAAGATGCAGGGCAAACCCCACGTCAGTGACATGACACGGCAGTCAACATTCTTGTTGCCAGATACATTCATATGAGAAGTGTACATTTGCACAATCACACACAGAGGCAAAAGGTTTTTGAAAGCTGGCATTAAATACTGTGTTTCTCATGACTACGTCTTTTCTCAGGTTCTGTGTTTTTTTTTTGGTGGGGGGCATAGCATGTAGGGAATTGAAATAGTAATATCACAGACTCCAGCACTGGCATCAAGAAAGAACATTATTTCAGTGATAAATATGTAATGTTCAAACTTTCCTTACGTGCGGCAAATGTGTTTGCCTGCCCTTTCGCGGCTCTTCGAGTTAGTGTTGGAAACGTGTCCAAATATGATTGGTCACATCTTTGGTTAGCATTTCGGTGTGGAATAGTACCGTTTGAATGCTACCCTTTCCGTGTATCTGCAGGTGTGCACATGCATGTATATGTATGTACAAATAGCAGACTATTTCTGTGATGAATATGTAATGTTCAAACTTTTCTTACGTGCGGCAAATGTGTTTGCCTGCCCTTTCGCGGCTCTTCGAGTTACTGTTGTAAATATGTGTCCAAATATGATTGACCACGTCTTTGGTTAGCATTGCAGTGTGGAATAGTACCGCTTGAATGCTATCCTTTCCGTGTATCTGCAGGTGTGCACATGCATGTATATGTACAAATAGCAGACAGATTCAAGTTTCAGTACAGCCAATCCCAACTAGAAGACCTCGGATCCATAATGAGATGCATGACAAATAGAAGTCATATACCCACAGTACACATGCTGGAGTGTCCAAGCATTCATGCAATTCTTTTCTTTTCTCTTCTTTCTCTTTTTTTTTTTTTTCTTGAGACAGAGTTTCACTCTTGTTGCTCAGGCTGGAGTGCAATGGCGTGATCTCAGCTCACTGCAACCTCTGCCTCCCGGGTTCAAGCAATTCTCCTGCCTCAACCTCCCAAGTAGCTGAGATAACAGACACCCACCACCACGCCCGGCTAACTTTTTGTATTTTTAGCAGAGACAGGGTTTTACCATGTTGGCCAGGCTGGTCTCGAACTTCTGACCTCAGGTGATCCACCTGCCTCAGCCTCCCAAAGTGCTGGGATTACAGGCGTGAGCCACCATGCCCGGCCCACGCAATTTCTTTACTCTGCAAAAATATTTTTGGCTCAGTCCATTCATACAGTCCAGTTGCTCACAGACAGCGCCTCCTTCTCACTTTTCTCAGGAACCCGCTTCTCAACTCCTACCCGCCACTGTTTCTGGTTAGTAAGAGGGTGAGATAAAATATGGAGAATGCATGGGGACCGCGAAGGGGGAGGTTTTGAAATCGATTAAAAAACTCGACCTGCGTTAGTATTAGATTTTTCCTTATGTTTAATTAAGTCTAATTAAACAATGCTGACATCTTCTTGGCACCTGTGGTGCAATGATGTTAAATATTTAATGCTTGTGAAGGATTAGGCTACACTTCTAATCTATAGCTAACAATCTGTTCCCTCTCTGGAGTATTTTTTATTTAGTTCTGCTTTTGTATAATGAGTTACATTTCAAAGGAGATTGTTAAAAACTTCAGCACCGATGGGCCACGTTGTTGCCCAGCGGATTGGAAGGAGAGGCGCCATGCCACGCCACTTCTATCTGGGCCAGTCCTCGGTGGTGGTTTCCTACAGAGAGAGAGAAGGCAAAGGTGAAAGTCACCAAGGGGCCTCTTCAGGGGCTTTTTCAGCCCCATGGAGCCCGGTGACTAAGGACGCTGAACACATGGACACAAGCTCACATTGAAAACACCTCTCCATGCTCTGCAGATATTTCCCTGAATGTTCTCTGGCCCCCTTCTCCCTAACGGCTGTCAGTTGAATAATGAAAAATTATATTTGTATATGTGTACATCTTTTGTATATTGCATATTTGTATATTGTATATGTATGTCTTAAAATTGCATGTCTTTACCCGCCTCCTCCAGCACACACCCACCCCTCTGCCTCTCAGAGAAAATGAAGCCGTGCTAGAGAGATGAGCACCTATTTCAAAGAACTCGCTTCAAAAAAAAAGTCTGTGGCTATTTCTGGAACTAGAAATGCCGAGTAAGGCTGTTTGCAAATTGTCAGGCTCAGCCTCTAAAGGAAACCCAGTCCCTCCTGATTCATCTTGGCCTGAAGTTGTTTCTGATAGGAGAAATTCAACTTGCTCTTCGCATATGCAACAATCGGTACGAGACTCTCAAAACGGGAAGCCTGCTTTCATTTCTCTGATGATTCCTAATATTTTGAATATGTTTAAGAACAAAAGACAGATTCATGTAATGAGCTTCCAATTGGCTGAATCTGTGTAATCAATTTCTCAGGGTTTTTAATTTTCTTCCCTCCTCCGCACAGCATGGCGGCAGTAGAAACTTCTTACTCCTAAGTTGGAAAGAGGATCCAGTAGCCTCTTTGGTTAAATCAATTGAACTTTTAAAAATTTAAATTAGCTCACTTATACAAGTTCTGGTGGTGATGAATTATCCTCAGGGTTTTTGGGCAGAGATGAAAATTAACTCTACTCCTTGCAATTAAGTTCCAAGTCTTCTAAAAAGAGACCCCAGGAGTGACTCCTGGGAAGGATGGCTTCCCCAGAAGCCGCAGCTCCTACCCCAAAATCCCTCCCAAGGAGGATGGCAGAGAAGAAGGCAGCAGAAAGCCAGGCACACGCACAAAAGGAAAGTTTTGTCCATAAATGGAGAGATACATTCGGTCCCATGTCAAATAGCAGGAGCTCCCAAGATCTGTGGGTGAGTCCGTGTATTTTTGATGTGCAGTAGTGACAATTCCATTCTGGAGTGGGCAGCTCATGGGTGGATTTTAAGTATAATTCATTTGTAAGAATCTACCTCCACCTGTAATCCCAGCACTTTGGGAGGCCAAGGCGGGTGGATCACCTAAGGTCAGGAGTTCGAGACCAGCCTAGCCAACATGGCGAAACCCCATCCCTACTAAAAATACAAAAATTAGCCAGGTGTGGTGACACGCACCTGTAGTCCCTGCTACTCGGGAGGCTGAGGCAGGAGAATTGCTTGAACCTGGGAGGTGGAGGTTGCAGTGAACTGAGATTTCACCACTGCATTCCAGCCTGGGTAACAGAGCGAGACTCCGTCTCAAAAAAAAATAAAGAAAGAAAGAATGCACCCCCCAAAGGAAAACATGGCTTTGCCCCACCAGACCCACCAGAGCAGTGGCAGGAACAGGAAACAGCTACTCACCACATGTTGTGAAGGCCAGATCACGTCTATTCAGGAGCATAACTGGATTTTCAAATATAACTTCACACTTATGTAAAATTAATAGGGTATTCATTATAAAATCTATGTGGCATCTTATTAAATGCTTCCTGTCACTGGAAGCAGAAGGTGAAGTTCCTTAAGCTGGGGTTTTGTTGCCCTCTAGTGAATGAGGTCAGCATTATGCATGCAAAATTATTTTGATTGCTGCATAATTAATGTTTACGGAGGTAGGAAGGAGAACCAAGCCCCAGCCTGTTCACAAGGGCTATGCGTGTATATCTATGTGTACCTGTGTGTGCGTGCACATGCGCGCTTGTGTGTGTCTCCATCCCCCATAAACCCACCCCCACCTTCCCTGAACTTGACTTCATTAACATATGGAAGCCATTTCTTCTCTCCTGTCACTGTTATCTTTTGGCATGGAAGTTTAGTTTTATACGGCTATCAACAGGCAAAGATCCAAGCATAAAGAATAAATCAACAGAGCTGATCTGAGACGCAGCACTTTAATGCATAAGTGTATATTTAATGTGTCTGCTGAAAGAATGTCTAATTACCCTGTCATTGAACAAAGCGCATGTTCAACTGTGATAAATTATGCCATCCTTTACTTCTACAAAACATATTGAGATTGAGAAAAGCTGCAGCAAAATCACCACATCATCCACCCAATAGGACAAGTTGGCATTGCCCAGACCACCACGGGAGCAGAGGAGAAACCACCGGGTAAGGGTTCAGAAGCTGCATTTCAAACCTTGGCTACTGCGCTTGGCGAGAAGCAAGCCCTTTCTGCACGGCGAACCTCCTTCAGCTTGAGTTGTCCCCTGTATCGGTCTGTTATTGACACTAGATTCACGGCGTCTATATTCTGCCATTCTGAATCCCAGTTTGCCAGAAGGCTGGATGCCAATATCCAAAGAGAAGCCAGTCTGTATTTCAGGAAAAGGGAAGGGAAAGCCCAGGCGCCTAGCACCTCAGTGCTTGCTGCAGGAGCAAGGCTGCTGGCGTCTCCCTGAGGCTTATTTATAGGCACGCCTCTTCCCACGAGAGGCTACGAGATTCAGACACCAGGTGCCACATCTCTAAGAATTCAACCCCCCAAAGGGATTATAGAAATGAGGATGAATATATTATAGCAATATGCCCCTTTTGAGCTGCACCAAGGAGAGTAACGCAAGGAGGGGGTACAGTGGGGGAAATTGTGGGTGACAGGAAACCAACCAAAGTGCAACTACTGATGCGTTCAGCCCATCGTGGGTGGGAGGAGACCCAGGCGATAATATCTGAGAAGTGTTCTAGAAGCCAGGGACATGGCGGCCAAACTGGGGTGATGTCAGGGAGGTGTCTCCTGCTAAGGTTCTGCAATATGGATTCATCTCAGTAAGTAGGTCACCACCAACTCACGCCCACCTTTGTCACCCCACACCCTCCACCCGCTTTCCTTCCCTGGGTCTCAGTACAGACCTGTCAGCTCCCCAGCCACCAGCCTTGGCAGTCCCCAAGCCCTCCACAAGCAGGAGAGGCAGTTCCAGCTTCGAGCCCCAGAACCAGGTGCTTGTGTCATGCAGGAGCAGAGTAGAAACCACGCTGTGCTGTGTGATTTGTGCAGCGCTGGGGCCCACGGACACAGAAGCGCTGGCTTTCTTTTTATGTCAGCAAGAGCCATAACAAACCAGGGAGAGAAAATATGATTTCATCTGCCCTGGTATCTATTCCTTTCCTGAGAGAATGCCCAGAGTAGCAGTCTGTTTCTTCAATGGCGATTATATTTCTTATTTCTTTGATTACCTCTTGTAATAGCGTTCTTTTATTTACCGACATATAAGAGAAGGCTTTACCACGATGTCTCCATCACGGGTAAAATACACATCCCGTAACATCAGTCCCTTTATTTGCTTTCCTGAATTGTGATCTATAGACTAAAGGGCAAATGAAAAATAGAGATAAAAAATCTATTTCTGATACCATATTGGCTCTAAAATGTCAAAGTTTTCTTTATTGCTTTAGGAGATTTGTACCCTTATTTATCTCTCTCGTTTTATTTTCAAAGGCTGCAGTCTCCGCACTGTTTGACGGGATGCTGTTTTCATGTACAATCAGGGCTCTCCCTTGCTGCTTGTTGGTATTTTATCAAGACCTCCTAAGGCAGCAGAGAAAGAAAAGCCAGAAACCCAGCTGCACAGAGACTGCAGGTCAGTCACTGATATGCCACGTGGGTGGCCGGTGACACGTGCACGTGGCCACAGCTGATCTCAGTAATAAGCAGTGATAGGCACTCCATGTCTCAGAATACTAAGAAATTGATAGACACACTAAATACCGTGCTTCTAAAGGACCATTTAGGGTCTCAAGTGATCCGACCAGAATTGAGTAGCCCAAGCTGTGTGCCAGGGTCGTTCTGAAGTTAAAAGCTCTAAGTTAGTCAAAATTCTTCCGCTCCTGGAAACAAAATGTACCTTCAGAATGAGGCCGTATGGAAGGAGGTCATTTCCTCTGTTCCGGTCAAACTGACTAAATGGAGAACATAATGAAATTGTACTTGAAACAAAGGCAAGGATTATAGCAGAGAGGCTCCTTCTCCCTTTTTAACACTTGTCTCCAAAACTCACCAAGAACCTGGGCTGCAAAAAGGAAGAGAAGAGAATGCCCAGAAATGCTTCCCTTCCTCGAGCCTGCTCCACGTTTCCCGTCCTTCCAAGATGGGTGGATTGAAGTTCTAAAAAATGATGAACTAATGATTCTGGAAAAAAAAAAATCTGTGTACTTCCCTGAGACAGAGACTGGCTTTGTCCTAGAAACGTTCTTTTCCATCCTAGAAATGGAAAGAACAAACAGAAAGGAAAGAAGCTCACGATTTGAGGAGTACTGGAGGGTTTTCCATCCTGGCCCAGGCAGTGAAGCCATGCTAGTCCACGCGGTAGAGTCACAGCACTCTGCCAGAGGAGGTCTTGCCCCTCCATGCAGGGGATACCTGGAAACACCTGGAACCACATCTGGTTGTCACAGCTGGAGAAGAGTGGGTGGAGGCCTAGGACGCTGCCGTACACCTTACAGTGCACAGGATGACCCCCAAAACAGAGAATTTTCTGGTCCACAATGACAGTAGCCAATCAGGCTACTGTGGAGATGTGGAGAAATGTGGAGATGCTGAGAAATGAGAAATGCTCCTCTAGAGAGACTGTCACACATTTCAGCACTGGGCAGCTTTTAATTATTTCTTATACCTTAGTTTTGTTTTCTTAACCAAAGAGTCTACCGCATCTCTCAGAATTATATTTCATCTCCTGAGCCCCTGGCAGGAGGATGAGCCTTCATTATGTCACCCACAAAGATGAGACTTGCTGGTAAAGGTGTGTCAGAAGCCCAGAGACCTCTCAGTGCCCAGTAAAGTGAAGACTTTGGGGAGCAGAGAAATTTAGAACAGTCATGACAAGTACCACCGTCCATTTAAAGATGTTTTTCTTCAAGTGTCTTCTTCCAAATTGCCACCAGCCCATTCATTTAGGTGGCAATTGCATTGCTGCTGGAATGCTAGGGGAAGGAGGAGAGGCCACGACGAAGCTAAAAAAGCGAAACCGCCACAGCCTGGGGTTCGGATCTCGCCTCCGCCGCAGCTCGTGTGTCACTGTGGCCAGTCTCTTTACCTCTCAGGCCCTTAGATTCCACCTTTGAAAAATGTGGTTGATGATAATAAAAACTACCCCTCAGAACTGGGATTAAGGACTCAAAGAATTTGAAACGTGTTTAAACATGCCCGCCACATTTTAGGCGCTGGGGTCAGAGGTTCTGGATTCTCCTTGGTGCATCTGTTTCTGCCCCTTACTTTAGAGCCATGACATCAGACTAGTGTTTCCAAGTTTTTTAAACATTTTTTTTCTGGCTTTTCCTGATGTTCATTTTGAGGAATGCCCAGGAAGGAGGCTGTGGTCATGTCTGGCTGGTGGTGCTCCATTGAAAAGACCTGTGGCTCTGACAGCCTTTTGCTGTGTAGGCAGTTGGTGAGTCTGTGACCCATAGTTAAAATAGGCACTCAAGTCCAATTTTTTTTTTTTGAGACAGTCTTGCTTTGTTGTCCAGGCTGGGGTGCAGTGGCACAATCTCAGCTCACTGCAAGTTCTGCCTCCTGGGTTCAGGCGATTCTCCTGCCTCAGCCTCCTGAGTAGCTGGGATTACAGGTGTGTGCCACCACCCCCAGCTAAGTTTTGTGTTTTTAGTAGAAACGGAGTTTCACCATGTTAGCCAGCCTAGTCTCGAACTCTTGACCTCAAGTGATCCACTCACCTCGGCCTCTCAAAATGCTGGGATTACAGGTGTGAGCCACCACATCCAGCCAGAGTCCTATTTTTTTTTTTTTAATCTTTACTCTTGTGTAAAGTGCTTCAGCTCTGGTTGGCTTATCCAGCCAACTTCATGAGAACTGGCTGATGGAGTAACTGCCACCTCCAAGGAAGATTCCAGAGTCATCCTCACATCAGATCCATCCAGGTGTAGGGGGTGCCAGTCCAACCATGGGGAAATCCTAGTGTGTCTGGGCATAGTATTATAACCAAATTCAGGACACAGAGGAAACCAGCGATGATTGGGATTGAACTGTGGGAGGGTGCCTGACATGTTATCACAATCTGCACCACCTTAGCAATCATTTGCCTAACAAAGCCATTCAGCCAAGAAATCTCAGCCCTCCTGTCTGTAGTCAGGTGCACCAGAACCATCCTTCCACTCACCTCTCGGCCAGTGAAAGAGAATAAAATCCCGGCATTCCCCAAGAGAAGGAAGTCACACAGATTAAAGTTCCTAGCAACTGGTCTATTGATAGAACAACAGGACAGAATTTTTAGCCTAAAATAATCATGATCAACCGTCCTTGGCATTTTTCACTCATTGAGTAATACTCATTGGAATGCATTTATATTTTCTGTGTAATAAATCAAAAGCAAAACACCATTGTTTCTAATTTATCTTGTAGACTGCTCTAGTGATATCTTGCCACTGCTAATATTTCCAATATTTCTTTAAAATCATAAGATAAATGGGTCCTGAATCTTCAACGTGGTGGTGATCTTCATAACCTAAAACTTTATTTCGGGGTGGGGGGGTTCTTTCTTTTCTTTTCAGTTTCTAAGGAAAGTAATATACAAATTATGTGGAGCAAGCACTAACTGTCAACACTAAAATATTGACTTTGCTCAAACGCTTACAAAGAGAAAACATTAACAATTGTGATCATAAGTAGACCTGGTGTACCAAGCATATGAATTATGAATCAAAAGACAGAAAGGTGCTTTTTTTCTGCAAAGACATAGAACAGGATATTAGAAGCCCAAGGGAAAATAAATGTGTGTGCTCTTGGTGCTCCTTACGTCCACCATGCTGCTTACTCAGCACAAGCACCTGCTGCCCATTTGTTCCTTCTCCAGGGTGCTGCCCACAGAACACAGTAAACGCTGACCAATTGGTTGATTGAAAACCACTTTAATTGTAGGAAATTATCATTAATTTGAACTCTGCTAATTCAGAATTTGTGCTCATGCAGGCTTTGGTTTAAAAAAAATCTTCATGAAAAACTTTTGCTTTAGTAGACACACCTAGGTGCAAATCCAATTCCTGTACAAACACAGGGATTACATTTGTTGTATTACACCATGTGTAGGAGCACATGCAGCTTCCAAGCAGGTTCCAGACATGCGTTTCCCTATAAATTCTTATGATATGCTAATTATAAACCATTTTGCCTGTGTTTAATTTTTATTATGAAATAATATGTCCTCATAATGAAAAAACTAGAGTATGTAAAATAGAAAGTGGAATCTTCTTTGATTGCACCTCCTGGGTGAAGGTGGCTCTCTACTTACCCCAAATGTTTTTAAAATCTAATCCCAAAGGGCATTTCCCTGTCAGCTGAATTCAAGTTGAAGTCAAGATGGAAGTAATGAGGCAGTTTTAAAATAAGTAATCATTAGTTCAGAACCTTCAATAAAATGGAGGCAAGTCATCCATCTAAACGTGCTCCTTAAGGAATCCTCCCTCCCCTTGGTGATGTCACAGGAGTCCCGAGGCCTTGTGAAAGGACAAGGTTTGGAAGTAAGATTTTGTGTTTCTTCCACCCTCTGAGAGTGCATGTGTGTTCTTGCCTGGAAGGCCGTGTCAGAACCAAACAGAGAGGCTGCCTGGAGAGCACCTGTCAGCCTGATGCCATGACAGCATCAGTCCATTGAGGACCCCTGGAGGGGATGACGAAGAGGTGGCCAGAGGAAAGACAAGAACATGTGGGGAAGAGAGGGAGCTACAGGTGCTGAGGGGCTCTGTCCTCACAGCCACACTGGACTTGGCCCCGTGGCGCTCTGTAGCAGGCTGCAGCCCAGAGGGTGGCTCCCAGTGCCAGCAAAGATCCACACGCCCAGGCTTAGGGTGGGTGCTGCAGAGTCCCCCTTCCAGGAGCCATGCCCAACTCGACAAGGGCACATTTACAGGGACCAATAAAGACGAAACCCCGAGGCAGCTCCCCAGGCTTCTGTCCCTGCACACCTCCTCTGACACCCTAGCAGCAACCACCTGGGGGTGAAGCCTTCGCAATGACTGCATTGAATTCTCATCACGGGAGCTTGCGTCAGCCAGGGTCCTCCACAGAAGCAGAACCAACAGGATGTATGTGTAGAGAGATTTATTGTAGGGAATTGGCTCATGCAATGATGGAGGCTGACAAGTCCTGAGATCTGCAGGGGGAGCTGGTAAGCTGGGGTCCCAGGAAAGCCGATGATGCAGTTCTAGTCAGAAGTCTCAAGACCAGGCAAGAGCCAACGTTGCAGTACAAGTCCGCAGTGTTCCTCCCATCTGGGACGCCGGGAGTGTTACCTGCACAATGGGTGGGTTCCATTGCTTGTCAGGTGATAGTCCAGTAGCCACAAGCAACGAAGATTTAACAAAGGGATTTTATTACTTGCAGCAAGTAAAGAGGACACCAGGGATAGTCCCTACCCTAAAGCAGTGCCTTCCCGAACAAAGCTGATAACAGGGCTTTTATTAGGCTGGTGAGCTGAGACATTGCATGCAGAGGTGGGGTAAAAGCGGTGCAGGCGTGGCTGCTGATCATGCTTCTATGTACATTGCATGTATAGAAAACGGCAAATAAGCTCCTCCCTGGGCCGGGTGTTTAGCGTGGTAATGAGGAGAGTTCTCCAAAGCTCATCTCCAACTCAGGCATCTCTGGACCGACCAGATTTTGTTTTTCCAGGGCTGAGCTTCTTCCTGGAACTTTCTGAAACAACAAAAACTGAGGTACAACAGTTACAAACAGGTGTTTTTGTGCCATGCATGTCCCAAACCCAGGGATCCTGCGTTACACAATGGCAGGAAAAATGCAGCTGCCCCTGACCAAAGAGCATCGGACAGGAGGCATTCTCCCTTACTTGGGGGAAGGTCAGCCTTTGTGTTCTATGCAGTCCTTCAAAGGATTGGACAAGGCCCCCCATACTGAGGTGGGGTAGGGGACAATTGGCTTTACTCAGCCTGCCAATTTAAATGTTACTCTCAGCCAAGCGCAGTGGCTCATGCCTGTAATTCCAGCACTTTGAGAGGCCAAGGTGAGCAGACTGCTTGAGCTCAGGAGTTTGAGACCAGCCTCGGCCACATGGCAAACCCATCTCTACCAGAAATACAAAAAATTAGCCAGGGAGGCTACTTGGGAGGTGGAGGTGGGGGAATTGCTTGAGCCCAGGAGGCGGAGGATGCAGTGAGCTGAGATCACACCAATGTACTCCAGCCTGGCCAACAGAGCAAGACTGTGTCTCAAAAAATAAAAATAAATAAATAAATAAATAAAAATAAATGTTAATCTTATCCCAAAACACCCTCACAGACGCACCTAGAACAATGATGGACCAAATATCTAGGCTTTCCATGGTCCAATCAAGTTGACACCTGAAATTAACCATCACAGGCTCATTAATGATTGCATGTATCTCAAAGAAAAGGATGTGTTGTATCATAGCTGCCCTGATTTGCAGATTAATATTCACCCTTTAACAGAAGCAAACAGGTGTTGCAGGAATGATGGCCAGGTTGCTTACTGCCACTGAGTGTGGAAGTGCCATCATTGTATCCTCCTGTGCCCCTCTGTCTCTTCCTTCCTTGAGTCTGTCCTTTGTGAAATCCATTGGCTGGATCTGTCTTCACTGTATGCTAAGAAAACAGTAACAAAAATAGCCTGCTTCTTCTCGAATCACCAAGCCAAGGATGCTATGAGACTGTTTAGCCCACAGCTAGATAAAACACTGACAGTAAATCACTTGCTCTTTCTAAGGGTTATAAACGTAACAAAGAGCTGCTGTGGAATGAGTTGGAGCTGCCCGCCCGAGTTCCAGGTCATTGCCCATCGATGACCACAACCAGCAGCAGCTTTGAGCTGGCCCGGTGAATGGCCGGAGGCTTCGCTTTTATTTTCAGCTGCTTTCTGCTGGCCCAGGAGCAGACTCAAGAGGGAGAAGCTGGAGGAGTCATTTGCCTTCTTGTTCATCCTCCCATTAATTAAATTATTCACTGAGTGCAAGGATCACTAAAGTCCTGGACATGCCTGGCACTGGGCTAGATGAGCAAAAGTAGCAAACGCCCCTTTGGTGCTGAGTGAGGGTCGGGGGTGCTGGAGCTCTGTCCTGTCCTGAACAGCAAGTGCCTTGCGACTCTCCCCTACACACGCCAAGTGCTTGTGATGCTCCAAACGTATCCATCTGTGAATGAAAATATCCACATTAATGAATGGATTTCTGCTAACAGCCAGCTCAACTCATTTGCAAAACTGTTGGGGATAAAGTTTTCAGCAGGATGCAGTAAAAGGGAATTGGACCATAACTAAATAGATGTTCCTAAATACTTCTTTCCAGATCACTGCATCATTGACTCAAGCCCGGGGCCCAGGGTCCTGCGCCAGTCCATGCCGGGTCTTAGACATGCTTCACCCAGCATGAGGCTATGGGGCTCATTGGGGATGCGCATTTTCCCAGTTGGCCAAAAGCTTAGGCCAAGGATGAGCTCTTTGAAAACTCTGGCCCTTCCTCAGATGCATTAAAGAGGAGTGGCTTGGCTCACAAGTCACTTGTCTTCAGGGAACACCTGAGGCTAAGTGGAGTCCTTGCTTCGGCATGGAATGCTCTTGGTGCAAGCACAAGACCTCTGTCTACTGAGAGGGCAGGAATGACGGCGACTTTGTGGACAGGTTCCTCTGTCATTAAAACGAAGAAGTGACCCAGCTGCCTCTGCCCATCCAGGCCCTGCTCATAAGACAGGCAAGGGTGACACAGGTGGGCCTGAGACAGGCAAGCTGGCTGGTTTCCTGTTTCCACATGGTCTGGAGAAAAAAAAAAAAGAACAAAGGCCCCTTCCTCTAGCTGTAACTCCAGCCAATCAGCGTCAAAGGCCCAAGAAGCTTTTAACCACATGTTTCTGCTTTAGGGGATCGGTAACTTTCCCAAGGCCCTGCATGCACAGCTAGGCTTAACTTCCAACTCATAGTTACCTTTTCCTTATGTTAATGCTAAAACTCATGTCCGGAGGTGGAGATTTCAGATGCTAATGAGACATATGTTGTATGAAGGGCATGGTGGACTACCATGCATGGGCCAGGAAAACCCCACCGCTACATTGTTCCCCTTACTTCCCTTTACTGCAGAGCCTCATAAAAGAAACCCACACCCTGACTTCAGGACCCTCCTCGGGCACCCACACATGTTCACACCCACACATGATCATGCACCATCACAACTGCTCACACTCATGCACACTCAGGCACTGGCACACTGACACACTTCTTATCTTCCAGCTTGACTGCAGACGTGGTCTAATAAAGGGCTCATTCCCCTGGCAGCTGTGATGGGATCCAAGCCATGGGGCTTTTTCTAGAAAGATGGGACAGAGAAGGTCGCTTTCCAATGAGCTGCCACCTTGGAGGTCTCTGCCTGTGCCTGGAGGTCGTGGAGAGGGAGAGTGAGAAGGCAATCTGGGCACTGTTGAGCACCGCATGTTTTCAGCTCCGTTCACCAGTAGATCCTCATTTCTGCTTACACCTGCCAGGGATAAGTTCCATCGGTGCATTCAGTTGAGTCCCTGTGGGTTCAAGTGGACACCCCAGACACCCATGGGGCTCTCTGGAAAGTATCAGAGGGGAACTAAAGACAAAGTGAGTCTCAGCACGGCTCCTCTGAGGACCACCTCTCCTGCTGCCAGGGACCCTAACCATCCCATGTTCCACTCTTTTGCCAGCACCTTTGCTGCTGGGCACTTAGGCAGGCTTCCCAACCAGAGGGTTATGTGCACTGCTATGGCTGCAGACAGTCGTATGTGGTTGCAAATAATCTGTGGCAAATTAAGCACTGCAGCTGGTAAATAATATATTTTAAGCATATTGCAATAGATGCAAAGGCACTATTCTTGCATTCTGGTTTTCTTTCCTGAGTGGAGGGGTTTAGAAGCACCCAGGGATACATCACCTGCGTGAGCGTCGCCTGATGTGGGCATCCAGTCCTAGAGGTTCTGAACATGCTGTACCATCACATTGATGTGTTTTGGACACCCCAGATGCTTGCACCTGGCTCCCTCTCCCAATGTCCCTAGGCTCCCAGCTCCCAGCCTCCTCGAGCCTGATGGTACGTGGGGAAGGAATACCTACACAGGCCCTGTATGTCTGACCTGCTTGCTGCCACTGCCCACCTTCCTGCCCTACAGTGCAGGGTCTCTCCCATCCCTGGGCTCTCTCCTTTCCTGGGAGGTTGGGCACTCACTATCCCTCTGCCTAGGCTCTGTCCCAGATCTCTTTTTAATTTTTTTTATTTTTTTTAATTCAAACAACAGATGTGTAATGGCTCACAATCTAGAAGCCAGAAACGTGAATCAAGATGTTGGCAGGACCACAATCCCCCACAGGCTCTGGGGGAGGCTCCATTCCTTCCTCTTCTTCCTATCCCATTGCTGGAGGCTTCCAGCCATGACACCCATCTCTGCTTCCTCCTCTTCTGTCTGGCTTACCTCTCTGCCTCCCTCTTAGTAAGACCCTTGTCACAGGATTTAGGCCCCACCAGGATAATCCAGGAGGGTCTCTGCATCTGAAGATCCTTAACTTAATCACACCTGCAAAGACTCTTCTTCTAAATATGGTCATGTTCACAAGGTCCAGGGATTTGGATGTGGACACACCATTCAGGAAAGTGACTGCAGTGAGGGCCTCTTGTTCTCTCCCCAACTTCACAGTTCGTTCTGGCTTTGTTTTAAATATTCCAAGATAACAATGAATGTTTTTTTCCCCACAAAAGATGTTCACATATATATATGGGGTGGGTGGTGGGAGTGTGTATAGTGGTTAAATACATATAACATAAAATTCACTATTTTGACCATTGTTAAATGTACACATCTGTGGCATTAAGTGCATTCACACTGTGTACAACCATCTTGACCATCCATCAACCATCAACACCATCCATCAACCATCTCCACAATCCATCAACCATCTCCACTATCCATCAACCATCTCCACCATCTACCAACCATCTCTATCATCCATCAGCCATCTCCACCATCCATCAACCATCTCCACCATCCATCAACCATCTCTACCATCCATCAACCATCTCCACCATCCATCAACCATCACCATCCATCAACCATCACCACCATCCATCAACCATTCCCATCATCCATTCAACCATCTCCACCATCTATCTGTCATCTCTA
This sequence comes from Homo sapiens, assembly GCF_000001405.40. Classification (NCBI taxonomy): domain Eukaryota; kingdom Metazoa; phylum Chordata; class Mammalia; order Primates; family Hominidae; genus Homo; species Homo sapiens. The sequence continues at coordinate 61,173,433 of NC_000020.11, forward strand.
TCATCCATCAACCATCTCCACCATCCATCAATCATCTCCACCATCCACCAACCATTTCTACCATCCAAGAACCATCACCATCATCCATCAACCATCACTATCATCTACCAACTGCCTCCACCATTCATCAACTGTCTCCATCATCCATCAATCATCTCCACCATCCATCTACCATCACCATCCATCAACCATCACCACCATTTATCGACCATCGCCACCATCCATCAATCATTTCCACCATTCATTAACCATCTCTACTATCCATCAGCCATCACCACCATCCATCAACTGTCTCCACACCCAACAACCATATCCACAATCCATCTCCAAGATCACCTCAGATCTTTAACTTGCCAAATACTCGTCAGCATTAAGTCTCAGCTGAAACGATGTTCAAGATCCTCCGTCCCTCCTGGACTCTCCTTCCTTTATCACATGTTACTGCCTCAAAACCCAACTCTCTAAGAGCATCTTGTTCATTTGTGTGTTTATATTGTGCCTACTACCTGCACACTCCCTGGGGGCTGGGATTACTTTCTCCTAGCTTATGACGGTCTCTTCAGTGCCTAGAACTGTCTGGCCTGCACTCGGTACCCAAAAAATGCATGACATGTGAATAAACATGTGTATAGGGTTGTGAGTATCAAGTGATTCAACTCTTGTAATGATTTTAGCTAAGCTCTGGACACCCTGCAAGAACTCAAGAAAGTGTCTGTATTGCTATTAAGCACTTAGGAATGTCATGTTTTAGGTTAGCTCTTTGGTTACAAGCAACAAAGGCTCCACTCAGACTCACTTGGGGGCAGGGTTTTCACTCTGGTTGTACAGGAAGCCATACAAGGAATCCCAAGGAATCTGAGGTGTGCAGGCTGTGGGGCAGGTTCTTCCAGGGACCCATGGGGGCAAACCTGAATCTGGGTGGCTCAGAGTCCTCTGTACCAGGACTAGGAGGCTGTGTCTCACAGGTTCCTCCAGAAACTGCCCAGCAACTGGCTGCTCCCTACTTCTTCCTGTTGCACCAAACACTGGCAAATCCCTCCCATGTGTCTGGTACAAATGAGCCTAGTTGACCATGCTTGGATTTAATCCAGACCATAGGGGTTTTATGTCATTGACTTAGCCAGGAAGGGGATGCTCCTCAGTCAGATGCTTGGCCCTGGACCAGTCAGCCTGGGAGAGGCAGGACCACAGGGTGCCGATGCTCCTGCTGTCCCCACAGTGCGGTGAGGGCAGGACAGGTTTTGCAGCTTCTCCTTTAAAAGGGAGCAGAGAGGCTGCTGCTGGGCCAGGTTCCCAACTGTGAACATCATATAGACAGACACTGTGCTGCGCTGAAGCAGACCTGGATGATTTTCAGGAGGAGAGGGTACAGACCCTCTGCCATAGAGCCCGGTCTCAGGCAGATGTGTTCTCTCCCCGAGTTGGGCAAGGCACATGTTGTGGCATTGCACAAGCCCTGTGTCCCCAAGGGGCCTTGAAGGAGAAGGAACACTCCCATGGGCTGAGGCCAGGCTTCCATGTAGGTCCTAGGAGCCAGAAGAGGGGCTCTTGCAGCTGCAGACCCAAGACAACAAAACTAAAAATATGTTGAATTTGCAAAGTAAAGAGAAACGGATGGGAGGTGTTGGGGGAGTAGGCCTTGCCCCTCTACAGTGTGAACCTGCAGGGTTTCCTCCATATCCCTCCCTCCTCCCAGCTGCATGGCTGGAAACCAAGAGGAACTCAAAGAAAGATGGTGATGATGAGTGTTTCTGTGATAGGCATCACAACGGCAGAAGCAACTTCAAACTCAGAGGTTAAATAATATATCATTGTGTGTATGCACCACATTTTGCTTATCCACAGCAGAATTTTTTTATTCAGGAGCCCCTGGAAATGGGTGCTCCACCAGTTTGGGGCTCTCTGAGCCCCCGATGGCCCTGTCTTCATGGAGGGTCCCCATCCTCACTCTGTTCACCTCTTCTCTTCTCTTTGGATAGCCTCAAATTTCATTTAGCCTCCAGCCATTGATTCTTCCATGGATTCAAGCCAGTCAACTCATCTCAGGCTGCACTGGGGTTAGGACACCTTTTGGAAGGTCAAAGGACTTTTATAATCCCTAATTGTCTGCTGCTCTTGACCAGCAGCTTCCTGCATCCCTACCCTCCAGAGGGTTTGAGCCACCAGAGACGTGGCCTCTAGATGCCCAGCCAGGATGCTGGACAACACCTACATGTGCCCACATTTTTTCAATCGTACAGGTCAACACGGTTTGCCAGCACCCAAAAGAGAAGGCAGAAGTGAGGATCCTGAAAAGCGGGCTGCTTTGTGGTTCAGCCCAGCACACTGAATGAGGACCAGCAAGTAAAGTGAGCTGGCTGCTCTCACAAGCCAGAGGTTTATTATGGCACCTCAGAAAATTAAGGTGATGGTGTATTCCAATGTTTGTTTCATGAAATCTGTCAATGAAAATAATTAGAGGCAATGATCTTGAGGATAAATCAGAGCTAGGCAGAACACCATTCTGCAGAATATAGATATACTGGAGATACAAGAGGCTCTTAATGGTCAGCCCCAGGGAGACACAGGAAAATCAAATGTTGTGTGAAGCCCTGTGACCCCAAGAGCTTGTCTATCAGAAGGCTTCCCTGCACTGCCATGTTCACAATGATGGAGGCGGCATTGCCTACTCAGTTCCTGAAGGTGAAACTGCCCCAGTGAAAAGTTAAAATGCACCTCACCTTCGGCAGAGCAGTCCTACTTCTCCATTCCCAGTCTAGGGAGATGCCTGCATGCAAGAACAAGAGGCGGCACACAGAAGGGGGTTCATTGCAGCATTTATGGTATTAGCAATAAAATTAAAATTAAACTAGAATACCACTCCTAGGTATATGGCCAAAAGGACTGAAAACAGGGACACAAGCAGATACTTGTACATGAGTGTTCATAGCAGTACCTCTTTCCAATAGCCAAACAGGGAAAATGAACCAGATGGCCACGATGGATGAATGGATGCACAAATTGTGGTGTGTGCACACAAGGAAATATTATTTAGCCTTAAAAAGAAAGGATGTTCTGGCCGGGTGCAGTGGCTCACACCTGTAATCCCAGCACCTTGGGAGGTCAAGGCAGGTGGATCACCTGAGGTCAGGAGTTCCAAACTAGCCTGACATGGTGAAATCACGTCTCTACTAAAAATACAAAAATTAGCTGGGCACAGTGGCAATCCCAGCTACTCAGGAGGGTGAGGCAGGAGAGTCACCTGAATCTGGGAGGTGGAGGTTGCAGTGAACTGAGACCATGCCACTGCACCCAGCCTGGGTAACAAAGTGAGACTCTGTCTCGAAAGAAAGAAAGAAAGATAGAAAGAAAGAAAGAAACAAAGAAAGAAAGAAAGAAAGAAAGAGAGAGAGAGAGAGAGAGAGAGAGAGGAAGGAAGGAAGGAAGGAAGGAAGAAAGAAAGAAAGAAAGAAAGAAAGAAAGAAAGAAGGAAGGAAGGAAGGAAGGAAGGAAGGGAGAGAGAGGGAAAGAAAGAAAGTTAGTTCTGACACATGCTCCAATACGAGTAAACCTTGGAAGCATTAGGCTGAGTGAAATAAGCCAGTCACAAAAGGACAAATACTGTATGTTTCCACTTACATGAAGTACTTAGAATAAATAGGAAAATTCAAACAGACAGAAAATAGAATGTTGGTTACCAGGAGCTGGAGGGAGGGAGGGAGGAATGGGGAGTTATTGCTTAATGGATACAGAGTTTATGCTTGGGACAATGAAAAAGTTCTAGAAATAGTGATGATGGTTCATAGGATTGTGAATGTATCAGATACCACTGAATTGTATGCTTAAAAATGGTGGAAATGGTAAATTTTGCATTAGCTATATTTTACAAAAAAATACTGATCTGGAAGCAGCTTTGTCTTAGTTTGGGCTGCGGTAACAAGTTATCATAGACTCGGTGACTTCAGCAACAGATATGGATTGCTCATGGTTCTAGAAGCTGCACACTCCAAGGTCAAGGCACTGGTGGATCTGCTGTGTAGGGAGATTCCTGATTTCCACTTCCTGATTTGCAGATGGTACCTTCTCTGCATCCTCACATAGCAGAAAGAGTGATAGAGCTCTCTGGCTTCTCCTTACAGGAGCACTAATCCCATTCATGAGCGCTCCCTTCTTACCTAACTACCTCCCAAAGTCCTCATCCCCTAACACCATCATCTTAGGAGTTAGTATTTCAGCCTGTGCATCCAGGAGGGACAAAAACATTCAGGCCATAACAAGACTAAACTGCTCACCAGTAGGGAACTTGGGAGATAAGCCCTGGTACTTCTGCAGCAGGAGCAGGCACATATTTTCTAGAAAGGACCAGACAGTAAATGTGTTAGGTTTTGTTGGACATTCTGTTTCTGCCTTGTATTTTCTTTTGTATTTTTTTAACAACAGCTTAAAATGTAAAAACCATTCCTCATTGGAGGGCTGAGCAAAAACAGATTGATGGCAGGATTTGGCCTGTGAGCTGCAGTTTGCCGAACCCCTGGTCTATGCTATGAAAAATTATGTCAATGACAAAGAATTCAGTACTTTTATAGGTACTGATACTGAAAGATTTCCAAGATATACTGTGACAAAAACAACTTGCAAAGTGATATAGTGTGGTGTGATCCTATCTATGGAAAAACAGAAATACATATCTTTACATGTGCGTATCTGCCTGCCAATGAACTGGGCTTGGGTGAAGGTCAAGGCGAATTTCTGTATTACCTTACATTTTTGCACTTTTAATAAGCTTAAAAAAATTACTTGCACAATTCGAAATGATTGTTGCAAAAATTATGAAAGAAGGGATTCAGATTTGCATTACAACAGTGGTTTTCTCTACTTGGGAAACCCCGTGATTCTCTTCGTATGCCATATGACCCCAGTGTTCTACCCTGACATCCAGGGGAAATGCTTTGCCCAGAGAAGTAGAGAACATTTTTACAGCTGATGGCTCTGAGACCTTAATACATTCCCATAATGCCCAGTTTCTACTTCTTTCCACTCCTAGACATAAAACGAAGATATTTATGGACACCACAGGGTATTGCAATTGTTAATTGGGGCGTCCTTGGAGGGCTGAGAGGGCTCAGTCCTGTGCTTTTCTACAGAATGCCTCTCTCTAAGGAAGGCACTAGTTAATGATTGGCTTTAATTTTATGACCTGGGGCCCGGGTGTCAAGTAAACAGTTTTACAACCACTTTAACATAAGCTAGATGGGCAGATGACTTACTGAGCCTCTCCCAGAACACAAGCGCATTTCTTTTCTCCTTTCCTACTGGCAGGGCAAAAACCCAAGCTCTTTCATGCGCTATTCAAGCAGGCTGCAGCCTCAGGGGTGATGCACGAAGGGCTCAGGTCACTGTGTTTCTTTGGAGGGTGAAGGTGAACAGTCTTCTCTGATATGCTCCTTCTCCCTCGGGGTAGGTGTGTCTGCCATGCAAACAGGTTGCTCATCTGCCACCAGGCCCCTAATGAGCCCAACCCTCCTCTGAGCAGCTTGCTCCAACCCCAGCCCTGTTGTCAAGTCAGGCCCCTGCTCATAAAACTCTCTCCAGTGAGCTGTGACACACATGAAGGTACACATTTACAGGGAAACCTGTAAATCAGGGAAATCGGGACAGCCCCACACCCCTTCTCAAGGCCACTTAAAGTAGCAAAGGTGCGGCACTGGACTCAGCCTTGCGTTGGTCTCTGCACAGACTCAGGTAATCATCGCTGGCCTGGGAGGACGCGGCCCTCGAAGAGTTTTGGAGCATCTCCACACTTAGATGTTCAATGCCTCACGTCTACTGGGAGGTATGTGAAGTCTTTGACCCCACTTCTCAGATTGGAAACCAAGGCTGTGCATTGATGTTACTGGCCAAAGCCACAGAATGTGGGCAGAAGTCAGACTCACCAGGGAGTTTTCCTCCAGTGTGAACAGCTTTTCCTCCTCTAAAGTTCCTTCTTAAAGGAAGCAGGTAAAGAAACAGCTATAGATGTGTGCACTAACCTCTCTGAAATCACTGCAATTCAACTAGTTTTAAGGAACAATTACGACTCTACTGCTAAGCTTTGTATTTTCATTTGTAAATTCATAATAGTAATAGATCTCCCTGAAACTCTGGTTTCAAGGATTCAATGAGATAACATTAGGGGAATACTTAGAATACATAATGCCTATTAACTAAATCATGGTGGCTGCTATTTCTGTGATTGTGGAATTTGAATTCTTGTCATCTTTTTGGAAACCAATGGGGAAAGAACATTGAGAAACCATGGCCCACTCCATTGTGTGTGTGGATCCCTGTGCCTGCCTCAGTCCTCAGGAAGCCCAGAAAAGGCCAGCAGCTTCCTTCTAGAAAGAGCCAAAAGCCACCTTCTTGGAGGCATCTGGTCCAGCACATCCCACGACGGAATCAGATTAAATCCTTCCTGTTAAGTTATTCACTTTCCCTATGGGCTGTTGCTGCAAATGCTGCGTTCACCCTGGAAGGACCAAACGTTTTGCTTTTTCTTGTGTTGTAGGTTGTTTGCTTTTGTTACAAAATAATCCACACCAGCTGTAATAAATACAGAAAATATAAATGTAGATAAAAACTCCATCCATATACCTCAATACCATCCACACAGATAAAAGCAGAGAACTGATGCATGTGTGACCTTCCAGACAAATGCTGTGATGTGTGCACATATACATACATGTGCACGGGCATGCATACGTGCACCTGCACACATGCATACACTCATGCACAGGTATGCACACAGGGACACATGCACAGAGACACACACATGGACACAGAGGGACACACACAGACACACACACGGAAAATTTGATTTCCTACTGTCTTTCCTTGACAATATTAAGATTACACATGCACATCATCCTAAGATTTGCTTTCCACATTTGACCATACTGGTGACCCTTCCATGTCAGAGCACAGGATCAACCACATTCTTTCTCACTGCTGCAACACATTCCATATGAATATACCTCAATTTATATAACTGCTTCTGCACTCCTATACATTGCAATATAATGACCCCCAGCGATTTCCTAATACAAATGGTGCTGAGATGAATCCTTTTAAAATACATCATTGTACATTCAAGCTGTTATTTCTATAGACTAGAACAGATCTGTAAACTTAAGAAACGGACTGCCTGCGTAAGAACTCTTCACTCGAAGTTAAAGTCTTCCAAAGAAATGGGCACGCCATGTTAAAGCAACCACCTGCCTATCTCTCACCCAGACACCAGCCTCTGAAGGTTCCACTTATCTGAAATATTCCCATAGGCTGTCTACCTTAATTAGCCTCAACAGAAAATTATTTGACAAGTTACATGTTGTCATAATTTGCTTGAGACTTTGGGAAGAGGTGACATAATGTTGTGACAAGGTACTGTAACACTTGGAAAATCTTAACGCCCCATGTGTGCCCCTGGTCACAAATTCCCAGCCCAGCCTGGGCTCACACGCACTGCAGCATCTTTGCCAGAGACAGATTGCATCTACTTAGGTCGAGCTGCAGTTTTCAAGAAGACACTAAATCATGACACATTACTTCTCACCTTGCTGAATTTGTGAACAGGATACAACATATCTTGCCTTCGAAATAGCCAATTAGAAATATAGAAAGAAGGGCCAGGTGCAGTGGCTCACGCCTGTATCCCAGCACTTTGGGAGGCCAAGGCAGGTGGATCACGAGGTCAGGAGATCGAGACCATCCTGGCAAACATGGTAAAACCCTGTCTCTACTAAAATACAAAAAATTAGCCATGCATGATGGCGCGCACCTGTAGTTCCAGCTACTTGGGAGTCTGAGGCAGGGGAATCTCTCGAACCTGAGAGGCGGAGGTTGCAGTGAGCCGAGATCACGCCACCGCACTCCAGCCTGGCGATAGAGCCAGACACCATCTCAAAAAAAAAAAAAAAAAGAAAAGAAAAGAAATACAGAAAGAAGGGGATTAATGTTGGAGTTCCCATAAGCTAGCCATTTTTCCCTCCTATTTTAGAAGAATAAAATATTCCAATTAAGACTTAGTAACTAAATAATATGGTCTAGAACTATCTATGAACTTCACGGGGTTCTCCCACTCACCCTGTACAACAACAAAATGTGCTTTAGTCTTCACAATGAGAATTACAGAAGCAACTGCATCAGACAAAGACAGGGCTGCATTTTTTCTTCCAACCCACTAGGCCCAGATTCATGCGTGGAAGCTTAATTTATTTTGCAAAGTGAGTGTCATCACAGCCTGAAGTGTTTAAAAATCACTCATTCCATCTAATTAGATCTTTCAGTAGCTCCGAAAGTTAATATTATACCAATTGTGGCACTAATGAGCATCATGATCTTGTGTGTCACGGAGACAAGCCCCACATAGATACCTCGACATCTGGACATGTGTGTGGTATCAGGAGAGAGCACTGTTCAACCTCATTTTTGTGACTTTATTGAGGGGCGAGTAGCCCATCTTAACAAGATCACATGATGTCTGAGTGCTGTGGCCATTTAGCTTGCTATATTTGAGGAGAAAAAGGAAAAAATGTATAACCAAGCATGATTTAACAGAACTGACATGCCATTTATTCAACTTTTTTCAAAACCCCATGTTTTCAGCATTGACCTCATTAAAAAACCTCTAAGCAGGGTGAGGATCTAGGTCCTGTATATATTAATAAAATCATGGATTTTCACGGAGCCAACTTTTGTCTGGCATCAGGGAACCTAACAACACTCTGTGAAAACATGGCTCATGTCAATTTCCAGTGTACCACTGTTAATATCCAATTTCGAGAGCACGTCTTTTATTTGTAAAAACAAATTGCTAGAAAAAGCATTTGCCACTGGCATTCTGTGTTTCTAGTTCTACCATGATCCTCATGGAAAATTTATAGGAAATATTTTTCTAAATTCCTCTGCATCCCATATAGTATGGATGTTTATTATATATTTAGAAACATATATGGCTTGATTAATTTTTTAAATGACAGCCCATGAATTTAAAATGAGGTTACTCTGGGGTGCACAAATTAAATAGCTTCCAATGAAGGATTAAAAATGGAATGTAAAGAGGGTAGAAGCTATGGACCTACTGCAACACACAAGCTTGAATTATCTTTAGCATTTGGTGTGGGGCCCTCTCAATCAACAGCCACAAGCCATAAAGCTGCAGCCTCTGTAGGTTGGGGAGGTAATAAGAATGACTCTGGGAATTAAAGCAAGGAAATTAAGGACATTTGCAGGAGAGTTTAAGGAAACCAATCGTTCTCTGGAATTATTGATTGAATGATAAGTCAAGTAATATTAGCATCAAGTAGAGAGTGCACACCCAACAAGTAAATAAAAGAACGATGCATTTTAAATGCAATTGTTTCAAAGGGCACTAAGCAATCACTCTATTAAATACAATGCTTGGTGCTGAATGCATTTAAATCTCCCAGTATGTCTGTGTGTGCATATAAAGTATTGCAAAACAGAACCAAAAGCAAGTCGAATAATAATGTGAGCAGGTCCTGAGATAACCTGTCAAATCAGGCTGCTGATATCACAATTTGGGTGACAGCAGATCATGAGGCAAAGCCATAAATGAGGTAATGAAGTATTAGCAGAAACAAGGTAAAATGTGTGAATATAAAAGCCACGCTGTCCAGGGCAGGCGCTCAGAGTAATTAACCTGTCAAGGATGCAGCTCAAGGAAGTGTTTGGGTCCAACGTGATCAAGGAACAAGCCAGGGTCCCCAGCCTGCCAGCAAGGGGCGGCCCGCTGGTTCGTTGTGCTTCACTTTCACAGTGCTTTTTGCCTTTTTCATTTTTTAATGACCTGCTGATATTTAAAACTTAGGCGATTTCACTTAAATATAAAAAAAGAATTCCTGGCTTTTCATAGAAATTTCAGATCTAATAGCTCTGTGGCTACCTTCCCACACCACTGGAATTGGCTATAGCTACAGAGAACGGGAGAAGGGGGTTTTTCTTTCTCTGCTCTGCACACCCAGTGAATTCTGCTTCCTCACACACCCTGACCCCAGGACACTTGATTTTGAGACTTCTTGTGCAAGAGGACCCCGAATATGAGTGAACTATCTTCCCTAATAGGCCAGTAGGGTTTACCAGGATATGGCTGAGCAGTTGAAAAACGCAGACTTTCCAGGCCCCGATGAATTTATATGCAGAGGTGGCTTTCTTTATATATCATTGTAAAGATTATATAAAGATTATAAGAGTTTGTGTGCTCCATGCTGTATGAGGAGAAAATCAATTTCTCATTCTTCTAAAAAGCTCACAATGCAACTGGAATTTTCCCTGAACCAAGTAAACAAAAGTGTCATTTAACTTGAATGGGGAAAAGGTGTTAGAAAAAGTCTTTATCGTTCTACTTTCAACTTTCCTATTATTATCTAAGTTTGACTGATTTTTCAAGGGGTGGCTACGATGAAGCCATCCTTCGGAGTTTATAATAGAAACGCTATATAATTTAAATCGCCAGTGAAAGACTGGAGCCACGCAGTTAGGAAACTGATTTTGTTGTTGTTGTTGTCATTTCTTTTCTAGGGAAGGTTCAGCCCTACATGGTGCCTACTTCTTAGCCTGACAATGGGGTATCCAGCGGGTGAAGCAGTTGAGAAGTGGGCAGTCGACCTTGGCTTTGCCCTCCTCCCCTGATGTAGACCCCGAGGTGCCCCACTGAAGATGCCTTTGGGATGGAAAACAAGCTCTTTGAAGATTGTTTCCCAATTCTTACATTTGAGGCCAGGAGGAAGTTCCGAGGTAGCCTAGAGCCCTGTCACTGTTACAAGATTCCTTCCCAGAGGACTGGTCTACACATCTGGGAGAAAACAGGCTTCAGAAACCATCCACTCTGTGATGGCTGCTCTGGCTTATTGACGTGCAATTGATCTGACATGCCTTATTGGCATGCAGCGGGTCATTCCACACACCCCGAGTGCGGTGGCAGGCTGCATAGCATGCTTGGCACACTGCCCGGCACTCAGGTAATGATGGATGCGTGCTGGCTTAACTGCTGAGAAGCCACTAAATAACAGCCATTAACGGGTGAGGAGTTCAAATCTGGGTGCTCCTCTGTGTGTGTCGGAAAAGTTATTTGGTCACTAAGCCTAATTTATAAAATTAGAATACTGACTTTTACATTGCAAGCATTCCATGAGATAACATGCAAAGTGTAGCCCAAGGCAAGCATATAACTATTATTATTTGTTGTTGTCGTTGTTGTTATTATTATTACCACAAGACATAATCTGATTTCTTATCTTTCAAGGACCCATCTTTCAGGAATTGGCCGGACGTGGGCAAATAAATTGGATATCTATTGATCAGCACTCCTGCCAATAACTTGGAACATCATTTCCCAGTCAATGATTTCACAAATGAAGACACTGCAAAATAGTGTTCGTTGCCTGTCCACTGTAGGAACTGATTCTAAATGTTCACTTCAGTGTGCCTGCCAGAGGAATACAAACCCGATACGGGTGTACTGGCCACGCGTTGGAGAGACGAAAAGGCTTACTGAACATTCTTAGTAAATGTGCCATTTGTTCCTGGTGGGTGAAGCATTTCATGATTCATGCAATATTGTAAATTTTTATTTTCTTTACATAGACTTGGCTTTTATTGTAATTCCTACTCTTGGGGGAAGGTAATATGGATTCATCCAAGTTAATAAAGCCTCTTGGAGATAACATCTCCAGGACTCAAGGCCATTCTCAGGGTACAATTAAGACATTTGTTTGCTTGGTATTCACCACGAAGATCCAAGGTTGCCATCATGCTAAGTCACTGCATGCATTTCATGACATGAACACGAGCTTTGCATACCATTTCAGGCAGGACAGCGATCACAGTGGAGTCACCGTTAGAGAAGCTGAGAGGTTCTTTGGAACAAACTACAGGCCATGAATAAGAGTAACAAGTGTGCCACCTCATTAGAAGGTAGGGCAGTTCAGAGGACACCGAGCCCTGGACCAAAGGTTCAGGCCACAGCATGCATCACTGCATTCCACACACCCTGCTTTGCCCCGGAGCTTGGAGGTAAATCTGGAGAGAAGAAAGAGCCGTGGTTTTCTTTTCTTTTTTTTTTTTCCTTTTTTTCTTTTTTTTTTTTTTTTTTTGAGATGGAGTTTTGCTCTTGTCGCCCAGGCTGGAGTGCTATGGTGTGATCTCAGCTCACTGCAGCCTCTGCCTCCCAGGTTCAAGTGATTCTCCTGCCTCAGCCTCTCAAGTAGCTGGAATTACAGATGTGCACAACCATGCCCGGCTGATTTTTGTATTTTTAGTAGAGACAGGGTTTCACCATGTTGGTCAAGCTGGTCTCGAACTCCTGAGCTCAAGTGATTCACCAGCCTCAGCCTCCCAAAGTGCTGGGATTACAGGCATAAGCCACTGTGCTGAGGCTGTGGTTTTCTGTTTGGGATTCAAGGCATTCACCCTCCAGAAGGAAGCTGAGATATGTCTCTTATTAAATGACATACACTGTCCCTCGAACACCCTAGTGGTATATATGAAACGCATCCCAGGAACTAAGAAAAGAGTCTTCATTTGACAGAGCAGCACACGCATGAGACTCATCACTTGCATACGCAGGCATCCCACCCACCCAAGCTTGGCAGGCTCAACAGAGCACATTTTGTCCTTATAATTCTCCATCTCACCAACAAATCTCCGAAGGTTTCTCCTGTTCCTTGGTATATAGAGGTTTTGATCCGAGATTCCAGCTGATGACTTCATTCTTGAAGAATGAGCACTAGCTGTTTCAGGTTTTCTGGAATTCATGTAATGCAAACAGTAATTCATGTAATGAGCTATTGCTTCCTCAATATGTTTGGAGGAAATAACCTTTCATTTGAACTCCAGAATTTTCTCCTGATCAGCAAAGAGCTGGCGTCAGCCTTCCGGGTGAACAGTATTCTGTTAAGTTGAATGCCCCAAGCCCATGCCCCTAAGCTCCCTCACGCCTTACAGAGATGCACCATCTGCTTCCAGACATTCCAAAGGGGACGTCTGTGCCTCCTGGGTTGTTGGTCATATCTTAGCCACTTCTGTGAGTGAAGAAATATTTCGAAAGCTGCCAAGTCCACCTTCCTCATTCCGCATGTATGAAGAATTCATTGAGGTTGCTATTTGTCAAGAGGCTGCAAACATTTCCTATCATTTGTCTCAATCCATGCTTCTGTTTCAACACCCGTCACAGAAATCCACAGTCTCAGTTGCTTTAAGCCCCTCATCCTCCTGCCTTTTCCACTCAAACCAGAATTATCCATCATTTATTTTCTAAGAACAGAAAAGATGTCACTGCCATTGGTGCTATCAGTTTCTACAAATATATTGTGTACCTTACAGGAGGACAGTATAATTTTTGGCCAGCGGAAGTTTCATCGTAGCACTCTAGCTATAATCTCAAATTAGTCAATGCAGCAGAGCACAGTCTGCTATGCAGGATGAGGTTTATGTTTTCAGAATACACATTTGGGCGTGTAATTGTTGTAATAGTAGTGTGAAGTTTTAGCCATGTCTGTGGGTGTTGATTTGTTCCAATGTAGTATCTAAATGCTTACATTACATCATGGCTGTGCAGCAGAACGGAGACATGTAATAGCTATTTGGAATATGTGTTCTGTCTAGATAGCTGAACTAAAAATCAGTAGGGTTTTTTTGTTTTGTTTTGTTTGCAGGGGAGAGTAGGATGTTACTGATTTTAAAATCATTATTAGTCTTCATTTTGCTTTTCAATTGGCTGGCAAATTCTGTCTTCATTCAGGTCCATAACAATTGTCTTACGTACACTCCTTCGGGAGACAGCAACTGGGAATTTAACTGTGACAAGGCAGGCGTCAGAACGGTGTCTTTCCAAACAGCTCGAGTCTCCTTGTCATTGAAAATCTCAAACTCTATCGCTGTAAAAAGGTGAGATAAAAAAGGCAGCTGGCGCATCCATTTCCATGTGTTTTATCCTTTCATAATACCTGGTTATTTAAAAGGAGCATGATCAAACCTCAGGACTGGTACCTGACAGCAACCCTGAGAAAGTTAAGCCCCTTCCAGACAACTCGAATAAAGAAGATTATTCCTATTAAGGTATCAAATCATATCAATAAAGCTGCGTGGCTCTCAGATGTCACGGATGGAACTACGGGAGTGATTAAGGGGTTAAGCTGGCTCTCCCCGGGTTAGTGGCATCTCGTCAGCGGCATGAGGGAACCTGGTTGCTGGGAGGGGCCCTTTCCCTCCCAGGTCAGGCCACCCCTGTCTATCAGGCAAATACAATAGGAATTACTTAATTTAACACCGTTTCAGTTCTAATTGAATCCCATTTTCTAAATCCTGAATAAATACAACTGCTGCTTCGGTCAAACGGAGAGAAATAGCCATCTTTTAATGACTCCCCTGTGGATTTAATGCCTATTCTATCCGTGAGAATAATGATTCCAACATCCCTGGAATACATTGAAGGGATAATGGTTATTTAAACATGCCAAGTCTTTATAGAGCAGATAAATATTTTAATTTGCATTTATGAAAATCAAAAAGTAAGCATGGGAGCAGGAACCAGTTTGTCTACTTCCCCAGTCATCAAAACCACAGAGTGGCAGGTTCACAACGTGGGAGCGCAAGAGAAACTCGGCACCATCAACCCTACCATGATTGTTTCCCAGTAGGACCTGCCGCTGACCCACCTGCCCCCACCAGCGAGCTGGAGAGGGCTCCTGAAACCAGCACATCTGGCCACGCCCTTGCCTGGCTTTTAGCCCTCACTGGCTTCCCATTGCTCTGACGCTGGCGACCAAAAGGACCTACTTAGTTGCCATGGCCCCTGCTCGGCCCTTGGGCCTTGACACCACCACATCCCTAGCACTCTGTGTTCTCCCAGTGCCCGGGGCCTTGGCATGTGCCTGACTGTCTGTCTGTGACCTCACATGCACACGCTCCACAATTTGTAGTCATTACGTTCATTGATGCCATTATTCGATCAATGTTTGCCTCTCCTGCCAGGCAGTGAATTAGGAACCTTGTCTATTTTGTTCAATATTGTTATATGTAAAAATGTTTATTTAGAAATAGAATGCTTGTTCCCCGGTGCCACATAGAAATAGCATTTGAACATAAATTTAATTGTTTTAGCAAAGCAATTTTTATTTTCTGCAGAAAAGGTGCTCATTGCAGACGGAATAATGGTGAGAACAGACCGGAAGAAAGGAAAAGCAGATGTGTTTATTCCTTACGCATTTTGTCTTTGCTACTGTGTCCTGTCTTTATTGGCTGGAGACAGACCTTACACTCTAAACTAAAACCCGATTGGCTAACAGTTTAAAACATTTGTAAATAGGTTAAAGCAATGGAAAGATAAAGGAAAAGAGGAAGCTTCTTACCAAAGGACTTAGAAAAGGAATAACATTCCTAAATAAGGAAGGGGCATAGGCTGGGAGCTGAGACATGCGTGTGAGCACGTCCAGCACAGATATTTTAGCTAAAGTACAAGGACTTAGAATGCACTACGGGCCTGTGAGCATGTCTAGCATAAAGGTAGTCTTTAAAAGAAACTATTATTTATAACACTTATGATTTATTCTTTAACAAGAAGGGAAACTTTGAAGAGGAACTTCTTATTTTCTACAATTTTTTCTTTTTTTATAGTTTTTTTAACCTTTTTTTAATATGCCTTGGCTTATTTGTTTAACTTTTGGATGTATGGTATAATATAATATCTAACAAGGAGAAATATACTTACTACAGTTGCTAGAGAGCTAAGGACTGAGGCTATGGGGTTTTTTTGTGTTTTTTTGTTGTTGTTGTTGGCCAAACCACTTTTTGAGCCGATTTGAAACAGGGTTGTTAATGCCAGAATTTTTTGTTAACCTATTTGATAAGGCAGTAAGTTCCTGGCAAGCTTTTGTTATGCTTTTACTGGGAGCAGTGTTGTTTGGGATAAAAGTGCAATATTGAGTTTTGCTTATAACACAAATACTACTTTTTTTTGCTAATATTATATTTAAATTTTTTTTTAGGGCATTTGACTAGTGGATTTTAATTGTTTAGCTATTTTTTTCCACAGTATTTTTGATATATTTAACAAATTGCTGCTGGTTGTAATGAATGTAGTTTATTTAACTTACATTTGTATTAATTGTTACTTACCAAAGCAACATTGACTTAAACCCTGCAGCTATTTGATTTTTGGCTTTACATTTATTTGGTACTTTATGGGGAACTTGCATTTAAATAGACATGGGAATTAAAAGATCTATAAGGGGCTGCTTCTTTTGAGGCTTTTTTTATTTGCCTATGTTGCATTTTTTTTTTTTTTTTTGGTTGATGAAATGCCAGGGTAAAAGGATAGCTAACTGAACTACAGCATAAGTACTGCTTTAATTATTTGGCCGAGTGTTCAGTCAAGGTTTTTTCTAATACTACCATATATTTGCTTAGGGATGGCTAAAGGTGGACTGAAGGGTTAGCTCTCAGAAGTGCCTGACTTTACTGCATTTTGTTAAGTCTTTAAGGTACACCCAATTTTCCCCTTGTCATTGGAGACACGAGGTAAAACTGGTCTTGGATGATGGAGGCTGAATGGCCCATGATGGCTGACCTGCAGGGTACTGCACTTTAGGAAACAGCAGAGAGAATTGGGCACAGTTTATTATCCTAGGTTGCAGGATTTTGAAAAAGAGCTACTATGCAGCTCCTGTTTGGTTGATTAGAGTGGAAAAGGGACAACCCGGCCTTTGGCCTCCTGTGCGCACAAGGATGACTGTCGCTTTTATTAAGAGTGTGCACAAAATATTTAATTCGTTTCAGCCGGGCATTTATATTTTGATACCTTGTTTTAATTGCTATTGTTTGCCTTATGAAACAATGGGCCACGGGAGGTACGGCAGCATAGGTACCGCAAGGCTGGGCCACAGGTACCACAGGGGCTGACCATGGGTCCGGCAGGGCTGGACCACGGAAACTGCAGAGTTTCACTGTGGGTCATGCAGGGCTGGACCATGGCTATTGCCTTAGGTTGTTTTACTTTTACTATAGAGGTTTTGGTCTCCATAGTAAACTATAGTCTTGTTATAGTAAACTTTGGTCTTGTTATTGTGTTTGGGAGGAGTGATAACTAAACAAGCATTAAAAGTAATAACTTCAGGAGAGTTAGATTTAGTTACATTAATAGTAAGTTGGGGAGTCACGGAAAGAAAAGAAAAAGAAAAGATAGATTAAGTTTTTTTAGCTTTAACTTGGTAGGGCTTGACCCTGGAATAATAGCCTATGACTCTGATGGCAATGACCCTTTTTGACTTGGGTATGACATGTTTATTTACATTTTTGCTGTGCAAACGGCAGTCTTGGTGGTTAGCAGCACAAGATAGGGTCCTTCCTAGGCTGGCTTGAGGGTTTTTTTTTTTTTAATCTTTTGATGAAGACATGGTCTTTAGGCTGGTGCTGGTGTACTGGAAATGTTAGGGGTGGTACCCATGCTAAAAGATTTTTAGTTTTGAGGGAAGGGAAAGTGGAAGATAAATTAAGCATATAATTTTTGAGAAACTGATTTTTGTTTTAAATGTGGGGATATTAGTAGTGGACTTTACAGTCCTTAGTGCCTTTTTGCTGAGATTTTCTTTTTTTTTTTTTCTTAATTCCTACTGATGTTGCCTTTGAGGGACTTCTTGGGGCTTTCCACCTTGCTAGAACTTTGCACATTCTGGGGCTGGAGGCCCTACGGTGATGCCTCCCGCTTTAGCCCCGCTTAGCGTTGCCCAGGGGCCGCCATGGCCTGGCCCTCTTTTGAGGTCTTGGCCTCCCTGCGGCCTTTACAGCTCCAGCGCATTGTGTTGTTGGGATGAGAGGTCTTGTGATTCACCTGCCACCTTTGGACCTGGCTCCTGCCTGAGCCCCTGCTGTCCGGCCCTTGGCCTTGGGCTGGGCTGTGTGGTTTCAAGGCTGCTTGGCCCCCTCCCTTGCACAGAAGTGGTTGTTTGCAGTTAGGAACCCCCACCGGCTTGTGCTGTGGCTTTTTTAGGAGACTCTGGAGGTGGAAACTCCTTGGTATTAACCCTGTGCTGGAGGGCCCCTAATGGGTTTTTTGATGCAGTTGGAACAAGAATTTCTTTATAAGGGGTTTGGATAACATTTTTGTTTGGTTTAGCAATATTTTTTTTTTAATTTTTAAAAAAATTTTTTAAAATTAGCTTTTAGACTAAAGAAAGCAAAACACCATTTTATATTTGACAATGCTTTTTGTGTGATTTTATACCAGATAAGTTAAATTTTACTTTTATATTAGTGTGTTATTAATGTTAAACTTAATTTTAATAAAACCTTATAGACATTATTTAATTTTAATGTCTGACTATAAGGTAAGATATTTATAGACTTTTTTAACCTTTTATAATTTTTGTTAAAGAGCAGTTAGTGCTTAGAAAAAAACCTGTTGTGCTTTTATTTTAATGTCCAGTTTACAGAAAAACTGGATGATACCTTTTTAACTTTAGCTAATATGTTTACACATAGAATTTTCTTTATAATTAACATTTTAAAACTTGCTTAAACCTTAAAACAAAATATATACATTTTTAAACTTTTAATGTAGGTAAAAATTTACATTTTTATGCTTTTTTACAATTTTTGTACTAAAAGTATTTTTTTTACATATCTTGCACATAAACTGTTTCTTTAATAGTTTTACATTTAGGAGGCCTAATTACTTTTAAATTATGTAACATTTTTTGCATACATTCCCCTTTGTAACTTTTTTTTACGACTTTCACAGATAATTTTTAACATGCCTTAACTTTTGGCCTTCCTTTTACACTATTTCTTTTCATAGTTTTACCCTCTGTGCCTTTCTTTGATCTCTGTCTTTTTCAGTCTTTCTCTTACTTATTTTTTCCTTTTTTTTTTAATTTGAGCTTTCTCTCTCTCTCTATCATCCCTTGTTTCCTCTTTCTCTCACACTTACTTGCTGGATGGGATCCGTGCGACTGCAGTGCAGGCCCCAGGCCAGGCCGCTGTTGGCCCAGAGGCTTGGCAGGTGCCCTGCGCAAGTTGCACAGGTCATTAACCTTGGGCCAGAGGGCCCCTTTGTCTTTCCTCCTTATTTTTATGTTTACTGCCCTTACTGCGCTGACTTTGACCTTCTCCTTTAAAGTACTGACCTTGCCTTCTTTTTTTTTTGGCATTCCTGACATGTCTTAACTTTTTTTTTCACCTTTTCTAGAAAACTTTGGAACTTTGCCAAAAGATTTTTGCTTTCTGTCTCTGCCTGTCTCTTTCTCTCTCTGCTGGTTTTTCCCTGCCTCTGCCAGCCGCCTATGCTGCTCTTCTCCCTTCTCCTTCCCCTTCCCCTTCCCCTAGGGAGTAGCCGGCGGAAGTGGAGCTTAGCCTCTTTCTTCCCCCGAGAAGAGGGGAAAGGGAATTTTTAAATATATATATATATGCACACACACATACATACACACACACACACGCACACATATAGACATATATATACACATATATACATATATACACATATATATAAACACACATATATATATAAGCATATATATAATTATTTTTATCTACTGGAGGTTTGTGTGATGTTCAGTCTTCCCCTGATGGGGATTTTTTTTAACTTCTTTTTAACCTCTAAGACATCCCGACCAGGGAATACCTCACCACCACCCAACCCCCGCACCCCCTCACCCCCCGCATCCCCCACCACCCCACCCCTCCGTACCCCCCACCCCGCACCCCCACCACCACCCCCGCAGCTTTTCTTTCCTCAGTCCTGACGAGGGAATGCTTTACCGCCCCTGGGGGTTCTTTCACTTTGGTGTGTCCCAAGGAAGGAATGCTTTACTGCCCCACGGCTTTTTCCATAGTCCCAACCACCAAGGAAATACTTGACCAGCTCCTCCAGTCTTTTTCCTTCCTTGGCTCATGCAGGAGGTCGCCTGGGCCACGTGATATGTGAGGGTCCTTTACGCCAGGTTGCTGGTCAGTTTCCTTCCGTGTTGCTGAGAGTCCGGGTCTGTTTGTCACACCGGGAGGGTCTCGATTCCTTACCCTTGAGGCCACTGCAGTAAGGCAGTGGGACGCCCCCTCGGGAGAGAGGACTAGAGACCACCCCGGAGGAGAATGTATCCCCGTACGGGCCACCATTTGTTATATGTAAAAATGTTTATTTAGAAATAGAATGTTTGTTCCCTGATGCCACAAAGAAATAGCATTTGAACATAAATTTAATTTTTTTAGCAAGGCAATTTTTACTTTCTGCAGAAAGGGTGCTCATTGCCGATGGAATAATGGCAAGAGCACACCGGAACAAAGGAAAAGGAGACGTATTTATTCCTTACACATTTTGTCTTTGCTACTGTGTCCTGTCTCCATTGGCTGGAGCCAGACCTTACGCTCTAAACTAAAAACCGATTGGCTAAGAGTTTGAAACTTTTTAAAATAGGTAACAGTAATGAAAAGACAAAGGAAAAGAGGAAGTTGCTTACGAAAGGACTTAGAAAAGGAATAACATTCCTAAATAAAGAAGGGGCATAGGCTGGGAGCTGAGACATGCGTGTGAGCACGTCCAGCACAGATATTTTAGTTAAAGTACAAGGACTTAGAATGTACTACGGGCCTGTGAGCATGTCTAGCATAAAGTTAGTCTTTAAAAGAAACTATTATTTATAACACTTGTGATTTATTCTTTAACAAAAAAGAACACTTAAAAAAATCTTTTTATTTTCTGCAAATATAGTAGCCCCAGCATATTTTGTCTAACACATAGTGTACTCTCAATATGCTTCTGATTGAATAAATTGTGGGATCAATAGACAAATCGATCAATCTATGCCCTACTTTGCAAATTCTATTGAATCTAAAAGTAAGCCATTTGGTCAACCTATCTCTATTACTCCCGTAACACAGTGCCTCTAATATTTAGAATTACATCACGTTAATTAGTTTCCAAATTTTCTTTCCTATACTCCCTCTTTTTTCCATTCCTTACAATTTTCAGATTGGTTAACTCAGCACAATTTACCTAAGAGACGGTGGACTCTTCTGCTGGTGATTTTCTGTGCCTGGATTCCCTTGCTGGGGCTGCTAGGAACCCATTGACACGAGTCTCGCTCTCAAGTTCTGTGTGCAAAGCATGCTGGGGCCAGGGCTTGCCGAGGACACGGGCCAGGTGGGAGTCTCCCTGCAGGCGTGCCTTGGTTCTCTTTTACACCCTAAGTCTCCCTTGCTTGCCACAGCCTGAAAGTGGTCTGCAATCCCCACTATGTTCTCCAAAGATGAAGCCACAGATATTACCCGTCTAAGCTCCAGTGGGTACCTGGGGAGACGACCCATGAGCTCCAAAGTGGGCAGCCAGACTCTTCCTTCAGCCAGCAGCCCAATCACATCAATGTGGAGACCAGGGACAGGCAGGGGCACTGGTGTGCTGGTAAATGTTTAACATCCAGCTCTCAGGAGAGGAGGGTAGGAAAGCCCCGATTTGTAGCATTAAACAATTCCTGTGGTGTAAATACTTTCTCTGTGGCCCTCGGCAAGCTTACCAATGTGACGTGACTGGAAGCAGAATTGGGAAGAGGTGTGAACTGTCACGTCTGATGGGCCACGGGAGGTGCTTCAGCACCACAGGTACTGCAAGGCTGGGCCACAAGTACTACAGGGGCGGACCATGTGTCCTGCAGGACTGGACCATGGAAACTGCAGGTTTTCACTGTGGGTCCTGCAGGGCTGGCCCATGAGTATTACAGGGATTGGTCACAGGTACTTCAGGGCTAGACCATGGGTACCCCAGCCTTGCAGGAGAACATGAAGAAACATCAAGTTCTCTCCTTTCCCTTTCATACCGACTTTGGTTGTTGTTCACCGTACACTTCCCAGGATCATATCTTTATCGCATTTATTCTGATATCTAAATTTATCTTATTGATTTATTTGCCTTTCTGACACCCATACAGTGACGATACAAACTCTAGGAGAACAGAGACATTGCCTTTCCTACTCTGAGGAAGCCTGGGCTACTATCCAACACATCGAGTTTACTCATTACCTTTGTCTAAATTTTCTTGTTGAATAGAATATGGTTCCAGCCTCCGGCAATCAGAACCTTCAGGAAAGAACTAGATTAAGCTTCATTTCTAGGTGCTCATGAACCTGTGTTCTTCCCGGAGGTCTTTGGAAATGCTTATCTAAACCTAGTGAAATGGCTTTTAAAAGCCCGCACTCCAGTTTCAGAAAACAGCCCTGCAGCTCTAAAGTCTTAATTTCAAATATAAGCAAAATTCCAGAACATCTGAGCAAAACAGTTCCTTCAAAATAAGAATAATAGTCAAATATATCAATATAAAAGGAGGTCTTAACATTCACGAAACCTCAAATTCCTAGTTTCTCTGGCGTTTGAATAATTTTTCACCATAGATAAAAAAGGAACCAGAGCCCAGGAAATGGCAGACCTGTAGCCTGACTCTCATATTTCAAACACCAGCCTCTCTCACACTGGCCCTGTTCCTCCGGTCAGCAAAAGAGACGGGCCTTTACAATAGAAATCCAACATTTACATGCAGGCTTGGGGATGAGAATCCAGTGCCCAGGACCTCTGCAAAGCCCAACTACTTCACCTTCAAGGGCGGGATGCCAGATCTGCTGTCTGCCTTGGGTTTCCTCACCTTAAAGAGCAAAAAGAATGCATCTTGGCTAATGTAGAGTGAAGAGGGTCTTGGGCTTGAAAGTTCACCAGCAAGTCACATGGATCGTGTTTGTTGTTTTGCTTTGGCGTTGTGTGCGTGTGAACGAGAGGACGTCCTGGCCATGGGTGAGACAATGGGGAGCACTGATCTGGGACTCAGCTGTAACCCAAACATGGGCAGTTACCAGGGCTGGAAGCCCAGCTGCCGATGCAAAGGCCAAGTATGGCCAGCAGAATCATGCACAACACAGAGATGGCAGCCTCAGAAGAGCCCGCATCTGTGTGATGGGGCAGTGGCAGCAGACCGCAGGCTGGTGAGCATCTCCATCGGCCCCTGCCTGGCTCCTGCTGCCCCAGCCACTGTGTGCAGCAGTGGAGCAGAGCTGGGCCTGTGCTCACCAGTGAGTGCTGCAGTCTGAAATTAGAACTCTTCTCCACAATGGTAATTTCTACCTGCCCCTTTACAAATCGAGCTACTTTTTAAATGCATGATGTCTCCACCCTCTCCTTCTATTCACAGACTCCCTAGGAAGAGGGATCTGCCCCCATGGCAGCATGCCCCAACTATGCCTCTACCCTTAAGATGCCAGGGGCAACCACCCTATTATCGTATCAGAAATAGCGGCGCTGTCAGCCCCATTATCCCGGGAATGTTGCTGAGGATGTGGGGATGGGATCTCTCACTCACTGCCGATTAGAGAGTATATCCATGGAACACTTTTAGATTATTTTTTGTTTGTTTAGATTGATTTTTTAAATTTTTGCAGAGCAGTTGGCAGTATCATTTAGAAATCAGAATGCCCATTGGCCCAACAATTCCATTTCTAGGAAATCTATCTACAGAAGTAATACCAAAAACGAGCAGACACACGTATATGGATAATCATCATGAATAATGGAAAATGGGAAAAAACCTAAACATTTATCAAGAATGGGCTCTGTCATTTGGGGCATCTCTATTATGGCACATTCTGTACGCTAATCCAATGATGCACATCTATCTATAATGACGGCAAGGTGCTCGGGGCATTTTTAAAATCAGCTTTGTTGAAGCATAATGGCCATACAATAAACTGCGTATATGTAAAGTGTATAATTTGGTACATTTTAACACACTCATGAAACAATCACCATCATCAAGACAGGAACCCATCCGCACCCGAAGTCCTCCCGGGGTCCCTCTGCACTCTCTCTCCCCAGGCAACCACTCGTCTGCTGTCACCAAGGATTAATTTCCCTCCTCTAGACTTTTATACAGATGGAATCGCACACTATGTTCTCAATTCTGTCTGGCTTCTCTCACTCAGATAATTGTTTTCAAATCCATCTGCCTTTTTGTGTCAATAGTTCATTGCTTTTGTGGCTGAGCAGCTTTCGGGGGTGTGGATGGACCACAGGGTTTTACCAGTTTTTCTGTTGATGTGCATTTGAGTTGTTTTTAGTTTAGGACTTATAGGAATAAAGCAGCTATGAACGTTCATGGACGCATTTTTGTACAGACTTCTACTTCTTTTTTTGATAAATATCTAGGAGTGGAATAGCTGAACCATGTGGTAGGTGTAGCTTTCACTTTTTAAGACACTTCCAAGCTGCTTTCCTGTGTGGCTGCTACATCTTGCTTTCCCACCAGGAGCAGGAGCTTGCACCCAGGACGTGTTTAGCTTCTGTTTTTT
This sequence comes from Homo sapiens, assembly GCF_000001405.40. Classification (NCBI taxonomy): domain Eukaryota; kingdom Metazoa; phylum Chordata; class Mammalia; order Primates; family Hominidae; genus Homo; species Homo sapiens. The sequence goes on from NC_000020.11 coordinate 61,197,781, forward strand.
TTTAAATTGATTTATTTATTTTATTAACAAATAATAATTGTATATTTTATCATGTACTCATGATGTTTTGAAATATGGAAATGTTGTAGAGTGGCTCAATCAAGCTAATTAAGGGAAACAAATAATAAAAGAAAATATCTAAAAAATTCATATGTACATTTACATAACTAAATAAAATAGTACTTAAATGTGTATATAAGCATATGTAAGGTGTGTGCCTGTGTCTATGCACACGCATAAGATAGACGCACTCATATCAAATTCCCAACAATGCTCACCTCCAGAAGATATGATGGAGACTAATCTTTGTTTTTGAGACGGAGGTGCTTTAAAAAAAATAGCAAAGTTGCTTTAAAAAATAGCAATTTTATTAAAAAATAATTAATTCATAATTAGCAAACTCTGCATTTTTGAAAGACCAAAATTTGAGCAAATGCTGTGGACACCCTCCAGAAGGCTTAACAAGCTTGGCTCTCCATAGTTACAGGTCCTGATGGGCTCTGCTGTTGGGGGCCACACCCCAACTCCCAACACCCCCAAGTCTTTCTGGTCAGCAGGCTCAGAAACAAGATGATGCACTCAAGGAAGTAACATGAATCGATGGTCATGTACAAAGGACCAGACAACCCAGGGCTCCTCCAGCCCGAACATTCTGACAGTCCACATGTCTGGGCTGGGATTCATCCTAACTCTCAGGAAAGAAAGACTCCTCCAAGAATGAGGATGCGGGTAGAGCAACGGACCCTACCACTGTTAATCTTGGCATGGGGGTCCATGCACTAGGCTGAAAGCATAGGAAGGTTACCAAGACAATCTTTGAAATCTCTCATGCGTTTGGTCAAATATAAATCAAGATAAAATGGACTTAAAATTATGACTCATGAAAAAAAATGGCTGTCTCCATGTGTAGTATAAAATTAAGGCGTCATTTTGAGCCAGTTCTATAAATTTCTCTAAGTGTACATGCAACTTACTTTATGACTTTTGTAAATTAGTATCTCAATTTTGTCTTCTGTAAAATGAACATAATAGCACCTGCCTCATAGGCTTGGCATGTGCTAAGTCAAGTATCTAAAAACAGTGCTGAGCACATGGCAGGGGCTGTGGCAGCACTGACTGTTGGTGCTCATATTCTTCCTCTCTAAAGTCTGATCCTCTTTTCCACAATATAAGATTACCATCATGTACTCACTCACAAACTCATTCGTTCATTTACTTATCCAATGTTTATTGAGTGCCTTCTGAAAGCTGGTGGCAATGTCTCAGCTAGTTGTGGGGGATGAAGTAGTGAACAAGGGAAACCTCCAAGTCCAGGAGAAGAGAGAGGCATGAAGTGGAGGCATGGACGCTAATGGAACACAAGAAGGGAATCTGCCCAGGGACAGTGGCAGGGAGCTCAAATGTTTGGGAAGCCAACAAAGGCGTACAGCCCTGAGGAGCCAGGACTCTATCTTAGGAAGAGCACTTGGCAACAGAGTGGAGAAGAGCTTGGAGGAAACGCAAGTTCACAGGTGATGGAGCAGTTCTAATGGAAGGTGCTGGTCGTTTTGAAAGGGAGGGAGATATCATTTGGAGAAAAACCAGATATGAGGGTGAAGAAGAAAGAAGAATCAGGAATGGCTCCTAGATTTAGAGCTTGGACATCTGAGTTAACTGGGGAGGCATGGACTGGCTTGGAGAGCAATGGACAAAGAGCAGCTGTGACCTGTAGGGAAGGGTAAAGCCTGCAAGAGGTGATGATTTGGCCATTCTGTGATTAAAAAAAAAAAGATTTAGTGTTTCATGGAAGTCTACCAAAGAATCCTTCCTACAGAAACAAATGTGCTTGAGGCATTTACTGAGTTACTCAAATAGTTGTTACTTACTGGGAGTAACTACCTAAGATAAAACAAAATGGTGGCTGCATAGGTTGTCATGTATGTGAAAATTCCTTTCATATGCACAATTCCACATCGTGATCACCCCCACTCTAGGAAGACTTGGAGAAATCAAGAATGTCAACATTGTGGTTCAACTAGAAGTGGTGAATCACAAATTTGAACCCAGATCTCCCTGATTCTAAGCATTATTGCCATTCTAAGGGCACCTTGGAGGATTCTTGAGAATTTTTTTGCAGAGAAAGGAATCTTCAAGGTAATGGAAAGGTAAGATATCATTTGCAAGTTTTTGGTGTGAGATACAATTGGTAGGTGTTCACAAGTCTTGGCAGTTACCCTCTAACAGTTTCTTAAAAGATGCGCCAGGCAGATAGCCAGATAAGACCAAGTTTCTATGATAAAACTTGAGTACACCGAGAGATGGTAAAATACAGTTCAAACAAAGTGGAGTCCAGGACTTCAGATTTTGAAGTGACAAAGAGATCTGGAAAGGGTACTGCTTCCACCTTTACAATGAGTAAAGAACTGAACAAACTGCAAACCACTGACTTTTCCTGATATCATAAAAGAACTGAAGTTGCAGAGCAAACAAAACGCCCCAAACCTGGGGAGAGACAGATGCTTGCGGAGAAAAAGAAGAACCAAGCATTCATTTACTTGGAGCAGATGTTGCCTGATTCTACATACACTGGTAATAAAATCCAGCTATGAATTCTTAACTAATTGCTTAAAGCCAAGTATGGGAAAGTGTAAAGCCCTAGGACTAGAAGCATGGATGGGGTTTGCGCTGTCTTACAAGCATGCCCACTACTGTGTGCTTACAGCATATGCAACAACAAAAAAAAGTGAAATCCACGACAGCTATGGCACAAAGGATGAGAAAAGGACTTAGAAACATACAGAGGCCCTTGCACTTCATACAAATTAGTATACTATTATTTGAAGAAGACCTTAGATTTTTTAAAGTACATATTATAAATACCAGGGCAAATATTAAAACATCAAGTGAGATAAATAATTAATAGAGGAAGTGAAAAGAAATTATAAAAATAGTCCATCAAATCTAGAGAAGACAACAAGGGGGAATAAACAAATAACAAATGAAACAACTAGACAACAGCTGGCAAGATGGTAGTTTTAATCCAGTTATATTGATAACCATTTTAAATGTGAATGATCTAAACACAGCAGTTAAAAGACAGAGATTGCCAGGTTGAATGAAAAAAAAGACTCAACAATATGCTGTCCACATGACATTTATTTTAAATTTAAAGACATAGAAATATCAAAAGTAGAAGCATGGAGAGTGATAGATCTTGCCAACACAAGCTACAGAAAGCTGGAGCAACTGTAATAATTCCATACAATGCAGAATGTAGAACAAGGAATATTATCAGAGATAAAGAGTGATAATACATAATTATAAAAGAATCAAGTCTCCCACAAGAGACAATACTAACAACACAGCTTTAAAATACGTGAAGCAAAAACTGATTTATTTGAAAGTGACAGCAAAATTTACAGTTACAGCTGGAGCCTTGAATACTTCTCTCTCAGCAATTGGTTTAACAAGAAGGCAAAAATAAGTACAGATAATGATAACCTAAACAGTGTCATTGACCATTTTGACATAATTGACACCTAGAGAACACTCCGACAACAATAACAAAATACCCTTCTTCACAACTGCAAATGAAACATCCACCTAGAGAGACTGTAGTCTGGGCCTTCAAACACACCTTAACAAATTTAAAAGCATAAAAATCATACAAAGTATATTTTAAAAGATCAAATTAAACTAGAAAATAACAAAGATATCTGAAAATCTCTAAATATTTGGAAACTAATAATGTACTTGTCCGTAAAATGTGGATAAAATGGAATTATCTGAGAATTAAAATTCTTTTGAACTGAATGACAATAAAAATACAGCATATCAAAATGTATGGGATGCAGCTAAAGCAGTGCTCAGAGGACAATCTATACTACTAGAGGCTTATATTAGAAAAAAAAATTTAAATCAATAACCTAAGCTTTCACCATTAGAGAAGGAATTTCCTCACTCAGGACCCTCTGCGGATGTCGCCTCCATCCTCATCAGGACCCTCCATGGTGTCACCTCCATCCTCACTCAGGACACTCCATGGTGTCACCTCCATCCTTACTCAGGACCCTCCATGGTGTCACCGCCATCCTCACTCAGGACCCTCCATGAGTGCCACCTCCATCCTCACCAGGATCCCCTGTAAGTGTCACCTCCATCCTCACCAGGACCCTCCATGAGTGTCACCTCCATCCTCAGGACCCTCCATGAGTGTCACCTCCATCCTCACTCAGGACCCTCCATGGTGTCACCGCCATCCTCACTCAGGACCCTCCATGAGTGCCACCTCCATCCTCACCAGGATCCCCTGTAAGTGTCACCTCCATCCTCACCAGGACCCTCCATGAGTGTCACCTCCATCCTCAGGACCCTCCATGAGTGTCACCTCCATCCTCACTCAGGACCCTCCATGGTGTCACCTCCATCCTCACTCAGGACCCTCCATGGTGTCACCTCCATCCTCACTCAGGACCCTCCATGGGTGTCACCTCCATCCTCACTCAGGACCCTCCATGGTGTCACCTCCATCCTCACTCAGGACCCTCCATGGTGTCACCTCCATCCTCACTCAGGACCCTCCATGGTGTCACCTCCATCCTCACTCAGGACCCTCCGTGAGTGCCAGCTCTGTCTACCCTCGGGACCCTCCATGAGTGTCTCCTCTATCTACCCTCAGGACCCTCTGTGAATGTCCTCGCCATCCATACTCCCCCCTCTTAGACCCAGACTGTTTCAGGGTTGGACACTGAGCTGTGGCCCCTGAGCCTAGCTCTTCTCCGAGCTTCTCTTGGGCACCTCTCTCTCAGACTAGGCTCAGCTCCAACACCAGTTCCCAGAGCCCTTCCTGTTCACTGTCTGGTGTCTCACACTCACACCTGCTCACATGCACACTGACTCACTCACACTCAAACTCACATCCACAGTTATAGAGTTCACTGCTTTCCTCACATCCTTCTGCAGTCAGGTGGCCACAGTCACCTTCTCCCACACAGCCTCACACACTCATGCTCCCAGACACGTTCACAGATATACACAAACTCATTGACACACTGGCAAACTCAATACTGTGCACACCTGCTCTCAGGCACACACTCACACACTCATCCACACAGAGACACTCACTCCTGTGCAGGTGCACACATGACACGCCCCCCCACCCCTCCCTTCCGGCACCCCATGTTCCCTGTCTCAGGGCTCACACTTCATAAGCACTCATGGAAGTTGCTACTGCAGGGTGGATGCCAAGACAGGGAGCCTGCACGAACAGGTTCACAGCATTTGTTGTTTATGTGGCTGTTGCTTGTCCTTCACTGAGGTCCAGCATTTAGAGGGCAGGGACTCTGTCTCTGGGGCATCTCTTTATTCCAGGACACAGCAAGTACCTGCCACATCTAGGAACTCAGTAAATATTTCTTGTTTAATAAGAGAGGGAGGAAGCACAGGCTATAGGATACAAAAAAAAAGAAGAGGATGGCAAAGAAGGACGGGTGCTGAGGAAGACAGAGAGATGGACCGTGTTGAGCCTGCGAGGTCTTGGCGGGAGCTGTCCTGGGCGTGGTTGTTCTCTGATACAGTCTAATTTCGATGTGGCCTCGGTGTGGCATACTATGGGACCACAGCTTCCCCATCAGGCTGCCTTACTGAGGTGGAACTCCACAACCTTGATTTAATAGACAGAAGCTGCATCTGCTCCCCACAAGTTACTAGCCCACACGGGCACTGCTCAGAGTTAAGAATGTGTTTCCATGGTGACCTTCTGGTAATTAACTTTTTGGAAGGTGTCCAAGACAGACCAGCCTCCTCCAGAATTCAGCACCACCTGGGGTCCTTCCCGCCCAGGGCTACTCTTTCTGGAAAATCAGCTTGCATGTCCTGGCCGTGGGAAGGGTCACCTGATTTCCTTTATGCCTTTTGAGGGGCTCACTCTTCCTTAGACCAAGGTTGTGTACTTCCTTCTTTTACCTTGTTTATGCAGCAGGACCCCGGATCCAACCTGTCTTCTGTGAGCTTTATCAATAGACTAGGGTTTGTTGTAACAAACTGGGAAGAAACCCAAAGAAAGGGGTGGGATGGGCTAGTTTCTAGCCACTTTCATGATTAGAAAGTGTGGCTTGGAAAAGGACAGACAATTCCTTTCTGGCATGCTGTGAACAGGAAAGTGAGAGCGTGGTAGAGTACTGCAGACGTATTTCTTACCATATCATATGTTCTTAGATGGGTGTTTTTGGCCAACATTTTGAATGTCTTTGTTTAGCTTCTTTATGCTTGAGGCAAAACACTTAACTAGAGAGTGATAGGGGCATTGTTGAAACAATGATGATAAATTATAAATAGGCATAATTATCCTGTGGCCTGAAAAGAGACCTGCACACAATTAATATTGAAATTTGGCAAGTGCATGATTGGAAGAAAGATGTGATTTCTTAAGTAAGGAAATTTTAGGAATGCACCCTTATGTAGCACTGTATATAATGTCTTCTGGAGGGAAAATGAAATCCCATTGCTGATCAACGGCATGGGTGCAGGGTTTGGAAAACACCCACGGATCCAAATCAACTGCTGCTTTCTCCCCTTTCTACACGCAGTTCCAGCATGATGCTGAAAATGATTCAAAGATTCAGATGGGAATATGTGTACTCGAGGAAACAGTCCTGTTTGCAGCGAAGAGACTGGCAAGCTGTTCAGAGTTCTATGCACCATGAGCTAAGCAGATCCAGTTCCCCGGAAGATCTGGTACAGACTGTTTTTATCTGGAGAGAAACCTAGGCTGAAACCTAGCGTGCTGAGCAAGTTTACTAGCATAAAGGGAGCAGCGGACAAAATTTGAAGATACTGGCTCAGGGTGAGCAAATGCGAGCTCTGTGCACTTGGAGAGAGGCGCTCTGCACAGCCCAAGGGTGTGGAAGTTAACTCTCTGGTCTTGGAGTTAGACTGTCTTGCTCCATCCCTCAAGTCTGCCAATGACTTGTTTTGAACCTTCACCAGTTTCACAGCCTTTCAGAGCCCTGTCTCCATGTTCCTGTAGCACTGATCTCCACCTCCTAGGGTTGAAGATGACCTGAGATCAGCAAACTGCCTAGCATGTAGTTGGCGCTCAATCCACAGCAGCTCAGACCCCCTATAGCAGCCTTTGGTGCCTAGCTTCTCAGATCCCCATCCAGCAGCTAGGCCCTCAAGGAATGACACAAAAATGAAGTGAATGCTTCACCTTCCGTCAACATGGCATGCATGCAGTGGGATTTAACTTCCCATTATTGAATTAAAAAGAAATGGCCCAGCAGTTCCAACTCCCTGGGATCCTGTTCCTGAATCCCAGTCCAACTGCGACTCAGGTACCCAAGAAAAAGACTTTCAGCATTTGAACTTGGACTTAAAAGCCTTTAAGAAAATTAGTGTTCCTGAATCTGCTGTTTCATCAGGAGGATGAGGGGGGATCATGAGGATCACCCCAGCATGGCAGCTCTGAATCCTCCCACCACATGGTCAGGGCATGTGGATCACAGGATGAGCTACGGCTGCCACGGCTGCAGCGTAGAGCTCAGCCCAGGTGTGTCCTGCCCTCCCCTGGTCCTCTCCCCGCTTTAGAAGTTATTCCAAAAGGCAACTTCCTCCTCCCACCCCCATTAAAAGCAGCTGTTTTATTTCTGATTGACTCTTTTTTGAGCAAATTCTTCAGAATCAAGTCACTTGAAGGGTAATTGTTTCTGAAAAATATCTTGTTTTTGCATCTGTGCAGCTGTGGTTATTCAATCACTGGAACACCATCTATTGAGTGGCATATTTATCGCTGACTTTTTCCCCTCCTTTTATTCTGGTTAGACATGGTTTGGTTCCCTTAGTTTGGGGATGGGTTGTGTTCTTTAGGTTTGCGAGTTATTTTTTGCTGTATTGTATTCCTAATATAAGGTATAAGAAATTTCTATTGTAAAAACTAAATAATTTTAAAACTAAACATCTCACTGAAAACATCTTAAAAATTTGACATGAGTCCATTAACTGATAAGATCTGTGTTTTAAGGAAAAATGGGTCATCTCGGATGTCCAAAGAGCAACTTTAGAAACGCTGGAACCACGGGTCAATCAGTTATAGGAAACCCTCTTTAGGGAATAGTTGTCATACTCATGTACCTATTTAATTCATAACCAGAAACATCCGGGAGGCATTCATTGTCCTCTTGAGGCTGTCTAGGAACAGAGGTTCCATGATCTCACCTGAGTCATGATGGCCTTGGGGCATCCCTCTTGAGTCTTCTCACTTCTAAAGCATCCTTGTAGGAAAACAGCACCCTCTGAAGGACAGTGTCCCCGCCCCCCCCCCCCCCCCAGCCCCAGGAAGCCAGGGCACTTGTCCTAGCACAATCAGGGGCCTAGCATCAGAAGTGGGGCTTGGGAATGGAGCGGGAAGTGGGTAGCGGGGAGGCCCAGGTGTGAAAGCATCGTCCACCTCACCGAGTGCCCTTTGACTCCAGACCACCGGCGTGGAGGGGTTATTTTAGAGACAACACACCACTAGCTCCCCAGTCACGGCCCCATCTTCGAGAACATGCCCCGCCCAACCCCATCAGGGCCACCACATGGCACTGAGCCCTCACTCCCCACTGTGAGGATCGGGGCCAGCAGGTAGAAAGGAGCAGTCTGTGGGTAAGAGCTGGCACTTGGGAGGTCATCAACGCAGGCAGAGCGAGAAACAGCAGAAGAACAGGAAGGAAGGAGGGGAGTCTGGGAGCCGGAGGAAATGGCCCCTTTTCCCGACCTCTAGCTCCTGCTCAGAGTCTGGTCCAGCTCCACATGGCTCGCACAGCCCTCGTCCTACTGCACTGTAACTGCTTAGCTATGTGTCTGCCTCTAAATTATAAGCTTCACGAAGTCCAGCATCTGTGTCTGTCTTGTTCATGCTTATGCCCAGAACATAGCTCCAGGGCTGGCACAAAGTGACTTTGCGTCAAGTGGTTTTCTACAACAGAGGAAGGAGGAGAGAGCTTTCAGTTAAGAGGGAAACAGGCCAGGTGGTCGGCAAGGCTGTTGGGGGGCAGGCAAGCCCAAAACTGGGGCTTAGCCTGGGAAGGTTCTTGGCTTTGCCCAGGAAAGAATTCAAGAGCAAGCTGGTGGTAGAAGAAAACAGCCTCACTGAGGCCCAGCGTTACAGCTCTGTGATTGCCCCTGCAGAGCAGGGCCATGTCCTAGGCAGTGTGTGCACAGCCGCAGCTTTATACCCACTTAAAATGACATGCAAAGTAAGGAAAAGGTTATTCAGAATTTCCTAGAAAAAGAGGTGGTAACTTCCAGGTCATTGCCATGGAAAGGGGTGGCAACTTCTGGGTGTTGCCATGGCAATGGTAAACTGACATGGCACTGGTTAGCAGTCTTATGGAAAGGTGCTTTCACCTCTCCCCTGTTTCAGCCACTCTTCAATCTGCTCCAGAGTTTGAGCCCCACTTCCTACCTCAAGGGGACCCCAGGGTGGTGGTCACAGCGTATGTAAGAATTATAATCACAATTACAGTTAAACATTCAGGTAAGCATATTAGAAGGCAAAAATATTTCCTTTTTCAACATTAGGATACAGTTTGTTTGAAAGGTCTAGTAATGCAATGGTTACATCGCAAACTCATGCTTTAAATACTAAGTACCTTCCCCATCTCTGTCTGTAAAGGAGCCACAAAGATTCCCACGAGACAGCCTGGTACATCTTCCAGTCCTCTAGGTTTTTATCTTAAATATTAGTCTATAATAACATGAGTCAGAGCTCCTCAGGGAGAAATTGATTTGATGTCCCAGGAAGAGGAAAGTGGAGATGGTTCTGGTACATCTTATTGCCAGAAAGCAGTAATTATTTCCAAATTTTTTGGGAATCATATCAAAAGAACAAAAAAGCTAGCCCAAGAGGCTCCCAGTGGACATATTATGCCAATGTAACCATCATCAAGAGAGTGATAATTATGGGTAATTAGGACTAGTCACTTTGTTTAAAACCACAGGTCTATAATGCTACTCAAAATGGGAAAAGTTATTATAAAGTTTGCAAAGCCATCTGTGAAAGGTTGATGAGGAATTGGAGATGTGTTGGTGCCAGATTATAACTCCACAGATTACTTGCGGGTCAGTAGGAGAAAATATAGTTATAAAGCAGAGGAATCTGACTGCGCTTACCACAACCCGGTGACAAAACAACATCCCTCATGGTGAAGCAGCTGGACGTGTGTGTCAGGATGTGACACACGTGATGTACAAAGATGGTATCATCATCAAAGTAGACACCAAAACGTGTTTACCTGAACCAAGTGAGGGCCCCGGACCTAACATCCAGCCTGCAGAAAATACTGGGTGTAGAAGGGCTGGCTGTCACGAGACCTGATCAGACTCAGGCAGAACATGGTGCCTCCTACAGGATGGCAGCTCAGCTCTTCATCCAATCACAGTCATGGCAGCAACTGGCGGGGCAGGGCCCGTCTAAGAGAAATGAGACGTAATCTGTAGAGAAGCCAGCTAGACACAGGGGAAATGGTAAGGCAGCTGCAGCAAAATGTCAACACTTGTCCTTATTTCCTCATCTACAAAATGGGGGTGGCATCAACAGCACTCATCTTAGAAGATTATAAAGATTAAACGTAAAATGTTTAGAACATTGTACATTATCAACTAAAGGTTCCAAAAGCTGTTAGGCGGTGCTGGTGAGTGTTCTTTCCATGCATGAAATCCTCTCAGACATTAAAAAATCTAGACTCAGACCAGTGAATACTGTTTGGAGACAATGCCCCCACCCCCAACCCACTGCAAAGAAAAAAAAAAAAGATGAGGATGAGGATGGTGTATTGAAAGCACAACAGAGAGAATGGCAGCCCTCTTTCTACAAATCCAGTAAACAGAATCTTTCCAGGAGTACATATGGTGAAAAGTCAGGTATAATTGCATTTCATACTTGGTAAATTGTTATTTATATGAGAAAATGCAAAAGTGAGTTTCTGTATCAGTTAACTATTGCTGTGTAACAAACCACTCCAACATAAGTGGCTCAAGGCAATAATCAGTTATGATCACTCACAAGACTTGGGTTTCCTGGCAGGCTCTAGGCTGGTCTGGGCTGGATTTGCTGCAGTCTGTGGGGACGGCTGCTCTAGGAGGGCTTCGCCTGGACTGGTCTCCTCCACGTTGTCTCTCATCACCCAGCAAGCCTGGAACTGGTACATCATCATTCCTTCCACCCCCCCCCTTTTTTTTTTCCAGACAGAGTCTCACTCTGTCGCCTAGGCTGGAGTGCAGTGGCATGATCTTGGTTCACTGCAACCTCCACTTCCCGGGATTCAAGCAATTCTCGTGCCTCAGCCTCCCAAGAAGCTGGGATTACAGGCATGCGCCACCACGCCCGGCTAATTTTTGTATTTTTAATAGAGATGGCGTTTTGTCATGTTGGCCAGGCTGGTCTTGAACTCCTGACCTCAGATGATCTACCCATCTCAGCCTCCCAAAGTGTTGGGATTATAGACGTGAGCCACTATGCCCGACCCCTTCCTCCACTTCTGTTAGTCACAGAGCAACCCAGATTCAAGGGAAAAGGAAACAAACTCTATCTCTAGATGGGTTGGGCTCTAGAGTCATTTTGAAAAGGGCACCAATAAAAGTGCAGGGGAGGATTGGGGCAGCTGCAGTCAATCAACCACAGACCATCTGGGCCGCACTGACATAACCAGACATGCAGATGAAGAGGACTTTCTTGTAATGCACAAAGGTATTTTCATAGCTGGGCTTTTCTCTGTGTATCTTTGGAAGAGTACCTACAAGGCAGCTGGTAAAATGGACCTATTCCTTAGTGGTAGCATGAAAACATAGTAACTAACAAAGACTAACAATCATTCAGAGGGCAGGCCATGTTCTGCCTTGATGGCTACACATGGTCTCATTTCATCTTCATTGCCATCTCCTCCACATCCATTCCATTCTCTTCATGTGAAGTCGAGGAAGTTTAAGCACCAAGAATTTTAATATTTTGTCCGAGGTCAGTTAGTTGATGAGTGGTGGCACTAGGCCTACAACTCCCCCTATTAATGCCTGGGCCCACGAACTTAGCAATATATGTACACGCTACAGCCTCCCTGAGTGGAAAGCTTACAGGTCACAGGTCCCAAACACCAGAGAACCAATGATAATCTTTGATGAACTTTTCAGCAGACACAAACTGAATAAAATAAAACAATGTAGGAATTATTTTTAAGTGCTAATTCTATCTACCTATTGATGTACTTTATTTATATATTTACTTACTTATTTATAATTTTATCCTGAAATTGTGTCCTTCCTACTTTGGGGGTGCTGAAATAAGCTTTTCCTTAGGCAGTAGTGGGAAAAGGAGAATGCGGTTGCATGTTTGCTGCCATTACTGTTGTGGGTTATTGTTGGTTTGAGTCCTGGTGTTTGTAATGTTCTCACCTGGAAAAAAAAATAAAATGTTAGTAACATTTACAACCTCTATGAGATATTTGACATGTGCCTTACCACCCGTCTGATCATACTCCTTTCCCAGAGCTCTGGGTTTCTGGAAGCATCATGCGGCGGCCAGGCACCTGACCCCACCTGAGGCTCCAGCAGAGGAGCAGTGAGTGAAACTGGCTAAACCCATCTGTGAGCTCCAGCACCCTGGCAATAGAATTCGGGTCAGATGTTGAGCCAGTTCACATCAAATTAACCTGAGGGTGTTCCAGGAAGACAGGGGCAGAGAGGAAATTGTCCCCAGGAGATGCAGCCATCATGGGATCCTGAGGGCAGATGGCTTTGCAATGAAGCTGACCCTCGAAAGCAGAGTAGAGATAGAAACAAAATGAGCCCTCAGTGTCACTATAGAGGCCCCTCACACCAGCCATTAACTCAGGATCCTCAGGTATATGAGCCAATATATTCCACTGATTGTTTAAACCAGAGTGAACTTGGTTTTCAGTCTGCAAAGAGTAACCAAGGAGTCAAATACGCAATTTGGGACCCCCTGGGAAAGTTCATCCTCCCTTCTTCCTGGTCACTGAGGAAAATATGACCCTGTGTCTCCTGTCATTCTGATAAGAACACATCTAATTTAATCGAAGCTAAGCAATCCGGGCCTTTAAAAATAATTTTATTGTTTCACTGCTACCTTCTTCTCCTTAGTCACCTCTACCTAGATAGAGTGGGAACCAAAGTTGGGGGTGCAGCCATTTTGGCACATGGTGGAATTGTACTGTTTGCCACTGAGACTTCCTTTTATTTTGACTGCAGGCGGACCGCCCATCTTATGCAATTCTTCAGGGACACGTCTCGGATCTCAGCCCGTAAGTTATAAAAGCATGCAGTTCCAATGGGATCTCAACCTCTAAGTTATGAAAGCATATGCAGTTCCAACCCCCATTGACTCCAGTTCCCAAGATGTTGCTTCAGTTCTTGGATCTCAAAATCACTGGCAAAAAGTGACGCCTCATCTGGAATGGAGCTGATCTGCAGGGCTGGTGGTAGCTGTAATGATCCTGCTCACATCTGTGGCGAGGTCCACTGGACTTCCATGGGAATCATTAGTGGAAATCATGGCATTGCATACCTCAGTAACAAGAGGCTTTATCTGCTAAAGAGGAGTCAGAGACGGCTGCCCTCCTGTTATTTCATCTGCCTCCGAAGATATGTCCAGGTGTGTAATGACAAATTTGTTGCAACAGGACAGGCGAGCCGGCACTCAAATTTGCCTGCATCGGTTACTTCACATACCTTTTCTCCTTGTCTTGGAGCACCCTGTTCAGTGTTCCTCAAAAGCTGAGTTTTTGATAAAGATTTCTTTCTACAACCTCCACAGTATTCCAGGGACTGAGACATACATGTCAAATATTTTAAGTCGTTTACAAAAGTATTGAGATTTCCTAATGCTAAATGAGCAGACTGAGGCTGTGAATGGCAAAATTACCCATTGCATGCAGCAATTCAGAGGCTGTCTGTCACGCATACGAGACACCATGGAGGGGAGGACTGGCTGATTTAGCTACTCAATAGATACATCCAAAAATACCACTTAGAATTTAGTATTTATTTTCCTTGGAAAAGAATAACGGCACTGTTTCCTGCAGGGAAATTTACTATGCCTTTATTCTGTTTAACCAATAATACCTTATGGGCTCTTGAAAATTATATTCACTTAAAGATCAGGCAGTCATTTTCATTTGTCCTGACAGAAAAGCATAGATTGCAACTGGGTCTACAGCACCCAGGTTCAGTCAGCGTTTTGCTGGAATAACAGTGGCCACAACCAAACTCATTGTCACTCAAAACCACCTTTCTCTTGGCTGGTGCTGATATTTTGCTTGGGATGATCTTTTACATGGGAAGCCAGCCCCAGCCAGTCTTTACTCTTGCCTGAGGCCAAGGCCTCTTCTCCATGTCTGTAGTCACGCCTCTCTCTTGCATGTGTGCCCTCTCTAGACCTCCATGGCAAGTGGACTAAGGGTGACCTTTAGAGCAGGCGTTAGGGATTTCTGCTCTAAAAGGAGACCCATGGCCCATGGTGACACATAGAATGCTTAGTAAAATGGCATTCCTCTACCACAGGGGAAAAAAAACCCAGGCCTTGGAGGAACATGGGCTATGACTATGGCCTCTTTTGTTTCTGTAATGCACATACACTTAGTAATTTCCTGATATAATTTTTCAGGTTTCAAAACATCCATGAGCTCCAGCCCTCTTCATCTCTTGCTGGAGAGCTCATTCTCTCATTCTCTGGAACACAGAGCTATGCTGCTCGTAGGCACTCAGGAAACACTTGCTGAATGGATTTAAAGTGGATAATACAGGGAGAATTATCTTGTAAACTGAGCCTGCTGGTTTCAATCGCCATCACATACATACACAAAATGACAGACATTGAAGCATGTTTGAGGAAGGATCTCTACTCGGTGCAGACCTTTGAAAACAGCCTGGTGCTTGGGTGCCACCCCAGACCAAAGAAGCTGGAACGCCTGGGACTGACCTCCAGGCATGGGTGCTTTTCAGAAACACCCTGGGTGGTTTCGCAAGCAATCAGGGTCACACAGGTGGTCCCAGCGTTAATTTTGGTGCAACAAGTATGAGTGTTAAATAACAATGCATCTTATTCAATACTTTGACCACTCAAGGAGAAGACCTCAATTCACCATCAGTGAGTCTTCCATCTCTTTACCTCTTGTTCATGTGCCTTTTAATATATAGACCACAAGCTCAGAGCCTGGGCAGATAATGGCATCTTTTTCAAATTTCATAATGTTTTTTCTGGGCTGGGGATGGTGGCACATGCCTGTAATCCCAGCACTTTTGGGAGGCTGAGACAGGCAGATCATCTGAGGTCAGGAGTTCAAGACCAGCCTGGCCAACATGGTGAAACGCTGTCTCCACTAAAAATACAAAAATTAGCTGGGTGTCCTGCCTGTAATGCCAGCTACTCAGGCGGCTGAGGCAAGAGAATTGCTTAAACTTGGGAGGCAGAGGTTGCAGTGAGCCAAGATCACACCACTGCACTCCAGCCTGGGCGACAGAGCTAGACTCCTTCTCAAAAAAAAAAAAAATGGCTGTAGAGAATACATGCAGTTGCTATTGAGAAGCCGATTACTGCTGCCTAATTGTCTGAGAGTTTAAGCAACCTGCCTTTTCTCTCTAGGTGCTTGAGGATGGTCTCTTATCTTTAGTTTTCTGCATTTCGCTAAAATGCAGTTTAGTGCATTTTTACTAAATGCATTTTCTGCATTTTCACTAAAATATGTCTAAATGCATGTTTGTTTCTTTGTTTTCTCGTTTAGGATTAATTGCACTTCCTGAATCTGTGAATTGGTGTCTTCCATCAGTTCTGAAAAATTCTAGCCACTGTATCTTCACATATTGTCCCTACTACCTGCTCCCCCAATTCTGGAACTCTCAGTGGATACATTGTATTTTTTCAGTCCATGCCTCATGTCAGTGTTCTTCTCACATTTTTTTTTCATTTTTTCATCTTTCTGGGCTGCGTTTTGGATGATATTCTCAGATACATATTTCAGTAAACTAATTCTCTTTTATCTGTGTGTAATCTGCTATTAAACCCATCTGTTGAGTTTTCATTCTCATCCTTATCTTTGTGGGGTTTTTCTTACACTTGTAATTGGCTCTTTTTGTAATTTGCTTGATAGTTTCATATTCTCTTGCACTTTTCTCATATTTTCAGTCCTTTATTTATTTAAACCAACTAAACATACCTATTTTATATTTTGCACCTGATAATGCTAATATCAAACATTTCACATAGTTATTAAACCATCTGTTGTTTTCTATAGCTCTTGTTCACGGTGCCTAGTTTTGCTACGAGTTTATAATTTTTGCATGAGTTTGTATTTATTTGGAGCTTCATCTATGGGAATTCCCTGCCATCTGTATTGAAGGTGAAATTATCTCCTTTTGCTTCTGCAGGTTCCCCAGGACATTATCAGCCAGGACTACTTTAAACTAAATTCTCAGTTTGCAGTTTTACAGACTTGGTGGTAATGTAAATTCAGTCCATAAAGCTGATTTCTCAGGCTATAAATTTTCGGGGTAGATTTTCCCTCTCGAATCTTCCTCAAGGTTTGAGACAGACAGTTGGTCATCCAGTCCCCTGAGGGGTGGATTTATTTCCACTTCACCTTACAGTAAGGTTGTAGCCCTTTGGGGACCCAGTTTTACTTGGGAAGAGCTCCTGTTAGACTCACCACCTTGGACAGATGCTGAGCTTTTTCCTGTCTCTCCCCTGAGCCCCTGGAGGCTCAAGACTGAAGCTCAAATGTCCTCGGTTGTCAAATGCCCTCAAGGTAGAGCCAGCCTTCCTGTGCTTGTCACCTCCTTGGGTTCCCAGTAATAATCAGTTGCTGGCTTCCAAGTGCAGCTTACTTTCTTGCTGGCACATCCTGCATTTTAATGTGTGTGTGTGTGTGTGTGTGTGTGTGTGTTTAACCTAGCATTTTTAGATGCTTTTGGTGGGGGGAGTTTTTACATCTGGCCCATCATTCCGCCAGGAGGCATTCTTTTTAATAGCTGCATAAAATTCCACATTATAAATGGCCCACTTTTAAAATCATTGATGGACGGATAGTCAGTTTGTTTCTGGACTCTTTTATTTGTTTTTGACACAAAAAAGAACCATAAGCATGCATCTGTATGAGAATGTGCCCTCATTTCCATAGGATCAGTTCAAATATCAGGATGGTTATGTAGTGATATAGATTCACACAGATTCACAAACACATCCAGAGTATTTGACATTGGGTACATGTGCCTCTTCTTTTCACACAACTTGTTAGTTTGAAAAATTTCAGACCTACACATTAGTTCCCAGGCAAGTATAATGAGCATACACCAAGACACACACACACGTACACACAGAGATTCATCCATATGGTTTTATGGTATATTCTGTTTTATTGAACCGTGTGAATGGTGCAGCCGTCAGGACACTTCATTACTAAATATATCAACAGGTATGTCCCAAGAACAAAGACAGCTACAACACTGTTATCACACACAGAAGGCACAACAGTTATATAAGTTTATGATCTAAAATAGATTGGAATAAAATACAATCAAATTTCTCCAATTGCCCCAGTAACACCTGTTACAACCATTTTATTTTTTATTCTAGAAAACCTTTAGGAGCAATTAAAGATGACGAATTGCCTTTAGTTGCAAGATTCCCTTAATCCCCTGTAATCTGGCACAGTTCTCCTGACTTTATTTTTATTTTTTGTCTTTCTTGGCATGGATCTTGTGATGAGTCCAGGGCAGTTATTTTGTAGACAATTCCTCAAGTGTGTTTCTCTGATCTCTTCCTGGTGATGTGGTTCAGGATAATCATTCTTGGTTTGAATTCTGCGCAGGGTGTGTCCCTTCCCAGTGCACCCCTTAGAGGATGCATGAAGCTACCTTGTCCCATTATTCATTATGTTAAGTTTGATCATTCAGTGAAGGGGGTTTCTGGCATTTTCTCTTTTATTAAGTGATATTTTGCCTTAGTAATTAATAATAAGTTATGGCGCTAGACTTTGAGGCGGCATGGAGAGCCTCTTCAACGTCATTTTCCACCCAATGATTTCAACATCCATTGAAGATTTTTGCCTGAATCAGTAATTATTATGGTGGCTGTAAAGCAGTGATTTACAATGTCTTTTATTCCTCTACATTTATTTGTTGGTGTTTCTTCTGTAAAAAGGAGCTTTCCCATGTAACCTAAGTTTTTCAAATGTTTGTGTGTTTGTTTATCTGAGTGCGGACTCATGGATTTCTTTCTCTTTTTTTCTTATTTGATAACATATAACCTATTCCAATAGCTTTTATTTTGATGCTAAAATTGCTCTAAGCCCTGGCCAGTGGGAGCCCCGTTGAGCTGGCTCTGGTGTCCTTTTGTTCTGTCTCTACAACTTTAGACACTTCTTTATCTTTGTCATATCAAGATGTTCCCATTTCTTTGTGTTCTGTCCTGTTCCAGCCCTTGCACGCATGGGGTCCTGTTGGAGCCCTGACTCCTTTTGGTGGGGAATGGTTTGTGGACCCCAGCATCTTGCCCCTTTGTGGAACTCTCTCCTCCTGGACTTCTATGGCTGGGCTCTCCCCGTCTCCACCCTGCACTTGTCTGGTGAGATTCTACTGGCCTCTTAGATAGTGGTCCTTGCCATGGTCCTTCCCTGGTGCCTCTACGATCCTCTTCCAGCCTCTGTCTCCTTGGAGGACTTCACCCCTGCAGTGGTTTCCGGAATTATTGATACACTGTCAACTCCCAGGCGGCTCTGTCCCATTCTAGACCATCTCCTGACTTCCTGCTGTTCACAACTCCCTACTCCACCATCACCTCAAAGCCCTGCAGACATTTCAAACTCCTTCGCTTCACTTCCAACTAAAGGCCTCACAACCCACCCCGTCTCCCACACTTAAACACATCACATCTTTCTCTGCTACCGAGTATCTCTAGTCACCAAATTCTGCCAAATCTGCCCCAGAAATGTCTTGTGTGCCATGTTACCCTCTCTAACCCCACCATTGCTATGGAAATACCAACTCTCACTTAGATGACTGTCTCTCATTCCAAAATCCTTGCCACTGGCCTGATCTGGTTTGCCAGAATTTCCTCCTCAGAAATGAATGAGATGGGATGTGGGGCATGGGTCCCTCAGACACTCTCCACGTCCTCCCTGGGAGCACCCTGACATTCGTAGCCACACACTTTCACCTGGTCATCTGGCTATGTCCTTTCTAAAGGGATACAAGCAAAAGGAATCACATGGGACTTCGAGGAAAGCTGAAAGACTCAACCGAATAGACTTTGTGTTGTCCTTCCTTCTTCCAGCCTAGGCTGTGACTCCAGCAGTCCCCCCGGACCATGCGCTGATCCTGAAGATGGCAGCCATGTGCTGGAGGCAAGGGCAAAAAAAGGAGCTGGAACCTCAGACGACACCTTGGAACTGCTATTTTCTGCCATGTCCTGGATGCTTCTTCTTCCTGGGGGATATCAACATTAATCTTATTTAAGCCACTGCTTTGGGGTGGGGGAAGGGTATGCCTCTTATCAGCAGCCACCCCTAACCCCAGCTGACAGAGCACAGCGTAGCAGTGGGGTGCATCACCTTGGCAACCAGCCACTAACTGCGTTAGAATTAGTGCCTGGCCTTCATCAAGTCACTTAACTGCTTAGAGGTTAATTTATTTCTTCTCTTCTCCACCACACGTCTCTTCCCACTCTCATTCAGTGGCTGGTTTCTATCCATGCTTCAATATCCAAGTTAAATGTCACCTTGACAGAAGACAGGCTTCTGGGCCATGTTCTGCATCTGGGTCTGGACATGGTTACATGTATGTATGCACTTTGGAAAGTCACATCTTTAATGCTTATAAATTTTGATAGCTATCTGTCCACATATAGAGGACAATAGCTGCAGGTATAGGTGTAGGTACAGGTGTGGGTGCAGAGACAGGTACAGATGCAGATGGGATGTAGCTGTAGCTGCAGGTATAGGTGTAGGTAGAGATGCAGGTGTAGGTGTAGGTACAGGTGTGGGTGCAATACAGGCAAAGACATAGGTTCAGGTGTAGATGCAGATGTAGATATAGGTGCAGATGCAGGTGCAGATGTAGATGCAGGTGTAGGTGCATGTACAGGTGCAGGTACAGGGGTAGGTACAGGAATAGGTGCAAATGTAGATGTAGATGTAAATGTAGATGGAGGTGTAGGTACAGGTACAGGTTTAGTTGCAGGTGCAGATGCAGATGTAGATGTAGATGCAGGTGTAAATACAGGTGCAGGTGTAGGTGTAGATGCAGGTGCAGGTGTAGGTACAAGTGTAGTTATAGGTGTAGGTGTAGGTGCAAGTATAGGTGTAGATGTAGAGGCAAGTGCAGGTGTAGATATAAGTGTAGCTATAGGTGTACATGTGGCGTAGATGCAGGTGCAGGTGTAGGTGCAGATGCAGGTGCAGGTGTAGGTGCAGGTGCAGGTGTAGGTGCAGGTGTAGGTGCAGGTGCAGGTGTAGGTGCAGGTGCAGGTGTAGATGCAGGTGCAGGTGTAGGTGCAGGTGTAGGTGCAGGTGTAGGTGCAGGTGTAGATGCAGGTGTAGGTGCAGGTGTAGGTGCAGGTGTAGATGTAGATGTAGAGGCAAGTGCATGTGTAGGTATAAGTGTAGCTATAGGTGTACATGTGGCGTAGATGTAGGTGCAGGTGTAGATGTAGATGTAGGTGCAGGTGTAGATGTAGATGCAGGTGCAGGTGTAGATGTAGATGTAGGTGCAGGTCTAGGTACAAGTGTATGCACAGGTGTAGATGCAGGTACAGGAGTAGACGTAGGTGCGGGTATAGATGTTGGTACAGGTGTAGGTACAAGCGTACACACAGGTGTAGATGCAGGTGTAGGTACAGGTACAGGTGTAGATTCAGGTGTAGATGTAGGTGTAGGTGCAGGGACAGGTGTAGATTCAGGTGTAGATGTAGGTGTAGGTGCAGGGACAGGTGGAGACGCAGCTGTAGATGTAGATTTAGATGCAGGTGTAGGTGCAGGTACAGATGTAGGTGTGCAGTTTCAGGTACAGGTGCAGGTGTGGATGCAGATACAGTCATAGCTTAGGGAAACCATCCCTAACCATCTCAGGCAGAATCAGCACTTTGTTCATATCTCTGAGGTTTGACATCTTCCTTACATACCTGTAGCTCCCGGGTCTTAGTGAGTGGCAGGTGAGCTCCACACCTCTAGGGCCAGCCACATTGGGGCACACACAAAACACCCAATAAATGTCCATAAACACATGAAGGAGCTGGAATTCTTTATGTGCTTGTGTGTACTTTGGGCCTTTAATCATTTCCATGTGCCTAATTCCAGTTGCATGAAATCACACTTCCTTTATTGAGTCTCAAATGATTTTCTTCACATTGTACAAAAATTCCTCCCAAACTTGGGAATTGGGATTTGGAAAACAATCTCTTCTCCCTTCCTTCATTGCCTTCATGGCTGAATATATTTAATTAGCATCCTCTTGACCTTTCCATACCTTTCCATGTGGAAAATGACTCATCTTTGGGCCTGTCTTATGTGGAAGCCTATCTCTCTGCTCAGGCTGAGTGTCAGAGGGACAGCTTTGTGGGTTCCCTGAGCCAGGCTGGCCAGCTTCACAGCCAGGCTTCCAGTGCAGAGAACACCACCCTCCCTGGCACTTAGAGAAGAAAGAAGACAGAGGAACAATGTGCATTAGAGTCAAACGTGCTTGTCTTATGTCACTATCAAGGTAGGGTTCCCAGGATTAACAGAAAAGAAAAAAAGACATCCAGTTAAATTTGAAGATCAGATAAACAAATAATTTCTTGGTATATGTAGGTTTCATGCAAGAAACAATTTTTTTTTTTGAGACGGAGTCTTGCTCTGTTGCCCAGGCTGGAGTGCAGTGGCACAATCTTGGCTCACTGCAACCTCCACCTCCCTGGTTCAAGCAATTCTCTTGTCTCACCCTCTGGAGTAGCTGGGACTACAGGTGCCTGCCACCACACCTGGCTAAATTTTGTATTTTTAGTAGAGATGGGGTTTCAGCTTGTTGGTCAGGCTGATCTCGAACTCCTGACCTCAGGTGATCCACCCGCCTCAGCCTCCCAAAGTGCTGGGATTATAGGCATGAGCCACAATGCCTGGCCAAGAAACAATTTTTAAATGTAAGTGTGCCTCCACATATATGCAGAACATACTTACACTAACAAATTTGACTGTTTAGCTGAAATTGTAATATAATTTGGTGCTCTGCATTTATTGAACAACTCAAGATCATAGTGCATTTCGCCTAAGCCGTGTCACTGCACACAGTGACAAAACACAGTCCTGCCATCCTACTTATTCCTCACAAAAGTCCAGTGAGATGGGCAGAGCAGATGCCATTAGCTTCATCAAAATGAAGATATTTAACAAAACTCATAAGACTACAAGTGTCAAAACTTTTACCGAAAGGCAGGCTTCCTGGCTTTAATTTGACCATCTCCACACCTTTACCAGTGACACGGGTGACCTTCCTGCAGTAAAAGGTGACTCACCTGCTTCCTGTTGCTCATTACTCAAGTGCCATTTTTCCACTGGGAAGCTCCTGGCCCCACCCTGCATCCACGTGGTCAGGTTGATCTCAGACCCAGGTAGATCTCTGTCACCTACCGGCAAAAGGGTTTGGAGCATCCACTTCCATATCAAAATGTCAATCTTTAGAAATCTGCCCTGGGCAGAAATCTGACAAATATTTTTTAAGCACTTGCTATGTTCTAGGGACTGTAACAAGCACAGAGGAACTGGCAGTGAGCCTGCCCTCTGCCTTCGTGGAGCTCATCTTGGTGGTCAGGCAACTTTTTAACATGCTACGGCCAGGCTGTCTGCTCAGATTAAGAGGACATTGGAGTGACTGTCCTCTGGTCTAGTCACTCCCCTCCCAAATATCCAAATCCCAAAGAGCCAGTTCTGCAGGCGACATCACTACTTCCCATCTGAGAGTGGGTCCACCGCAGGCCATGTGGGCTGTCAGAGACAGCCCTGTGTACTTCCCTGTGTGCCAGTTATCCCTGAGTCGTCTTCCAGCACTGCCCCCAGATCTGTCCCTTCTCCCACAGCCACCGAAGGAATAAATCTTGCTTAAAACGCGTACATCCCAGCGCTAAGACCCTGGCAGGCGATGCACCCTACCTACTCCCAAGATTTACATCCTGAGTGTGAAAGTCAATAAAAACTAATTAAATGTTTACCTCATTTCCTTGGTAATGACCCTTACATGCCACTAATTGTCAAACTGAATCTATATGCAGGCGTTCCCTCTATTGGGGTCAGGGCTAATTTCTGCATACACAAAGAAACATCACCGCGGTTATTTACACCTGCGGCCGGTATGTTCTGTGCAGATGCTCGTGAGCTCATTTCCATAGGAGGAGGAGTTGGTGCCGAGATTTCAGCGCAATGAGCAGGGAATTAGGTATGCAACAACCATGAACAATAATGAGAGCCATGCACCTAATTCCCCGGCATCATCTTAAAAATTTGTTGTATTAAATAATGCTGTAATGTTATGTTAAGTAATGCAATGTTAAGTAACATTGACTTCAGCCTCATTAAATAATCTCCTTAACTATCATACTGGAAAACTAGTATCATTAGACAAATGCTATTTGTCATCAGCCATGATGTAATTGTTGCAGAAGATTCCATGCTAAGGAAAGAATTAATAAACAAAGCACCACAAATAGAGTGCCCTCCTCAAGGAGCACAAAAAGAAAAGTGAGAGGATCTGAAAGATACCTTAGGAGAGAGAGAACTCATAGCCTCCTCTGTTCCTTAAACCCAGAAACAGCCAGATAGAGCACCAAGGGGAAGACACCCATAACCCCCCACTTTAGCTCTGTCTCCTTTTGAGCCTGGCTGAAAGGCGAGCTCTGGGACAGGCATCATCTTGATGTGTTGCTGGAACAAGGAGGCAGCACGCAAACAGGACTCAGTAGGTTCACTTGCCAGCCTTTCTCCCTAATCAAAGGAGACTATGGAAAAACAACATGAGATAGCTTGAGAACTCCACCTTTCCCATGTGAAACCCACAATCAGTAAAGGGAAACACAGGGATATGTGCTTGCCTGTTATGACCTTATTCTCAGAGGTGATCATCAGAATCATGGGCATGCAAAGATGTCCACATTCTACTCTCCCAAACCAGTGAATAGATGAGATTCCATGATGAACGGGAATGAAGGCTACTATTCAGCTGACCTTACAGTAGGGAGATCACAGTGCCCTATCTGGGCAGGTCCAGTGTCATCCCAGGCTCCTTAAATGGGGAAGAGGAAGGCAGGAGGCTCACAGAGAAAGAACTGTGTCCCTGGGAGCAGAGTCTGAGAGATAGGATGTGGGACTCAGCCCACCATGGCTGGCTGTGAAGATGCAGGAAGGGGTCTCCAACCAAGGAATGCAGGTGGCTTCTAGCAGCTGGGAAGGGCAGGAAAGCAGACCCTCACTTAGGGCCTCCAGAAAGGAATGCAGCCCTTCGGATGCCTTGATTTCAGCCCAGTGAGACCGTGTCAGACTCCTGGACTCCAAAATGAGAATAAATACATGTTTTTCAAGCCACTACGTGTGCGGTAATTGGTTAAAGCAGCAGTAGAAAGCGAATGCATCTGTGATTCAGGAAATTCTCGGGCACTGCACAGCTGCGCAGAGTCAACACCACCCAGGTAGGCTCCCACCACCCACAAGCCAGCACTTCTAATGACCTGGCTGTGAAACTCGGCCGCTTCAACATAAATTTTATCAGCATCGGAGAAGAGAGAGGTTCGGCAGAGAGAAAGGGGTGAGCAGACACGTGGCTGCCCTCCATCAGAGCTCAGCATAGGGAGGGTGGGGCCAGCTCTCTGCGTGCCGAGTGAGCGGCTCCCCAAGCCGCTCTCCCAGAAGAGCACCTTCTCCTCAGCCAGCCTTTCTTTTGAGCAATTATTTGCTTGATTTTAGAGCTGAGAAAATGCATCTTTGGATGGTTTAATACATATCCAGGGCCCTATTGAGTAAGAGAGCTCCAGGGCAGGATTGGAACCCAGCTGAGTTTTGGCTCCCAAGGCCAAGTACAGGGCTCCATGATTTTAATGCATTTCCGTCAGCTAGAGGTAATAAAAAGATCAGTCTTGTTTGGGAAATGTCTATTAGGTTGGTGCAAAAGTAATTGCGGTTTTTGCAATGAACTTTAATGGCAAACCACAATTACTTTTGCACCAGCCTAATACTTTCAACTTGAGGCTTGCTTCTTGTCTTGTCTCTGCTAAGAGGTCTTACCAAAAGGGATCTTGAAGCTATATCCAAAATCAGTCTCTGGAGACGGATAAACACGACAGCCCTCTATGGCTTTGCCAGGCTCATGGTTGCGAGGGCTGAGAGTGATGTAATCCTGAGGGCCTCTTGTTATTAATCCCACCTCTCATGTGTACACAGAAATGCAGCCCACTGAGTGCCCAGTGGTGTATGGCTATCAGCTCACTGAGAGCCGTTGGCCACGTCTCGTGTGTGTATACACAGGAGTGTACACCAGAACAAAAAGGCGATAGTAGTATTTACATATGAGAAACTCTGCCTGCATTGGCAACGGCCCATTTTATGCTGAGTAGAAGTCAAAAGGGCATGATGTGGAGGGCAGCTGTAGATGCGCAACAGAACTTTCCGTGGTGCTGGGAAGGTTCTAGATCTGCGCTTTCCAACACAGGAGCCGCCAGAAACACAAGGCAACAGAGCACTTCTGTGACTCTTGGGACTGAGGAACTGAATATGTTAATTCCGTTAATTCACTTAATTTAAACTTAAATGCCCACACATGGCTAGTGGCTCTCATAGTTGACAGCATAGAATTGAAGAGATGTGTTCGAACTTATAATTGTGTATAAATCTCATTTTCCTCATTTAAAAATGTCCTTCAATCTGGAATATGGTCTGGGTGCTCTGACACATCTGGAGAGATTTGTGGGTGCTAAAGTGAAGCCGAAAAATGTGAGTCCAGAGTTAAAAATAGACACTCCAATGGCTAGTGGGCTTGGAATGGTCAGCTTTGCAGACAGGCTCATCCCAACCTCCAGGATCTAGAAATATAATCCTTGCGTGAAAAGCCATGCTCACTCATCCATCATCCTGTCATTGCTTCAAAAGACCTTTAGTCTGGATGTCTTGTATCTATTTCTTTGGTTACTGTACCTGTACCTGTCCATTTGCATTTCACATCATACCTCAACTGGAATCCATGCCCTGAGGTAGCCCACATTTCATTTGATTGCACTTGTGGAACCAATTCAAGTGTTCATTACAGCTATCAATTAAAAATGTAGTTCATCATAAAAAACATCCTTGAACTTTTTGGAGTTCAGAGAACCACAGTAGACAGGTGCCTGGTGGAGTGGGGACAGACTCCTGGGCTTTGCTACCCAACTCTCCCTCACCAGGGTAACCTGTTCTCATGTCTCACTCTCAGAATCCAGTGGAAGAAGAGCCACAGAACCACTGTCATCCTGGCATGATAAAGACCACTCGAGACACACATTTTTCAACTTCACTTTAGCACTCACAAATATCTCCAGATGCGTCAAAGCACCCAGGCCATAATCCAGATTGAATGACATTTTTAAACGAGGAAAACGAGATTTATAGATTGACTTGCCAGTTTCCGCGTCTTGTTCCTCATACTAAGCACCGTATATTTGACACGCGTTATTTAGGATGCTGTCTGATTGGGCTTCCCAGGGAAATGACAGCCTGTGATTCTCTGCCCCAGCTACAGGATCCCTGAAATTAGCCATCCTTACACCATGGAACTGAAGAGGAGAAGATTGTCTTTTCTCCTTCAGAGCCCATATTCTATTCCACACACTGGCTATGAAGTTATTTTATTGATCACAAGGGATCGGAGGTCCTGTTGAAATGTTATCTCTCAAAGCGAGACCCTGAACGAGTGGTGTAGGCAGCTCTTAAATATTTGTTCAGCCTGTGGCTGTGCTTTAAGCCGGTTAAAGGGCGCAGGATAAACACAGCAGACCTGGTGCACAGGCTTCCAGAGATTTCAGGAGACGAACAGGGGCTGCTACGCAGGGAAGGGAGGCTGCACTCTATGAATTATTGGCGTGAATATGTCAATATTTATCACTCCCAAGGAATGACAAAGAAACCAAAACCAACCAGGGCTTTCCTGAACCACACACAATCACGTGTATACAGGTTCCCAATGAGTGTTCCTTGAGAACCCCGTCTAATCTGTCAGGGCTCTTTGTTTACAATTCAAGAGACCCTGATTCCAATTACATTAAGGGAAAAAAGAATTTCTATGGAACAGTGGTCTAAACCCTGACTATTCCTTAGAATCACCTGCAAAACTTTGTTCAAATGCCAGTGCCCAGAGAACACTATGATTTGGTTAAAAAAAAACATTTCTGGGCATTGAGCTTTGAGAATCAGTATTTTTTAAGCTTCCCAAGGAATTTTAATTTGCAAAGGGGTTGGGCATCACTTACCAGAAGTTCTGGAAAGTTCTGGGTTGGGGGAAGACTGGAGAATCAGACTTAGGCACAGAAGCCCTCAAAAGCCCCAGGGAGGGTTCCATAGCCAGGGCCCCCCACAGGGATGAATGAGAGTCTGAGGGCAGAGCTCCAAGGGACAAGGTGATTGTGCCCAAACAAGGCCAGGCCCTCCGGCTGCCAGGCTGGAGGAAGGAAGCTGCTGCCCTCATCCCTCGGGCCCCTGAATGGGAAGCAGGCGTCAGAGCTACCTCCCTCTTGCAGCTCTGCACAGCACAGGCAAGATGAGTTCCCCACAGCTAAAGGGAAAAATGGGTGCTTGGACCTCCAAAATGTTCCCTGCAGCCATTTTGTCTGGATGTCATCAGATGCGTGATGGGATAGAAAAATGCATATTAGTCCAAAGTCTGTGGGCTCATCAATCCATGAACGGATAAAAAAACTGTGGTATATATATATACATATGCCGTGGAATACTACTCAGCCATAAAAAGGAACAAAATAATGATATTTGCAGGAACCTGGATGGAATTGGAGACTTTTATTCTAAGTGAAGTAACTCAGGAATGAAATGGCGAACATCATATGTTCTCACTCACAAGTGGGAGCTAAGCTATGAGGACACAAAGGCAGAAGAGAGAATGATACATTGGACTTTAGGGTGTCGGAGGAGAGGGAGGGAGGGGGTGAGAGATAAAAGACTACACACTGGGTAGAGTGTACACTGCTCGGGTGATGGACGCACCAAAATCTCAGAAATCAGCACTGAAGAACTTATTCATGTAACCAAACACCACCTGCTCCTCTAAAAACTATTGAAATTTTTTTAAAAAGTAAATTTAATTACCAGTGCTACAATAAAATTTAAAAAGTCTGCAGGCTAGAAACAAATTGTATAAGGTCTTTGAACCCAAGAATGGATATAGGATATGTTTTTGTTTTTCAAAGTATTTTTAAAATAACCTCAAAGCCTCCCATGCCATTGTGTTTTCTTATTTATCATTTTAATGATTTTAGAGAATACAATTCTGTAGCATTGGATACATCACGATGCTGTATCTATCCAGTTTTGGGACTTGGTCATCATCCCAAAAGGAAACCCTGAACCCAATAAGCAGTCACTCCCCTCCCTCAACCCCCAGCCCCTGGTAGCCAGTAGCCTGCTTTCTGTCTCTGTGGGTTTGCCTACCCGAGCAGTTCATTGAAATGGAGTCATAAATCTGTGGCCTTTGTGTCTGGCATCTCTCACTTAGCATGCTTTCGGGGTGCGTGATGCTGTAGCGGGCATCAGTGCTGCACGTCTCGTTATGGATGAACAGAATGTGCTATGGCCATACCGGGAATATACCCCACTCATTGTTTCTTAAGAGGAGCATCTTGCAGAAGCTGTGCACCATGACGCTCATTTTTACAAAGCCGGAGACAGGAAACACAACCAAGCACATTTGAGTGACTGTGTCCAGAGGCAGTATGCTCTGTCCTCCTGTCTCCATAGCCCCACCTGTTACTAAAAGTTCCCTTGCGGTCACTGGCGTGACCTGGGCCATGTGCTCCCAGAACAGGGGAGGCCACAGCGCTACCTGACCTCGTCATGTAGACTGGGTGTGGACAAGGCCTTGTTTCTCACAGGAAACCTCCTGGTGCCAAGAGAAGGGGCTGTGGACACGAAGGAGGCACAGATGCGAGATGCCCGAAGTAAATAAATGTGCTCCAGCTCCCGCTGAGGCTCTGAGACAGGTGGGCCGTCAGGACCTTTGTCTATGACTAGTGGCCTGGCTTGAGATCGGGGTAACCGTGATAATAGTGATTATAACACACACTTGCACGTCGCTCTCCAGTGCTCTTCAAAGCTGTCCATGAACCCACTCAATCCTCCTTCCCCTAAAGAGTGGGGATGCAAATTCCATTCCCACAGGCAGGGCCATGCTTAGCAAAGGGTTTCCTTGTAAACAAATGCCCCTCAAGCCAGGTGTTGAGGCTTTTCAAGGGGGCGGTCATGAAACTGATGCGCCCAATCTATCCCTCCTTCCCCCACATCAACATTTCACACAGTTCCTCGTTTCAGCTTCAAAGGCAAACCTTGGGTCTTAGATAAATTGGGGTTTATTTTCCCATCACTGTCTGTCCCCTCTGCCCATCACTCAGAGGCGCGTGCTGTTCACCACTCAGAACATGCTTAGGATCCACGCATCAATTTCAGTTTAAAAATCTATCTCGCACATACGCAGAGCAAATTAAATCAGATCAAGCAGAAATTGCCTTAAAGGGAGTTAATACTCTGACTAAATTCCTGCGTAAGGAGGCCCCACTAACCAGCTCTGCCACATTTAACCTAGTATCCGGGTCAGATTCCTGAACAAGACAGGGCTCCCTTGGGTATCTTTTTGAGAACTGGCCCTAGGAAATCTCATTCACCTTACAGCTCTGGATTCCAATTTATGGCAAGGGTTTGCTGCCTACCAGAACAATGGAGTAATAGCAAACGATTTTAAATGGGTGGATGGGTTTAGGATATTGTCTATTCAAAATGTGAAAAATGCATACAGTGTTTTGGGAGCGTTTAAAATGGAGGCAACTATTTTCATAGCTAGAAATTGGAAAATACTCAAAAGCCAATGGGAGGATGTAGAGAGGCAAATTGTGAAAATAAAATGGATATAAAATTGCCACTGGAAATAACAGTTACAAGGCTTGGGCAGAGCCCACATAAAAACCACAAGAGGGGTCCCTGTGGCCAGCAGAATAATGCCTCCCGCCAAAAAAAGTCACACCCTAATGTCCAAAACCTGTGAAATATGGTACCTCACGTGGCAAAAGGAACTTTGCAGATGTGATTAAGGAACTTGAGTGAGTGATTACTAAAGATGGAGGAAGGGGCCATGACCCAAGAAATGCAGCGGCCTCTAGAAACTGGATGGATTCTCCCTGGAGCCTTCAGCCCAGCAAGATCCATTGTAGTCTTCCGACCTCCAGAACCTGGAGTTGGTAACTTCGTATCATTTGCAGTAATTTGTCACAGCTGCAATAGGAAACTTACACAGCTCTGGAGTCCACTGGCCCTGTTCAGATCACCCACATGCACCCCGGCACCGCAAAGCCTCTCCTGCAATGTCAAGGTCATTAGCATACCTACTCCACAGGACCATTTTACACATTAAGTGAGATGGTGCCTGGAGAGGCACCTGGCCCATCATGCAATGTGTGTAAGTCATCATTAGAGCCAAAAAAGGAAGTGCTATGGACCAGAAGATGCAAAATGTTGAATTTGTAATGATAGCAAGGATATAAATCACGATCGTGTAAATAGCAGGCTTATCACAGAGCTGGATTTTTTGTAGCAGTTACAGATTTGCAAGTTAGAGCTACTTCACTTGAACGTGGAGCTAATGGTATTAGGATGCTCTTTTTCGTTTTGTTCATTCATCCATCCATTCATACAGCAAGCATTTGAGAACCCCTGATGCCGGGCTCCGGGCTCTGGGCTCCGGGCTCTGGGCTCTGGGCTCTGGGCTCTGGGCGGGACCCTGGGAAGCCGCATGCCTCCATGCTCTCGCTGCGTAGAACCAGAGCTCTGCTGATTGAATATACATGAACTATAAAGAGGCCCCAGATGAGGAGATCATTTTGGGCCCTGCAATCTCAGGTGAGTCCTTTGCAGTCTCTGGACGATGCTGGAAATTGTGGCGTTGTTCTATAATGCAAAAGGGAAAGAGGTTTTATTCCCACAAGTCTGAGCTTTTTGAGATGGGAACTTTCTATTTTGTTCTTACTTCCCAGAGATAAAACCAAAGCCTTTTTATTTATGCTGCACAAGCTCAATACTTTATTTGCCCTTCACCATTTTTTTGCAAGTAAATTTCTTTCTCCCCGCAGTTTTCCCGCAACCGGTTGGTCTGTGATTCTCGCAGTGTCTCTTTTCCCTTGGGAATGTGTTCTTCCTTCCTCCTTGTTAGCCAGGCCTGGGGAAGGACGGGACGCATCACTGCTGATGCCCCTTCTGAAACCCCCTGCAGGCGCGGCTGCACCTCAAGCCCGGCGGGGCGAGGACGCTGAGCTGCAGACAGCGCCACCTAGCGTCCGAGAGCCACGGCGCACCGGCTGTGCGCATCTCTGGGCGAGACTGGAATGGAAAAAAATAGGTCTTTGTAAATCACCACCTCATTTTGTTCCTAGAGCTCTGTGTGTATCTGAAAGCTATGTTGGAATTTGCAGGCAGTAGCAAACTATGAATTGAAGAGAATTAATAAATGCATGCCTGTCTATTGATATGTTCAACAGAACCCTAAGAAATTACCATTTAGACATCAAAAAATGGATCAACCTAATATTTGTATAGGAGAACTAGAGAAACAAAGGATATATATATATATATATATATATATATATATATATATATATATATATATATATATATATATATATATATTCCCATTCCAGGGAAATTCTGATAATGTGGGAGGTTTTCGTTGTTGTCGCTTGTTTGTTTTGTTTTGATTTTTTGAGACGGAGTCTTATTCTGTAGCCCGGGCTGGAGTGCAGTGGCGTGATCTTGGCTCACTGCAACCTCCGCCTCCCAGATTCAAGTGATTGTCCTGTCTCAGCCTCCCGAGTAGCTGGGATTACAGATGCCCACCACATCTGGCTAATTTTTGTATTTTTAGTAGAGACAGGGTTTCACCATGTTGGCCAGGCTGGTCTTGAACTCCTGACTTCAAGTGATCCGTCTGCCTCTGCCTCCCAAAGTGCTGGGATTACAGACGTGAGCCACCGCATCCAGCCTGATAATGTGTTTAAGAATAAGTAACAGAGTTAAGCAATCTGGCTCCTGAACTTCATAATAAAGCCATTAATTTATTTATTTTTAACATGTTTGTTGTTTTTCATAAATGTCGGACTCCTACTCCCTGTGGCTGCCTCACCTCTGCTTCTCCTTCACTGGCCAGGTGCAGGCAGGAGGGAGAAGGACACTCCACGCCCCACGTGGCCCATTGGTTCCCAAGCCATCTGCCGACCTCAATTCTGGACTCTCTGAAGGAAGACCTTGATTGGCTACTCCTGCCCAATGGGGAGCGTGCCTCCAGGTCACATGTCCATGCTAGGTCAATCAGCTGAGGCCAGGAAGGGCTGTTGCTCACCTGCTTTTCTCCCCTCCCTCCCTGCCACCAGCCCAGCCCAGGTTGCTGCACTCCCCATTGCCTTTGCGTGGGTTGCTCTGCGGCCTCTCCTCTCAGTGCTGTCTCCTTCCGGAAGCCTTTCCAGATCCCGCCACGGAATGTGGGATGTCCCCCCAACCACACAGTCTCTGCCAGGAATTCTGTCTTCTGTCTTAACGGTGTTTGCCCTGCAAGCCAGGCCCCTCTGGCCTGCTATGTCCCTGTGCTCCGGGTGTCTAGGCCCACCCACAGTGTTGATAATGAAGATAACTGCTGCAGACAGGGCACTTGTCCTTGTCCCATGCCTGGAGAGCAGCACAGATTTGAACAGACACTTCCCCAGAGAAGATATACAGATGGCAAATATGCACATGCAAAGGCGTTCAGCGCTGTCAGCCACCAGGGAAATGCAAATTAAAGCCACTGGTGAGACATGTCACATGCCTATTAGAATAAATGGGAAATTTAAAAAAAAAACAGCTAAAACAAAACAATAAACTGGCAAAACCAAGTGCCGAGGAGGATTTGGAGCAACCGGAACTCTCCTGCATTACTGGTGGGAATGCAAAATACAGCAGCCACTATGGAAAACAGTCCAGTCTGGGAGCTTCCTATGAAGTGAAGCCTACAGAGTTGCCACATGACCCCACAACCCTACTCTTAGGTGTTTATCTAACAGAAACAAAATATATGTCTATACAATAGACATGTGTTGATAACAGACCTTAGTCCTACTTGTAATCACCAAATACTGGCAACAATCCAAGTGTCCCTTAGCAAGGAAAACAACAACAACAAACTACTGAAGCATTTAACAACTCTCAGAACTGCACACTAAAAGGGTAAATTTTACTGACTGTAAGTGATATTTTCATTTTTAAAACGCCTTTTAGGGCTTTTTCTGTATCGGCAAATTCCACGATGCCTGTCTGCCCCAACTGGTAAAACAGCAGCAAATTTCTAGAATGTTCTTCTTCCTCTCCCAACCCTGCTCCCATTCCCCATGCTGTGAAGGAGTCTCCATGCCTAGGGTTAGGCTGACCAAATGATGGCTCCCCTGCTTCTGAGCAAGGTGTATCCAAGGTCAAGTCCACAGGCCTGTTTGGAATCTCCACCAGGCCCAGCCTCCACACACTTGGCACCTGCCGAGCAAAGGGCATGTTGAGTGTCCACTCTGAGCTCAGCACGGCACCGGGGGCCTGGGGCTAGGCTGGCAGGAGGATTCCCTAGACAGAGAAGGCAAACTGCATCAAAGTTCCAGCAACAGACCTCCTGCCTAGTAAAACCACAACAGTGCACAAATAAACATTGCTATACACTCTTGAGAACTTGCTGCCAGCCAGGCAGGGGATAAGCACTGTGGGGAGCCCGTCATCCAATGTTCACCACAGCCATTATTGTCCCCATTATGTGGGACAGAAAACTGACACGGGGTTCTCAGTTACTGCTGGAGGGTGACCTACTGACATTCGGGCCTGGGCCTTGCACTGCCAGAGTGAGTGCGTGAGCCCCCAGGAACACTGACAAACCTGCTATGGACTTAATGTATACCCCTGAAATTCATGTGCTTACACCCTAACCCCCAGCATGACGGTATTCAGAGATGGGGGCTTGGGAAGGAAATCAAGGTTAGATGAGGTCATGAGGGTGGCTCTGTGACCTTAAAAGAAGAGAAAAAGAGATATCTGTCCGTGCACACCTATTGAGAAAGGCCATGTGAGGACGCAGCAAGAAGGCTGCTGTCTGCAAGCCAGGAAGAGAGCCCTCACCTGGAACCATGCTGGCTGGAACCTCAGTCTTGGATTTTTCAGCCTCCAGAACTCTGAGAAATAAGCTTCTGACTTGCATGTATCAAACTCTACTCCTCACCAGCTGCCTGCAAAAGACTTATTATCATTTCTTTTCAAAATGGAGTGAGGCCACCTTACCCTTGCACACTTGGCACCTGCCATGTCTCCCTTGGTCCCCGCTCTGGTTCTTAGTCTCACACTGTGGTGGGCTTCATTGAGACACTGAGATTCACTTTCATCCCAAGTGCCCTGCTGGCTTCTGACATCTCCCTTGCTTACTCCAAAAGCCTTCCAGGTGTGTTCAGAGGACGGTGTGTGGCCCCAAGGCAACTCTTCCACCAAGAAAGGCTAATCTTCAGGAGATCTCTTCAAGGGAGGCTGGGCCTGGGGGGCAGGCAGCAAACCCAAGCTGAACCAGGTTAACAAAGGTTGACCCAGGCCAACTCAAACTACTCCATGTCAGCCCAGGCCCAACCCAAGCTAAACCAGGTCAACAGGGGTCAACCCAGACCAACTTAAGCTAAACTAGGTCAACAGAAGTCAACCTAAGCCAAAGCAGGTCAACACAAGTCAACCCTGGATAACACAGGCCAATCGAGGCCAAACCATGTCTATCCACCTTGGCTGGGCTTCAGCAGCATTCACCTCGACTAGGTGAATGGGGTAGCTGCATCTCACAGACCTGAGGAAGCAAGAGGTGCAGCCCAGGGCCTTTGAATGCTCTTGAAATGCATGCTTCTCCCAATTAAACACTGCCCATTAAAGGGTCTAATGGGGATCAGCGTCCAGGAGTTGCCAAAAAGGCCCTGCCAGGCTCACCCCAACAGCCCACGCGCATACCAACAGCCCAGGCACACCCCAACAGCCCAGGCACATCCCAACAGCCCAGGCTCACCCCAACAGCCCAGGAATACCCCAACAGCCCAGACACAACCCAACATCCCAGACACACCCCAACAGCCCAGGCTCACTCCAACAGCCCAGGCTCACCCCAACAGTCCAGGCTCACCCCAACAGCCCAGGAACACTCCAACAGTCCAGACACAACCCAACATCCCAGACACACCCCAACAGCACAGGCTCACCCCAACAGCCCAGGCTCACTCCAACAGCTGGATCATTTGCCAGCACATTGTGCTGCTGGATCATTACACTGCCAGCGACTTGACATCACTTTCAAAGCACTGCTTAATTTCAATAATTATAAAGCTTCCTGGCCTCTGAAAAATAAGTGTGAAGCCTCTCCACATGCAGGCAGAGCCAGGGTGGGGAGCAGTGTCAGAGCTTGGCCTCGCCCTCCTGCACGGCTTCCGTTCTCCCTAATTTGCGTTTGCCCAGAGCGACAGGAAATCCAGAGGCTGCAGATGCGTTACTAACTTGCAACCCCCGTCAATCATGATGAGGTTTTACATTATTGGATATGAGTTTGGGGTGAATTATTCAGGTTTCATATTTTGATGAATGGGGAAAAATGCAACACAGAACCCTGTGCATGTGTGAGTGTGTGCATGAGTATGTGAGTGTGTGTGCATAAGTGTGTGCATGTGAGTGTGCACGTGTATGTGCATGAATGTGTGTGTGACTGTATTGCGCATGTGTGTGACTGTGTCTGCATGAGTGTGTGTGAGTGTGCGCATGAGTGTGAGTGTGTGTCTGCATGAGTGTGTGAGTCTGTGAGTGTGTGCATGAGTGTGTGAGTGTGCGCATGAGTGTGTGTGTGCGTGCATTTCAGGGAAACAAATGTCACCATTAGCAATCCCCACTAATACCGTCCTGTGAAGAATTTTCTGCAAATCTCTTGTGCATAGCGCGCAAAGGGGTGGGTGCTCCCCGTGAGAGATGTAGCCCATTTTTCTGAGAGACATTTGCCTTTCCTTAAACAGCAGTAACAGCATTATGGTACCCGCTGCTCTAGTTGTGGAACGACTATTTTACAAAGTTTTCAGGGAAAATCTGTGTGCTCTCATGTATTGTACAAACAAGGGTGTGGCATTCATTCTGTCATGGAAAAATACCTACTATTGCACTGTCTGGGAAACAGGTTTTTCAATAATAAACAAGACCTCACGGCCCCCCAAATCTCATGGTGCTTCCCGGTTGCTATGGACCAACATCGGAGCACCCTTTCTAACTGCCTGATGGAAACGTAAGCAGTGGCTTTGTGGTTATTTTCAGGCGAGAGCTGAGTATCACCAGACTGCTCCATTATCACCTCTGATAAATTGGGAGACTCGCCTGGTGACACTGCGTCTCCACTGTCCCTTCCATCTGTAAATAAGGGGTGGCCTCCTTGCTCCATGACAGCTGACCTTGGCAAGAAGACTGGGCATCTCAGGCCTTCAAAAACACTGTCATGGAGGGATGTGATTTTGTTTCACAACCTTTCCTTCCTCCCAGATTTATGTATTCGCTAATCACCTGTTCAAGACACTTGCCTTTTCTACCTATTTAGATAGCCTGAGCCTGTGCCTGGGTCAATTGGCTACGCACGGCAGTTGGGGAGAAACGGGCTGCACTTGAAAGCTGATCTCTGGTCTCCAAGCTTAGTTGGCTTTAATGGTGTTATTACTACACCTCCTCCACCTCATATTATTAATTTCATTTATAGCAGAACCAATAACTCATCCATTCAAGGCAGTTTGTCATGCATACCTGTAAATAGATTGAAAGTTTGCTGAAGCATGCCGGGTAAACACGACTGCAGCGTCTGCTTGTCTCCTGGAATCGCGCCAAGTTCTTTAGATTCGGGCGATATTTTTTAGAATG
The DNA here is from genome assembly GCF_000001405.40 of Homo sapiens. Lineage (NCBI taxonomy): Eukaryota > Metazoa > Chordata > Mammalia > Primates > Hominidae > Homo > Homo sapiens. The sequence goes on from NC_000020.11 coordinate 61,234,971, forward strand.
CATATGAATTTATGCTACAAAGGCAACCTCGCCACCTCAGCCCCCGCCGCCGTCACCCCTGAAATTCCATTTAGTTTCAATTTTACTGCTCCAGCCCGGCTCTGTTTGAGCTGCACCCTGTGAAGGTGAAATGTCACCGCCATCATTTTTGTATTGATTTAGAAGAGTCGCCTCGGTGTGCACCGGCTCCTGCGGGTTTCTGTTCAGTGACCTGAGCTGAAAGTACTTCGCTCTGTGCAAGGTGAGCACAGGGAGCTAAGACTACCCCGGAGGAGGAGCCCACGGCAGCAGGGGAAGGGGCCTGCGGGACACAGGGAGGAACGGTGAGCTCCCACCCACGCTGCTACCCCAGGGGGTCTGGAGTCACCAGGAAGCGTTCTTGGTGCAGCCACTGTGAATAATTAAAGGGGTTCTGCATATCTGGAGCAGAACCTATGCTTAGAACAGAAAATTCCTTTTTATTTTAAGACTCCATCTAAAGGAAAGTAAAATGGATGCCTAGGAGTACTACAGATATATGTTCCTTTTGACACCAGCTCTATTGCCCAAAGTCACAAATGCCATAATGCAAACTCAGGAGTTCCCTGGGCTATTAGGGAGGGACTCCAGACCTTGGGCTGAGAGCCACAGATCAGTGTCACTGTCTCATGGATGCAGTGGTTTTGGCCTTCCCAGCCTCCGCCACCGCCGCCTTCTGGTAACAGACCCTCAACTTTCAGTGGGAGATTTCACCCTCGTCAGTGAGATTTGAGTAGACTGACTCCACTCTGACCTCCAGTTGTGGTCCTGTGGCTGAGACCTGGCCAATCAGAGCATCCAGTCATCCTGGCATAGTGACAGGCTCACAGAGAGCTACAGAGAGAGCTACCAGGTTAGTCCAGGGTAGCTACCAGGCTCAGAGAGAGCTACCAGGTTAGTCCAATGATGTCTTTTTGCCAAAATAATTAAATATGCTCAGCTCCCTGCTGCTGGGGTTGCTGAGAAGGTAGGGTATAAACTTAGAGCCACTGGTGGCATTCTTGCTACTAGAAGGAGAAAGCTTCATTCAAAATGAAGCTACTGTGAGCAAATAGAAAAGGAGACAAAGCCCACAGGTCAGGAGAAATCGATTGAGCACCTCGATCCAGCCATGCCTGAATTCAGCCACATCTGTCTCGGCTTTTGAGTTACCTAAGCCAACATATATACTTTTTTAAAAATCATAAGCTAGTGTGAGTTGGGATTCACTCTTTTCTGGCTGAAACAAAGATCCTGTTGATACAAAGGAGAGCCCAAATACCAAGATCAGGCGCCTCGCCCATCCTCCTGACACTTGTCAAGCTTTCCTTACGACCACAAAAGTCCGATTCTAAATTCCGGGTAGATTTTGGATTCCTCCAAGTGCTGTCCTTTGTAAAATCAATCTCTCAAGGTATTAGAGTGCAAAGTGATCCGATTATTTGGAGGAAATGTACCTTTTTTTTTTTTGAGACAGAGTCTCCCTCTGTAATCTAGGCTGGAGTGCAGTAACGCAATCTTGGCTCACCGCAGCCTCTGCCTCCTGGGTTCAAGTGATTCTCCTGCCTCAACCTCTTGAGTAGCTCAGATTACATTCATGTACCACCATGCCTGGCTAATTTTTGTATTTTTATTAGATATGGGGTTTTGCCATGTTGGCCAGGCTGGCCTTAAACTCCTGGCCTCAAGTGATCTGCCCACCTCAGCCTCCCAAAGTGCTGGGATTACAGGCATGAGCCACCATGCCCGCCAAAATGTACCATTTTAAAATAAAAAGGGAACGGCTTTTCCTCCAGGAGTTTTCTTTGCACCTGGTGTCACTATTCCTCCAGCGTTTCCAGCCTCCCCCTCCACCCTCTTCTTCCTGCTTTGGAGGCAGCTGGCTCTTCCTCCAGCCCACAGATGCATCTTTACTCCCAGCTCTCCAGCTCATGCCCTTGGATTCAGAGAAGAGGTGGATAGCCAAGCCCTTTGCCCCGGGGCTGCCACTGTCTCCCCTCTATCAGTGGCCTTAGATAATGTGTGTGAATACACATGACTCAAGCTGAACTATTAATTTTACTTTATTTTGCATACCAGAGTCAATGGCATTTTGAACACAACAGGGAAAATCTATGTAAATGAATATGCACCATTGTGTAAAATGGCTATGCAAATACATGCCCCTGGAGGTGGCTATGCTGCCATTGAATTTTCCAACATAGGGGGCCTGTGTCCTGACTTTGGTTTAGACCTCAGAAAAACAGAAAATCAGAAAATACTTGGGTTTCTGATTGCAGCAAAGATGCTGACTGGGTTAGTGGCCCCTTGCTTCCCTTTGAATGGAAGCTTTTCTTGCTTCCAGAAGATGCTGGGAGGTAAAAAGTTCGATTTCAGTTGTATGGTTTGAAAACAAGAACTGGATTTTGATTCTACGTAAATGTGGCTAAAACCTTCTGTGTGCCCTCTGCCCAAATGCGCTACTTGGAGTGACTTCCCTCTGCTAATTTTGGACTTGATTTATTCTTCCTTTTCTAGTTCCTTGAGGTCTAACATTGGGTTGTTGATTTGAGAGTTTCTTCTTTTTTAATGTAGGCATTCATCACTATAAACCTCCCTCTTAGCATTGCTTTTGCGTACTCCATAAGTATGTTGTGTTGGGTTTTCGTTTGTCTCAGGATATTTTCTAATATATCCCCCTTTGGAGTTGTCCTTTGGCCCATTGGCTATTCCAGGGTGGGAGGTTTAATGTCCACATCTCTGTGAGTTTCCCAGTATTCCTTTCACTGTTGATTTCTAGTTTCATTCCATAGTGATTGGAAAAAATACTTGGTGTGATCTCAGTCTTCTTCAATTAGTTAAGACTTGTTTGGTGACATCATCTGTCACCTGTCCTGGAGAATGCTCCCTATGTGCTTGAGGGAGGACGTATCTGCAGCCCCATGTTCCCTGCAGTAACATCCACAATAGCCACCATATGGCAGGAGCCTAGTCCATCGATGGATGAATAAAGAAAGTGCACTCTATTCATACACTGGAACACTATTCAGCCTGTAAGAAGAAGGAAGTCCTGCCGTATGCAACAACGTGGATGAACCTGGATGAACCTGGAGAACATTACAATCATGAAAGAAGGCAGTCACCACAGGACAAATACCACATGATTCCAGTTATAGGAGGTTCCCAGGGAAGGCAAATTCACACAGACAAAAACTAGCATGGTGGTTTCCAGGGGCTTGGGAAGGGAAAAATGTGAGCTGCCGGTCAGCGGTACGATGTTCTGGTTACATGGCATGACTAAGATCAAGGATCTGTTGCACAACATTGTATCTACACCAAACAGTGTGTATCGTTGTGTCTACGCCAAACAGTGCTGTATCGTTGTGTCTATGCCAAACAGTGTGTATCTTTGTGTCTACGCCAAACAGTGTGTATCGTTGTGTCTACGCCAAACAGTGTGTATTGTTGTGTCTACACCAAACAGTGTGTATTGTTGTGTCTACACCAAAGAGTGCTGTATCGTTGTGTCTACACCAAACAGTGCTGTATCGTTGTGTCTACACTAAACAGTGCTGTATCGTTGTGTCTACACTAAACAGTGCTGTATCGTTGTGTCTATGCTAAACAATGCTGTCTTGTACACTGAAAAGTTTAAGAGTGTAAGCCTCCTGTTAAGTGTACTTACCACTAAATAGAAAAAAGTAAATAAACAAATAAATTTGCATTTAGTTTTTAAAAGATTATTTTAGAAGTAGGGAGAGAGAAAAGGTGGAGAAGCCAACAAGAGTGAGTTACTGAGCTGGTCCCTGATTGAGAATCTGGGGCTGGGGCAGGGGCCGGTCTCTCAGAACCGGAGAAACACACTCAGAAAAAGGCCTTTCCCTGTTCATTTTGAATAGCACAGTTCTTCCGTCCCATCGAATCACTCTGATAACCTGAGAGATTGGTTTTACAAAGGACAGGAGCCTGGGAGGGCACATCCGTCAACTCCAGCCGCTGCTGATTGCCCCCAGGGGATTACCAGTATGCCTCCCCACACACACACACACACACACACACACTCTCTCTCTCTCTCTCTCTCTCTCAGCTCAGCCTGCACACATCTGAGGAGCCCCTGAAGCCAGAAGACATGGCCAGGACTGAGAGTGGCAGACAGTAGCTTGGGTGGGAGCAGCCCCCCACAGCAGCCCCTGACATCAGCATTGGACCTAGGCAATGCATCATGGGACACCAATGTATCCACTGTGACATGGAGAAGCCCTCCTTGACCATCCATTCATGGGACACCAGTGTGTCCACTGTGACACAGAGACGCCCTCTTTGACCATCCATTCATGGGACACCAGTGTGTCCACTGTGACACGGAGACACCCTCCTTGACCATCCATTCACGGGACACCAGTGTGTCCACTGTGACATGGAGACGCCCTCTTTGACCATCCATTCATGGGGCACCAGTGTGTCCACTGTGACACGGAGACGCCCTCTTTGACCATCCATTCATGGGACACCAGTGTGTCCACTGTGACATGGAGACACCCTCCTTGACCATCCATTCATGGGACACCAGTGTGTCCACTGTGACACGGAGAAGCCCTCCTTGACCATCCATTCTGAACTGGCCTCTGCATTTTCCCTACCCTTTGGGGACACTGGGGATATGACTTGGCTGGGGGACACTTCAAGAAAGAGCCAGCCTTGGGGCCACCACATTCACTGGTCTGGAATTGAACACTGTGGATCTGGGATTGCCTTTAGCAAACCACCCATCCTACATTTCATTTGCAAGATGAGCTTAGAGAGGAGAACAAATTGGGCAGAACCTGCTGCCTCCTGCTCCTGGGATAAGTTGCCCCCACCAAGTAAAGTTTGGAAAGTCTATTCCTTCCTCGGCTGTATGTTCTTGCTCATTCTGTCCTTGCTTTGTGGGTTTTCCATGTGTAATGAGGTAGGGAGAGCAAGCTCCGTGGATGCTGCCCCTCCAATGCAGCTGCCACACAATGGTGGCCCTGGGGCCAGCGTCGTGATGTCAGCCTCCAATTGTCAGGGGAAGCAGAGAACTTTAGAATTACAGAAGCTTCATCCCTGGCTTGGTTCCTACATTGATTCTCTTAGAGCCAATTAATGTCCCATTTTCCCCAATATATCTTTCTCTTAGGGCACTATGTCTAATGCTGGGAGCAATAAGAGGCAACGTTCTCTGCTTTCCTTTGCTTGATTACTACACACTCAACTCACACACAGCCCACCTCCTGAGCAACTCTACAGGCTCATTTGAGGCAGCTCAGTCTTTAAGAAAACAACAGGGCAGATTCCCAAGGAAAGACATGTAACCCATATTTTAGCCTCTTGAAAGGCATCGTTTCACCCCTTTTAAAAAAATCCTTCCCCTTCCCTCCTCTTCCCCTTCCCCATCCTTCTGTGGTTGAAAACCTGAAATACATGATTTCTGTCTTGTTTCTCTCCCGCAAACAAGAGTGAGAGCAGAGTAACGCATTCCATATGTGAAGGGCAGGCGTGGAGAGGGTGTGCAAGCAGCGTCAGCACCTCCCGGGAATGGGCTACTTCCTTCCAGCTGTGTGAGTGAAGAAAAACCTCATTACGGACATGGTTGGTATTTCTAGGGTCTGAGCTCTGTGTCTGAGGCTGAATCAACTAGAGGTTGAGCCGATTGGCTGTCCTCTGTGGGCACAGGGAAGCATGGGGACCTCCAGCCACCCCATAGCCTCAAACAGCTGCCCAGGGCAGCCTCTGAGCTCCCCGGCATCAACGGCATGGTGGAAGCGAGAGTGGGCTTTCTTCCCATGTCTCACCCACCAGTGGTTAATTGGAAGTGAGAGTGGGCTTTCTTCAACCACCAGTGGTTAAGTGAGCAGGCTTTGGATACAAGGGTATGGATCTGAGTCAACTGTGCCTCTTAAGTAGAACAGTGTTAAAGCTGGTTATCTACTGTGGTGCAGTGAATCATCCCATAACCTAGTAGCTTAAAACAATCATCTTGGATTGTATCTCACAATTTTATGGGTCAGGAATTCAGACAGGGCTCAGCCAGACGGTTCATCTGTTCCAGGTGATGTGAATGGGGCTCATTTGGTGGCACTCAGCCAAGGAATGGTCTGGCCTAGAGGCTCTGGAGAACTTCAGGCTCATGCCTGGTACCTTGGCAAGTACAGCTGGAGGTGACCTACACGTGGCCTCTGCAGCACAGTGGTCTCAGGGTCCTTAGACCGCTTATACAGCAGCTCAGGGGCCCAGACAAAATGGCCCAAGAGGCCCCAGTGTGAGCTGCATAGCTTCTCGTGATCTAGTCTTGAAGATCTAGCAGTTTGATTGCATTGTATCCAGTGAACAAGCTGCTAAGGCTCGTCCAGATTTCATGAAGGGGACTCCATCCTCCTGTATCACTGATATGAACCGCAAAGAACACCAGCACCTTCAGTCTACCACAGCAGAGCTGCTTCCTCTCCGTTAAGTCTCATTTCTCCCTCAGAGAGTGGGAGCAAGAATGAAATGAGAGACTGTGCTTAAAGTACTCAGTCTGCAGCCTTTGAATAGGGTAGGAAGATGGCCCTTCTTTTCGTTGGTGCAGGAAGATTGGAAATTTCCTGGGTATGGAGCTTCTCAGAAACCTCAGACCAAGAGTCCAAGACCAAGAGTCCAAGTCACCCACCTAGGACCTGACTCTTCCTCCAGCTGTGAGAGAGAGCTCCCATACTTTCATGATATTCCTCCAAACAATGAATTTCAAGTGCAATAAATTGGATCTTTCATAGAGAAGACAATGGCACACTCACTAAAGATCATTATCTCTTAAAAGCAATGACTGTTGGTTGAGAATGTGCCTTTCCCAGCAATAGTTTATAAATGAAAGGCAAATCATAATAGTCTTTGAGTTTCCCCAAAGAGGGAGACTATTTATAAATGCAGAGTGCTTCAGACTTGCCAATTCCCCATGCTTAAGTTCCTAAGTGGGAGAGAGCAGGGCAATGTTGTTAATTGACGTCTAAAATATTGTACTGTGAGAGGTGCTCACAGGACTCCATGGGACACCATGCATGCTACCTGCAGGCTGCAGGGGACAGCACAGTGATGAGGGTGAGGCAGGATAGGATAGCTCCTAAATTGTGGCTTAGCCTGGGAGGGTTCTTGGCTTAGCCTAGGAAATAATTTAAGGGTGAGCTGGTGGTGTTAGACAGCAGCTTTTATTGAAGTGGCCATGCACAGCAGCAGCAGAAGGACCCCTCCTTGTGAGGTAGGGCTCCCCCATAGGCAGTGCGCCCAGAGCAGCAGCTCAGAGATGGTGCTACCCTCATATTTATACCCGCTTTTAAGTTACATGCAAATTAAGGGGCAGATTATGCAGACATTTCTAGAAATAGGGTGGTAACTTCCAGGTGGTCAGGTCATTGCTATGGAAAGGGAGGGTAATACCTGGGTGTTGCCATGGTGATTGTAAACTGATGTGGCACACTGGTGGGCGTGTCTTATGGAAAGCTGTTTCCACCCCATCCCTGTTTTAGCTAGTCCTCAGTTTGGTCCAGTGTCTGAGCCCAGCCCCTGGAATTGAGTCCCACCTCCTACCTCAAGGGGACAGGAGAGGAGTTGCACAGTCACTCAGCCCGACCCCCAAGCTCACAGTCAAAGCTGGGGCAGAGTAACCAAATCCTTCTGGCCAGGCAGGAGGCAGAGGCTCGCTGTTGAAATGATAGGTGGGGCTGGCCATGTAGGGAAGGCAAGAAGCCATTAGCTTATCTGAAATTCATTTAGGGGGAAGGTGGACAAGGAAGTACCTCAGTCTCCACTATTCAAAACCCAGGGAGCTTGAAAGCAAGTGGTACATCCTGAACCTGGTGAATGGGTATGTCCTTAAACTGGTGAATGGGTATGTCCTTAAACTGGTGAATGGAGACGTCCTTAAACTGGTGAATGGTGACATCCTTAAACTGGTGAATGGGTACGTCCTTAAACTGGTGAATGGGTACGTCCTTAAACTGGTGAATGGGTACGTCCTTAAACTGGTGAATGGGGACGTCCTTAAACTGGTGAATGGGGACGTCCTTAAACTGGTGAATGGGGACGTCCTTAAACTGGTGAATGGGGACGTCCTTAAACTGGTGAATGGGGACGTCCTTAAACTGGTGAATGGGGACGTCCTTAAACTGGTGAATGGGGACGTCCTTAAACTGGTGAATGGGGACGTCCTTAAACTGGTGAATGGGGACGTCCTTAAACTGGTGAATGGGGACGTCCTTAAACTGGTGAATGGGGCCGTCCTTAAACTGGTGAATGGGGCCGTCCTTAAACTGGTGAATGGGGACGTCCTTAAACTGGTGAATGGGGACGTCCTTAAACTGGTGAATGGGGACGTCCTTAAACTGGTGAATGGGTACGTCCTTAAACTGGTGAATGGGTACGTCCTTAAACTGGTGAATGGGTAAAAAAATCGTGGGGCATCCATGCAGTGGGATATTATTCAGTGATAAAAATGAGCTGTTGCACCAGAAAAAGACACAGAGGAAACTCAAAATGCACGTTGCTAAGTGAAAGAAGCCAGTCTGAAAAGGCTTCATGCTGTGTGATTCCAATTCCGTGACATTCTGAAAAAGGCAAAGCTATGGAGACAGTGAAGAGTGCTTGCCAGAGGTTTGGGGGAGAAAGAAATGAATAAGTGAAGCACAGAGTATTCTGTTTTATTTTATTTTTTTAGAGACAGGGTCTTGCTCTGTTGCCCACGCTAGAGTGCAGTGGCATAATACTAGGTCATTGCAGCCTTGACCTCCCAGGTCAAGTGATCTTACTGCCTCAGCCTCCCAAGTAGCTGAACTACAGGTGTGTGCCACCACACCTGTCTAATTCTTAAATTTTTTTTAGAAATGAAGTCTCACTACATTGTCCAGGCTGGAGGATGTTTAAGGCAGTGAAGCTATTCTGTATTATATTGTATTACTGGATAAATTTCACAAAACCCATACAATCCTATGACACAAAAAGTGAGCCCCAGTGTGAAGTGTGGACCTCGGTGAATGATAGTGTATCAATACCGGTTTGTCGATTGTAGCAAATGCAAGATGTTAACAAGAAAGTTGTACGCCTGTGTCTGGAGGGGAAATGGTGTCTGTGAATGCTCCATACATCCTGCTAAATTTTTCTGTAAACCTAAAACTGCTCTGAAATATAAAGTCCATTAATATTTTTAGAGTGGTAGTGGAGAGGATGCAGGGCATGTACTATTCATAGTCTTCTATGAACAGCAGACTGCAGACTTTGTGGAGTTTGGAGGAAAGCAAAGGAGGCCCAGCCTGAAGCAGCTGCTTCCACCTGGAACAGCAGATGGATAATCCACTGTGGCCCCTAGAACCCTGAACGCTGGGGTTCTGGGAAAAGGATGGCCCTGTTTCTAATCTCAGAACCGACAGTGTTTGTGTTTTCACACCTATAAATTGAGGCTGATATTGCAAGTCCCACTCCGGCAGCGGGAGGATGAGCTGAGATGTTAGGTGTGAACGTGTGAGGTACCCCCAGGATTAGTGCCTCCCTGAGCCAGTCCACCTGGCATCTTTGTTCCAGGCCTAACTTCCCCGCTGGACTGTGAGGTCTGAGGGCCAGCAACCGTGTCTCTTGTATCCCCAGCTGCCTCTGTGAAACGTAGCACAGCCCCTGTGCATAGTTGGAGCCCTGAATTAATCAGTGAATTTAGAGGATTCAACAGGGATGGGACAAGAGACTTTGAATCCTTCATATAGGACTAGGCTGAGCTCAGTTCCTCTGAGCCTGACATCTGTGCTGTTCTCACTTATCCATGCACATGAACCCAAGTATGCTACACAAAGGCACTGATTGCCGCTGGACCAAAGGGGCCTTCCTCATCCTTGATTGACGGAGCTGCGCCTCTCTGGTCCTGGGAGAACCCCATGTCATCTCTGGAGAACATCCACGGTCCTTCTTAATCAGCCATCCAGTTTTCTCTCTTCTTTTTCCTTCGTCATAGAATTCTCCAGAAGAAACCAGTCTTGAGACAGCAAAAGTGTTGCCTGAATGTCAGAGATGCTTTTCATTCTCACACAATGTGTCCAAGCCACACAGCTGAAGGCTGTGTGCAGATCTCGGCCTTCTGCTAGGGTCCCTCACGCAGCCCCTTGAACCTCTTCCTTCTGCAGCTGTTGGGGGCAGAGAAGGGAACTTGCATCCTCCCAATCCATCCTCTGATGCCCTAACCCCCAACACCACTAATTCGTCTGCACTCACGGCCTCTTCTGCGTGCAGCTGGCCATCTGGACCTAGTCCATTGGGATGAATCTTGTTCCTGGGATTAGTTTCCCTATGTGGCTTGAGCGCTGAGTTGCCTGTTGAGTTACCCAGATGATCATGTCAGTATCACCCCACCTTCTTCCTTAGGGTCTCCTTTCTGCCTCCCATGTGGTGTCTGATCACTTGGAGGCCCCTCCTGGCTGTCCTGAGACTCCCATTGTCACGAGCCCTTCCCCAGGAAGAGGACTTCCAGCCTCCTCTGCGCCCCTGCCTCACTTCCCCCATCACATCAGGCATTCATGTGCCAACCCAAGGTGGCCCCTTACTGGAAAACTATCAAAACTGAAGTCTCAGGAAGGTGTTGGAGCGGAAACATTTGGAAGTGACTGTGTGCCTTCCCCAGAAGATTAAATACTGATGTGCATTCTGAGTCACCTGGGGATATGTCAAGAATAGTGTCACTCAGGCCCTGATGATATTTGCTGAACCTGATCTACAGAGCCGGGCAGGGGTCCATGCAATCAAATTTTTAAGGCGCTTGTCAGGCAGTCCCACTGTCAGTTAGTTCCCCTTCTCCCAGGAAGTGGCTCTCCAGTGGGGCATGTGTGTCTGAGAAGGCGGCATCTTCCCCTGGCCTCTCCAGTTTCTTCTCCATTAGAGTTCCAACCACAGAGCCAGAAAGTGGAGCACCTAGGCTTGCTGGAGGTTTGCTTCCTGAGGACAGATGCTCGGCAGGGAGCCCCCATGTGCTACCTGAGCAGAAGGCAGTGGCCTGGGCACTTCCATCCCACTCGCCGGGGATCCCAGCCACCTCTCACAGCCTAGGACTTGTGTTCTGCAGAAAGTGATCAGCTGTAATCCCAAAATTTGATAAGAAAACCCGGTGAAAGTTAACTTGAAAGGAGCCACCCAGCCCCTCTGTAGGTGAGAGCGGTTTCACCCAGGCCCTCATTACCCAGCAGACAGCCTCACACTCCAGGTGGATATGTTAGCACCGAAGACCTACTCTCCACCTTCTTCCCCTCTCCTTGGTCTCTGGTATTTTATGGCCACTGTCCTATGACTCCTACTCCCAGCATGTCCCTTGTTTTCTGCCTCCCTTTAAATCCAATGTTATCTATTTTACTGTTTAATTTGATTTCCTCTCCTAGGACGTTAGTTTTTATCATCTTCCTTGCACTCCCCCGACCCTTGCCTCTGGAATCCCAGGCAGATGGTGCGTTCACCGGGACCCACTCTTGCAAGCCCTGCCCTGTTCCTTTTCATTCCTACTTCCTTGTGGGGCAGCGGCTTGGGCAGGTGCAGCATCACGGGACCACTCCCCACTCCTGCAAGGCCAAGTCCTGGGAAACTCCTCTCCTCTCCCAGCTTTTGCAATCCTGTATTCGGGTTTCTCTATTTGGGTATTTGCTGAGCCCTGCAGGCCAGATGCTGTCCCAGGTGCTAGGGACAGAACAGAACATTGTGTAGGTAGGAGTGCCCCTGCCCTTTGGAAATATTCAAGAAGCTCAGAACCAGAGCAAGAGGGGTGAGCAGCTGTCACTACCTAGCAGCCTTGCCGGGGGTCCCGCAGGCCTCTCTGAGCAGAAGCCTGTGTGCCGAGCAGCCATCAGCCATCAGGGCATCTGGGGCCGAATGTTCCAAATGGCAAGTTCAGAGACCCAGATGCAGGAACCAGCTAGGGAGAAACAAGAGGCCATTGGTTGGGAGTGGAGTGCAGTGCCGGGACACCGGACTGAGGACTCGGGCAGAGGCCAGAGGGTTTAGGACCTGTGGGCTGTTATTGAGTGTCTACAGGAGGGCCCCTGAGGGCTTTAAGCCAGGACTGGGATGTCACAGTCTTGATTCAGTCTTCAGTGGGTCCCTCTGGGGCCTGGTTTGCAGAGAGAACCCAGTGAGGAGGAGACCGGCAGAGATCCAGGTGAGCAATGATGGATCTCCAGTTTTCAGCTAGAGGGAAGTGGATGCACTTGGGATATGCTTTGGGATAAGAATCAACCACAAAAGGAAAAAAAGATAAAAATTAAAGTAAAAGAAAAACATTCAGTTCTCTGCCCCACCTTAATGGTACCAGGATACGGGGCAGGTGAATGCATTAAGTCCCAGATGTGAAGCGCACAGTCCATCCCACGCCGGGGAGGCGGGCGGGGTGGGGGGGGGGTCCCAGGGAACAGGTGCAGAGGACGGGGCCAGGCTGAGGGAACTGGGGCCCACGTCCCCCGTGGGACATGGGAGTGTAACAAGGTGCACTGTGTCTCACACTGACACTATTAGTCCACCCATGTCAGCGGCTCCCGCTCCAGCAGAGGTTACCCTGACCTCCTTTCTCCTCTGTCAAGCTGCTTCTATAAACCAGCCAGAGACAAGGCAGACATGATGCGAGGTGGAGCCAGGGCCCTGTCGTTGGCCTCCCTGTGACACGTGTGTCTCTGCTCCCACCTCTGGTGTTCCCCCCTTTTTAACAGCAGACAAGAAACAAACAAGCAAAGCAACAACATGGAACAAACAAAAGCCCTGGGATCTCAAAACGGCCCCTCCCCATCTTCTGTTGCCAGGACGCATCTCCCTTCTCCAGCAGATCCGATACCTTTGATTGTTGCATGGTTTGACTGTTTTGTTTTGAATTTTTTTCCCCTTGTGAATTGCATCTCCTGCTCCATGGAAATTTCCAAAGATTCAAAGACCCCCAAGTCCCAGGGGAGTGAGAGAAGCAGCCTCACCTGGTTCTTCCTCAGAACCCAGAGTGCATGGTGTGCTTCTTTGGAGCACAGTCATGACTAAGGCTGTAAGTCTGAACTCAGCCAGCCCTGGGTTCCAGGTCAAGCTCCTCCCCTCTTTTCATGCCTCAGTGTCTTCATCTGTATAATGGGGGAGTGCAGGAAGTACCCCAGGGTACAGTGCAGCCAGTGGGGGTCATCGTTGGTATCATTGCTTTATGGGTCCACCCCCTGGGGGCTCCTAGAGGGTTAGAGCCTGGGCCACATGTGGAGAGGGGAACACCCTGTTCCCCCACCCTCAAGGCTCTCGGAGTGGCCAGAGGGCGGACACACAGAAAGGAGCTCCACCACACTGTGAGGAGAGAGGTGTCCACCAAGCCCTGCAGCAGCTAAAGCCAACACAGTGCTCCGAGAGAAAGGAGCTCCGGAGGGAGCAGCAGAGGCACAGGCACAGAGCCTGGATGGGGGCGTGTGCTTCTGGATGGACTAGAGGGTCAGGATTCTGCTGGTGGCGAGTGGGCCAGGCTGAGCATGAGACTGGAAAAGGAAAGAAGACAGCCCTAGGTTGGAAGGGGACATTTGCATCTTTCCCCCTGGGATTTCTGCTTCCAAGGGATGCACCTCACAGCCATGCCCCCAGGTCCTAAGTCACGCTGCCTGGAGTAGAATCTCAGCCCACCCCGTGCCGGCGGGTGACCCAGGCCAGGCTGCTCACATACCCAAGTCTGTCCTGTCTGTGGACCATGGGCATCACCACCTCCGTCCTATGTGAGGATCGCATGGGATCATGACTGAAAACCTTCGACACAGTACCTGCCACACAGTACATAGGGATCCCTGTTCATGGAGAAAGATAGATTTTGAAAAACCTACAACAATAACTCTATTCCTTTCTTTATTCCCAGTGTAGCTTCACCTCAGCGGGTGAGCGTTATTGGAATGGAAGGCAGGGAGCGATCTGTACTGGTCTCTCTGCTGCCTGCTCGCCCCTCTCAATCTCTCCTTTGCTTTTTGCTTTAAGATCGCTCTTCTCTATTGCATGCAGGGAGTTTTCTTGAGCTGGGTAGCAGGCTGATTCCATTCATTTCTACAGTGCCTTGAATATCTTCAATCGCCCACAAAGACAATGTTTTATTCTACGAACACACCTTTTGCCAACATCTCACTGCTTTCTGTACAAAACAGCCTTTTTGTCGAACATTGAAGTGTCTACAATAATAACTATCAATAGGGAAGGAAACAAATTAACATCCAACGAATATAGGGAAATGTGGCCCTGATACAAGCACTTGGTTTTTGCTTCTAAAGAGGAACCCCTTCCCAGACTCACCTCATCGAGAGGGAGACAGAGAAGTCTATCAAGCTTAGCAAACATCTGTAGTCCAATTACTGTCAACAGTTTACAGGTGTTGAGAGCAAACAGTCACTTATACACTACCTCCCAAATGCATTCTCTTAATCTCTCTTAGAAACAAACGCACACATTTTTCTAGGGCTCTTTATCCAAAGTGCAGAGAGACTAGCTCCTCCTCCAGGCCAGCTGTGGTCTTCCCTGCACTGGGTGGACCAAAGGCAGGCCACAGTCCCACTGGCCAATGTGCCAAACACTGTGCCAGGGTTTCTCCAGCTACCCCAGGCAGAGGCCCAGGCTCCACCCCTGGAGGTCCAGGTTCTGGAAATCCAGGGTGGGGCATAGGAGAGAGCATTTTTCTGATGCTTCCAGCTGCTGCTCTGTTACGTGGGACATACTGTCTGTGGGACAGGCCGTGATTCTCAAATGCTAGTGGCATGAGCATGGACTGGAGAGATTGTTACAAGGTCAGCTTCCAGGCCCCACTTGCAAAAGCTCCAA